>NC_000005.10:106984807-107609807 GCF_000001405.40 Homo sapiens
AAAAATGTTTATATATGTGGTTATAATATGTCTTATATCACACTAGAATAGCTTCCTCATGCTATTTAGTGGGGAAACCATACTACTCACTCTCTTTCTTCTATATCTCATCCTACTTTAATTTTCTATTTCAGCATTTATTGAGTGGGCAGTGACATGCATAGCAAGATAATAGAAATGGTATTAGAATGCTTTTGTAGGAATTGACTAAAAGAAAGGAGAAATGAATTTTAAATTGGACTGGGGACTCTAATATACACATTTTTAAATTTCTTCCTTGTTGATTACTATGGCTGCTCTAGTATAATATTGTGGTTCTGTAAAAAGAAACACGCTAACTATCCCCTTACTTATTCTGCCAATTACTTTTCGGTGTATACTTGTAATTAAACCCATTTTGGGATTCGTGTCAACCTTCCCTCACAGCGATCAATACTAAATGGTAACAAAGGGAAAGAGACGATATCTGTTGTTAGTAGATTTTTGCCTGTACTTGTACAAATAAGATTAGAAGCTGCATGTAGAGCGAGCTGTGAGTACATGACATTTTCCCAATAACTGTTTTCCATTATTTTGAAGTGTGCATGAAACTCCTGCCACACTGAATCTTCTCAGTCACAGCCACATGTCACTGAGGATTCAGCTTTGGTGGTTCTTCAGCTCTCTGACACAAAGCAACAACTATGTTACCCCCATTCCCTTCCCCGACCCACCACCCAAAAGACTGATGCATTCCAAAAGAATTCCAGAAAGCTGGAAACAAAATAACCTCTTTCAAAACAAATATTTAGTATTATCACAAATTCACAGACAAAAATTCCAATTTTTAAAATCACAAAATCAGATATACTATTGCTTAAAACATGAATTCGGAAATCAGTAAGTTGATGTCCACATAATAAAATATCATCACACAATTCACTGAAAAATGTCTTTTTTATTATATTTTTCTTTCATGAAGACATTTCATGGCTCCAAGTACTTGTTTTTTTGAGAATAAAGTCGCATCACAGAAGATATTCTAAGGTCCTGAATTTTCAGAACACAAAACGGCTGGGAGCATATTCAAGATAGATTTATTCTTTTTAACACTTCAAAAAAAGGTGGAAACTACAATAAAGTAGCTTTACTTTTCAAACAACAGCTGTGTTAAAATACCTACTATGGCTATAGCATAATGTAAAGTCCGTACTCACATTGCAATTATTATCAGAAAACAGTTTACAATTCAAAAACTTTACCATCCTTATTAAATTATCCTGGGTTAAGAGCATAATGTCAGCTCTCTGAAATCTCCGTTTCATTGCTTTTGCTGGTTTTCATAAGACTAACCCTTAGAGGTAGGGATACTTATACATCTTGAATTACAAGGATTTATGCTCTTTTCTCGGTGCCTGAGATTTATATTCATCAGTGTTAAAGGTTGTTAGATGTATAAATCTCTATGGATCAAGATAAGAACATACACTCAAAAGGGATTCCTAAGTACTGTTTGTATTTACCATGAATGTCCTTGTTACTGTGGCTGTGTGATTTGAGTTCATATGCATACATATTAGAAATGTAAAATATTAGATGTCACATTTCTTTCAACTGCTCTTGAAACAGGATAAAAGAAACAAATTAAACGTGAAATCTGTACCCAGGCAAGTGTTCATATTTTCCTTTCATCTGTGTTCTAGCATTTAATTGCAGACACCATTGAACCATACTCATGACACAAGTTGCACTTTGTCACAGAGCTGATGAAGAGAATCATGGAGCTATACATGCCATGATTCCAGGTTAGTTATTCAGCAGGCAACATTGCTGAACTTCATATTTACGTAACAGTTTTCCAACTTGGAGCAGCATGTTTTTTTATTTGAAAAAAAAAAAAGAAAAGAAATTGCTGAAAGATTTCTTGGTTTCTATGAGAGGAACTGCAAAAACACACAATACCTTTTATTTTTTTACATTCTTTTATCATGCTAGCAAAATATAATTCCATTTTCAAGCCAAAACAGTAGCTACTTTTCCCCTTTATTCTTCATAAACTTTCATATTATTATATAACGGTTACAGGACATGATTGCTTCCCACAGAGTATAAAGTGGCTTAGTGGACATCGTAACACACTTTCATGAGCAACTTAGACGTCCTTGTGTTTTCAGTTGTACAGAATAATTTATCTATTCTTCATACATAGGGCTGTCAGATAAAATACAGGATTTCTTGTTAACTGAATTTCAGATAAACAAAGAATAACTTTTTAGCATAGAATATTTCTTTAAATATTTGGACCATATGTATATTTAAAATTGTTTACTTGAAATTCAAATTTAAATGGATGTTCTGTATTTTTATTTGCTAAACCTGGAAACCCTATTCAATAACCTATAATTCTTGAGTGTGAATATTTTAGGTTGTTAATATATAGTTTAGTTTAATTTGGTTTTGTTTTGCTAAATTTCTGTTGCAGTGGAATTCAATGTAAACTTAATAAAGTCATGCAAAATCAAAAATCTAAAAGGACAAACCTGTTTAAATTATTAGAATCTTTTGGTTATCTGAAACAAGGGCAGTTTTAAAAATAATGTCACTTTTCTACTTGAAAGGGACAGTACCATGTGGGAGAATGGAGAGCTCAGGGGACCTATAATGAGATACAGGCCTTTCATTGGTTTGAATATAGCCCTAGGTGGTAGTGACTGAAAGTTTTTGCCATCTGGTACCTGATCAGTGGCTGATGTGAAGTTGTTGATTTCACTTCTTTTTTAAAAAAATCAAGGCAAAAAACAAATGTCTAGAAGAAGAGCAGTTTTACTGTCTACCACACCTTTATAAACTTGACCAAATCATTTCACTTATCTCGCTCCTAATTTCTTCTTGTCTGCCAAAGAAAATATGATAGTAGTCATCTGTATATCTATCCTTTAATTAAAATATCATCTGGTATTATAAGTAAATTTGAAGATAAAACATACTTTAGGCAGTTGTTCCTTCATTTCAATTGGGAATTGGCTACAGGTCTCTATTTGTAGTAAATGGGAATCGTCTGTTCTGAAGATTTTCAAAGAAGTAACCATTAAAATTCTTTAAGAGCCTATTGTGCCCCCAAAGATGAAGGTCAAAATTATTCAATTTGTTATCTGGAAAGGCTCTTAGGAAAGCTCTACTGTACCAGCAAAGCACAAGGCCATTACCTTTCTCTAATATTAATTTTCCACTACCCTCCCCCACTCCATTGTCTTTTATTTCAGTTTTGGTAAAAAAGATGAGCACAGTGATTTCATAAGAAAATCTGAATTTAGAACCCATATCTGCTATTCCATGCCAGGTAACCTTGAAAATGTCATTCGAACTTGCCAAAATGCTAAATAATATAATTCTTGTAACTATTTGTTCCAAGGACTTTTTTTTTCCTGCAAACATTAGAAGGAATACAAACTTCATACCTGTCTTTTAGGAAAATTTACTTGACAGTATGTGAAAAAAGCCTTAAAGTTTCATTTTCCACTTCAGATAGGGTGATGGAGAGGGGGAAAGCAAAAGGAGAAAAATACAGAGACACAAAGAGCCTCATGTTTTCCGGGAGCTGTGAGCAATTCAGAATAGATACGGTTTGAAATATCAAGAGGCAGGGAAAGATTCACCTGGAGGCACTGTAATGGACCACCTCACGGAGGGTGATGTTTGCCATACTAGGGATTTTATACTCTATTTTTCAGACAGTGAGAAGTTTGTTAAGCAATAGTTTAACATCTTCCTTGTGTCTTAGGAACTGTCCAAACGGAGGTGGTTAGATGGGAACATAGCAAGAATTAACACAAAGGGAACTTGAAAAGTTATGGCAATAATCCAGGCCAAAAAAGATGAGAGCTTGAATTAAAGAAACGGTGAAGATGGGGGGAGAGTTGGATATTAAAGCAATTAATGAGATGGATTTAGCTAGGCAGTGACAAGATGGAAGTAGGACAAGAGAGAGAGATGTCCCCTAGGTTTATACCTTGGGTTATTATGTAGACATTTGTGTCATTTAACAGCATTTGGGAATTCATAAATAGACATATTTTTGTAGGGGAAAGACAATGAGTTTTATTTGTAGCCTGTTGGATTTGCCACCATTGCAGGTCTGGAAGGATGAGTTAACCAGTAGTCAGCAATATTATTAAGGTATATAGAGTGGACAGGGCACAACTGAGCTACAGACATGGGTGCAGGAGTTTAACTGGTCAAGGTTCTTAGTTGTAGATCACAAAATCCACTCTAAATAGAAAGAGCAGAAAGAAATCTATTAAGAGTTATGGGGCACCTGCAGAATTAGTGCAGACATGGAGAGCCCATAGTCTAAACTTCCACAGACAATAACCCAAATGACACCAAAAGCCTGGCCCACCAATGAAGTTGCTATATCTGCTAATATCAGAAAGCAATAGAATCAGAAAGCTACCAGCACACCTATCAGATTTAGAAACATGCCAATGCTGATCAAATTCATCACTTCAAAATAGATGCTCTTTGCCTTGCCTTCTGACACCCATGAAGTTAGGGATCAAATATCAAGGCTTCTATCAAAGGCATAGCAACTCTGCTTGACAGAAGATCTATGTAAACATTTATCTCACAACTACCTTACAACTCTCTCACATGGTGCATTTGTTTCACAGGAGCTAGAGCAAATGCCAAGGATTGCAGTGGTCTCTGGGTAACACTGTTTTTAGCTTTCCAGCCTCTAAATAGAGCCTCTTAAATAGGGTTTACAGTGGTGTTCAGTAAATCAATCTGTCACAAGGAAGCATGAAGGTAAAAATGATGTTTAAGGAATCGTAGTGGATAACAGTAAAAGACAACATATGGCATTAGAATAGAAGCAAGCAAACAAGTGACAGAAACCAAAGGAATATCAGTATTTTAAAAGCAGAAGAGAAGGGAGAGGTGAAAGACTCTGAAATGAATCTAAAGGAATCCAAGCAAAAAAAAAAAAAGTAATTGGTGCTTTGGTTATTAAAAGGAGAGACATTTTAAAAAACTTTTTCAAGTTTTATGCAGCTTGCAGGTCTTAAAAGAATCATTATATTTGTCTATTAGTGTGTCTCTGCTAGAAGAGTGTCATTGGAGATATGAGAGCAGAAACCAGAGAGCAGGGGATTAAAGAGTGAATTGGGAGCAATGAAGTAAAGACAGCTTGATTCCAGAGAGGAGAGAGATAAGGTGACAGGTAGAGGGGAGGAAATAAAATAAGAGACAAGAACTCTCACAAGTGGAGAAAGATTTGAGTTTAGGCTTTTCTATGTGAAAGATGCATACAAGAGAAAAAAACAAAAATACAGTGTAACAATAGAATCATTGAAGAAGCCAGGTCCTGCCAAAATCAGGAAGTGATCAAAACAGAAAGGAGGACACTTCTTATGAAATGAGAAGAAAAAAGGTTCAAATGAATGCAGATTTACCTAGGTTTGGGAAAGGGGGTGGGAAATTAAGGGATTTATTATAACATATTTAATGCTCACTGCTGGAAGACATGGCACAGATATAAGTGGCTTAAGCACAGTGCTCATACTTTAGAACACTCCTAAGTGAAATGGAACGGAGACTCAGAGATATGTAAATATACTGACACAGAGCTCAGCTGCTCCAAAGACTCAGCTAAGGATGTGGGCCATAGATTTCTGGTTGCCCAGTCTACATAATGACATGATTTCTCCCACATTGTGGGTGTCATGAAAGCAGATTGTTAGACTGACTCAAAGTTAAGACTTAGCAGAGTAAATGCACAGATAGTCGAGAGAGACAGACGGAGAGGGAGAGATTGAAGGTGCTGATACAAAAGCTTTTATTATTTTAAAAATTAAACATATAACAGCATTTGTTAAGTGAATGATATGTATTGGAGATGATGCTGAGGAATTAATCTTGTGAAAGGTGTCAGAGTTAAAGACACTTGTGTCAAACCTTGACCAAATGGAGCCAAGGAAGGACATGAATGGAGAATTCTCATGCACCAATGCCTGATCATAAGAACTATCACTAAAGACTGCAAAAACTACAAACTTGCACAAAGGTCACCACAACCTTACCAAAAATAGATATTTCTGGGAGGACATCTGCCCAACAACTGCCTGTCCAATCTTGGACTGACAACACCCTTGCTATTGATCACTGTAGCCAAGGATAATTGTTTGAAAAAAAATAACAACTTGTATAATTCTCCTTATTTTTCTTTTAAAAACCTTTGTCTTCTTTTACCTCCCTGAATACACCCAAAATTTACTACTGCACCATGTTCCTTTTGCAAGGCTCATTCTCAAACAAATATTTTGTTTTAGAAAGCCTCTTTTATTTAGGTTGCCAGTCTTAACAACAGCCCTAAGTAAGTAATATTATTACCCCCATTTTACAGTGGAAACAAACAACTAACTTCATCGTATTTTAGGAGGTATGTTATGTCACCTTGGCTAATGTAAATGAGATGCCAAATTAACAAGAGCTTTTTTCTCACTCTGATGTGGAATAAATGTGCAAGATAATATCGCAGTGCTCCTTCACAAATGTGCCAAGGAATCATCTTCCCTCTGTCTTGTTGCTCTGTCATCTTCAAAATATGGTTTCCAACTCATGGTGCCCCATGGTTACTTCTGCCCTCACCATCTTGACCTGATTCCAATTAGCAAGAAGGGAGTAGAAGGAAGGCAGAAACAGAACCATATGGCTGTACCTACAACTGAAGAAGGCTGAGTAGCCCAGCTAAAATTGGACAGTTGTATTACTAAAAGAAGAAAGTAATGATTTATTTGCAAGGAAGGATACTATTCTGAAAACATTTTTGAAAAAAATAGGCTTGAATGAAATATTGAACATTTTTCTTTTTATCCTGATTTCTATAATTTCATGCAATTTACATAAGTATCAATTTATCCCCAACTTTTGAAGGGTGAGGTAGCATCTGTAGAATAAAATAAATAAAAACTAAACTTCTGCCATAACACATTGGGCCAGGCACTTAATCTCCTATTGTATTTTTTTTTTAACTTCGTTTGCTAAATTACAATAAACATAAGCCAAAAATGGGAAAAGGACACTCATTTTTTCAAATGTAAGGTAAATGTTTGTTACTATTCTTCCGTTTATCTAGAGGGAGGTAGGCAAGGGGGGAGTGAGGGGGGGAGAGAAAGAGAGAGAGAGAGAGAGAGAGAGAGACAGACAGACCTGAGGACTCACTTGGACTCATTTTCAATTATTGCTTTATCTGTGTTCTGTTTGGGTGGAGAGAGAAAATCCCTATTCTTTTAATTGGACTATATCCCAGAGCTGTCCCAATTTACTTAAGATGATTCCCAGCACCAAATTGTTCTTACAGTCAGGAAATTGTTCTTGATAATCAGGCCACATTTGTTTTATTCTTGGTTTATATTCACCCTGTGTATAAATCCATCATCTATTTCTTTAATCAACTTTAGTTGTACATCTCTGGACTAGTTTATTGGTATCTTTTGGATCCTAGATGGCGGAATGAATGGAGCTTTTTCTCATTAGTATCACGAGGAGAAGAAACACGTTTCTTTCCATTGGCATTATTTTATTCACTTCATGGAAGCTTTAGTTTTATTTATAATAATAACATAAAAATTCAGATCTATATAAGTAATGTTAGATTTCATTCATCTTTATCATTTTTATGCTGTTATCTGATATGGATTGCATCTGTATCAGATAAAGGTATATACACATTCTATATTATTTAGCTTTGATTTTACCCCACAGTTTCACTTAGTATTGACCATACTGCATTATGGTCAGTGATAACTTAATAGGACAAGTCATTTTTTTCCTTCTAATGTTCATCAGGAAAGGAAACTGCCTATCTACCCAACCTAACATCCATGGTGTCAGGGCATCTGCCTGCCTGACTGATGGCACATTAAATTACACTCTGCCAGGTCTCAGCTTGATATAAACTCTCTGACACTTATCCTGATAGCATGACCCAATACCCAGTTCAGTAATAGTTTTTATCTAATTGAGAAAGAGAGCTAGATGTTTAAAAATCACAATATTAAAATGAATTTTAATTCAACCAGAGGTACCTATGTGCATATAATTTAAAATATCACTGAGGAGGCTTGGTACCCAAGAGAACCTCTTACTAAGAGGAGTTTCAAAACCTGAAAAATCAGTATTGGTTACATAATTTCTCTTTAGACATGAACACTTCACAAATGTTATTTGCTCAATCTCTATTCATAAGGCAAACATAAAGTGATGAAATTAATAATAGCAGTATTGGTAGTTAATACACATAGCACTTCTATGCAGCAAGCACTTCACATATCTTCACAATAGTCTCATGGACATTATTAGTAACTCATTGTAAATATGAGAAAACTGAGGCACAGAGAGATTAAGGAACCTGGCCAAGATTATACAACTAGTGGTGGAGCCATAAATTAAACATACAATCTGGCTCCAGAGTTTGTACCCTTAACCATTATGCTATAGATGTCTAAAGACAAATATGTTTTAACATGCTAGTCTTCTCTCTTTTCTGATTAGCTGGTTGTTAAGAAAAAATGTTGGCAAATAGATGATAATGAAGGGGGCAGTTTAAGACAAGCATCCATGTTACCTCGATGGCAAGGAAGGCAAACAGAAGCACAGAGATAAGATAACCATGAAAGCCACTAAGCCTTCAGCATGAACACTGTCTCCCAACAATTTGATGATCATTCTTCAGGATTTTGTTAATATAAATGCTGTATTTTAATTATTTCCAACATATACGTCTTTGTAGTGATAATAAAATTTCCTATATTTACAATGTTTTTAGAGGTCAATTATTTTTCTTAGTTTCTATTGCTTGCAAAAACTCCCAGTTTAGCACAGGCTGCAAAGTTCCCCAATGTGCTATTCACAGATTCTTTTTGAATCGTTAATAAATGACAAATGTTAAAAATGATCAATCCCAATGCCAGTTTTTGTTGCAAACTTCTAAACACCTCCTACAGTTTTGTGTCATTGCCACTTTATTCTCCGGCTTTATTTATGGTCCAAAATCTAGTTTTGAATCCGTATGACTATTTTCACATCTATTCTACAATTCAGCAAATAATAAAGTGTGGCATCAATTTTTTCCTATAATTGAAACATTAAATATCTATTGCACTTACTTTAGCCTATATTTATTGGAATATCTTTTAAGTTGCAAAAAGAAGAAATGAAAAAAATGTTTGATCACTCATAATATTTACTGAGTGCATATTATTTATATTAAAACATAGCGTTTGGGGCTAATGAAACAACATTATTATAATAGCATGAAAAATGTTGTAGTATTTTATACTTAGGTTCAAGTAATAAAGCATTATGTCCTTAAAATGGTCACTACAACCAGACAAAACTGGTGATGTAAAGCAATATAAAATAAACAGGCCTAACACTACACCCTGAAATGGCAGCAAAAGTCACTAATCACAAGTATTTGATACCTAAAATACTAATACTTTTATATATATATATATAATTATAATAGAATATATATATATTATAAGTTCTGGGATAGCTGTACAGAATGTGCAGGTTTGTTACATGGGTATATATGTGCCATGGTGGTTCGCTGCACCCATCAACCTGTCATCTACATTAGGTATTTGTCCTAATGCTATCCCTCCCATTGCCCTCCACCACCCAACAGGCCCCAGTGTGTGAGATTCCCCTCCCTGTGTCCATGTGTTCTCATTGTTCAACTCTCACTTACGAATGAGAACTTGCAGTGTTTGGTTTTCTGTTTCTGTGTTAGTTTGCTGAGAATGATGGTTTGCAGCTTCATCCATGTCCCTGCAAAGGAAATGAACTCATCCTTTTTTATGGCTGCATAGTATTGCTATGTGCCACGTTTTCTTTATTCAGTCTGTCATTGACGGGCATTTGGGTTGGTTCCAAGTCTCTGCTATTGTAAATAGTGCTACAAGCATGTGTCTTTATAGTAGAACGATTTATAATCCTTTGGGCATATACCCAGTAATGGGATTGCTGGGTCAAATGGTATTTCTGGTTCTAGATCCTCGAGGAATTGCCACACTGTCTTCCACAATGGTTGAACTAATTTACACTCCACCAACAGTGTAAAAGCGTTCTTATTTCTCCACATCCTCTCCAGCAACTGTTGATTCCTGACTTTTTAATGATCGCCATTCTAAATGGCATGAGATGGTCTCTCATTGTGGTTTGGTTTGCATTTCTCTAATGACCAGTGATGATGAGCTTTTTTTCATATGTTTGTCAGCTGCATAAATGTCTTCTTTTGAGAAGTGTCTGTTCATATCCTTCACCCACTTTTTGATTGGGTTGTTTGATTTTTTCTTGTAAACTTGTTTAAGTTTTTTGTAGATTCTGGATATTAGCACTTTGTCAGATGGATAGATTGCAAAATTTTTTCACATTCTGCAGCTCTCCTGTTCACTCTGATGGTAATTTCTTTTGCTATGCAGAAGCTCTTTAGTTTAACTAGATCCCATTTGTCAATTTTGGCTTTTGTTGCCTTTGCTTTTGGTGTCTTAGTCATGAAGTCTTTGCACATGCCTGTCTCATTAATGGTATTGCCTAGGTTTTCTTCTAGGGTTTTTATGGTTTTCGGTCTTACCTTTAATCTTTAATCCATCTTGAGTTAATTTTTGTATAATGTGTAAGGAAGGGGTCCAGTTTCAGTTTTCTGCATATGGCTAGCCAGTTTTCCCAGCACCATTTATTAAATAAGGAATCCTTTCCTCATTGCTTGTTTTTATCAGGTTTGTCAAAGATCAGATGGTTGTAGATGTGTGGCATTATTTCTGAGGCCTCTGTTCTGTACCATTGGTCTATATATCTCTTTTGGTACCAATACCATGCTGTTTTGGTTACTGTAGGCTTGTAGTCTAGTTTGAAGTCAGGTAGCATGATGCCTCCAGCTTTGTTCTTTTTGCTTAGGATTGTCTTGGCTATACAGGCTCTTTTTTGGTTCTATAGGAAATTTAAAGTAATTGTTTCTAATTCTGTGAAGAAAGTCAATGGTAGCTTGATGGGAATAGCATTGAATCTATAAATTACTTTGGGAAGTATGGCCATTTTCACAATATTGATTTTTTTCTATCCATAAGCATGGAATGTTTTTCCATTTGTGTCTTCTCTTGTTTCCTCGAGCAGTGTTTTGTAGTTCTCCCTGAAGAGGTCTTTTACAACCCTTGTAAGTTGTATTCCTAGATAGTTTATTCTCTTTGAAGCAATTATGAATGGAAGTTCACTCATGATTTGGCTCTCTGTTTGTCTATTATTGGTGTATTAGGAATGCATGCGATTTTTACACATTGATTTTGTATCCTGAGACTTTGCTAAAGTTGCTTATTAGCTTAAGGAGTTTTGTGGCTGAGACAATGGAGTTTTCTAAATATACAATCATATCATCTGCAAACAGAGACAATTTGACTTCCTCTCTTCCTATTTGAATACGTTTTATTTATTTCTCTTGCCTGATTGCCCTTGCCAGAACTTCCAATACTATGTAGAATAGGAGTGGTGAGAGAGGGCATCGTTGTCTTGTGCCGGTTTTCAAAGAGAATGCTTCCAGCTTTTGCCCATTCAGAATGATATTGGCTGTGGGTTTGTCATAAATATCTCTTATTATTTTGAGCTATGTTCCATCAATACCTAGTTTATTGAGAGTTTTTAGCATGAAGAGGTGCTGAATTTTACCGAAGACCTTTTCTGCATCCACTGAGATAATCATGTGGTTTTTGTCATTGATTCTGTTTATGTGACAGATTATGTTTATTGATTTGCATATGCTGAATCAGCTTCCATCCCAGGATGAAGCTGACTTCATCATGGTGGATAAGTTTTTTGATGTGCTGCTGGATTCTGTTTGTGAGTATGTTATTGAGGATTTCACATTGATGTTCATCAGGGATATTGGCCTGAAATTTTCATTTTTTGTTGTGTCTTTGCCAGCTTTTGGTATTGGGATGATGCTGGCCTCATAAAATGAGTTATGGAGGAATCCTTCTTTTTCTATTGTTTGAAATAGTTTTAGAAGGAATGGTACTACCTCCTGTTTGTACCTCTGGTAGAATTTGGCTGTGAATCGTCTGGATCTGGGTTTTGTGTTGGTTGGTAGGTTATTAATTACTGCCTCAATTTCAGAACTTGTTATTGGTCTAGTCAGGAATTTGACCTCTTCCTGGTTTAGTCTTGGGAGAATGTATATGTCCCAGAATTTATCCATTTATTCTAGATTTTCTAGTTTATTTGCATAGAGGTGTTTATAGTATTCTCTGATGGTAGTTTGTATTTCTGTGGGATCAGTGGTGATATCCCCTTTATCATTTGATTCTTCTCTCTTTTCTTCTTTAATAGCCTAGCTAGTGGTCTACCTATTTTGTTAATCTTTTCGAAAAACCAGCTCCTGGATTCATTGATTTTTGAAGGGTATTTTGTGTCTCTATCTCCTGGAATTCTGTTCTGATCTTAGTTATTTCTTGTCTTCTGCTAGCTTTTGAATTTGTTTGCTCTTGCTTCTCTAGTTCTTTTAATTGTGATGTTAGGGTGTCGATTTTAGATCTTTCCCGCTTTCTCACGTGGGCATGTAGTGCTATAAATTTCCCTCTAAACACTGCTTTAGCTGTATCCCACAGATTCTGGTACATCGTGTCTTTGTTCTCATTGGTTTCAAAGAACGTAGTTATTTCTGCTTTAATTTCATTATTTACCCAGTAGTCATTCAGGAGCAGGTTGTTCAGTTTCCATGTAGTTGTGCGGTTTTGAGTGAGTTTCTTAATCCTGAGTTCTAATTTGATTGCACTGTGGTCTGAGAGACTGTTTGATTTCCATTCTTTTACATTTGCTGAGGAGTGTTTTACTTCCAATTATGTGGTCCATTTTAGAACAAAAGCTATGTGGGCTGAGAAGAATGTATATTCTGTTGATTTGGGGTGGAGAGTTCTGTAGATGTGTATTAGGTCTGCTTGGTCCAGAGCTGAGTTCAAGTCCCTGTTAATTTCCAACTCATTGATCTGCCTAATATTGACAGTGGGGTGTTAAACTCTCTCACTTTTATTGTGTGGGAGTCTAAGTCTCTTTGTAGGTCTCTAAGAACTTGCTTTATGAATCTGGGTGCTCCTGTATTGGGTGCATATACATTTAGGATAGTTAGCTCTTCTTGTTACGTTGACCCCTTTACCATTATGTAATGACCTTCTTTAACTTTTTTGATCTTTGTTGGTTTCAAGTCTGTTTTATCAGAGACTAGGACTGGAATACCTGCTTTTTTTTTGCTTTCCATTTGCTTGGTAAATATTCCTCCATCCCTTTATTTTGAGACTTTGTGTGTCTTTGCACATTTAGTGGGTCTCCTGAATATAGCACACTGATGGATCTTAACTTTTTATCCAATTTGCCAGTTTGTTTCTCTTAACTGGGGCATTTAGCCTATTTACATTTAAGGTTAATATTGTTACGTGTGAAACTGATCCTGTCATCATGATGCTGTTTGGTTATTTTGGACATTAGTTGATGCAGTTTCTTCTTAGTGTCAATGGTCTTTACATTATGGTTTGCTTTTGCAGTGGCTGGTACCAGTTTCTCCTTTCCATATTTAGTGCTTCCTTCAGGAGCTCTTGTAAGGCAGGCCTGGTGGTGACAAAATCCCTCAGCATTGGCTTGTCTGTAAATTATTTTATTTCTCCTTCACTTATGAAGCTTAGTTTGGCTGGATATGAAATTCTGGGTTGAAAATTCTTTTCTTTAAGAATGTTGAAGATTGGCCCCCACTCTCTTCTGGCTTGTATGGTTTCTGCATGAGATCCACTGTTGGTCTGATGGGCTGCCATTTGTGGGTTACATGACCTTTCTCTCTGGCTGCCCTTAACATTTTTTCCTTCATTTCAACCTTGCTGAATCTGACAATTATGTGTCTTGGGGTTGCTCTTCTCATGGAGTATCTTAGTAGTGTTCTCTGTATTTCTTGAATTTGAATGTTGGCCTGTCTTGCTAGATTAGGGAAGTTCTCCTGGATAATATTCTGAAGTGTGTTTTCCAGCTTGGTTCCATTCTCCCAGTCACTTTCAGGTACACCAATCAATTGTAAGTTTGGTCTTTCCACATAGTCTCATATTTCTCATATTTGTTCCTTTTCATTCATTTTTCTCTAATCTTGTCTTCCTGCTTTGTTTCATTAAGTTGATCCTCAATCTCTGACATCCTTTCTTCTGCTTGATCAGATCAGCTATTGATAATTGTGTATGCTTCACGAAGTTCTCGTGCTGTGTTTTTCAGCTCCATCAGGTCATTTATGTTCTTCTCTAAACTGGTTATTCTAGTTAGCAGTTCCTGTAATTTTTTTTTTTTAATCAAGTTCTTAGCTTCCTTGCATTGGGTTAGAACATCCTCCTTTAGCTCAGAGGAGTTTGTTATTACCCACCTTCTGATGCCTACTTCTGTCAGTTCGTCAAACTCATTCTCCATCCAGTTTTGTTCCATTGCTGGTGAGGAGTTGTGATCCTTTGGAGAAGAAGAGGCATTCTGGTTTCTGGAATTTTCAGCCTTTTTGTGCTGGTTTCTCCTCATCTTCATGCATTTATCTACCTTTGGTCTTTGGTGTTGGTGACCTTTGGATGGGGTTTCTCTATGGACATCCTTTTAGTTGATATTGATGCTATTCCTTTCTGTTTCTTAGTTTTCCTTCTAACAGTCAGGCCCATCTGCTGCAGGTCTGCTGGAGTTTGCTGGACGTCTGCTCCAAACCCTGTTTGCCTGGGTATCACCAGTGGAGGCTGCAGAACAGCAAAGATTGCTGCCTGCTCCTTCCTCTGGAAGCTTCATCCCAGAGGGGCACCTGCCAGATGCCAGCCATAGCTCTCCTGTATGAGGTGTCTGTTGACCCCTGCTGGGAAGTGTCTCTCAGTCAGGCGGCACGGGGGTCAGAGACCCACTCAAGGAGGCAGTCTGTCCCTTAGCAGAGCTCGGGCGCTGTGCTGGGAGATCTGCTGCTCTCTTCAGAGCTGGCAGGCAGGAATGTTTAAAAGTCCGCTGAAGTTACACCCACAGTTGCCCCTTCCCCCAGGTCCTCTGTCCCAGGGAGATAGGAGTTTTATCTATAAGCCCCTAAATGGGGCTGCTGCCTTCCTTTCAGAGATAGCCTGCCCAGAGAGGAGGAATCTAGAGAGGCAGTCTAGCTACAGTGGCTTTGTGGAGCTGCGGTGGGCTCCACCCAGTCCACACTTCATGGTGCCTTTGATTACACTGTGAGGGGAAAACCGCCTACTCAAGCCTCAGTAATGGTGGATGCCCCTCCCCTCACCAAGCTGGAGCATCCCAGGTCGACTTCAAACTGCTGTGCTCACAGTGAAAATTTCAAGCCAGTGGATCTTAGTTTGCTGGGCTCTGTGGGGGTGGAACCCACTGAAAAAGACCACTTGGCTCCCTGGCTTCAGCCCTTTTTCCAGGGGAGTGAACAGTTCTGTCTTGCTGGGGTAAGTCTGTGCTAGCACGCAGCAAGGGCAGCAAAGAAGGAACCCCAAGCTGACGAGCTCAGCTACATAGCCCCAAGAAGCTGAGCCACCCTGGCCAGAGCCACCTTTTCCCTAAAACTATTTTTAAAAGAGTAGAATAGCAAAAATATGAGAATACATGATTAAAGTGAACAGAAATGAGAGATAATGCTCTTGCAATTCTAGCTACTTTAAATACCAGCTAAAATTTCTATGTAATCATCTTCCTACATCATTAAAGATATTGATTCATATAGGTTATGTTAGTCAATAGTTTTAAAAGTTCTATATTCTCTTTCCAGGGGGCCTTTCTTTTAGTAGGCTATCTATCATTTCTTTCATTTTTTATTGGTTTCATTTGAGCAAATTATTAGAAGATAGTTTGGAAATAACAAGATTTGCACAAATGATGAGGACAAGTAAAATAAGAAAAAATAAGTAGTTAATTGGAATCAAACATTTAAATCCCAATTCCAGCAAAACTCTCAATATCAAAATCATTATGATAATTACATGAAATAAGGATGCCTACACTTCTAGGTGCTCATAAAGGCATATTGTACCTGTATTATAGGTCACAAGTCAATACAATGAGCAATTATGAGAGTTAAACTCAGAATCAATCCTTCTATTCAATCCTCACAATACCCTACATTTCTTCTTCACTAAACATACCACTATTATAGTGAATATTATTTATTAGACAATTTGCCTAATGTCTGCTAGCCTTAGGAAAAGCACAGAGAATTTTAGTGTTTTTCCAAATTTTCTCAGAAACCTAAGATCTGAATAAACCATAAAAATGGCAAATGACCATCAATAGAATACACAATATTTTTAAGGTAGTAAAAAAAAAAACAATATTTTCCGTGTCTCCTATACATATTTACTAACAGACTAAAATTCCCAAATATAACAATAAGGAAGTATAGATAACAAAAAATGCAAGGCTATGCTCACTCCACCCGAGGGTGTCTTCCAAACAACACTGTGGAGAGGCAGGCAAAGGCCAAAACAGCCATTCTTCACCCAGTCCATGAGCTCAGAGGGTCAGGTAGCAGGGTAAGGGAAGATGCCCTCTCAGCTCAGCAGAGTCACGGTGAGAAAATATGCCCGCTGGCAATTGGGAATTGGTGCTGGGTATATTTGCCTGTCTTTTAGGCAAAGATAGGAAAAAGGGATTTGACCTAGCGGACAGTATTCAGGTTGTGTCTGGTGGCACATACCTGGCTTGCAGTTATCTTTATTACAGGGTGAGAAAACAAGAAACTAAAATATTGGTTGAACAAATTAAGATATAAGTTTTATCAAATATCATACATATCATAACATACAAATATTAACAATTCTGTTATTAAAATTATAAACAAATTAAAATTGGTAAAAAAAAGTTGTAATAAATTGGGAAAAACAATTATAACAAATGAAAATAATTATTATAGTAATATATGCTAATACTCCAAAATATGCCACAGGGCAAGAATAAATGCTGCATGCAAAAAAAGAAATATAAAGAGAGAAAATAAATTTAAAATACTTAACTGAAATGCAAGCAGTAACGAGTTAGGATTTTTTTATTTTGCACAACCTCCCTATTGATAATACTGAGAGTTTAAGGGTCCCTGGTATTCTGATGGTAGGAGAGTTCATTGAAACAATATTCCTAGGAAGCCATTTGGGGTGTTTTATCACAAAAACCTTGAAAAAAAGATGCAGTATTACAATTTGACCCAATAGATTCTAATTATAGAATTACAGAATGACTTACTTATTCATTCATGTTTTCATCCTATGTATGTTCATGCCAGACATGTAGTATGAACACATTAACAAGTGAATAAATAAATTTTTAAGGAACTCAATTATTTTATTATTTCAGAGCCAATGTTAGGCTTCATTACAACTTCCCAAGTCTTTACTTAGACAGCCATATAAAACTCATGTTCATAATCTACCACTTCACTGGGAAATCAGATAATGATATATTAATAGCTATCATCCAGTGTATTCTTATGAAATTATCTGGCCACTAAGAACATTAAGAGTGGGAATTTGTCCAAATTTCATGATGATATGTCTACATCACATCACAAACAAACTGTTGTTCCAGATTGATTTTCAACTTTATCTACTGAAAATAAAGTGGAATCCTTTAGGGTTAAGATCTACTTTTAAAACACTGTTTTTGAACTACATGTTCTGACATTAGAAAAGTAACTCACCTAAGTGAATTTCTTACGTGGTGTTCTTTTTTCAAAGGGGGTAAGTGACAGCACTTCAAGGGACACAATCCTTCAGTTTATATATACACCACAATTTTGTGTTAAAGTACAATATTCCAGAAGACAGGTGTCATAGGTTTCACACCATAGTAAGAAGTTTAAATATTGGTAGGGATGATAACACCATTTCAAGATAATCTTTTTTTAATTATAAGTTCAGATTTCTATTAGAAAGCATCTTCTATAATATATCAACTTGTTTAGGGGAAATTTTTCTCAATGGGATTGAATAATGTTACTTCTTTGTAAGCCATACCAAGAGGAAGATTCTTTAGAAAACAACTTCAAAATTAGTTCTTCTTAAGTTGAGGTTAAAAGAAACCCCGTTTTACCTTTTTGAGGGATATTACTATAGAAAGAAAAAAGTTAAATTGATGCTAAAAAGCATGAATGAAGACATTTGGTTAGTTTGAGCAGATAACGAATTTTTAATATGAAATGTTTTGCCTACCCATTACACAAAGTGTTACCTTATCTAAGTTTCTTTGATTAAATGGCACCAGAGAGTATTCGAATTGGTTTCTGGCCAGTTTCATTATCATTCTTCAGAACATTAGGGAATGTATTAGATATATTCTTTGACCTTTTGAGTAACATATTGAATTCTAGAATGAAACACAGTACACACAGCCATAATTTTTTTCATATTATTAAGCTATATCACATTTCATTTTTCTTCTTTTATCCTGATGAATCCTTAGAAAAATGAACATGCTGTGTTTCAAAGACATGAAGAAAGCATTTCTCTTGAAGATAGACACTTACAAATCTATTCCCAAGTATCAGGCAGAAAGGGGGACCAGTCACTATATATAAGTGGCCAAAGTGATTAAAGGGATGTGTGGAGGATATTTAGATTCCTGCTTCTCCAACTTTAGAGTGCCTAAGAAACACCTGGGATCTTGATAAATTCAGAGAGTAATTCACAAGGTCTGGGTGAGGTTTATAATTTTTTAATTTCGAACAAACTCCCATGTGAGAATGGCTATTTTCAGTCACCCACTTACTAAGTATAAGCACTATTCAGAAAGCAGGATACACAGGGCTAAGGTTCTCATCTGCGTCTTTGAAAGAAAGAGGTGGCACCTAGGTCAGTATGAAAGTTTTCACAATTCCCTATCAATCCTGGAGAAGCTCTCTATGAATCTTCCCACAGGCTTTTCAACACAATACTGCTCACAAATACTCTCTTCCAGCATAAATGCATGAACACTATCATATCATAATTACTATTAGCTAGTACGTATTCTGCTATTCCTAGGTGCAGGAAATGGTGATAAGAACATAAGCAGAAAAGAAGTACGTGGAAGCCCTTGCCCTTGGGTTCTTAAAAGCCAACTGCCTACATGGGTTCCAGTTGTGGACATGGGTTCTGCCTTTGGAAATTTAAGGTCTAGTTGCAGAAATAAGCAAAAGAGGGCAGCTATTAATATGAGATTGTTCATGCCCAGGACCAACTGAAAGGGAATATGGTACTTGACTATGAAGGAGAAAAATGGTAACTGAGAGAGAATAGTGCTAATAAGGAATCAGAGACACAGCGAAGGTGACTGGGATTGGATATAGATATTAAAGAAATGGTGAGACTTGGTTTAAAGAAAAGAACATGTCCCAAATATGTCTTTATAATATATGAGAGCTATTGTATTCTGTACTTTTAGTACAATTTTACCAAGAAATACATCTTCCCACAAGATACTGCTTAAATGTCCTATTCATTCTATAACAAGGCAACTGTAAAAGGAGAGATTAAACTGCCTTCTTATTGAATGGGCACTTTAAAACTATCAGACATTTTCACTGTACCAAAAATGTGTCTTTTGGGAGTATATTAGACTTTCCATTATGAGGAGAAGAATGATATGCAAGACAGACACAGAGACGACACTGACTTAACTTGCAGAAGAAACCCAAAGTCTCCAGGGAGAGGAAGGACTGATCTCAGAGACCTAAGGGAAGGAAACCAGCATGTGGACCAGAATGGAGTGATAGGAATTCTCAGGCAGAAAAGGCACCAAAGATGCAAGAAGCCATATCTATTAAGAGGACATTGGGAATTGAGTTTGGAGACCTGGGCTCCTTAGGCAATGTGATGGCTTATTAGGGTGGCTGACGGTGAAATTCATATAGACCCAGACACCCTGGAACTGGTTTTGTTGAGGGAGAAACGGCTGAACTTAAAATATGCACCAAAAGGAGGTATAGTGCTGGTCCCCGGAGTGAGGCACCACTGTGTCCTGAGCATCAGCCGAGAGAAGCCATTGTTCCCAGGATTCTGTAGGGCCACTCTATATACACTATATGTCTTCAGAAAGCTAGCACTCTAATTGCTCTTGTTCTTATCATACTGATTTTTAAAAGCAAAATTTTACCCACCCTCCCCCAATTAAATATGCTTCTGAAGTTCTTAAACAAATTAGAAGTTCAGGGGAAGGCATTAAAATAAGGATAATTGAATTTTCTGCTACTAGGACATGTATAATTAATTAGAAAAATAAAAAAGATAACAGTATAATTATATCAGTTTATATAAATTATAATTTCTTCATCCACAAATATATGTGGATATAGGCATAGTACTAAGTATAAAGATTAAGAGGAGAACAAGAGAACAAAACATCTTATTTTTGTAAGTTTTACTGTCTAGAGATCCTCTTCATAAGGCCGGTCCTGGAAAAGCTTCCAATCACATATGGCTATCTGGACTGAGTAGCCACTGAATAAGAGCTAACATGCTCTCCTCCTGTCATTATGTAAAAGACTAGAGCCCTCAAGCACATTACAAACTCTCTTCCTTTAGGTCAACAAAGGCTACTAATCCTGAAAAGGGTGATATTCCGTATAGGAGAACCTAGACACACAGTCCCTGCTAGAGGGAAAAATGAGGCCGGGAGTGTTAAGGTAGTCACATGGCAGGTAATCTTTTAACTTCGTGAAACATATATACAACCCATTTTCAAAGAATCAACCAAAATCAACATATTTATGAAAACACCAGAGGACAAAGAACACATGGAAAGACCAATTTGCCTTAAAGCATGTTTTGTCCACACACAACTTTAGTCACTGAGATAAACTGTGCATATTAAACTCTCTCATAGTTACAAATATTTTTCTTTCTAAGGCTGCTGCCATCAACTGATATCAAATAATTAGTGAACTAAAAGGCTAGTTTCAAAGACTTGTAAAATGTTGGCCACTAAGGCACTTAATGACTGGCAGATGCTCAAAACTAATACTACACGTCAAGCTACAATTTAACAAGTTTAAAACTAAATGAACACAGATTATCTTCTGTGGGTGGTGTGTCCAAAAACAATTTGAGTCATGCAATTTTTCATTTTCTGTGTCTGGTTTATATTTTTAAAGCATATCAAGTAGCAGCAGATAAGGAGACATTATGTGTTCTTTAGGTAAAAGGTTTGTTACATGCCAAGTTTCCACTCAATCTAAAGGACTTTTATAAAGGTGTGTGCTAACAGCTGGATATTTATTTTACTATATCCAAACTCAAGATTTGTAATTCAGGCTAAATAGCATAAGCCATTCTCTAAAGAATCTAATGTATCATTTGCAGACAGAAGAATAGGGATAGAGGAGTGGAGAAAGATAGAGAAAACTGCGGAGGCATTCCCAGGCTCACAGACTTGCGAGCCTTAATAATGAGACCAACTATGATAAGAATCCATTTCCATTGCCGATAATCCGTGGCTATCAAACCAGCTGGAACCAACACTCCTGTTGTTAAATGACACATTCTAATCATCACTTCAGAGAAGAATTACAGAACATATATACAAGCCTAAGTGTCTTCTTGGCCTTCACAATATTCCCTTTACATAGAGATGCAAACTCAGCATCAGCACACAGCCTGCTATTTTCTTACTGACTTTAAAGTTTGCACATTCTATGTAGGGCACAATACTCATTGCAACAAAATTAAGTAGTAAACAATTTAGCTGATGGATTATGAATTCAGGTTTTGAAGATTTAATCTAACTTACATGAGATCAGCTCTGCCCTTTAAAAACCTATGTTGTTGATGGCCCCAATACTCTGGTGTCCCATTTGCCCCCTTTTACAATTCCCATTCCAATTGGCACCCAGTACCAAAACCTGTATACACTGTCCAAGTCCATCCAAAATAGCCAAGAGAGTAATGTGCATATTGGTTAAGAGCATATACTTTCCAATCAAGCATAACTGAGTTCAAATTTTGGTAAAGCATTGTTGATTGACATGGGGTAAGTCAATTAGCCTATCTATGCCTCAATACCTTAAACTTACAAAGGGAATAATTATGTCTCAAAAGGTTGATTTGAGAATCAAATTGGACAGTACATGTGAATCATTTAGCATAGTTCTTTATGTGAAGAATGATAATACTTGTTGTTATTACAGCTCATACTAAGCAGACCAATGCTACTAGTAAGCCTTTAATTTCTCTACATTCCCTCTAATTTATATTCCAGCCTAAGTTTTGTGCCGTTTCTCCAAAGCCGTGTTCTTTGTGGACATAAAAAGAGAAAAATAAAACATATCAGAGAATATGGCAACATGTTGTGGTGGATAATTTAGCAGTTGGGGTCAAAAACCTTAAAAATGTACGTAATTTTTATCTAGTTAATTCATTGCTAGGAAATAAACATGAAGGTCTTTAGAGGTTTTTTTGTAAGAATGCTTTTTTTAAGCATGTTTATAATAGAAAAGATTTAGAAAACAAATGTCCAATAATATGTGCTACGCTGAATAAATATGAAGCACACTCAACAGCATACTCGGTAGCCTATAAAATGGTATAAAGAAGAATATTTAGTGTCATGAAAAGATGTTCAATAAATAAATAAATGGGCATATACTATGCATGAGGCAAGTTTTGTAAAATAATAATCTGTGTGTAAATAATTTACCACAGGACAGAATTTACCTAGTTGGGGGACTAATTTTTTGAAAACCCTAGATGTTTTTCTCTATTTTGCAGGGTTTTATAAAATGAGCATATATCAAGGTCATACGCAAAAATATTGAAATTTTTTAACATTCTAGGCCTCTGGAATGGCCTCGTTAATGTGAACCTGACAGTGGGATTCTCAGACAAGGTACTGAAGAAAATGATATTGGTTTATTTGGCTTCCCAAACTATATTACTCCAAACCAGCCATAGTTCCAAGTCTAGCTCATTAATAATAAAGGTAGATGAATTCTATTATCACATCCCATTCTGTATAAAATAGATGTTCTTGGAAAATTTAATAAATGCTTTTCTCTCATGAAAAGACTTTCCAAATGTCTTTAACTTAATACATTTTTTCTAACCACAATCTTAAACTCATTTAAATTTAGACACTCCTGTTATATTATTTTAACTAAGTTCAATGTTAATATAAGCAATATATTTGAGGAATGTGATGAAGCAAGTTGTAAGTCATATATATGGTCATAATAATGTTCCCTTTGGGGAGAGTTTCATAAAATATCAAACATCGCCTTCTCTTATGGCATCCTGAAACAGATACATTTGTTGACAAAATCTTATTGCATCAGGGACATGACCACAACTTCCAGGTGCTAATTCTTCACAGTGAGTCCTTCTTACATTTGCTCTTCGCTGAACCTCTCTAATTGAGGTGCAGCCTACAGGCAAAGGAAGGATTAAAGTTTTAGAGACTATAACCACTGAAGAAGCTATAGTATCGCATTTGTACACACACACACACACCCATAAATAAGTGTATGGATGTTCAACAAGGTTTGAATTTGTCTACAATGGTGACTTATTTAATGTACCACTTGAAATTAACTTATTTCTAAATAATTTTTAAAATTTTATTTATTTTTGTTTTGGTTTTCTTATTTTCTTACAAGAGCCTTGCTTTGTTAGTGTTCCAAATGTTCACTCAGCTTGCCTACTGCATAAATCTAGCACTAGGCAGCCTGAATAGTAATTGAATAATGAACCTATAGTAATAATTATTTGAGACTAGGTATCTGGGGGATGGTAAGAGAAAAAAAATCTTCCAACATTATTACATGTTGTTTAGGCAGTCATTCATCTTAATGTTCAAATATGAAATGGACTGTGAATGGAGGAATGGTCAACCAGGAAGGAAAAAAATGGAAATCATGTCCTCCCTTCCTTTTCAATGACAGCATTCACTCAGCCACTGGAAGGACAAGCACTTCTATGCCAATCAGCTGCATCCAAGCGGCACTTAAGTGCTTCACATGCATTTACCACTTTAAGCCTAGAGACCCCTGAGATCACCTACTTTTGTAATTTTTTAAGAATGCTACTGAGGAGTAACACCATGTTATATGGTGTTACAGTTAAGAATTCATTTTTCAAAGCCCATCTGCCCACATTGGAATCCTGGTCTCACAAATTTTTTTTCTTTTTCTTTTTCTTTTTCTTTTTTTTTTTTTTTTTGAGATGGAGTCTCATTCTGTCACCCAGGCTGGAGTGCAGTGGCACGATCTTGGCTCACTGCAACCTCTGCCTCCCAAGTTCAAGTGATTCTCCTGCCCCAGCCTCCTAAGTAGCTGGGACTACAGGCACGTGCCACCATGCTCAGCTAATTTTTGTTTTTTTAGTAGAGACCGGGTTTCACCATGTTGGCTAGGCTGGTCTTGAACTCCTGACCTCAAGTGATCCACCTGCCTCAGCCTACCAAACTGCTGGGATTACAGGCGTGAGCCACCATACCTGGCCACAATTTATTCTTTAGAGGACCTCTCTGTGCCTCAATTTTCTCAGGTGTAACACAGGACTCATGATAGTACTAATTCATAGGCTAGTGTGAAGATTACAAATTACCTGAGTCAATAGATACAAAGTGTGAAGCATTGCCTGAAACATAGCAAACACAGAGAATAAGTGGACCACTACTGGATATTGCAAATAGAAAAGTGATAGGAATTTAGTTGATTGAGGCAGGCAGGGTCCAGATCATATAGGGTTTTGTAGGGTCTGACATGAAATTTGGATTTTTTTTCCCTAGTGTAATATGAATTTATTGCAGATTATGGGGTTAAATCAGATCATAAATGCAAGGTATCTAGTATAATACCTAAAGTACTAAAGGTGTGGCTTTAATTATTAAATATATGTTTAACATAATATGTATGTGTGTGTGTGTATATCTGTGTCACCACACTGGCCAGCAAATAATTACTGCAGGTCATTGGAAACCTGCTAGGAACCTCTAGACCCGAAAGAAAATCAGTTGGTGGACTCTGAGCCACACCGTACAGCACTGAACGACTGATTGCTTTTTAACAGCAGTAAGACATGGAGTAGTCGTTTATCTGAAGATTCAGAGGTTAGATTCAGGAAACCTGCCTATTTACGTAAGGTTTTTGCCAATCCTAGTACAAGCAAAGGTAAATTCCATAATGTGAATGTCTACTCTCTTAATATGAACAGCTCCACAGGATCAAAGAAAAAGAAGTGTTTTCTCTCTCTCTACTCAATCCTCTAACACAAAGTGCCTTGGGGAACAATGCTACTGCTTTCGGAAAGTGAAATGGCATTCCCATTTAACATAAATGGGTCTTATTAGAAGGCAAAAGAATGGCTATTTACAGTTATGCCAACTATTGATTAAAAAGAAACTATAAGCCCAGGCAACCTGAGCCTGCTGCGCACCAAGTCTCAACACAAGCGATCCGGTCAAAAAGAGCTGCAGGGTTCCCGGGGCCTGCACTACTTTGGACATGAGAGGAGTGGTCTCTGAGCCTGGGACTATGGAGAGAGAATATGCCCACTTGAGCGGTAAACACAGCTCCTGTATGCTCATAAAATCAAGTTTGTGAAAGTCAGAAAGAAAAGGCAGGTCTGCATTGCAGAACTTTAAAAAAATGCACATAAACATTTTAAAATGAAAGTTATATGGATTCTCCTTACCATATAAAGTAGAATTTTAGAACTTTTCATCTCTCTCAGAGATTATATAAGAGCGTAGCCTCAGGAACAATGTGACAAACAAAACTTAGCAGTTTGTATTAATATATGAAGCAAGATTATGAATTACCAACAACTAGCAAAGTCTGAGTACAACTGATTTCTGTTAAAAAGTAAACTTTCGTTTTCAGGGAATGTAAGTATTAACGATATTTAAAAGACAAACACAGATATATTACACAGGTGAGAAGATGATTGTAAAGATTACATTAATTGTTATGACATTCATCATTGTATTAGTCCCGATGCTGGGTAATTTATTAGGCTGGTGCAAATGTAATTGCCATTACTTTTAATGGCCAAAACCACAATTACATTTGCACCAACCTAATATAAAGGAAGGAAGTTTAGTTGACTCACAGTTCTGCATGTCTAGGGAGGCTAGAGGAAACTTACAATCATGGTGGAAGGCAAAGAGGAAGCAAGGTTCTTCACATGGCACACGAGAGAAAAGCACAAGGAGGGGAAACGCCAGACTCTTATAAAACTGTCAGATCTCGTGAGAAATCACTCACTGTCACGAGAACAGCGTGGGGGAAACTGCCCCCATGATCCAATCACCTCTCTCCCTCTACGTGTGAGAATTGCAGGTCCTACCTCAACACGTGGGGACGGAGATGAGATTTGAGTAAGGACAAAGAACCAAGCCATGTCAATCGTATTTTGTTAAGTACGAAAACAAGTTACGGATCGGTATGTATATCATAACCTCGTGTTTAGAAAATTCATTTCTTATAAATCTGCATGGGAGAAAGTCTGGAAGGATACACGTTAAATTATTAACTGTTCTCATCTTGTAGAAATGACATATCTGACTTTTTTCATTTTTTCTGTTATATGTAACTTTAGTACAATAATATACACACATTTATATGATGCAGTTAAAATCACAAACCTTTACATCAGATTGTAGATAGAAACTAAACTGTCCAAATTTTTTGGAAATTTGAATTCCCAAAGCAAATGAACAGGTTCACAATAGATTGAAATCCTTAATTGCTGCAGCATGAAAACATCCCAATAATTCATTTACGTGCCATACTGAATATGGATTCCTTCGTTTGATATTCCTGTGGCTTGGGCCTAGCGCTGAAACTAGAGATGACTGTGCTGTCGGTAAGACAGCTGCTGGCTGGCTGGACAGCATGCTCATCTGGCCATCTTGAGGGAAATGCGGTTACTGACAACGCTAGGAAATGCACAGTGTGAGCCCAGGCAAAAGATCTGGATCAAGGCCAGCAAGTTCTTCTTCCCCAGATATCCGATGAATGCTAAATTAATACTTGCTGAATGACTGACTATTTAATCAAGATGTAATTGGAGAAACCTTAGGCAGTGCAACAGATGTACCTCTCCTCCAGTATGCCTTAGAGAGCTTTGTGATTTCACAGGCACCTGCCCTTGCATGACGCGATCACATGCTTTGCATCCACATGTACACTCAACTCTGAATGGTTTATGTCAAAATCTGGTATCAATGGAACAGTGTAATCATGTCCACATCTTTTAGAACCTCACATCAGGGTATTGCTTACATGTGCAATCTGTGTTAATCTAAAATTCACATGCACATTGTTCAAACGAGCTCATTTTTCCACAAAACAGGCTTCTATTGCAGCTCCTAGAGAAGCCTTATTTCAGTATTTCCAGAAAAATGTATTAAACGTCTAGCAATATTAAGGAACTTTACTTACATAAATTTCTTGCCTTTTAATATAGAAAATACAAAATTAAAATACTTTAAAAACAAAACAAGTAAAACAGAAATGTATAAAGAGAGTAAAATGTGCCCTAATTCACCCAGGGCTGCCACTACCCGACATAGTGACTTTGTGTGAATTTAGAATATGTAACCTTTTCTCAAGATAAAACCCAAAAACTTAAATTAGTACTTTCTCACACAATCTAAACCATATAACATGTTTAGGTAATGCCTGAGTGTGGTTTGCATAAGAAATGTCCATACCAATCTCTCCGGATCAGTGAAGACGTGTCAGTGTGTGCTCCCAAGTGTGCACATGAACACATGCGCCAGGCTGGGCTCTCCTCCACTACTCCAGCACTCAACCGAAAATCCCGGAGCCACCGAGACTGCCCGCACATTTTAACACATACAAGTTAAAATACGTGTACGATGTGACTGATGGCAGAGAAAGCAGGAGTATATGCGTGGCTGAAGTCATTTTTAATTTGGAAATTAATGACAGAAACCATCAGAGACTCTGTTTTGTATATATAAAACTCCATTGGATCTACATTAAGGAAAAATAGATTTTTTAACACAATCTCTTTGAAAGTCTAAATGCCACAATGCAGTTTCAAGTGGCAGATGTTTACACAGCTTGTACTTTCCCCTACCTATACTTGAAACACACTTGCAAACTCAAGGGAAACTGTTCCATTCTATATTCAAATGTCAATAGGGGGATTTCGAAATACATGTCTGTATCAAATTTGGTGTGAAAATGTGTTTTGTGGAACTTGTGAAAACTCCCATTTGAGGCGTCTTTCTAAATAGGACCATGCGGAGCACATTTTATACCCACCAGGTTCTTAGACTTGATGTCTGTAAGTGACAGCATATGGATTTCACATCAAATTAAATAAAATGCTTAGGGTCTTCTTCCCATGCATTCTAAGATTCTATTTTCAATAGGAACATCAGAGCTTAATATTGCATTTCTATATGAATAAAATGAACCCTGAATGAATAAAACAGATAATAAATGTTTTGTTTTATCATTCTTTCTACTAAACGATCAGAAACTAGTTTCAGATATGTTTTATAAATGTGAAGAATTACTGAAATGAATTCTTCAAAATCCATCTCTACATGTAGTAAGGATGCAATCCAAGGATTTCTCTCTTTTTTTTTGGTTTCTACTTTGTTATTATCTGGAAACAACCTAATTATCATCAACAGAAACATTTGGACTAAAACTCTTTGTAGTTGTGTAATAAAGA
Source organism: Homo sapiens (assembly GCF_000001405.40). Lineage (NCBI taxonomy): Eukaryota > Metazoa > Chordata > Mammalia > Primates > Hominidae > Homo > Homo sapiens. The sequence goes on from NC_000005.10 coordinate 107,013,508, forward strand.
AAATCTTCACATAATGTGAAATATATATATATATTTCACATAATGTGGAATATATATATATTTCACATAATGTGGAATATATATATATATTTCACATAATGTGGAATATATATATATATTTCACATATATATATGCTAGAGATACATATATATGCTGGATTCTTTTCTACTCACTTGTTTAGGAAAAGATTGATCTCAGATCGGGTTTTGAAAAAGCTCCTTTTTCTCACACTGCCCCCTCACTAACTCCCCACAGCCATTCTTTCCCTGATTCTAATTCCCTCTCTCTCCTGTTCCATTGGCCCTTCTGCTCACCTCCTCTTTCTCAGACACTTCGCCCCCTCATTTCCTGAGGACTCTGACTTATGCAAGCTATTTTGATAAACTAATTCAGATTGAGGCAATTCTGATGAAAATATCAAAATGTGTTACTGCTCCAGCAACATTTAATTACATTTATCAGTGGCTAAAACTGGTTATAAGCAAAAAAAAAAAAAAAAAAAAAAAAAAAAAAAAAAAAAAAAAGAGTAATGTGAGGAATGTGGAGTCTTTATGTCTAAGGAAGAGAGAGAGATGAAGGGCAAAAGGCTCTTCAACGCAACACATACGTATTTCACACCATCTTCATGGACACATCCGTATTTCTGTCTCAGGAAAGGCACTACTACTTAAAAAAATCACAGTAGTTGATTTTCAGATTGAAAACAAGATTGGAAGACTTCCACACATTAGAGATTGGACCTGCAGACACAGGCAGTGAACCAAGACCGATTTTTATAGGTGGCATTCAGCATAAATGAACCCACTCGTCACAAGGACTCAGCCAGACACACCATTTAGGCTAATAATTGAAATAGATTGGATTCTTCTTCTGATTTGAATCCTAAATTCATAGAAATTTGGCAACTCCAGTCAGAGTGCTGGAGAAGCAATTTACTAAATGACACCCTGGTGGCCTGGAAGCAGGAATGTTCCTCCCAAAGCTCTGAATTTCCATCTAGGTATTTCTTTACTTGGTACTTCTCATTAAATAGACATGATGGAAATACCAGTCACTCTTAGAATCCTAATCTCAATATTTCCTGTTTTACTTCAATTATTATCTAAAACTGACTACCAAATGTTAGAGCTCAGTAATACAGGTAAGTTGAAATTGAAAAATTCAAATGCCAAACTCTCTATATTTGAATTCTTAGAAAAAGACTTATTCTGTACTTGCCTATTCATCTGAAACCAAAAAATGAAATGCAACCACCACATTGTACAGTCCATGCATGGAAAAGAAGTCGAGGGAGCAAAATCCAGCTCTCAAATAATTAAAAAGGAAATCCAATATTTAATTCAGACTTCAAAGGAACATTAAAGGTAATTCAATTTTTGCTTACAAAAACACCTAATCAAATCCCTTTTCCCCAAACCCATTTCTTCTGTAAACTGCAGCCACCTCAGACCCCATCACCCTGCAAGCCTCCAAGATTTTAACCACTTTTTATTCTGCTCTCTCACCATTTCTGTCTCTTCCTTCTCTCCACTATGTCAGCTTCCTCTGCCTGGCTTAGTGTCCCCAATCTCCATGCCACATATCTACTCTATTTTCATGCTAGTCTTTCCCCTGGTTGTGTATATCAAAAAATATTCAGAAACAAGGTTGTCAGGGGGTGGCTTAAAAAAATAAATAAATAAATCATATTCCTGTTCTCCATTCTTAAAATATACAAACTCAGGACAAAGAGACAGTATCTCAGAGCAGAAATTCAAATCATGCTCTGTCTTCAACCTAGCTCATTATATATTAGTCTTTTGGTCCTAGATAAGTCACCATAGTCATATTCCTATTAACATTTACGTAACACTTTTAACTGTTCTAAGTACTTTTGCATCTATCATTTAGTAATCCTGTGAGGAGGAAAGGCAGACATTGTCACCTGGGGGGAGACCAGGCAATACTCAGACAGAGAGGTTCTATGACATTGAGGCAGACACAGATATTACCATGGAGCTGATATTTTTGCCCAATGGAGTTGTACTTTTCAGCTTAACCCTTGTGTGGAAGTTCCTTTGATTACTTTTCCTGCTGTTCTAATTATGTCCAATTCACCACCAAAAAAAGGTCAGATAAGGATGCAGTGAAGAGGCACCAAAGCCAATCCTGATTTTCCAATAATGGCCCTTACTAGAAAGAAACAAAGATGACTTGGAAATGTCATTAATAAACAATCATATACCAAGAGTAAACTTTAAGTAGATACATGAAAACATTTTGAGAAAGTTTTGTTTAGTAGCCATCCCCCAACTCTTACCCTCAGGGGATAACTTCCAAGACCCCGAGTAGATGTCTGAAGCCACAGACAGTACCACAGTTTATGTATACCGTGACTTTTCCTATACATACATACCTATAATAAAGTTTAATTTATAAATTAGGCACAGTAAGAGATTAATAACAATAATAAAAAAGCACAATTGTAACAATATATTATAATAAAAGTTACGTGAATATGGTCCCTCTCTCTCTCTCTTTCTCTCAAAATATCTTATTGTAGTATATTCATAGTATACTCACCTACTTTAGGACCATCGGTGACCTCCGGTAACTGGAACTGCGGGAAGTGAAACCATGGAGAAGGGGAGACTGCTGTCACTAACATAGCAGGGCCAAATTGTGACATACCGAGGATGCCCATGAGTACCAGAACAACCCAAAAAGAAAAATAAGGGCTGGACTACAGGAGAGACAGTATTTGACTCAACCGCTCCTGGCTAAGTTTCCTACCAATACCTAATGAGGAAAACATAGACAATCATATAAGGGCTTGACAGTGTATTTATTTAATAAATAAGTAACTATACAGGTAACTAGCATTATTCCACTGTTTTTATTCTGCAGTGTGAGTTCATCTATTCTCTTATCATCGTAAAGCCCTGAGCTAATAAATCCTTTATGTGTATAGATATCTAGACCAGATGGGCTCCTTCTTATTTACCATTCTTACATTTATAGTCACAACCCAAAAAAGCATCATTTTTAAAGAGTATTCCTTTCATGGTTTTTATTCCTATTTGAGTTTGCTGCATGTCACAGAGTAATGATTAGAAAATAAATTCATTCAACAAACAGTTAATGAAAACCCATTATGTGCCAGGCTTCATGCTATGTCCTGGGGATACGAGCATGAGCCCTTGGGGAGCTCAGTGGTTTTAAAGACAGACATGTACACAGGTAACTTATAGTTCAAAGTTCTAAATGCCATTACTGAGCTACAAAGGCAATGTCACAGAGTGGAGAAAGTGAGGAGGACAAGGAGAGGTGGAAAGTTATTATAGAATTCCAAAAACAGAGACACTATCCCCTTGTTTTATCTTAGCCATATCACTTAACACCAGCTTAAATTATTTTGTTCATTTTTAAGGATAATATGTCATCTGTCTCTCCCAAATCATGGAGAGAGAGAAATCCCCAATCCCTGGATTTTAAGCTCCATGAAATAGTACTCTCACCCATCACGTGGTGTCCTCAGCATCTAGAACAGTATCTGACACATAGTAGGAGCTTCTTATTGGTTGACCTGCATCCTCTAAAATATACACACACACATGCATGCGTGTGTGTGTGTATGTGTGAGAGAGAGAGACAATCCTAATACCCAAGATCTCAGAATATGACCTTACTGAGAGAAAGGCATTTAATAAAAGTAATAAAATTAAACTGAGATCATTAGGGAGGGCCCTAATCCAACAGCAATAGTGTCCTTATAAAAAGGGGACATTTGGACAAAGAGATAGACATCCATTCGAGGGAAGATGAAGAAATACAGGGAGAAGATGGCTATCACAGGCCTCAGAAGGAACCAACTCTCCCAAAGCCCTGATTTCAAACTTCTAGCCTCCAGAACTGTGAGACAATACATTTCGGTTGTTCAAGACACCTAGTTTGTGGTACCTCGTTATGGCTTCTCTAGCAAACTAATACAGGGTTTAAGGTTTGTAAAATGAAAAAAGGAAGCAGATAAACTAAATTAGAGGAGATATAGAGTAAATAGCAGACATAAAGAAGATATAAAAAATAGCAGATATAAAATGGGATAAATTGGGTCGAGGAGTTAGAATGAGAAGTCAAGTATAATTTAATACTAATTCCTATAGGAAAGATTAAGAATACAGAAGAGAAACAAGTTTTGGTTGTCTATGTGCATGTTTGGGTATGTTTGTAGGAGGTAAGGAGACTTGGTGCCCAGAGTTTAGCTATAGATAAGCACCTGCACAATTTCCATATGAATATATGCAGAAAGCAGTGGGGAATATGGGTCTGGTGCCAGGAGGATGAGAAATGCTGATTTGGGAGTCCTCCAGAATTGTAAATTGTGTTTGATAAGTGCAAATTAGAGTTACTAAGGAGAGCATACATGTTGTGAATAGAAGTGGATCAAAGGTGAGTCTTTTGGGGGAAAAAATCGTATTATTCATGGATGAGGATAAGAAATAAGGAGCAAAGAACAGAAGGAAGAACATGATAAAAGGGAGAAAATCCTGTAAGACTCAAATAAAGAGAAGTTTTCAAGAAGTTAGGGATCGTCAATTGTATCAAATCCTAAAGCTGGTTCATGAAGGGTTAAGAGTGAAAATGTCCCTTTAGATTGGATTATAAACCTGGATTATGCATAGAGTGCTTAAGTCAGAAGCCAGTCGGTGGTGTGGGTGGAGGGGCGCTTGAGAAGTGAAGGAATGTGAGGAAACAGGAAGCATATCTCTAAAAAAGAGTTCTGAAAATTCTAAATTCTGATAATAAAGCCCAGGGCCAATTCAACAAGGAATCTGAGAAGATATAAGCAATTCCTAGCTTGTATTGTGTCCAATTGTTTGCTGTACAGTGTCCAATCTGGGACATTCTGCCAAAGTTTATGAACAATTCCAAAATGCTCAAAACATATTAGTCAAAGAAAATACTTCATCAATTTAAATTCAATGTGTGAAAATGGTTATGGTAACATCATTAGAAATATGATCATTATTAGTATATGCATTTTACTAATTTTTCATGAGAAGTTTCATTTTTTAACATGGAGAATCCAAAGACTTTCAAAATATGAAGACTTTGAGTAGGACACTGGAGAGATAAAGTTTAAAAGATCCATTATCGTAAAAGTGTTTACAATATTTTTGACTGGTTTCAGAATAAATTATTTATTACTAATAAAGTTCCCCATTATTATTTTTGATAGTATGCTCCATGAAGTCAGAAACCTCATCTGGTTAGCACACCATTATATTCACATAACGCAGAATCTGGCTCAAAATGAATGCAAAATAAATACATGGTGAATATTTATAGTGCTCACCTCGGTTACACTGTTCATTCACATGTATATTCTCACTGGGCCTAAATATATCTAAATTCTTTTGTTTTAGAAAGAGTGAGACAAATAATTGATATGTAGTATATTAAAATTTACATGTGTCCAGGCTTATCTACTAAAACATCAGAAAGCATAAATGAGTATTTGTAGAAATTTTATTGACATCAGATTCCAGATAAAGTTTACCAAAGCAGAACAATGTGAATCTAATTCAATTTTTAAACTTCAAGTTTCAATAAACAACATTAAATGTTACTGCAACAACATCATTCTCAGCACAGTATGACTTCTTATAGCATTGCAGAGAAAGATAACCAAATTTGAGGTCAAGATAGGTTTGTTTTTATTTTAAGTTTCATATAAAATTATTTCACTCAATATACTTAAGGTGAAGATGTTCATTTCAACTACCAGCTTTTTACTTTGGCTCCAAACTTAGTAGAAGACCTTTAACTTCCAACACATTTGATCATTGTATATCATTTCTACAAAGATTAATTGCACAAAAAGATAATCTTTCAAATACGAATATGAAACAAAATAATAAAGATATATTTAAATTTGATAAAGGGCCAGGCACAGTGGCTTACACCTGTAATCCCAGCACTTTGGGAGGCAAAGGCAGGAAGCTCTCTTGAGGTCAGGCATTTGAGACCAGCCCCGCAACATGGCAAGCTCGGCAACACACATAATTTAAAAGTTAGCTAAGTGTGGTAGCATGTACCTGTAGTCCTAGCTACTTGAGAGGCTGAGGTGGGAGGATTGCCTGGGCCCAGGAATTCAAGGGTGCAATGAGTCATGACTGAGCCACTGCACTCCAGCCTGGACAACAGAGTGAGACTCTGTCTCTAAAAAACAAACCAAACAAAATGATTAAAATGTTTGTATTAGTCTGCTCTCACATTGCTATAAAGAAAAACCTGACACTGGGTAATTTATAAAGAAAAGAGTTTTAATTGGCTCACAGTTCTGCAGATTGTACAGGAAACATAGTGGCTTCTGCAGAGGACTCGGGAAACTTTGAATCATGGCAGAAAGAGAAAGGGAAGCAGACACAACTTACACAGCCAAAGCAGGAGGAAGGGAGTGGAGGCGCCACACACTTCAAACAACCAGACCTCACGACAACTCACTCACTAGCATGAGAACATCACTCAGGGGAAATTTGCCCCTATGATCCAATCACCTCCCACCCAAACTGCACCTCCAACATTGGGGATTACAATTCAACATGAGATTTGTGAGAGAACACAGATTCAAACCATATCAATCTTCAAATTTAATTCTGTATAACTCTGAGGTGTCTTCAAAAGTATAGGTTGGGAAAGTAGTTCATTTTCACTTACACTTAAGAGCAAGGATAAAAACTTTGGGTGGAAGAACAAAAACATCATTATAGACATTCTCACTACTTTATTCTCTCAAAGTGTATTGGCAGAAATGTACCACGAGAGTGAGAACAGTCAATAAAAAAGGATATGTTGCAATGCAATGTTCCAAATAGGTCCTGGAATTGTTGCTTGATTTTTAATGCTTTCTTTTAAAATAAACTAATATGATTACCCCCCATTGAAAATAAAATGCAAAACTCTTATTCAGTAAGGAAAAGATGGAGAAATATATTACAAATTAGGCAAATTTCTCTACCCCTTTATTAAACTTTGTTTAAATTGAGAGGTATGAATAATTCCTTTTTATTCACACTTTCATAGTGACTCACACTCTATCTTTTCTGTGCCATAAACTAGTATTATAGCATTTTCATGAATGGATGCATTAATAATAATATGGCCATTTATATTCAGACTTTAGCAAACCTCACCTTGAGGGAACTTTTTTCTCGTTGACTTGATTCATTATTAGTCTAGCTAACAGGATCCCAGTTTCTCAGCATCAGTGTCCTATTTAGTTCTCATTTGTAATATCATAACCTTTGCTTAACCTCTCATTCAGGGAAGTCTTACAGTTCCTCTTCTACACTGAAACATTGCATAAATATTTAAATGTTAATTCAGAGAGTGTAAGAATGATGTCAAAATGTCCCTTAGAGTCAAAATTTCATTGAATTTGGAGTAGTAGCATTATGATATGATCTAAAAATTCAAAACGTGTCAATTTTTCCCCTCTGGCTGAAGTAGTGTTTATTCATGAAAGATTTTTAAAATACCTCGAAGGTCCGAGGGTGTTCTCCCTATAGTCCTTTTATTTTAAAGACAAATGAGAACTTGTCAAACAGTTCAGAAAATTGTGCAAATAATTATGGAGATGCCAGTCAAGAAAGCTGCATTTCCTTACTTCTCAAAATGTGGCTTTGATAAGTCAAAAAACTTTTCAACCTGCTTATCTTGTACATTACGCCCACAAAATCCCTGAACTAATCATAGCTTATGAAACCATGTTGTCAAAATAAAAAAATTATAAAGGTATATAAACTTGATATTAGATTAATTTCAGCAGTCATTCAAAGTAGTAATTTAAATACTGAATTTGAGATAAATGCTTCCAGTATTAGGTAGAGATCTTATTTTAAAAGTAATATGAGAATTCTTGACATACCAAGAGATCAAATTTAAAAGAACTATATATGAGAGTTTTCAATTTGGCAAGATTGCATACTCAAAGATAAATCGACATTCCACATGAAAATTTATTCCAATAAAAATATTGTTGAACTCACCGATTTTCGTCTTTTGCACTAACATTGCATAGAGTAAGACCTTTTTGGTTCAAAACAACAGAGGTAATGATTGCTCCTTCTTCAATTTTAAAGAGTCATTTATCTTCATGTCTTCTTCAGGATCCTAGATTCTTACTGACCAAATTATGATTAGCAGGTTTGACAACTTGTGGTTTCTGTACTGCATGTTCACGCTGTAATCCATGTTGTTTAGTGGTCACTGAAGTCCACTGTGTCACCGAAAGAATCAAATGACAGAGTTCAGATGAGGTAAGAAAGTGGTATGACATGATCCAGTATTGTTGCAGAAGGTCAAGAAGGTACACTGAGGATTTCTTATGGGCACAAATGGAACTTGGAGGTTTAAAGGGAAGTTAGCCCAGGGTGGCTGACTAACACTCTCTCAATCAGAGAGCTTTGAGAAAACTGAAATTAAACAACATCGTTAACAAGACACAGTCAACCAAAGTAACTAGTTGTATTTATGGAGCAGGAATATATGTGAGAAACTCAAATGTTATGTCATTAATGCAGTATTGCCTATGCACTTGGTACTAGACCTATTTCACAGATGAAGGAATTGAGACTCAGAAATGCTCAAGAACACATAGCTATTAATTGACAGAGCCAAATCAATCCCAGTCCTCCTGACAATAAGTTCACTGCTCCTCCCACCAGACCACTTATCCTCATCCATGGATTCGAAAACTTCTCCAAAATATATGGGAAGCCACCACGGCATTACTAATGTTTCTTTTGCCAAGCACATTAAAACGAAAACAAAAAAAGGCTGCTTCCAATCATCATCAGTTCACAAAAGAAAGGGCATTTTACTCTTTAAATTAAATAAATTTATTGTTGTGAAAAGTTGAGTATTTCCCTTTTTTTTTTGGTCATTTCACCACACGTTGGTGAGACGTCTGCCTCGGAATGGAGTGGTTCATAGATCACTATTTAGGATCCTGTTCTTTGCCACAGCTACCTTCCAGTATCAGCCCAGAATCAGTGCTGGAATTTTATTATAGCTGAATCATCTGCAGACAAATTTTGGAACACTCTCTAGAATATGTATCATATTTCTTTGATTCTAAGTCACATTTTAATTTTTTTAAATTGGGATATGACTAAAAATTTCAATAGACATTTAATATAATTATTTATTTTTCTCCACAAATGCTGTATTTAATTCAGCAATGGATCTTTATAATCACTGATACCATAGTCTACAAAAATGCTATGTGTTTTGAATGAACTGATAGATGTTCAGACAAAAAAATATAAAATATATTTAACAATTTCCAATTCTCAATATCCAGTGACAGGAAAAGAGCACTCACTCAATAACTGTCTGTTACTTAGAAGTGAAATAAAGAGACAGGTTTCTATGCCTCTCCAGACACCTTTGCAGGATTCTAATTTAGCAACCAACATCCTCTAAGAAACTGAAGGTTAACAAAAAGCAGTCTGAGCATGAGGTTTAATTTATTTATTTTTGCCTATAAATAACTCTCTTATCTAGGGTATCGGGAAATGATGTGTTCTGGTTAATAAAATATTCTGGTTAATATATTATTACCCTACTTAATTCCATGCATATATCACTGATTATGAAAAATTAAACCACAATAATATATACTTAGCACAAAATTAGACTGAAGTAAAGTATTATCTTTTCCTTGATGACTTAAGATGTACTTCAAAGCCTCAAGTTTATCATTATGGAAAATCAAGTGCTGTAGTGTATAGATGAACCAGGTAATAGAATTCTTTTGCTTAACAAGACATTAAATAAACTATATTTTTCACAGTTCATGCTCTTTAATAGATTAATCCAAAATAACACTGCAATTATGAAGAGTATATTATCTCAAAAATGGACTTTTTTCCAATTTTGTTTTCTTCTCTATATGTCTTGCAGAGATATAGTGATATATAATTTATCCTATATTTTTAACTGACTATTGCACCACAAATGTTTTCCAGATTTAGTGGCAAAGTCTTAACATTTACAGCTTTCAGTAACTGAATAATATTCCCTCAGGTTGATTCACCATTATTCATTCAAACTTTTCTCCATTTTTGGCCATTTTTGTTCTTCTGACATGAACACCTTACCTTTCAATACATTTCTTCAAAGCACTTACTGCTATATGAAATTATTTGGTTAATGAATTACTTTTGTCTTTATTGTTAGAATAGAGTTTCCATGAGGGCAAGAACTGTGTGTATCTTGTTTATTGCTGAATCCCCAGAATGTAGTACAATACCAAATATATCATATGAGACCCAAGAACACATATTGGAACATGAATGAGTGGATGAATCATTGTGCATATTTTTATTTGTTTAGGAATATTTCTCAGAAATGGGAACTTGGGCCTTGGTGTTTTTGCTTTTAGTTCCATGAGTACACTCAAGTTACAAGTCTAGACAGGAAAGTGGAAATCCTGAGTAGTTCTTTTAAGGAGCTTTGTAAAACTCAAAGTTGGTAAAGAAAAGTGATATGAGAAAGACAGAATGACAGTGAGGATGAACAAGCAAGATTCTGATCTCAGAAGAAAGCTTAAGAGCCTGAGGGAAGCAACAGTGAACAAAATGTAGGGGAGTCAAGGGGATCAGAGAATAAGAATAATCAATGAAAATGGGGTCCTTGGGGAATCATTACTGCATAAAATTGAAAAGTCTTAGGGAGACAAAAGGGAGTCAAAATAGAGAACAGAAAATTATCAGTAAATTACCCAATGAATCCCCGAACCAAGCTGAATATTGGACTTGCCTAAAAACAATTTTTTCTCCTTTTTAATAAAAATTACAAGCTTCAGCCCTGGAAATTCTAATTCAGAATGCCTGGATATTGACCTATGAATTTGTATTTTGAAAATATCCCCTGGACATTAAATTAAATGATATCATTAGACATAGAATACAAAAGACATGCAATAAGAAGAAAAATTATGCTATTAATTTTAGGCTAATAATGCTAATATTTGTCACTCAGATTGTACCTGGATTGTGAGGATTTTTATAGGTATTGGGGAATTCTAAAAATAATTATATCTACTCCTATATCTAATTGTCAATTATTCAAGCTCTATTATATACATATCAAGTGTTAGTAATTAAATAATGGCACACTGTCATAAAACAATTTCGATTAGTCTCTTCTTCAGCATGTGATTTTCTGAGCTCTAAGTTGAAACAATCAAGTATATTTCATTCAATTGACAGAAGAGCTATGATGGCTTTTATAGCCCATTATTGAATTTTTATAGACTACTTGCTTTAAACATGAAACTTCTATTAGAGTCAGTGGAATCATACCAAGGATGCCTTGGAAAAATCTGAAAACATTAATACAAAGTGCCTTCTTGTCAAGCTGCCCCAGTATCTGGTTGTTTTTATGTAATTGTGTCTTCAAATTCAAATCATCTAAGTTACTGACCATAAAATATGACTTTTTGCCCAGTTCAAATTTGTTCTTAGTCACATACTGCTTTTCATTTATCTTCTCTAATGTATCTAACTGATGGGAATGAGATGGTCTAACACTGAAATATCCTTGAAAAAGCTGCTCTCACAAGATCTGCAGGTCTATTTTATAGATCAAAACATTTGGCTTTGCCCTGAATAAACCACCAAACTTTTAGAACCTATAAGGTGATATCAATTTTTGAAAATGGGAATCAAGCTTACCTAAGAATAGTTTTGAAATGATGCTAGAGTATATGTTGGGAATTAACACTGAAGGTTTAGCAACATTTCAGGAAATATAAACTCCATGCTTTGAACTATTCATAGCCATTATCAATCTCAAATGATTTTTAGATGTCTGTTTCATACTTTTCAGTAATTTATTTGGATGAGTAAAAACCATATTTAGTTCCACAGAAAAAAAGCAATGTAAGAATTTATAGAGACCTTTCTCTTAAAATCAGACAAGTTTTCTTCTATTCATTTCCTCTTGGCAGAGTGACCATAAACAGGGGACATTATGTCTGAGTCTCAGTTATCTCATATGTAAATGGGTGTAATTTCATCTGCCCCTACCTAGGCTGTGTCCATGTGAGACTAAATGAGCAGGCATGTGAGCATGACAAAAATGTAAAAAGCTATACAAATTTAAGAAATTTTATTGTTATGTTCTAGTAAGGCAGCATAAATGTTAAATGTTTTGTTGGATTTTTCAATACACTTTCATAGTAAGTTTGATAGTGGAGAGTTTCTATAAGAGACTGAAATGCATCAAGACTGGTAATGAAAGTAATTCCATTAAACATGTGTAGTTCATTAAGTTATTCCACATGGCACTCAAATCGTTAGTATCTTAGATGTAGCAAGGAAGATTGTGAACTAGTGGTGACAGGTATAAATCTACTACAGAGACAGGGTTACTTTACATGAAGTAAGTATTACTCTAACTCTTGCTATGACTACAAAACACTTCTATTTATTTCCTTTTTAAAAAAAGCCAAGAGTTCCCATTTAGTTTTGAAATGTTAAAGAGTTTCCTCACAACCTTAGTTGGATCTTTTTTTCTTTTTTTTTTACAAAACACATGGTGCAAATTGACTGTTAAACATCCACGTCTAGCTCATTTAGCACAGAGCACTGAATCACTGTCTTGGCAATAATGAATTTGCTTTCCAGATTAAATCAAACTAATTATATTCTGGTTACTTGACTGTGAAGTCATATGACACCACTCTTAATTTGATTATGCCATATTACTCATTGGTTAAGAGAGGATCTATTCATATGTTGATCAGTGGAGAAGGTCGTTGCCATGATACACACATTAACATACTCATGATTCAAAGATGTTGCTCCTGATGGGTTTATTCCCTCCTGTGAGCAAGGTTTGACTTGAGATGTTTCTGCCAGTGATAACTCTTAACCACATAATTCAAAAATTATAATGTGCAAGCTTGTAGCCATTTGTATGCTATAAGCTTAAGTTAAACTTTGTCAATACTGTTTTCAATTCATCTAGAATAGAAGAGAAAGAGAGACAAAGTGAATTTATCATAGCTAATATATGACATGAACATCTGCTCATAATAAGCTAGTCAAAATTAGTTTAAGTCTATCAGGCACAAGGAGAATTTAAATGGTCCAAGACAAGGTATCCAGGCTAATGAAGAGACTGCTGTAAGAATATCGCTGAGATTCTTTAAAGTTTTTTATTATCTGCCACCCATACCCTTCTTTAAATCCCAGGTTGAGACTGTCACATTGACATCTCACATTCCTCTCTCCACGCCTTAGGCTGGCTACTAGACACAGAGACAAGAATTGTGATGTGATTTTTTTTTTTCAATATTCTTTTCACATTCACTTTCCATCTCATTTTGACTTTTTTTTTTCTTCTTTTTAATTTAATCCTGTAATCTCCTTGAACTTTACTACAGGATATTTTCCACTGATCCATCATTTTTAACAAAAGCCTCCCTATCAGAAAGTGACAGATTCTCATAATTTGAGGGGACAGCTTTAGCGCAGCAATCCTGCTTGTAAACTTCCTCCTCTTCAAATCACTTCTTCCATTCTTCCATGACTTCTGTCCTGAGGCTGTTTGAAAGCAACACAGAAGACTTTCACATTAGCCCCCTGAGATTTCAAATCCTGCCAACACCACTTATTAAGTGTCTGTGGCCTAGATAAGTTGCTTAACTATTCTGAATCTTGGTTTATTTGTAAAATAGAGATAAACAATATTCACCTCATGAGACAGTGATAAGGACTAAAAGTGATCAAGCATGTGAAAAATATTGGCATAGTACAGGATATGTAATATATTACTGTATAGGTCATCGTACTTGAATTTGAAGTTAACACTCTTTCACTTCAATTGCGCCAGTTATCTCCAATGTAATGATTCTAAAACATTCCTTACAATTTAATTCAAACTATCACTTCAAAAACTACTTCGTGTGTATCAGTCAGCTTCTGATGTATAAGTCACCCAAAAACTTAGTTGCATAAGACAATGGTGAATAACTATATCTCTGCATTATCCATAATTGTGTAGACTGGTCAGACTGGTCTTCTGATCCAGCCTCAACGGTGGTGTAGAATGGCCTCAATCACATGCTTGGGGCCTCAGCTGGAGTAGTTGTGATGACTTGGTTAGAACAGCTGGGGCCTTTCTTGCCTCATGTCCTTATCTTCCAGTAGGCCAGCCCAAGTTTTTTGACATCATGGTAGAAAGATTCCCATCAACAAAAAAGAAGAAGCCCCAATGTTTGTGTCATATTAGTGTTAAATTTTTAGGTATAGAAAAAACACTCAAAGAATATATTTGAAGCCTGACAACTCTCGGGTTAATACTCCATTTCTGCTACTAATTCTTGGAATGATCTTGAGCAAGCTATTTATCTTCTATACAAACCAGTTTCCTCATCTGAAAAGTAATTGAATAGTACAGGATTAGTGACAGAGTAAAATAGGATAACATGAATAATTTCATTGATTTAGCACTTGGCAATTGGTAGAATAAATGTTAGCTTCCTTCTACCACCACCTGCCCTTTGAGTTTTTTTTGTTTTTGTTTTTGTTTTTTTGGTATTACCACCAACACAATTACTACTCCATTACTTCACATAAAAACACAAAATATCACAATGTTCCTTATCTGAGAACTGAATATTGCTGTAGTTATTATACTAGATTAAAATGTTAATCCAGAATCATAAAATCCACATTTTTATACTTAGAACAAGAAATAATATCTATCAGAACTACTCCTACTTAGTTAATATTAAATTTCCCTCTAATTATTTGCTATTGTAAAGCTAAGACTTCCACAGGTAAAAATTAAAGAATTCATGGCACAATTAAATGGGTCTAGTTTCTCCAGTGCCTTAAAAATAAATAGATTTTATAAATAAACCAGAAAATCTATGAGCCAAAATATTGAGAAATGTTTTCTGTATTAGAATTCCTTAAAGATACATAAAAATCCTTATTTAAGCATATTCAAGGATGCATTTAATAAATATGGAAAACTATTTACAAATTACTTAAGGTTATTAGGGTATTTTCTGTTGATAATGCTGTAGTACTGTAAAAATTAATAGTAAAGAAAACAAATGTACAAATGAGTAAGACCAATATTAAGGACATTTAGCTATTTGGAAAAAAAAAAAGAGAGTACAATTCTTTACAATTCTTTGAAGAGAATAAATTTGATTCGACCATTACATATCAGTAATGATGCAAACATCTGTGTGTCACAGCACTTCATATCTAAAATCAGGGGTTAATCTCATAAGAGAACACGTTTCAGCTTCTATGGGAAGAAAAATCTGCCTTTTCACTTCCCAAATCAGAGATGTCTCTCCTCTCTCCCCATATAGCAATCCCCTGCTCCACCTCTCCCTCCTGAGAGGAGGAAAAACTAATAGGGCTGGTCACATTCAGGCCACTGTTTCATTGCATTTACTATTGAGCAGAAACTCACAGGCCTCCAGGGAATGGGATTGGTAAAAAAGGCCAAGGCCTTTTAGGGCCATGCCATCTTGTCTTCTTCTTCCTTCTTCTCACATGTAGACTTGGTCCCTTGGGAGTTCTCATTCTCACCTATGGGGACTTAGCAGCTGAGTAAGAATGAAATTATGTCTTAGGTGATACATAGAATACTAACTGGTCACGCACCTGAGGCGGGTTCTCTCTGACACAACTGACCAGAGAGCTCAACTTTGCAGCATCAGATTACTAGCCAAGTCCACATAAAACAGCCCATGCTGTCTCATTTGTCATTGTTGCTTGTGGGCATAGCTTCTTCAAGAACTTCAAGTGATTGACAAGGCCTTATTTAGGTATTCTCTATTCCTTGGTGATAACACTGAGTGCCACCACCATCCGTTTGGTATTTATCAATATTCATTGTAGACAACATTTCAATACTTCTTTCATTAAAAACAGTGACATTAAAATACTGGCAGAATATGTCACAATAAACAATTTTTTTAGTTCTTCTCAATCTACTGAAATATTGATATAAAAGATATCCATGGCACGGTTTTACATTGCTATCATGGAAATATGGAAGGAAGTTAAAATCCCAGATTTTCCTAAGCCCCGGCAGTGTAGCTTCTTTAGCCAGAAAATAAGATTTGCCATAGAAATGGCAGAACAAAAACTAACATCCACAAAACATTGACTGTGAAGCAGGCACTGCTCTAAGACATCTGCATTATGTCCTTTTTTAATACTCACAAGAATGTGAGACTTTGATGAGGTTTTGCAATTAACCCAAGATTGCTCATGTCGAAAGGGGGGAAATCAGGATTCAAACCTGGTGGTGACTTAATTCTAGAGTCTAAACTCTGAACTATTCCCCAGTGCTGCCTCTGATAAACAAATCTTTCAGTGGACAATACTTATTCAATCATTAAATATGTGAGAAACTTCTATATGCAAAACATTCTGATGGATGCTTCATAAAATACAATAATACATAAGTTATAGTGCCTGTCATCAAGGAGTTGATAAACTTGTAATGCAGTAATGCATCACAAGTATCTCACATCAAAAATGTACATAAATATGAGTAATGATATGGAAGAAGGGTAAGGTGTGGAAGAAGGAAAAGGCTATTACCTGACAGGAAGATCTTGGCCAAATCCTCTTCAGCAATTTCCTTCAAAGTACTAAAAAAAAATCTTAGATCATGAGTTAGATTTTAGTATGACAGAAAAATAAATGACAGGAATTTTTCTGTTCCACAGCTGCAGAAGAATTGTCAGAAACATGCTTTATCCTGATGGAAGTTAAAAAACCAGCTAGTCACTTCAAATTTAGATGTTTCAACATATGATGACCACATGTGTTTTGAAGTATTTAATAATCAAATGTAAATAAGGGAATAAGATCAAACCCTTCACTAGCTACTTGGTTTTGATGAGTTGTCATCGCTTACTCCTGTTTTCTATAAATAGATTAGGCACAATGACTTCAATTCAGTGTATAATTATTCCACATCTACTGTGTACAAAGCATGGCAGGTAAGTCTGGTCGCATGGCAGTAGGGCACATGAAGGTAAAATAGATCAGTCTACCACAGGGGAGACTATTCACTAACCTAGAGGGATAGGGAGTACATAAAGTACATAGAGTCATTTTAAACACTACCAAAAGAGACCCAAAAAAGCCTAAATTTTAAATGGCCAGAACACCATCTGTCTGTGTTCCTTTCATCTAGGCTGCAAACTTTAGTAATTTGTATTCATGAGGTCATATTCTCAGAGTTGTTTGTGTTCCACAATGAAAAAAATGATGTGAACTTGAGTAAGCATCACTTGGATTGTGTGAATACTAAGGATGATCTTTTATGTATAACTATTTAAATATTCATAATTTTATTGAGTCAAATGTATTTATATTATTATTATTATTATTATTATTATTATTATTATTATTATGAGACAGAGTGTTGTTCTGTCACCCAGGCTGGAGTGCAGTGGTGCAATCTCCGCTCACTGCAGCCTCTACCTCCCGAGTTCAAGCAATTCTCCTGCCTTAACCTCCTGAGTAGCTGGAATTACAGGCTCCCACAACGATGCCCAGCTAATTTTTTTGTATTTTAGTAGAGATGGGGTTTCGCCATGTTGGCCAAGCTGGTCTCGAATTCCTGACCTCAGGTGATCCACCCAAAGTGGACTGGCCTCCCAAAGTGATGGGATTACAGGCGTGAGCCACCATACCTGGCCTATTATTATTATTATTGTAATGCAGTTGCTTTCCAAGATTTTGTTTTTGCCTTTGCTCTGTCCTGGAGGTCACAGTCACAATAATATCACTGCATTAGTTCTTTCTGCTTCTTAGTCATTTCTTCCTATCTGTTGTTGAAGTTCCTTAACCCTTCAATCTTCCATGATATGATGGCTTTCCTTACCAAATTTGATCTATCAGAATGTTCCAGAGATGTGAATCAAAATAATAATAATAAACTCTATTATTCCTTAAACTGTATGGTCTTTCAAAGTTTCTAATTTCCCAAATTTGTTCAGATGTTGCTATTAAAAAAATAAATTGTACAGGTGTAACAATAGAAATTAAGCATAGTATCAAGGAAGGCATTTCCATAGCCATTAAAGAGAATAGGTTCAGAATTGCAAAAGGCAGGACAAGTGATCATAGATGACTAGCATATTTCATTCTAAAATGCCTCATCCTCATTCTTCTTTCAAAGGAATGTTAAAAATAAATTTACCAGTAGTACTAAAAATAAGTGGTTCTTACCTTGCTATGGTAATAAACTCAGGAAAAGAATAACACATATATACAGAAGAGAAAAGGCAGAAATGGCTGTTAGCATTCTTTGAAGGAAGGGAATATCACAGGAGAACTTAAGCAAATTTCACAATGTAATAGACAAGCTTTCAAACTTTCCACTGAAATATGTGTTGGCAAACATAGCCTAGATTCTGGTACCTGCTATGTATGACCTGGGAGACATAATTGTCTTCCCTGAGTTTCCTCTCTTAACTTCCAGAGATCTGAAGAAAGCTTTCTCTGGATTGGCAAATACTCTATAAACAAAAGTTTTATCACTGAAAACCACCTATCATTACAATAACTAAAGAAAAATAATTCAAATGATTTGATAAGACAAAATTATATATACAAAGTAAACATGTCTTGGTTTTGTTTAAGTATAGATTAGATGACTTACTTGAAAGGTTTACAATAACTTTGCAACTTGTGTTTTTATCTCTAGCTAAAAAAAAAGGAAGGCTCCTGTATGGCTGACTAATGACCTTGGAGCGGGTTGTTAGCTGAACTTCTACAAGCAATTTTTTTGCTTTGTTTGTTTTGTTTTGTAAGAAAGAAGAAAAAATATTTAGTTTTGAACCAACTTCTATCCAGTCTAGCCAGCTTGGCTCTTATGGAGGTTCTCTGGGCTAGCTCTAAAGAAGTTCCCTGTAGCTGAGAGTAAGAATCTTTTTTGCCTTCATCTACAAAAATCAGTCTGCAATTGACCTCAGGCATTTCAGAAGAATAATTATTGACCACCAAACTTCTTTGTTTGTTCAGAGATGGGAGGGGAATCAGTTGTATTTCAATATCTTTTCTCTGGATGGCATTGCTAATATTTCTGAGAAGTATATTTTGGATGATTTTGCTGATAAAAGAAGAAGGAAATAGAAACATGAAAGACAAAAATGAAGATCATCTTGGGTTTAACTCCAGGTCCAGGGGCAATTACATCTTTGACTCAAGCATCAGAAAGTGAGAACATTTCAAGAGAATCTCTGGCCCAGAGGAAATGAATCAACATGACTTTTAGTAATCAGATTACCATATATTTTGATGAAGATCAGCAGCAACAGAAACCTGCAATTTCCTTAGACAACAATGAAAGCTTATAGAAGGCTATGTTCACAGCTGTCAAAATAGCACATTCCTTTACTTAATGGCTTTGGAGAATTTAATGAAAAGCTAGCCACAAAAACAAACAACAACAACAACAAACAAAAACACCTCTGAGCTTCATGATACATAGTAGCCTAATAACAGAAATGTAAGACAATCTAATATGAATCCATCATTAGGTTTTCAGTTGCACATGTGCTACAAATATTTTCACTATTTTCAACTTTATTTTTCTGTGTGAAATTAGGGAATAAAATTTCACACATAAATACATATATTACACATATGTAGAGCACCAGAAAAGATACTTGCATAATAGTAAAGAAACTTCTTTAATGGGAGAAAATAAAGCCAAAACAGAATTTCCAAAGACACTGACTTTTCTTTCTCTAGAGCACCAACTTTTCTCAGCCACCAAATATACTTTTTAACCTCAGGGAAACAAGCTACTGTAGATGCTGGAGGAATTACAATCATATCAGTACTTGGAAAGTTTCCAAATTGTAGAATGGAAAACAAAACAACAATAACAACAAAAAAAAAAAAAAAAAAGAAAACTACAGAAATTCAGCCAATCACAATAACTATGGATATCAAAGAAACAAAGTTTACCCTTGGGAAAAAAAAATATAAACATATATATTAGCCATAAAAAAGAATGAACTTATATCATCTGCAGTAACGTGGATGGAACTGTAGGTCATTATGTTAAATTATATATATATATATGAAAGTAACAAAAATGGAGCTTTAAAAAATAAAGCTAGTATAAACTATAAACTAAGGAAAACTAAACCATGAGAAAAATCACTGATTGTTCATTAATAGATCCGGATCTATATAAGTTACATAAGAGTAAAATCTGAATATAATCTGTGCAACATTTAGATAATTATCTTGCCTGACATTTTTCCTAACTCCCTCCTTGTAGAGAAAGACAGCTGCCTGTCCAGCTATCCATCCCGCCACCTGGGAAGATATATGACACCCATTTACACATAAAATTTCACTGAATACAGCTTATACTAGATAATGTCAATGAATAGGAATTAGCAAGAGGGAATTTAAAATACCCAAAGGGAACATTTTACTTAGGAAAGGAGTACCTGAGATCTAGGCCACTAATAATGAAAGTAATTAGAGTAGCACTTAAGTTGCTGAGTATCACAACAAAGTAAAACTGTAGACAAGTTTAAAGTTTAGAAAGCTTTTGACACCAATTAAGTGCTGGAGATTTTCATTTTGCTGTTTTCTTAATTTTTTTCCTTTTACTTAATTGGCATAAGCGTTTCCATTTGACCTTTGTCCTATGATACGTTTAAACTTACCTCAATACACAATAGAAGTCAATCATCTTCTTAGTCCTAAAACAACAAAGTGGACCAAAGTGCACCGAAATGATCTGTTTGCCTCTATAGATCCCCTAGTCCAAAGTTCTCATTATGATTTGTTTATGTCAATGTACACTTTCTAAGATATTAAAATTAAACCCATTCATTTATAAATAGAAGAAATACCTTGGAATTCTATAAGCAAGGAATTTAATGAGATTAGAACAGTTACCATTTTGCCACAACACAAAGAGAATCCAGTGAGGCAGAAAACCTGGCCTCAATATAGAGGACTTCCTAAGTGTATACGCTGATTGACACACAACTTCAAGAAGTCAAATCTGTCCTCAGCTGATACTAGAACAGGACAGACATTTCTCAGGTTTGCTTCTAGAAGGATAACGTAACTCCACCGCATTTGAAAATAACGAACTTTCACATTTCCAGACAGATTACCTACATTCTCTCAGTAGCCACAGATAAATAGGATCTTCTGACATCTGCAGAACATTACAATTACCCAAATAGAACCTAGAATAGGGTTCTCAAAGTTTCCCAGCAACGTCAGCACTACCTGGGTATATGTACAAAATTAATTTGGAGGTCCCACCCAGAGGTACTGAATCAGGAACTCTGGAGGTCGCAGTCGAGAAATCTCTGTTCAACAAGCCTTGCAGGTGATTCTGATTCTGTTGAAGTGTGAGAACTACTAAACACATAGTTGTTTACTTCAGTCTCCATTCCAAAGCAAACCTATAGTTTAATAATATGACAAGCTGAGTAAAGAGCTGAGGCAGGTAAGACTTTGGTATTATTCCAATAAATGTCACCAGGGAATTATCTTGGCCACTAATGATTAAAAGATACTGGTATAAATGAAGACAATATTTCACCATTGTACTTGTTTTTGATTCTAGTGCGCTCTGTTACTCATGAATGAAGCATAATTTAAAATAGTTTAAAGAGAAAGTTTCTATTTATAAATAGGGTCTGGCCCATTTAATCATTTCATATTTTTCCTTATGATAAGGAACTGCAGATATATGGTGTTATGACATTTAAATTAATATGCACACACTGAAACTCTCAACAAGCATGCTATGAAAGTTTTCACTGAAATCAAAGGCCAGAGCCAATAGTTATAGCCTTTCTAGCTATAAAATTATTCCTCAGCTAGAAAAGAAAGATTTTTGTTTAGTTTTATTTTGTTTTATAGCTATCACCCTAATACAACACAAAGCTCATTATTAAAACATTATAAAGAAATTTGTGATTCCTAGATGGCTTTTTCTCAGAATATTTGCATAATCTTAAAATTCAACAACTGTTAAGAAACATACTGCGTAATTAGAGTTGTAGAATACTCAATACATTTCAGGCCTGATTGAGTGTCTCTGTCATCTTAACTATGGAACAGGTTGTAGACTGTAGATTGCATCAGAGCTTCATGTGCATCAGGAATGGGATGGGGGAACTATTCTAAAGCAGTGGTTCTCAAAGCCTCATCCTCAGAAGAACAGTATCAGCATTACCAAGAAACTTATTGAAAACACAAATTCTTCATCCTAGACCAGTATATCAGACACTTTGGGGACAGGGCCCAGCAAGCTGTTTTAACAAGCCCTTCAGGTGATTCTGTAACACACTCAAGTT
Organism: Homo sapiens; assembly: GCF_000001405.40. NCBI lineage: Eukaryota > Metazoa > Chordata > Mammalia > Primates > Hominidae > Homo > Homo sapiens. Next base: position 107,035,899 of record NC_000005.10, read on the forward strand.
TGAGAATCACTATGCCAGTGAAGTGGCTACATATGCTTCTGTCTTTTAAGACATAATGTAATTTTCTTACAAATTATGGTAACCTTTCTCAAAATAAAATTCTTTATTTACTCATTCATTCAGCTAGTATTTATTGACTACCAGATATATGCCTGTTGTTCCTTCCCTTCTAGTAACTTCGTTAACACCTCTGCCCGATGCTTAAAGCTATAGAAATACAGCAGGCCCCTTAATGAAAGTCCAGAGTCCCTAATGGTATTTGTAAGAACATGAAAAGCTAATTTGCTATGTGGTATTAAAATGTAACCTCCCTTTACTCATCTTCAAATTTTTAGTAAAATTAAGACACACCAAAGCCTTATGTTGGTACCAGAATGGTTTCTAGGGTATAGCAAAGTTACAACTGGTAATATGGCTTATCTAGAGAGGAGAAGAGCTCAGTCCATCTGTCTACCAACAAAAACCTACATCTTGGGAAGATATTACAATAGTCCAGAAGAAATAAGGATGACTACACTGGGAAAGAGTATGGCGATTTCTCAAAAATCTAAACATAGAACTACCACACAATCCAGTAATACCACTACTGGGTACTTATCCAAAGGAAAAAAAGCATATCAAATGGATATCTGCACTCCCACGTATATGGCAGCACTATTCACAATAAGAAATATTTAGAATCAACCAAATTGCCCTATTGACAGAAAAATGGATAAAGAAAAAATAGTATATATACACAATGGAATACTATTCAGCCATAAAAAAGAATGAACTTACGTCATTTGCAGCAACATGGATGGAACTGGAGGTTATTATGTGAAGTGAAATAAGCCAGGCATAGAAAGACAAATATCATGAACTCTCACTCATGTGGGAGCTAAAAAAGGTTGATCTCATGAAGGTAGAAAGTAGAATGATAACTATCACAGTTTAGGAAAGGTATGTGTTGGGGGACTGGGGGGATGAAGAGAGGTGGGTTCATGGATACAAACATACAGTTAGATAGAAGGAATCAGTTTTAATATGCAATAGCAGAATAGGGTGACTACAGATAACAACAATGTATTGTATATTTCAAAGCAGCTGGAAGAAAGAACTTGAAATGTTCCTGTATTAGTCTGTTTTTACACTATTATAAAGAAATACGCGAGACTGGGTAATTTCTAAAGGAAAGAGATTTAATTGACTCACAGTTCCACATGGCTGGGGAGGCCTCAAGAAACTTAACAATCATGTTGGAAGGGCAAGCAAACATGTCCGTCTTCACAAGGCAGCTGGAGAGAGAAGTGCAGAGTGAAGGGGGAAGAGCCCCTTATAAAACCATCAGATCTCATGGGAACTCACTCACTATCACAAGAACAGCATGGAGGAACCGACCCCATGATCGAATCACCTCCCATGAGGTCCCTCCTCCAACACATGGGGATTACAATTCAGATTACAACTCAAGATGAGATTTGGGTGGGGACATAGAGCCAGACCATATCAGTTCCCAACACATGGAAATTATAAATACGCAAGGTGATGGATATCCCAAATACCCTGATTGATCATTAAACAGTCTATGCATATAACAAAATTTCACATGGACCCCCATACATATGTATAAATATATCAATTGAAAAAATAACAATAAAACTTCTAGGTGATTTTTGAAAAGAGAGAGATATGCATAGCTACTCACAAAGCCCCTTGGACACTCACTGGCCACCATCAACATGGAGCCATGGAATCTCTCTGGAAAACCTCATCTATCTCCAGTACTGTACAAATGCATGGGTGACAAAGAACTGAGGAAAGAAAGAATGGCAAAGAATGAGTTAAAAGGTTGTCCTGCCATCTCCACACAGCACATGCCACTACAATGTCTGGGAAAGATATGTTTGCTGATTCTTTAAAACTTCCATTTATATACAGAGTACCATCTTTCTTACTAAGAATTTTCTTCTTCATTCACATTGTCAAGATATTTATTTTAATAATAAGTGCTGCTTTATTTGATTTGCTTCAGCAGCTATGCTATAGTAGTCTGCTTTTATAGAAAGAGCAGTTCCATTATTTTTCTGTTTTCCTCAGATTTTATGTGTATGTATGTACATATATACACGTATGGCATATATATGTTATTTTATATATATATATATAATATACATAATAACAAATATACATCATGGCCTCCTATTTATGCAGCCCTGTCCTCTCAGACTAGAATAATAATGTATACAACTCACTATGTAACATCTCTAGCTAAGTGTATCAGAAGCATTTCAAACTTAATACAGCCAAAAGTATGTAAGTATAATAATAAATAAATAAGACATAATTATCCCTTCACATTTGCACTTTCTCAATCTTTACCACTTAGTAAGTAGCACCACTATCCACTCAGTTGCTCCAATAAAATTCTAGATGTTTTCTTTGATTCTTTTTTGTTATCCTTCTTTTCTCCTCATCTATTCCATCATCATGTGCTAAAATTCCACATGTAAAAAGATATTCCTAAAATTGTGCAATTTGGATCCAAGCCAGTCATATTTCCCATGTGTTATCATTATGACATTCTAATAGGCCTCCTTATTCTACTCTTGCTGCCTGAGCAGCATTCTCCACCTAGCAACAAAAATGGTATTGTTAAGATATAAATCAGATTGTGTCACTGCCTTATGTACAATATCTTGATAATTTCCAATCCACTTTGAATCACAACCAACTCCTCCTTTACTCTAGTTACATTTCAAGTGTTTAACAGCCACATGAGGCTACAGTATTGGGCAGCTCAGAGAAGATTTCTATAACTGCACATAGTTCTACTGGATGGTGCAGCTGTAGACAAACTAGCTTATTCCCCGTTTCTTGAATATTCCAGGTTTGTCCCCACCGTCAAGTCTCTACCCTTGTTCTTCTTTCCCCATGGGTTGATCTCCCCCAGTCTGTGTGTATAGTTTCTCTTTTTTGGCATCTCAGCTGGGGAAGAAAGAATATGTCTCATCATTACAAGGCTCTTGGGCGAGATTCCTATAACAGAAGACAGATCAACAAGAAAAAAAGCATCAAGATTTATTTAATATAAGTTTTATGTAACATAGGAGACTTCAGAAATGAAGACCCAAAGAAACAGATAAATCTGTGTATTTTTATGGACAGTCTTGCAGAAGTACGATTGGAGGACAAAAGGGTACGCTCTAATGGTAACAAATTGAAGGGAACTTAGAAAGGCCTCTTTGTTCAGACTCTTCTTGGTGCCTTTATGTGATGTCCACTCCCTCCAGCTATAGGACAGGACACGTGTATCATGAGGGTCTTCAGGGGAGAAGGTCAGGGAGTGACCTTCCAAAGTTTTATGACGTGCTTCAGGAAAGAAGGGTGAAGGGAAGGTGAGAGTGGACTTCCTGCTTCTGCTGTATTCTCAAATGCCAGGGAGCCATATTTTAGAGTTGTAGGTCCTGAATCCTGTCACAGTGTGAATGTCATCTTTCCAGATCAAGCTACAGCTACACCCAGGTAGTCCCTTTATATCACCCAGTTCAAACTTCTGCACAGCATTTATGGCTGTTTCATATGTCTCTTGGCCATATTTGTTTGTTGTCTATCTTCCCCACAAGAATTTAATCTCCACGGTACTAAGATTTCAACTGTCTTGTGTCCATGTCTGTATTACCTATACGTAGACTAGTGTCTGGCAGATAACAGTCACTCAATAAATACTGTAGAAGGAAGGCAGGTGGGGGGGAATATGTTACTACTTACAGGACATATCACGTCAAATATATTAATATTTAGAAGAAAACATCTCACAAAAATAAAGGGAAGGCTCCTAATATATACAATACTGAATTCAGTAAGTACATCTTGAACTGAATTACAAGTCCAATGCTTATATTCCAGCTCTTCCTCTATCTTGGACATATTTTGCTTCTAAGAGCTTCCATCTTATTTATTAAAAAAGCAATTCAGACTGCAGTTAAAAGATTCATTACAGTTCCAAATTCTGTTTTTTAATGAAGATGTTGAACCCAAGAGAAATATGCAATATTTTTAATATATCTAGAAAAATACTTGTTTATATACCATGTCTTATGCCAATAGTTTGTGAATATTTTAACTATGTTTTAAATCATCATCATATTGCATAGTCTTAAGCTGCTTAAATGTTCACGGAGTAAAATTTTGAAAAGCAAATTTAATCACATAACGTTAGAGAAAGTTTTGCTATAAAGACACTGAGCTAGTGATTAAATTGGAATTTACATCTGCTTATGGATGTTTAATTAACCACAATCTAATTGATTGTTAAGCAATTGATAAGATCAAATTAGAACTATCAAGACCCTTACATCATTCTGCGGTAGGTATGTCATGTCACATAGATACAGCCAAAGAGCCAGGTGAAAAAAACCCTATCCTTATGAGAACTTCCTTTAGAAGTTTCTAGTTGTGGAAACCACATTCATTGTTCAAACAGAACTGGTTTACACAGTTGGGCTTTTATATATCTGGTCATCTTTGCAGACAGTTCTACTTAAAAGAAAGAAATTCTCCAAGGAACCTACTTAGAAGGATATTCATGTCCTAAAACTCAGAAAAGGCCCACTGTGGTATACTCCACGAAACTCATTAACATCAAGATTTCCTTAAGTAGTTATAAGCTGAGGTTTTATCATGCTCATTTTTGTATCACCCCCAGGAACTAAGACGTTACACCGAATATTAAATTAACTATAAATACTTAAGTAATCAATGTGTAAAGGGAAATGATGTAAAATAGCATATCATTGTCTTTTTAGATGAGGTTATATAACTCCAATAAAACTTCTGGCCATTCATAGAGCTTCTGTTAAATTTTTCATATCCCTCGTAGGCACTCATGAAAGAGGCTCAGACTATTTTCAGAAAAAAAAATGTGGGCAGCAATTCCCAGTGCAGTGTCTTCCAATGGAAACACAGTGATGAGATAAGAATCATCTTCATATCCAAACTGCTGAATAAGAGCAAGTTCAACAGGGAAAGACCCACACTGCCAAAGATAGCTTGCTACTGTAGCATTGTAATACTTGAGATTTACTGCTTATTAAAATGCAAAAGGCCATTACTTCCCCTAGAACAAATTTTGTGAACAGAGATGAACCTAGGAAGCTTTTAGCCCATTTCCTGAATCATAAACAAAGAGCTCCATACACAGCAACTCTACAAGATGTAAAGGGGAGTATATTATATGATCCTTATTGGATTACTCAAAGCCTCAGTGAAGCTCCCTTCAAAAGTGACATAAATCAAAGCTAACTGCTTCCATAGAAAAGCAATCAAGTTTTCAAGAGAATATCTTTGTTCCCTGAGGTTGCACAGTAAGATTTAGATGCTTCTATTAGGATCTCTGCAATGGAGCATGCTTCAGTAATTATAAAAATCTAGCCTGGAAAAACACCTGGACAGACTCCCAGGGGAATTAAATAGAGCTTTTGGTTTCAAGTTTTGTATACTTTATCGAAATATTTTCCCATCTACCTTATGAGAACACACACACACACACCTACTTTCACTACATTAAATTAGGATATTAAGTATGGTGAGTTCTAGAATCTTTTACTCTTTAGTATTATTTTCCAGTTTTAAATAACCTTTGTTATGTACTTCCATAAAGAAATGAACCCCTAAAACAGCTTAAATTTGAGGAAAAATTATACCAAAAGAAAATGTATCTTTGGGAATATTGGGGAAGTTATTTAGGAATATGAAATCATTCCTTCTCCAGAGCCTTTTATATTAATCAAGATGGGGTTCCACTATCTTACTGAAAGATGCCTTTAAAACTAGGCCAAACAATAGTGATATCTTGGCTAAAAATAATTCCCTTCAAGGTGTTAAAGTCCTCAGAGGGTCCATAAGAAGACCTTCATTTTTCTTTCTATCTCAGCCATGTGGTCAAATATTTAACAATGCTCTAGGTTTAAAAACACATGCAAATCTTGCTCGGTTTTGAAGCTGATTTTTGCCGCTTGGAATAGTAAAAATCATATTCCATAATTAAAAGTTAAAAGAACTGACATTTATTTGTTGTTTACTTTGAGAATTTGATCAAATCAATATGCCTTCCAGATTTTGTCTTTTTTAGAAAATATATGTGCAAAATCAGTACCAAATTTTCCCCTTTTATAGTCTCTAAAAATGAATAATTATCCAGTTGAAAAGTAGTGAGTTGTACTTTTGTGCCTAAAACTGTGCTAGATTATATAAAACGCAAATTAACTACAAGCTATAGTTTATGGCATCAAGGAGCCTGTAGTTTAGTGGGCAAAGATAACATAAAAATATGTGAATAATACAAGGTAATAAATATGTGTTAAATTCTGTGGCAAAATTATAGGTGTTATAAGAATTCAGAGACATGAAAAATCAATAGAGCTTATCAGGGTTGGAGAATTTCGTAAAGAAAGTGCAACTTAATTTGGAGAGAGGGATTTAGACTTGATGTGATAAATTGTTCAGAGTAATTGTAGGTTTTTGAGCAGGGGAGTGACAGATGAAACCAACACTAGAGGAAAATTTATAGAGCATCAGTATGCAGGAAGTCTTAGATGATAGAAGAGCGTATGCTAACTAGAAGCCTAAAAAAATACCTCAGGGACAATATGATAAAGGCTTGGACTACAAGGTGGGTTGTGGGAATAGAAAATTGACATTTTGAAGAAAAAATTGATAGGTCTTCATAACTGCATGGAAATAGTAGAGAGGGATTATATTATAACTTAGAATATATATTACATGAGTTAACAACCAGACACCCATACAACATAATAACACTGTTTTAGTTTATGTTCCTCGGAAAGCACAGCCTGAGACAAGAGCATGGATGCAGGTCGTTTACTTGAGAAAAGTCCCTAGGAAGGAAAGAGTGAGAAAGTGGGGAGAAAGCAGCAGAGAAAGGATAAAAGCCAGTGAAGGGTACCATTAAAGAGCTGCCTAGCAATGTGGATGAATAGGGCTCGATTCTATTGGGGACCTCCACGGAAACCATGACTAGCATGTTTGAGAATTGCCCTGCCAGAAGCTGGGGAGGCTAAGGAATTCATCCGCTGACTTCCTCACCCTTGGCTGAGAGTTGCCCTCAGTGGCATCATCTTCCCTGTACATCTTTGTATACCTCCCTATGGATTGAAGCCTTCTTTTGCCTTGAAGAAGGCAAGCAGAGCAGGGACACTCAGAGATGCAGGCCCGACAAGTAATGCTAGCAGTGGCACTTTATAGCCACGGCTGCACAGAAATCAGGTGGGGACTCAGAATGTTGCACTGTAAGCCTCTGCAATAATCAATGCAATTGAATACTTAACATAAGAATATCACATAGACAAAAGCCATGGAGAGAGACAGATGTTAGTGGGTAATTACTCAGGCTCTGGACTCGGAGGTCTTTGGGTAGGAATTCAGTGTTCTCCTCTGCAAGACTTTAGGTAAGTTATACTTTACTTCTGCTAAATTTCCTCAAGTCCCTCTACTGCTAAGTGATGACAATACTATTACCTAACTGGTTGTTACAAGAACTCAATGAATTAATGCATATAAAATAATTAGAACAGTGCAAAAACAATCCCCAAAAACACTGGATCGTAGAAGTAGATTTTTAAAATTTGAATTCTTAGGGAAATTTACCAACAACATTAAATTAGTAGTGATTGTCAACATAAGATACCGCAAATTAAAATAAGCATTTTCATATGCATTCTCATTCCAATGACAGGATTGCTGATAGCTCTAATTAAGGTACTTAATAAAGCTCTGAAATTATACTAGCATGTGCCTAATAGCTGAATACTACCTTCTTCAATTAAAATTCTCACTTTCATCAAACTTTAATAAAGAATCATTCCATAGCCACTGCTTCTTATCTCTGGTAGCTGGAAAATGTCTCTTTGCAGCACTTCACAGGTAGTGAAACTGTATTCCTTCCCAGACTCTGAATAGCTGTCAGCACCAAGGAGGACAGCAGTTACTCTCTGAACTCAGGCAGTCCTTCTCATGTGTATTCTCTTTTAGACTTGACAAACACTATTCATTCCAGGTATGACACACGCATGTTATGAGTTCCATCATATACACCCATGTGCAGCAGACAGTAGTAAGGAAATGAATTTTAAAGATAGTTAAAGAGCAACTAAAGAGCAATCTGCCTCCATAATTATGGTCAATGTCCACCTCATCCTTTATTGATTATTAAGTCTCAAAGTCAGTAAGTTCTATAGAGTTACTACAGTAGTTTAACTGGAGGGACCTCAGATAAATATAGGCTCATAAAAAAGGTCCAAAACACAGTTCCATGAAATATTAAGTTCAGAAATGACCTCAAAATCCAGACTTTATAAACAGAGGAAACAAATATGAAAAATATTTGCCCATAATCATACACTGTTCTCATCACGAGACAAACCATATACACCTCAAGCCAGCCAAACAGGGCTCCTCCTGCTTCACTGGATTGCCTCTCAGAACCCTCCCCTGCACCATGTCCATGGCCCTGCACTTGCCCACACCTCCATGACCCATGGAGAAAAAGGCAAGGTAAGTTCATTACTTAGACTATTTATCCAGTAACATTGGAAGACATTTTTGTGACAAAGGATTTCCACATCTAGTCTATTCCACTGATGGGCCTCATAGTGTATCTGGAAGAGTGTCCACATGGGCAACGTGAACTTCATTCATAAATACTTAAGTGAACATGAGATTTTGCACAAATGCAAAGATATAAATTAGGATAGGCGGGCAGGAGAGAAGGGGAAAATGGAAAATGTTCATGACAAAGGAGTAGAGGAAAGGAAGGAAATACACAGTGTTCAAATATAGTACCAGAGTGAGAATATATAGCTTGCACTTTTCAAGGATTCTTTTTCTAACTATGAAAATAATATGCAATCATTATAGAGAATTTTTTAAAATAAGAAGATAAAAATCAAATAAAAATCAAATATTATCCTACTTAATACTGTCTACTGCTAACAGCTTGTTTTGTTTCCCTTTTTTGTTTCTTTGAAAACGCAGACAAAATAATTTACAAATTGGTATATAGCTTTTCCACCTAATTTTATGTTGTAAACATTTTCCTCTATCACTCTACAAAATGGTATAAAAATAGTTTGTAGTAGATAGACTCACTAGGAAGGATGGAGAAGTAAGTCTCCTGAAATAACATTTTTTAAATCTGGCATCTAATCAGAAATAAAGCTAAGTTTTCCTCCATAATACACTAAAAATAACAGTTTTATGGAGTACTTAGATATTCTCCCTCTCACTTATTTTGTTACTATTTAGGTGAAATGTAAAGTAATATTTCTTCATTCTGTATGGTGACCAGAAAAGGAACATACCGGCATCTCCCTAGTCTTAAGCATATGAAAGACGGTTATTCAAATGGTTCCAATAAAGCTGTTATCTCTACATGGTGCCTCAATTTCCTTACCAAGAAATAAAGCCTTTTATTCTACAACAAGAGTCAAAATGAAAATAACCCTAAGGGGGAAAAATGATGCTATTTCACACTATGGTACAAATGACTGATAGCAGAGGCTTTTCTGAGGGCAGATGTGGACCAGAGACATGGTAAACAAAATGTGATAAACTAAGTACCTCAAGAAAAGAGTAGACCTTCTCAAGGCACAAGAGTTACCTTTCTAAGGCACAGATTTCTGTTGCAAACAGAAATCGAAGATACTAAAGACAAGTATGGAGTTAGACAAGCCAGTCCTCTTCTTTTCAAATAAAGCGTCACTAAAGCCTTCCCCAGAGGTCAGCTGCCACAGCGTAAGTGAATATTACAGGACTGGCCTGAAGGAGTTACAAGGAACCAGGGAAATCATCCAGCCCACTCACCTGTCCCAACCCAAACTCCTTAGCTCATCCAGTTTTAGGCATGTCTAAATCTCAAACATTTATTATTGAGTCAAAAGTTTTGTTTTCCTGACTGTCACCCTCTGATCTGAATTCCTTCCTCTAGAGCCAAAAGAAAATCTACTCCCTGGAAGAAATGTCAATCTTTGAGACACTTAAAAGGAACTACCATATGTCCCCTTAGGCTTTTCTGCAAGCTACACATTTCTGGTTTCTCTCATTCCTTCTACTTTATGGTATCCCTCATCAGTTTTGTAATGTTAAATAACCTGCAGTTATCAATGAACTTCTTTTAACCAGTGTCCAGAACTGTACACATTACCCAAGATGTTATCTGACCAACACAGAATTTAGTAGCAATTACTCTTGTGATATTGAAATTATATTTTCTTGTTTGTCCTCAATATGAGTTAGCTTTGTTCATGTGTCTCATATTAGTTTTACAGTCAGTCACTCTGCCATCTACTTTGTTCCAGTTTTCTTAGGATCATCTAATTCTCAAGACATATTTCAAAATCTCTACATCAATGCATACAACATAGATGAACGTCAAACATACGATGCTAACTGAAAGAAGCCAGACACAAAGGCTACATATTGTATGATTTTATCTATATGAAATATCCAGACTAGAAAAATCTATGGAGACAGTGGTGATGTTTGTACAGCATTGGAAATATACTAAAAACCACATAACTGTACACTTTAAAATGATTAAAAGATCAATTTCAAGTTCAGTGAATTCGATCTCAATTTTTTTAAAAAGTAAATGATAATGTGATGGGAAAAACAAGGATAAGGACATAAACTTTAACCAAGATATACTCACGAAATATAATATTATTCAGCCATGTAAAAGAATGAAGTATTCATACATGGTACAGTATGGATGAAACTTGAAAGCTAAGTGAAAAAAGCCAGGCATAAAAGGTCATGTAATAATTGATTGTATGTACATATCATTCTATGTAAATAAAATATCCATAGTAGGCACATTCATAGAGACTGAGCATAGATAAATCCCAGAGGATCAGGGAGGGTGGAGTTAGGAGTGACTGCTAATAGGTGCAGGGTTTCTTTTAGGGGTGTTGGAAAGGGCCGGTTCAGAAAGCTGGAGAAAAGCACATCTCTTTCTTCCTCTGTCCTCTAAAGCCTCACCTCGTAAGTTGAACCATAAATGTCTGCAGGGTACTGAACAAATCCTCAAACAATTTTTACTACCTGTGAAAAGCTGGATTAAACAAGCCTAACAAAATAGCATTAACAAAATAATAATAATGCCAATTGCTAATTTATAAGTAACAAGTAATGATTAAGCTCTGAATATTAACAGAAAAGTCAGATTTTTATATATTCACTCCACAAGTACTTATTGAGTACCTGTTGAGTCAGGCATTTAGAGATAGTGCAGTGAATAAGTTACAGCCTGTAAAATCTATTTTAATGATTTTATTTTTATACCTGTGTACTATTACAAAACCATGTTTTTATAGATGGGAACAAGAACAGACAAAGCTAATAAAGTTGCTCATATCACATCAGATTCCAAGGTACCTGTTGCTGAAGTTTTCTAGGCAAACCTGCATAGTCACATAGTAGAGAAAATTTGATTAAATGATCTTGACAAAGCGATCAAAACTTAGAGTATCATTTAGTCTAAATTCGTTTTATATTGGTTGTATATGCTACTCAACATTGTTATGTTGTTAGTATATAAGACTAACAATTTTTGTATTGTGATCTTTTTACAAATGATATTTTTGGAAAAAGAATACTCCCCAAGTTAATCTTAAGGTTATTTCTAAAGTTAAAACTCTGTACAAGTAGAAAAAATTTTCCCTTTGATAAAATTAAAATTTTAAATGAATCATGTACCTAACAGTGGTTCCAGATGTATGTAATATCAGGAGATTTTAAACTTTGAATCGATTTGCAGTGTTTTAAGTTCAAGCTCTTCTTTGTTAATTGGTCATTGTTCAAGATTATATGTGGAAGTCATAATAAGTTATAAGAATTTATTTCCTTGTTGGCAAGGAAAGTTCAATAAGAGCATTATTTAATGATTGCAGGATGTAACTGCAAATAACTGTCCTAATTTTGACTTTCTAATTAATTACTTTCAGGATGGAAATAGACTAGGTATCATTCATAATAGCAGAAGAAACAGTGTTTTGTTTCTTTTTTTTAATTCATAATCATTTTGCTGTAAATATTTTTCTAAAATATGAGTGACTCATTATAAGACCTAGAAAATAATTTGCTGATCCTCAGTAAACATAAACATATATTTTGTGATATTTATTGAATTCGATCAATCCCAATAATTTGATTTTGAAGAGTTTGTATGTGTTTAAGCTTTTTCACAGTGCAACACATCAGATCTCTTGATTTCACCACACAACCACTAGGTACACTGTCCAAGTTGTGCTGACTTGGGAGTTAAAGCTTACTTTAGAGGAAGGAAGAGGGACTTTACATATCCCGAATAACTGCTACCATTTTCCAGTGGATTGGGCCAAACTATTCCATATAACTTATCATGAAAATGCTTTCTTTGACCTGAAATACACTACCAATAAGCCTTGATCAGATGTTACAGATAAAGATAAATTGTGACATTTAACCACTTCTAGCCAATCAGGGGCTGTCTTGGTGAAAGTGAACTAGAAAGAATCAACTACCATCAACTAAGAGGTTTCTCTTGGTGGAAGAGGGATGGAAATGTCCTTACATAGCAGATAATTTTTTTTAAGCTTGACAAAGAACAGTGAGAACTGGTGCATGAAATTGTAGAAGCTAGTTTATTACTATGAAAATATTAATTAACTTATATAAGCCAAGATAGAGTAATCAAGAACAAGCAGGATTTCTGTTGTATCTTTTCCACTAAAATTCTACACCTGACATTTGATTCCTATCTAATTCAAAGGGTCAGTCACATTTGTGCAGGTTCATTAAGATTGTTAATATTTCTGAGTTCCCTAACCACTTACTTATCTCAGGCTTCCTAGTAAATAGTCTGCATGGAATACAAGGCAGAAAAATTGGCTCCAAGTGAATGGCCAGTCACTTAAAAGCACAGCCATCTTTTGGTCACCAATAACTCCTTACACAGAAAAAAAAAAGATAATTTCTGAGTTAACTAATTTGTTAATTCAATCAATTACAAATATTTCTTGGGAAAATACTTGGTGTCAAGCCAAATAAAAAGAAATATTCTCATACCTCAGACACATATTTATGAGGAAACTTAGCAATACAGACAATGACAAAACTAAGACCATATTGAATGGGAGCTAGAAAGAACTATTCCAATTTGATACTCATCCCACAGTATCACAAAGGAAGTGGTTAGGACTGTAATACACACTGACCAAAAAAAAACCTAAGAGTATAAAGGTTGAATTAGGCAAATATAATATTTCAGGGTTTTTTACCAGTAAGTTGGGCACAGTAAGAGATGGAATTGAATGACAAACAGTAATACATAACATCAAATGGGTTGCAACTTCATGTTTCTGAGTGGACAGTGATCAACATAGCTGTGATTACTGGTCACAAGTTTCTACATTACTATAGGAGAAAATAAAATCTGGAACCTAGTAAACTGTTCACAGTTAAATCAAGGTTTTGGCTTTAGCTAGAGTGGTGATTTGAAAACCAAGTAATGTAGCAGAGCATGATGGTATCAAAATCCTAAAAAGCTGTGTTTCTGTTAATACAGATTCAAAATACACAAAGCAAAAACCAATCAAAAATACACTGATATGGTTTGGCTGTGTCCCCACCCAAATCTTATCTTGAATGTTAGCTCCCATAATGCCCACGTCATGGGAGAGACCTGGTGGGAGGTAACTGAATTATGGGGGCGGGTCTTTCTCTTGCTTTTCTTATAAATGAATAAGTCTCATGAGATCTGATGGTTTTATAAAGAGGAGCTCCCCTGCACAAGTTCTCTTGCCTGCTGACATGTAAGACATGACATTGCTCTTCATTTGCCTTCTACCGTGATTGGGAGGCCTCCCCAGCCATGTGGAACTGTGAGTCAATTAAACTTCTTTGCTTTACAAATTACCCAGTCTCAGGTATGTCTTTATTAGCAGTGTGAGAACAGACTAATACATCCACCAAGGAATAACAGATATGTCCATAACTATATTGGACCTGTGAAACAATATATAGTAGTCCAACACATAAGTAACTGAAATATCAGAAAGAGAGGATATAGAGATTAATGCCAAAAAAAATTCAAATGGCTAAAATTGTCCAAATACTAAAAAAAACTTGAACACACAAGTCAAAAAAATTTAACAAGCCATAAGAATAATAACTATAAAATAACTAAATCTAGGCAAATAATCATTAATTTTATAAAAACCATAGATATAGCCTAAGGAAAGGGGACTTCATGATGCTAAAGAAGTCATTTCCCAATGCTAAAAGGATGTGTTCAACACACAGCTTGAGAAAAAGAATGCTTTATAAACAGGGGACTAACCACAACATTTGACTTCTTATCAGAAACAATGCAAGTCAAAGACAATGGAAGAAATATTCAAAGTGCTGGGAGGAAAAAAAATCTCTCAACTTCAAATTCTGTATCTAAGAATTAAAGGTTAAAATACCTTTAAAAAACAAAATCAAAATTAATGCATCTTCAGATAAACACAAGCTGGGAAAATTTCTCACAAAAAGAGCAGACCTGCACACAAAAAATCATAAGGGAAGTTATTCAATTTGAAGAAAAACTCAGCAATGAGATGAAGAATGCAGAATGATTAAACTGTGGCAAATGTAAGATGCTTTTCCTCATTTTGTTGTTTCTTTACAAAATAATAGATAATTAAAAACCAAAATAAAAGTCATATGTTATGGGCTTTATAGGATATATAGAAGTAAATGTATGCCAACAACAGTACAAAGGACAGAAGTCAAGTAAATAAAACTATAATATCATAAGTTTTAATACATGGAATGATGTGATATTCAGGGTAGTATTTGATAAGTGTGCATATTGGATCCCTTAAAGGACCTGGTAAAAATAAAAATTCAAAAAGTTAAATTAAAAAGCCAATTCAGAGAATAGAAAACAGTACTTAAAAGCAGCCAGAAAGCCAGGAGAGGGGAATAAAAGGTAACAATGAGCAAACAGGACAAAGAGAAAATAAATACAGGACAGTAGGCTGAAACCTAACCATACTAAAATTTCAGTAGATACACAGTAAAATTACAGTCAATGTGTGAAACCAATTATAAGTCAGAAATTGTCACAGCAGTTTTTAAAAGTAACCCAAACATATGCTGTTTATAAGTAAATTACTTTAAATAAACAAGTACAGAGATGATGAAAATCAAAGAAAGGAAGAAGATATACCATATAGTCTGTAAGCATAAGAAAGCAGGAGAAGCTATGCTAATATTAGGCAAATACACTTCAAGACATAAAATATTAACCAAGAGTAAAAGGGATTTTCATAATCATAAAAGAATATGTTCACCATAAAAGCAAAAACATTCTAATTACACTATTAAAAGAGCATGAAAATACGTGGAGCAAAAAACTCAAAAAACTAAAGAGAAATACACATAAATACACAATTATAGTTAGAGACTTTAATTCTGCCCTCATTAATTGATAGACTAAGTAGATAAAAAGTTAGTAAGAATATAATACTTGAAAAACATTATGAATCAATTTGACCTAATAGTTATGGAGGACAGCATCTATTAATACATAATGCCCATTCTTTTCAAGTCTGCATAAATAATTCACCAACATAAATAGACCATAAGTTGGACCATAAAACAAGTCTCAATATTTTTAAAGAATTAAAATCACAGAGCATATTCTCTGACCTAGTAAGATTCAAATAGAAATTAGTAGCAAAAATACACCTGAAAATTGCCCAAATATTTACAAATTAAGAAAAACACTCCTTAATAATCCATGGATCAAAGAAAAAATTCTCAAGATACATTACAAGGCATTTCCAAATGAATAATAATCTTTAAAAGAAAATCCGAGGGAAGATTATAGAAATTGTATAAAGATTTTATTGCTAAAAAAGATTTTAACTAAAACTTCCCACCTTAAGAAGCTATAAAAAGAAGAGAAAATTCAATTCAGTAAGTAAAAGAAAATGAAGAAAATAATAAAGGTAATAGCTGATATCAAAATAGTGGACAAAGTTCAGAGAGAAAAATACATAAAAACAATAGGTTGTCTTGAAATGATTAATAAAACTGATAAACCCCTAGCTAAACCAACATAAAAATAAAACACAAATTATCAATTATAGAAATAGTGAAGAGGTCATCATGACAAATCTTATAGATATTAAAGATAAGAATATATTATGCACACATTTATTCCAATAGACTTGACAAATTAGAGGAAATGGATATGTTATTTGAAAGAAATAAATTATCAAAATAATAATTACCAAAACTGATACAAGAAGAAATAGAAACTCTGTATGTTCCTGTATTTTTTGTAGAAAATGCTTTTGGAATTAAAGCATTTCCACACAGAAAATGTGAAGGCACAATAAATTCTAGCAAACACTTGATGAAGAAATAATACCAATACCATCAACTTTTTTCAAAATACAGAAGCAGAAAAAGTATTTCACAACTAATCATCCTGACGCTAAAACCTGACAAGCATATTAGAGAACAAATAACATAGCCACAAAAAGTCTTAATAAAATATTAGCAAATAAGATTTGGCAACATATAAAAAGGATAACACCACATAACCAAATGGGGTTGATTCCAGAAGTACAAAGTGAGTTCAAAATATTTTTAAAAAATCAATACAACATACATATTATAAATTATATTGATTATAATTTATAATCTATATTAACAGAATGAAGAAAAAATATATATGCTTATCTCAATTGCTACAGAAACATTATTTACAATATGCAACAATTAATGATTAAAAACTCTCAACAAGCTAGAAATGGAAGAAAACTTCTCAGTCAGATAAAGACATCTATGAAAAGTCTACAGTTGCTGGGCACAGTGTCTCACACCTGTAATCCCAGCACTTTGGGAGGCTGAGGGGGGCGGATCACCTAAGGTTGGGAGTTTGAGACCAGCCTGACCAACACGGAGAAACCCCGTGTCTCCTAAAAATACAAAATTAGCCAGGTGTGATGGTGCATGCCTGTAATCCCAGCTACTCAGGAGGCTGAGGCAGGAGAATCGCTTGAACCCGGGAGGCGGAGGTTGCAGTGAGCCGAGATCGTGCCATTGCACTCAAGCCTGGGCAACAAGAGTGCAACTCTGCCTCAAAAAAAAAAAAAAAAAAAAAAAAAAAGTCTACAGTTAGCACCACAATTAGTGGTGAAATATTGAACGACTTCCTCCTAAGACTGAGAAAAGGCTAAGATGCTCACCCAAACTTCTCATCTATTTGATAATTTACTGGAAGAATCTCACAGTGCAATAAAGTAAGAACCAGCAATAAAAGTATAAAGTTCAGAAAGCAAGAAATAAAATTCTTTTTATTCACAGTCAATATGATTGCTTTACATAAAAAATTCTAAGTAAAATTTTTTAGATAAAAAACACTACAACTAATTAATTTAATACATCATCATACATGATGTCAGTATTTTAAAAATAAATTCTAATTCTATATATTAGTAAGCATTGGAAAATACAATGTTTAAAATGTCCTTTTGAATAACTAAAAGCAAATCTATACACACATACCTTTAACAATAAATTCAGTGAAAGTTGTACAAGGCTTCACTATTATGTTTATAAAAACTATGCTGAAAAAAATAAAGACTAAAACAAATAAAGAAATATGCCATAAACAGAAATATTGGTATTGTTATGAAGACAATTCTTTCCCCAGCTGATCTGCAGATATGTTATCATCACGATCAGCATCCCAGCAGACATTTTTACATAATTGACAAGCTGTTTCTAAAATTTATTTGAAAATGCAAAGGATGTAAAGGGAAAATAATCAATCTTGGAAAAGAAGAACAAATTAGAGGATTTACAAAATGTAATTTAATGCTCTTAAAGCTCTAAAAACCAAATCAGTGTGGTGTTGGCCTAAGGATGGACAAACGGATAAAAGGAACTAAATAAAAACTCTAGAAATATACCTGCTCTTGACCTAAGACAACTGTTTCAAAGCAATTTAATGAAAAAAGAAAGCTTTCCAACAAATAGTGTTGGGAAAAAGTGGAAGTGCTGGGAAAAAAAGTGCTGGGAAAAACTCACACCATTTATAAATTTGATTTAATAGACATTATAAGTAAAAAAACTAAAACTCTAATACCTCTGGAAAAAAAAAGGAAAATATTTTTATGACCTGGAATATGTAATGAATGTTTTTATACCAAGCACAGGAAACACACTATCCCTAAAAGTAAATAATTGATGAAATGGGTTTCACCAAAATTAAAAACTCCTGCTCATTAAAATAAACCACTACCAAAATGAATGGCAAGTCACAGATTGGGTAAAATATTTGTAAAACATTTATTTGTAAAAGAATCCTTATCTAGGCCAGGCACGGTGGCTCACGCCTGTAATCCCAGCACTTTGGGAGGACGAGGCGGGTGGATCACGAGGTCAAGAGATCAAGACCACCCTGGCTTTCATCCTGGATTTCACATGGTGAAATCCCGTCTCTACTAAAAACACAAAAATTAGCTGGGTGTGGTGGCATGCACCTGTAGTCCCAGCTACTCAGGAGACTGAGGCAGGGGAACTGCTTTAACCTGGAAGGCAGAGGTTGCAGTGAGCTAAGATTGTGCCACTGCACTCCAGCCTGGTGACAGAGAGAGACTCCATCTCAATTTTTTTTTTTTAAAAGAACCCTAATCTAGAATATACAAAGAATGTCTACAACTTAATAATAATTAACAAAAACAAAAAAAGCAAATTTAAAAATGGATAAAAGACCTTAAACTGAAACTTTACAAAGGGAGATTCACAAATATGCAGTAAGCAGTTAATAATTCTCAAAAATCATTGGGCAGCAGGGAAATGCAAATTAAATTCAGTAAGATGTCCCTATCTACTCAAAAGAATAGCTATCAAAATATTGAAAACCTTAAATTTTGGCAAGGATAAAGAGGAAATTGAACTCTTATGCATTGTTGGTAAACATGAAAAATGGTACAACTACATTAGAAAACTCTATGGAAATTTCTTATAAAGTTGAAGAGTAAATATAAGTTTGGTCCAGCAATTTCACTCCTAGCTATGTACCCAAAAGAAATCGAGCTAATATCCACAGCCAAGACAGATATAACAGTGATCATAGCAGCTCTATTCATAAAAGCCAAAATCTTTTTGTAAACTGCCTATTCACAGACAAATTGTGGCATATTCAAACAACTATTACTCAACAATAAAAATGTACAAGCTGATATTTACAACAACATGGATGAAACCAGACACAAAAGAGTATTACCACATAATTACATTTATATAAAATTTTAGGACAGCAAACTAAACTGGTAATAAAATCAAAACAGTGATTGCCCATTTGGGTTGGGGAGGGGGATTGACTTGGAAGGAGACATAAGAATTTTCTTAGCTTATAAAAGTATTCTATACTTTGATAGAGAAGTGGCTAACAGAGATGGCTGCATTTGCCAAAACTTACCATATTGTACACTTAAGATCTGTGTGTTTTGCTTTATGTCAAGTATGTTCCAATTAAAAATAAAAGGGGAAAATAAACTCTGATGAATATTAGAAACCTGATTTTAATGGCTCACATCTTCTAAACATATTTTAAACAAATTAGTAATTTTTTATTCTGCTGTTGTTTTTCCCTGCTATGACTATAAATGATCCTTCATCACCACTCAGTGATCTGCCTCTAAGACTGGAAATTACTAAGAAAATCTCTAAATTTTCTTAGTTCCCAAAGCCTAGGTTTGTTTCATTAAATATGGATAGAAACAAAGAAAGTATCACGTAAAACATTTGAATTTGGTTTTAGTCAAATATGGTCTAATACTAAACAGAAAGTTATTTCATCCTAATGCTAAGTTCAGTACAAAGAAAATAGATTTTAATAATTTAAAATATGACTTGTAAAAGGTTAACTTAAACATTGACTCCATTTATTTGTCAATATATTTTGTTTCTCAAATACTCCTTCTTGTCATTATTTGCAAAACTTAGTAAATCGTGATTTCAAGTTCAACCATCTTTGGAACACAGACATGACTCAGGTTAGCTTTGGAGGTTCTCCTTGATTATCTATTCAAAAAAAGCTAATTTTGACCTTCTATTTTATGGGCTTTCATTCCTAAAGTCAGAAACCTTTTTATTCATTCAATGGTAGTTTCTTTGTATTCCATATTCCAAGGTGTCTGAGGCTGGTGATGAGACCTTTTTAATATAAAACTAAGATTTCTCCACTGTATAACAGGAACAAATTAGGGCATTCATCTAAAAAAAGCAAAGTACCTGAATAGTGCAATCTCTGATGAAGAATGGGCAAAAATGGCACTTGAGTCCTCTAAATTAGAGCATTAGTTCTTCTCCTTTAGAAGGAAAAAAATCAGAAGAACATTAGACTAAACTAAATTGAACAGAAAAGCCAATAGTGAAGAATAAACTGGAAGGTGCTCAAATCAGGAGAGTGAAGGTGAATGCTGAGAACATAACAAGTTTCAAAGGTCGTATGCTTAACACCCAGGGATCTGAATCACATGACACACTATATTCAGTCGAGTCCAATCTAAGCTTCACAGTTTCTCAAAATAGAAAAAACAGTGTTACCAATTCAGACTGCAGATGCCCAAGAAAAGCTGTTGATGTCAGATGTTAAAATGGGGCCAGGACCTTAAGCAAAATGAAATGAAAGAGTAAGAAAATTATCTGGATACTTCAGGTTAAAATGTGTGTTTTTATTAAAGAAAATGTAGATTTTTTAGCTTATGAGTTTAAAAATGAATAGATTACAGGATTTGTGAGTCCCTTCTGATGGCTAGAATACATGTTTATCACCTCAAATATCAGAATATTTCAAGCAAAGATGTTTGGGGCCTGGATATGCATATCACAATTTTTCAGTTAACTTTGCACATGTAGACACAATCTCAGTGGTGATTTGTATTTCATTTGGGAACCGTTTTAGTTTGGTGGAAATGGCCCCAAGGAATACTCTCTGTGCAAACCCAAGACTATGACACATTTACAGAGCTGGGCTAGCAGTGAAATACAGAGGTTTGAGGGCCATATATTTTCTGTGTAACTAAGGAAAAAAAGAGCTATGATGCCAGATTTTGAATTTAAAATTAAAATATTCCTTGCTTTCTACAATACCTTCAAAATGAGGTTTTAAGCATCAGATGGCTTAGTTAAATAGATAAGTAACAGAATTGTTTTTATCTGGCCTCTCTTTCATAATTCAGAGAATTATGTAACTCTAATCCGTAACTACCATAGAAATATAAATATTATGATTATGTGTTTAATATAAATAATTTTATATTTAGAACAATTAAAATTCAGATTAAATATGGAAAACACACAAAGTGAAGAAAAGAGACCCTTTAAATCTTTTTTTAACCAAGTGCACAGTAATCAGTACTTTTAAATGTATTTCTTTGTAAAGCCAGAAAATCAAATCATAATCAGGTTTTCTCTTAATAATATGACTAGGTTATTACATGTAGTTCAGAAAGAGGCAAGCGATATCTTTCGATTACCAAAGGAAACTTCTTGAAGGCAGGAACCCAACTGTATTCCTCTTTTTCTCTCATAGCACCTTTCTCACAGGAACTGCTCAAGACATAGTATCCTATCTGGATTGAAGACGGAGTATATATCCACACTAGCAGGAGAGGTGAGCTTCTCAAACATTCTCTCTAAAAAATTACTTGAAGCTCATGTTAAAGATTCAGGCCGGGCACGGTGGCTCATGCCTGTAATCCCAGAACTTTGGGAGGCCGAGGAGGGTGGATCACGAGGTCAAGAGATTGAGATTATCCTCGCCAACGTGGTGAAACCCCATCTCTACTAAAAATACAAAAATCTGGTGTGGTGGCATGCTCCTGTAGTCCCAGCTAATCGGGAGGCTGAGGCAGGAGAATCACTTGAACCCGGGAGGCAGAGGTTGCAGTGAGCTGAGATTGCACCACTGCACTCCAGCCTGGCGACAGAGCAAGACTCATCTCAAAAAAAAAAAAAAAAAAAAAAAAAGATTCAGATTGCCCAGTTCTGCCCCAGACTCCCAGAATCAGAATTTTCAGAGTAGAGCCAGGAAATGCATTTAACAAGTACCCTCTGTGAATCTAATGATCAAGCAAGCTAGAAAATAGCCCAGTGTGAGATTAAACTGGAAGCCTCTCAACAAGAAGAGACAGGTCTGTAAAATTCCAGTTCAACATTGTAAGGGCTCTATAATTTCACCCTACCTGAACTTTCCAGCATTATCTCCCTTAATTCAAACAAAATCCTTTGTGGAGTTCAGGCTGGTGTACTCAAGGTGGGCACAGTGGGTGTGGGCAGAAAGTATGGCATTACCATCAATATACCGGGTTGGAATCATGGCTTATATTACAAAATAGTTTTGCAATTCTGACATCATTAGTAACATAGCTTGTTTCTACACACATGGGCTTGGCTATGATTAATGACTAGGACAATATACCCTTCACTTAGCAGTTT
Source organism: Homo sapiens (assembly GCF_000001405.40). Taxonomy (NCBI): domain Eukaryota; kingdom Metazoa; phylum Chordata; class Mammalia; order Primates; family Hominidae; genus Homo; species Homo sapiens. The sequence goes on from NC_000005.10 coordinate 107,058,444, forward strand.
AACTAGGAGAAAATGTCCTGGCTCTTACTGCAATGAAGACAACTAATCTGAACTTGCCCTGTTGCCTGAAGTCCAGCCAACTGCTTACTCTCCCTCTACCTCACTTGTTCCTAATGTTAGAAGGTATAATTGTGTCAGTGCTTACTTTGCCACTGACCAAATCAAGTGATGACTTTCTAGTTTTGTTGGAACTATAAATTTAACTCAAATAAAGCACCTTGTTGATACTTACTAGTTCTATGGAGACATGTGTCACTTCAGCACTACAGCACCAACTTGTGATTCCCCAATATTTGACCATTACAATGTCTGGATGCCAGACTTAGAATGAGCAAGCAGTTGTGATACAAGAAGCACTAACTGCTCCAGAGAACCCAAAAAATCCCTAAGGCAACAGCTGATACTTCATGTTGAACTAGACTGAAGTTAAGGCAAACCATGTATTTGAGTGAATAACCATTTGTGAGCCATATGCAGATATGCTTGGGCAAGGAAGTATTTGAACCTCCCTGAGATACAGTGAAATGGGAATAATGAAACCAATAGAGTTGTTTGGAATAAAGTGCCCGGCGTAGACATCAGAACATAGCAGGAAATCTGAGATTGTTAGCTCCTTTCCTTAGCATACCCTGAATACTCCCTGCCCATTTCCCATTTTTGAAGCTTTGCTCATGCGGAACTCAGCTTCTGGCCTACCTCCATCTAGTCCATTTACATCAATTTAGCCTTAAAGTTCCAATTAAATCCCATTGTATGACCCCTCTGCCTTTGTCAATTCGCTCTAGGCCACAAGAGTCTTTTAGTATTCAGGGTTCATATAAAAACAAATTAGACACTAATCGAATATTGATAAAAATTTCTAACACATTGTATGTGTACATTTATTCTACTGAATGAGCTTGTAAGGGAAGGGAAAATATCATATGCTTCTGCCTATCTTCTGAATGAAAGTACTGTGAAATATGAATAGTAGAAAAAGATAAAATAAGAAGTAATTGCTCTTACCCCATTCTTAGTAGGACTGACAATTTAATCAGAAAAGAGGAAGTTCTTTATATATAGCCCAGATATTCCTTGTGACTTTTTAATAAATAACAGCTCTAAATTCACCAACACTATTTTCTATATTAAAAACCTTACAAGGTCCCTTTAAAAATTAGCAGGAAGCTGCTAGAGAGAGCAGAGGTTGCTGCACCCTTGCAGTAGGGAAATGAAGCAGTTTTGTGTTGTGGCACAAGTCTTATGCAAGGTGCATCCCCTTTCACCCAGGAATTCCACTTTGAGAAACTTACTCTATAGAATTACAACTGTGTTTAAAAAACAATGTCCATGGAAGTTATGTTTAAAATGAAGAAAATATGGAAAGAACCTAAAATATCCTCAGTATAAAATTGGTTAAATAAAATGCAATGCATCCATTTAAATTAAGGTCATAAAGGAATACCTAACAACATGGAAGAATATTTGTGGTATCTTATTAGTGTAAGTAGCTGTTTATATGAAAACATTATATAGTGTTCTAATATTTTGCAAAAATATAAATGTATACTTGTTCACAGAAAATTGATGAAATGGCTATGCAAAGATGATAACTACTGTTTTGAGGAATTATGGATGAGAATTTTTCTTTTTGTCATATCCTGTATATTCCAAATCTATAAATTTTTATATCCTGCATTGATACTAACCCTATTTTTAAAGGAATTCCATTGAAGAAAATATAAATGAACTGAAGTGAAATTTTTCTATATTTCTAGTTCCATAGCTCTCCAGTTAATAATATTATTTGGCAGGAATCAAAGTGGTGAAATAAAATTGATATAATTCAGACATTGAATTGATCTAAACGTAATTTTAAAATTTTGAATAACTGAACTAACCTTCTTTAATGAGATGATTTAATATATGTCTAGAAAAAGTGACAGAAGATCAGGAAATATATAAGGAGGTGTCAAAGAAGAGCATAGTATTCCTCTATCTAAACTGTTACTTGGGAAATTAAACATCAAAAATTCCCACATGAGAACTGATTTAAGATAGAAAGTCCCAGCATTGTGATTGGTATAGTCAATCCTTCTTCCCTGTTTTATTGATACTTTTTGTTTTACAGAGCAGATAGATAAAAAGTAAAAGCAAATAGGATAAGACAGGTCATAGACACTATAACAAATGTAGTTTATGTTAATATTTTATGTGAATTCAACTTGTCTTGTTAACACATTAACGAAACTAAAGATGATAGCGAAAAGAAAACAAGCAATGTTCTTCCTCTAATACCTAATTGTGTGGTCTGTACTTCATGGATGCCCAATAAATTCTAATGGCTGACTTTACATTGAATGTTTCCTTATTTGCAGGACAAAGCAATGTAGGTAAGGTAAGCCAAACAGATGGGTAGGGACAACTACACCTATTCCAGAAATAAACACAGTGGAGCTTTTTCTTGGGGTTGCAAAGATAAAGGCCTAGAAGAAGATCAAGCCAAACAGAAAACTATGAAAATCTGCTCATTGGGTTTCGGTAATTAGGAAGAAAGCTTGAAGAGAGAGACAAATTTGCTCTTCTGGGAGAATCCACACTCTTTCCAGCTGTTGCTAGATCATCAAACTGACATGCAGTTCTATGAATATCTGAGAAGGTCATTCTAACAAGATCCTGAAGGACAGGGTCTTGGATCCAGAAATAATACAGACATTTTTCTTTGAGGCATTTACCAGATAGACACATTATTCCAAAATCAAGAATCAGTAAGAGTGATTTACACAAAACTGAGCGAAAATTTTTATAACAAACAAACAAAAAAGAAAGAAAGAAAAAAAGAGAAAAGCATAGCACTAAAAAAGAAAATCTGCTTTGGGAAAACATTTACTAAGGAAGCAAATTTCCTATAGCATCTGTTTGTACTGTCTTTTAAATCCAAGAGCATATTTGCTCTCCAAAATAAAAATGAACCATAAAATATAAAAAAGCAACTGGCTGAAGGGCAGGGAGAAATTTTTGAAAAAAGAGCTAAGTAAAATAGGGCAAGAATATAAGGAAACTGTTGATTCTGGAGCAGAACCAAAAATTGCAAAAGGTATTGAAAGAGAAAACTACACTGAAATAGAAGAAAAATTTGAGAATGTAGAGAAACCTGATTCATTATCAACTACATTCTATGCTTAAGGCAGTATATGATTTTTTTCATTAATGAACCTATTAATTTTGACAGCTTCATAAAGGAAACACTATTATTATATCCAATAATAAGAGAAAACTGAGCTTCAGAAAAAACAATAACAGAGCATATGGTAGACTGACATTGATGTGGCTTTCTTCTACTAAATACTTAGAAATGCTTAATAAAAAACAAATCTTTAAATGAAATAAAAGTAGGCCTGGTGCAGTGGCTTATGCCTGTAATCCCAATACTTGGGAGGCCAAGGCAGGTGGATCACTTGATGTCAGGAGTTCAAGACCAGCCTGACCAACATGGTGAAACCTCACCTCTACTAAAAATCCAAAAATTAGCCAGGTGTGGTGGCAGTTGCCTGTAATCCCAGCTACTCAGGAAGCTGAGGCAGGGTGAAGGAATTGAGACCCATATATACATTATAGCACCTTGTTAACTAATCTAGGAAAAATGGCCAGGGTGCCAGGTGCCAACAAGGCCATTTGTGGGGCGGCGGGGGGAGCTACAAAAATCATAATAACTCGACACAGACCAAATGTGGCTGTGGGATATTAGCTTAAACCATCTGCATTGTCTAGAAATCCTAACATAAGAAATTAAAATAAAAACATTTGAATCCTCTGAATTTCTATCAGTATCCACTATAAAACCTTTTTGTGAGGCCACTCCTACAGACAAGCCTCATAGGACAACCACATAGTGTTGCCAGATAATATACAAGGTGCCCAGTAATATTTAAATTGTAGAGAAATAATGGATAAATATATTCCAATATTAACTATTGAAAGAGTAAACTACACTAAGATAAAAGACAAACTTATATGTGACATAATTGTACTAAAAAAACAAATTGTCTAAACAAGAAGAAATAAAAGGTATAAAAATATTATAAAGGAAAAAATAAAACTTTTTTGCAGAAAACATACCCAGAATTTTTGTTTTAATTCATTAGGATTTGTCAGTTTGTTACCACAACATAATTTAATCTATTAAAAATAATACACAATATCAAGATGCTATTTAGAAATATGGAAGTTTTCCATATTTGTGAGAAAAGCTAAGAACAAGCCAAAATAATTTTGTTTGAAGATTGGGATTTGGGAGCAAAAGAGGTAGAAGAATGAATTTTGTTTTGTATTATATGGTGTTGTATGTCGATTACTAGCCGTTTTGTTTTGTTGTAAGACAATCATCTATTGATAATTCATATTTCAACTCATCTCACAAGGAAGACACTGGCTAACCTTAGTTGCAAACTGTGGTAAGTGAGAAGGAATTTCTTTTCTCACACATTGCTAGGTTCATGTCTGAGACTCCTCAAGCAAAAGACAGACTAACAAGAGAAAAGGATACCAATTTATTTAATATAATTTTACAAGACATGGGAGTCTTCAGAAATGAAGAATCAAAGAAACAGGGAAACCTGTGTATTTTTATGCTTAGTTTTGATGAATAGTTGACAGTAAGGCATGAGTATGATTGGACAAAGAGGATATAATCTAATAGTAATAAACTGGGGGGAAACTTAGCAAGACAGGTTTGTTCAGATTCTTCTCTATGTCTCTGTGTCTTCAGAGACAAGAACATTCCTTTTCTTTGAGTATAGAGAGGGTATCTCTTACATGAGGATCTTAGGACCTATTAATACATTAGAGGAAGATCAGATAATTATTTTTTGACCTGCTTCAGGGAAGAGGGGTGGGAGAAGGTCAGAGGGAGCTTCCTGCTTCAGCTGTTTTGTTAAATGCCAATGTGCCATATTTTGGGGTAGCAAGTCCCATAACTATCTTTAAAAAATTTTTGTGTAACAAATAGCCTTGGCATAAAGAGATAGTATTTCCCCTATATAGGGCAGGTTTTCTTATAGTCTTGGAAGATGCAATGTCTTCCTTATAGGCCTGCTTATTGCCCATTATAAAGACTCATATTCTCTTATATGGACTATAACTTTCAGAGAAGTTTTTTTCCTGTAATGCAACCACCTGCATTTACAGGTACCATCTCCCTCTCTCTGTTTTGCCCTGTGGGAATTGAGGATCTATTAAGTAGCACAAAAATAATTCTGGGACTCTGGCTACTGCTATTGCTATGAGTAATATATTGTTCATCTCTGACCCAGAAGTCTGGAATCTTCTACCAGCATCCATGAAACTGTGCTGGGCTAACTTGATAGTTTGTATGTAGGGTAAAATATCAGATCTTTCAAAGTCCTTTATATCCTTATAATACTTTTATTAAGATTTTTATACATTTTTAAATTTAAAAGGTTAAAGTGAAAAGTAAAATGTGAGAATTTATCTATCTCAGTTCAGTAGAGACTTTCTATGGATAAAAAATAAAGGAAAGGCAAATTGAAAATAGACTGCTTTCATTACATAATATTTTTAACTAGCATGCATTATCAAATACCGTCAACAAAATTAAGAAACTTGAGACAGAGCCCAGCACGTTGGTTCATACCTGTAATCCTAGTGCTTTGGGAGGCTAAGGTGGGAGGATCACTTGAGACCAGGAGTTGGAGACTACCCTGGGCAACACAGCAAGACCTCATCTTTACAAAAAAATTTAAAAATTAGCTTGGCATGGTGGCACATACCACATGTAGTCCTATCTACTTGGGTGGCTGAGGAGGGAGGATTGATTGAGCTCAGGAGTTCAAGGCAGCGGTGAGCTATGATTGTGCCACTGCACTCCAGCCTGGGCAACAGACACTGTCTCAAAAAGAAGAAAGAAAAAAGGAAAGAGAGAGAGAGAGAGAGACAGAAAGGAAGGAGGGAGGAAAGGGAAAGAAGGAAGGAAGGAAGGAAAGAAGGAAGGAAGGAAGGAAGAAATGAAGGAAGGGAGGGAGGGAGGGAAGGAGGGAGGGAGACAAACTTGGAAAAAAATGAACTATTTGCAATATTTTTAAAATAGCACTTATTTAATATTTAAAGAGCACCTTCAAATACAATTTTTAAAGGATGAGTATAACTCATTAGAACAAAGGAAGCAATACTAATAGACAATTACCTTGTGAAAAATATTCGGTCTATTTACAAATAAAATTATTTTAAATTTAAGATTATTGAGATGTTTTCTATATAGTTGGTTAAAAAAGAAAAAGAAGTGAAAGAAAATAAATTATAAAAATGTCTTAAGAGAGTAGAAAAAATCCGTCATATTGTTAAAATTGGAAATATTTATCGAAAGTCTTAAAAAACACCTTTACCTTTTGACTCAATGATTTCTGTTCTCAGAAATCATGTTAAAGAAATAAAGAAGAAAACAAGCAAAAAATTACCTGCAAAAATATAGGTATTAAAAGGTTAACTATAGTAACACCTCCTTAATATTTAACAATAAGAAATTTTTTCAAGAATATGCTACAGTCACAAAATCATGTACACTTTAGGCATTATCATCCTATAAACTGATATTTTTGAAATGAAAAGTTACATACAGAATTGAGAAACATTTTTAATATTATATACAGAATGATTTCATTTGTCATAGCTATAAAGTCCCAAATAACATGTACCAGGTTGTAACAAACACACATTTTTTCTTTTCTCTCTCTCTTTTTTTTTTTTTTACTATACTTTAAGTTCTAGGGTACATGTGCACAATGTGCAGGTTTGTTACATATGTATACATGTGCCATGTTGGTGTGCTGCACCCATTAACTTATCATTTACATTAGGTATTTCTCTAATGCTATCCCTTCCCCATCCCCCCACCCCAAGACAGGCCCTGGTGTGTGATGTTCCCCTCCCTGTGTCCAAGTGATCTCATTGTTCAATTCCCACCTATGAGTGAGAACATGCGCAAACACACATTTTTTTCTTGAGTTACATGGTAATAACTTTTCACTAATATGTGTTTTCTGATTTATCCAAAATAATGTCTATTACTTTTACTCCAAGAAAATATTTTATTTTTTAAACACAAAACATAAACACGCTGATCCCTTTGGGGGTGTACCCGAAAAAGTTAATGAGATGTGCACACTGATTTAAGTGTGTGAAGATCCATAAACATTTCATCTATCTGACAATAGGGGACTGATCAAATTGTGTAATAACCTCATAATGAAACCCAAAGCAGACATTAGGTACCATATTGTAGAAAAATATCATTATGTGGGAAACTGTTAATGACACATTAATAAAAGAAAATTATGAAGTAATATGCAGAGTATGAAGCTAATATTTTTAGTGTGCAACAACAGAAATATGCTAGAGGAAATATATCAAATAGGCACAGTATTTTTCCAATAAAATAACAAGTAATTTTAGTTTTCTTTTCTTTGAATTCCACATTTTCCAGATTCTCTACAATGAACATACCTTGCTTCATTTTATGTTAATAATACTATTAACGGTCCAGCCCTGCAATAAAGAGAACCAGAAGAAAGAGAGTAGATGTGGGAAGGAAAGCTAGGTAAAATATAGTGGGAAATGTTCAGGAGAATTTATTGAATTTGTTAATCTATTAACTGAAGAAAATGGAAGGAAGAAATGAAGAAATTGGTTTGGGTAAACAACATCATTATTTTTTAATTTGGGAATTCAGGGAAAGGAACTGACTTTAAAGACAAAATTTTACACTTCTGGGGTTTTTTTCTTCCTAAGTTTTTGCAAAACATGTAGGTGGATGTGCCCAATGGACAGGAAAACCAGTACACAGCCATGTGATCAATCAGGTATAACTATAGATTTGGAAGCCAACAACATACTGGGTAGAGTTAAAATCACTGCATGCATACAATTACCTAGGAATAATGAAATATAAGAAAATAAGAAAGCATGGAAAAGCACCTTGAAGAGTCCCAACCAACAGTTACCAGGTAGGCTAAAGCTGGCATGGCAGATATGGCTGCACACTGGTCAAGAAGGTGAACTTTAGCCTCAACCAGACCTGAATGAAAATCTGTACCTCACCACCTGTGGCCTTTTGTGTGTTATTCAAACTCTCTAAGCTGCATTTTCTCATTTGTTAGGTAATAATAACAATAATATCTGCCTCGTAGAGTTCCAGCATGTCTTCACTATGGCAGGAAGGCTCAATAAATGGTAGCTAATATTAATAGTAGGCCTTGTCCTCTTAGTGGTAGTAGATAAAAAGTAAAAAAAAATAAGGAACTATTAGAAAGGGATGAAACATCAGGAAAAAAAAAGTGATGTCTCGAAAGACAAAAAAGGGGAACTTCAAGCAATGGCAGTAATCAATGGAGTCAAATCCAAATAAGATGCAAACCAAATCCAATGGCATTGAAATTTACGAGGTCATTTGAGATGTTTGCCAAAATAATTATATCTGATTTTTAGTCATATTTCCTTGAAAAAAAAAAAAACCCTTAACAAATGGTTACTACTATTTCTTGATGTTTCATTTTGTGATTCATCCACTTTTAATTCATAAATAGTGGGAATTTTGTCAAGATAAAGTTAATAAATTACTAAAGTAAAAATTTGCCACTGAGCAACAATGAAAGAGTTAAGGTTTTACTTTGGGTTGTTGTGTTTCCTTTCTACCTAATATTTCTGGGTGCATGTCCCTCACAAAAGGACTTTACAATGGTTTCTGAAAGTCTTTCAGAGTTACAAGCCAGAAACGTATTTGTCATAGAAATATTACTCTTAAAAATACTGATAGTGCCTCTGTTCTATCAATCTCTCCACAGGACTCACGGTGAGAAAGAGAGATGGGAAGAAATGTCTGTGTAGGAAACTTCTTTCTTTGAGGGTCTTGACTGGTTTTTCTTTCCTTTTTTAAAGGCAGCATAGTTGGAAGCACCTTTAGGTCTAAAAGGGATTGAGTGAGAGAAACACATCATGAAACCAGAGCAAATACTAAAATATTTAAGGTAGGATAGGAAAGTCCAAGGACTAAAATTAGATCAGCAAAAGCAAAATAACAAACAAACAAAAAGGGAATATTTGGGAGCACTGAGATTCAGCCAAGAGTTGGCGCTGCTGCTCAGTGAATGCCCCAGACAGTGTGCCCTGGCAGCAAGTTGCTGAGGCTGGGGCCCAGGAATGCCTGGTGCTGCTAACAAGTACGCTGTGCAAGCATCTTCAAAGTGAGAGAAAAGAAGGGCACTTCCGCGTGAGATGAGTTCTCCAAAGCCCTCATAGCTCTAGTCCTCACACTTTTCTGGTCTTATTTGTCATTGGGGTTAGAGAGGGCTAGGAACTGAAAGCAGGACAGACAGACCAAACAGGCACACAAAAGTCCATTGTAAAAAGTATCATTTTCAAGCTGAGGCTGCATATAATACATTCATAGAACGGGAATACCAGCCTACTCATCATGGAAATGGTTATTTCATATTTAAGACCCTGAGAGAGTGTGAAAAGGGAATCCACATATGATTTACTTTTATTCTACACATTCTTAATTGAAGAGACAGAAAGATACTATTCTTTAAAAAGTAAATTGTCCAGCTTAGAGAATTCATCTGAAAAATAGCAGTCGTTTATATTAAAATCAGTGAAAAAAAACTATGTTTCATATGACTGAGTATGACTGCTCCTTTTCAAACTCCAGATAAAGCAGTAGAAAGGCAATACTCTCAGGTCTTTGAACTTGAAGGCAGCTGTAAAACCAAAAGAAACAGAAATGGGCAGGGGAGGGGGACAAAGAGGGAAACATTGAGGGAAACCCATGAAGTGTGCAGAATATTATTCTGACTCCCACATCCTTGGTTGTTAAATAAATAAATTCTGTTTCCTGCCTAAAATTCGGCACACACTCTTACCTTACAAATTTCCTTGATTTTGCTCTATACTTTCTATTTCAAATATATTTCTGAATTTTAAATTTTGTGGATTAAGGAACACCTATCTTATTGCAATATATTGCAAGGATATTATCAGAAACTAACATGAGAAATGCAATTGTATTTTTGCCACAATGGAACACTATTAGAGTGACACAGGACTTTTTTGCCACCTGTAAATGTCTCCTTTTTCTCTTTTTGTTGTCACTACATCCAAAATTTATTTTTGAAATATATATTATTCATTATAAGAGCTTTTGAGTTCATATTTATTTATTAGTTGTATATATTGTTTTTCTATTTTTTTGGTGGAGGGAGTCTTTCTTAAAAAAAAATTTCTGATATGTCCTTTCTTCTAAACTGTTCTATTTTTTCCTAAAAGTAACCCCTTTATTGTGTTAATAATAAAAATCCAAAGAGCTTTATTCAAGGGTTTTAGACATTTTAAAAATCTGTTCTATTGTAATAAGAAACCTTGGAGACTCATTGAAATAGCAGCAAAGGCACAAGTTTCTTTTTATTATGAAAGATGTTTATGTGAAGAACAAAATAGACAAGAGAAAGTAACTGCTTCAGAATACTTGATGGGCACTTTAATCTTCTATTAATATGCAAATTTTGTTCTTTAGAACCCCAGTAAGAGATTTCTTTTTCCATCAGGCTATTTGAAAGTAGTCCTATTCTCCCAAAGGTCCTTCTTGCATGAGTCTAAGTGAAACGGTGTTTTTTATGCTAATTCCCAAGATGCTCTTATATGCATCATTTTCTTTGGAAATTATATGGAGTTTACTGAACCACATTTGTAAAACATTCCACAGTTGATTTCATTCTAAAGATCTCCTTTCATAGAAGTGATTCCCCTGTTGATCTGTGTCATAGGAGAAAGTTAAAGAAAATCAGTTTTAACAACATGGTAGAAATAAGAAAGGGCTTGTGGACAGAAACGAAGATGCCAACTTGTGAACAGGAAAAGAACAATTTCTATTGTGTAATTAACCTCGTCAAGAATTTGAGCCTACTAGAAACTACTCTGTTGATATCACAAATCACAATTATCAAGTACCACTTCATAAACATAAATCTCAAGAATAATAAGGTACGTGCCTACAGTCTCTTGGCTTTTTTAGAGACATTTATTCATATTTCATTTTATTTCAATACCTTGCCTTTTCAAAAGAGGTTGTAATTATAACAACAATGCCACAACAATTCCCTTAGGGATGTAGAAATTAGGCTGAACAATAAAATTATTTTTATATAGTCATATTGTCCTCCGTGCACCAACCACTTCAGTTACCTAGTTCATATTGAAAAGAATAAAACATTTTGCATTATTTATCCTCCTGTCTTATTGATAAAGAGGGAACTCTCAAACACCTTATCAATATGGTATCCAGACTATCATCTAATTATTTTTCTCAGGGAATGTATATTTATTGTTTACCCACCTTGTTACATGGTTTTAAATAAATAATAATATCTGGAAGAGCTTTGAGTAAATAGTATTTCTTCTGAACTGAACAGGTTATTATGATTTTTTTAAATTTATGTATTTATAGAAGTTATGAACCCTCCTCCCCTGAAACTCATCCTTACTTCAGAAATATTGACTCTTCATTTTTTTCTGGCATAAAAATTCCCTTCACAGTAAGTTATGATCCAGGCATAAAATTCAATCTCATCATACCTTTTTTTTTTTAAACCACAAAGCTGTACCCTTCACCTTTATTATCCAATCTACGTACCTGAAATTCAGTTGTAAATGACATATGTTACCTTAAAGATTAAAATCACACTGAAAGAGAAGTTTTACTAACATGAAGGGAAAAGGGGCAGGCTTTCACCTGACATTGTGCCCTTTTAAATTTACAGACATATTTTGGAGATACTGAAGGTTTGGTTCTAGACCACCACCACAGTAAAGCAAATGTAGCAACAAAGCAAGTCACACAAATTTTTTGGTTTTTCAATGCATGTAAGAGTTATGTTTACACTATATTGTAACCTACTACGTGTGCAACGTTATGTTTAAAAAATAATGTGTATACCTGAATTTCAAAACACTTTTATTGCTAAAAATTGCTAACAATCATCTGAGCCTTCGGTGAGTCCTAATCTTTTGCTGGTGGAGGGTCTTGACTTGATGTTGATGGCAACTGACCAATCAGGGTGATGGTTGCTGAAGGCTGGGGTGCCTGCAGTAATTTCTTAAAATAAAACAGCAATAAAGTTTGCAATATTGCTTGATTCTTCCTTTCACAAAAGATTTCTCTGTAGCATGCAATGCCATTTGAATGCATTTTATCCTCAGTAGAACTTCCTTTAAAATTAGAGTCAATCCTCCCCAACCTTGTTACTGCTTTATCAACTCAAGTTTTCATAATATTCTAAGTCCTTTATTGCCATTTCAACAATATTTACATCTTCTTCACCACGGAGAGATTCCATCTCAGAAATCATTTTATTTGTTCATCCATAAGAAGCAACTCCTCATCTTTTCAAGTTTTACGATGAGAATGCAGCAATTCAGTCACATCTTCAAGATCTACTTTTAACTCTGGTTCTCATCATTTTCACTTCATCTGCAGTTACTTCCTCCACTGAAGTCCTGAACCCCTCAAAATCATCAATGATGGTTGAAATCAATGTCTTTCAAAGTTCTCTGACATCAATATTTTGACATCCTCCCGTGAATCACAAATGTTCTTATTGGCATCTGGAATGCTAATTCCTTTCCAGAGGTTTTCAATTTACTTCGCTCAGATCCACCAGAGGAATCACTATCTAGGACAGCTATAGCTTTATTAAATGTATTTCTTAAATAATAGGACTTGAAAAGTCAAAATTACTCCTTGGTCCATGGACTGCAGAATGAATATTATGTTAGCAGGTATGAAAACAATATTAATTTCCTTGTACATCTTTAGAAAAGATCTGATATGACAAGGTGCATTGTTAGTGAGCAGTTATGTTTTGAAAAGTAACTTTCTTCTGAGCAGTGGGTCTCAACAGTAGGCTTAAAATATCCAGTATTCCATGATATAAACAGATGTGCTATTATCCAGGCTTTATTTTTCCATTTATAGAACAGAGGCAAAATAGATTTAGTATGATTCTTAAGAGCCCTAGAATTTCCAAAACAGTAAATGAACATTGGCTTCAACTTAAAGTCACCAGCTGCATTGGCCCCTAATAAGAAAGTCAGTCTGCCCTTTGAAGCTTTGAAGCCAGGCATTGACTTGACTTCTCCTCTCTAGCTACAACAGTTTTAGATGGCAACTTCTTCCAGTGGAAGGCTGTTTGGTCTACATTGAAAATCTGCTGTTTAGTGTAACCACTTTCATCAACAATCTCACCTGGATCTTCTGGATACTTCTTGCAGTTTTCCATCGGCACTTGTTGCTTCACCTTGCACTTTTATATCATGGAAACAGCTTCTTTCCTTAAACCACACGAACCAACCTCTACTAGCTTCACATTTATCTTCTGCAGCTTCCTTGCCTCTGTCAGCCTTCATAGAATAGAAGAGTTGGCCGGGCGCTGTGGCTCAAGCCTGTAATCCCAGCACTTTGGGAGGCCAAGGCAAGCAGATCACGAGGTCAGGAGATCGATACAATCCTGGCTAACAAGGTGAAACCCCGTCTCTACTAAAAATATGAAAAATTAGCCGGGCATGGTGGCAGGCAACTGTAGTCCCAGCTACTCGGGAGGCTGAGGCAGGAGAATGGCGTGAACCTGGGAGGCGGAGCTTGCAGTGAGCCAAGATCGTGCCACTGCACTCCAGCCTGGGCAACAGAGCGAGACTCTGTCTCAAAAAAAAAAAAGAATAGAAGAGTTAGGGTCTTGCTGCTCTGAATTAGGCTCTGACTTAAGGGAATGTTGTGGCCTGTTTGATCTTCTATCTGAACCACTAAAACTTTTTCCATATAAGCAGTAAGGTTGTTGTACTTTCTTATCATTAGTGTATTCAGTAGAGTAGTAACTTTAATTTCCTTCTGGACCTTTTCGTTTACATTCACAACTTTGCTGTTTGTCACAAGAGGCCTAGCTTTCTGCCTGTCTTGGCTTTCAACATGCCTTCCTCACTAAACTTAATCATTTCTAGGTTTTGATTTAAAGCAGGGGTGTTCAATCTTTTGGCTTCCCTGGGCCACACTGGAAGAAGAATAATTGTCTTGGGCCACACATAAAATACACTAACACTTAACAATAGCTGATGAGCTTCAAAAAATTGCAAAAAAACCTCATAACTTTAAGAAAGTTTACATATTTGTGGTGGGCCACATTCAAAGCTGTTCTGGGCTGCATGCAGCCCACAGGCTGTGGGTTGGACAAGGTTGATTTAAAGTGAGAGCTGTGTGACTCTTCCTTGCACTTGAACACTTAGAGGCCTAATTTCAATACAGAGAATAGGGAGGCCTGAAGGCAGGGAAAGAGATTGAATAATGGCTGGTTGGTAGAGCAGTCAGAAGACACACATTTATTGATTAAATTTGCCATCTTTTAGGGATACAGTTTGAGATGCCACAAAACAATTACAATAGTAACATCGAAGGCCACTTATCACAAATAACTATAGCAGATACAATAATATAGAAAAAGTTTGAAATATTGCAAGAATTACTAAAATATGACACAGAGACACCAAGTAAGCACATGCTGTTAGTAAAATGGTGTTGATGATCTTGCTCAATTCAAGAGTGCCGCAAACCTGCAATTTGTAAAAGATGTAATACCTGTGAAGCACAATAAAGCAAAGTGCAATAAAACAAGGTATGTCTGTAATTTCCCTTTGGCTAGAGAGTCTTTCCCCATCTTTCACACCTGGAAAAATTCCTCAAGATATGAGCCATACACCTCCCCACTCTTACAGACCTTTCCTTGATCCTTGCACTCTCTGCAGGTAAAATGGATCATTCCATCTATTGAACACAAATAAACAAAAGAACAAAAATTACTCACAATGTCTCTTACATATCTCTATCCCAATAGTTAATACACAGATTTGTAAACTTTTTGTTTACATGCCAATTTCCTCGAATAAAGTGCAGTCATCTGTCTTTTTTATCTTTTTAATCCCCAGAACATACTTAAGACTCAATGATTTACTTGCCTAGCCAGTGTATGGGCTTGACTACTACTGTTTTAAAAATGAACATGTGTAGGGGCAAAGTTTCAGGGGTAAGAACTTATCTTCATCTCTATAATGCTTTCTGACTAGGTTAATCGTAAAATCTAAAGATCTACTGGTGCTATTTTTAAATGGAAAGCTCACTTTTACAGTGTAAATATTAGGTAGAGTTCTAGCAGTATAATCAATTATATAGCGTTAGGTTAATTAGAAAGAGAAAAATCCCTACAGCACTGAAATGTATGGCAACTCCTTCAACATTTGCCGGTTGAGATCTGTAGAACTAGCCTGACGATAAAAAATATCATTCCTTAGCAATAACAACTGTGGTGTATTGATAACCAATAATTTAAATCTCCGCAGATTTAACAAACAGTACCTACTGCTTTGGAACCTCGATGCAGTGAAAAGCATGGGATTTTAGCAATAGCAAGCAACAGGAACTAACACTAGTCACACACAAAAATTGATGGAGTGGGTTTGAGGATTGATTTACAAAGCACAGAGCTGACTAAGTTATTGCCACTTGGTGCAGCCAGCACATTAGGGATAATAGCTGTGCAGACCATGGATAGTTATAGATACTAGCTCAGCAGAATCTAATCTCACCTAGAGAGAAATATTTATATTTAGTATACAAGTTTTTTTCAAAGGCATGAAAAGAGAGTCCACAATACACATTTGGATGGAATTTGTTCCATGGATGAGAGTAAAAAATACTATCTTAAATGGATTACCTGTGGGCATTAGAACCTGGGAGCTAGCGAAGCTACTAGCTGAAACCTTGATCAAAATATAGTCATTACAACTGTATTTCCTGAGATAAATCAGAGTAAAAAATCCAATACAGTGCACACAATAGCATCCCTGAGAAATCTCTCACCATGCAGATATGATCCACTTAGAAATAAAGGATATGTCTAATGTATTTAGCAACAATTAATACTGGCTTTTGTCATTATCTTTGAAGTTGAAGTAGTTGGCCTCTGTCAACCCTTGTCTTCAAAGTTAAGAATTTGTCATATTTAAGTTTTTCAATGATGACTAAATGTATTCCTTAAGGATATGTGTTCCCACTACTGAACTTTCTTAGAAAATTGGTGGGCCTGCAAAGTAAATTATAATGTTCAATTATTTTCCTAATAAAACAACTAACCTTTGCTTTATGCACTAGGAATGTCCTCAGGAAAGAGAAACTAGAGAGAATTAGGTAAATTTCTTCTCTCATTATAAAGTGATATGCATTAAAAATAAAATAATCAGTGACCACAGTTTGAAATTATTTCCACAATCTTTAGCATTAGATTCACCATTTGTGCTCTATGCTCATTTCTACTGAAGCTCGAGGTTGGAGGAATAGTGTTTAAACCTGTGGTCAGAGAGAAAAGGTAATTCTAGTAACAGTTTTAGAAAGCAAACTTTGCATGTACCAGAATGGAAATACATGAACTTTTAAAGAGAAGCCCTATCAGAGTAAGAATAATCCCAAAGTGTAACAAATGGTATGACATAGTGAGTCTTGTTTTGGTAACATCGAGCATAATATTTTACATAGTATTGGTAAAAAGACAACTGGGTGTTTGTTGAGGTATTGAGTTCACATTGTCATGTGTACCACAGGGAAATTTCTCAGTAAATGAGAAATTCTTCAGATAGCTTGTCATGTCCTTACCAGCCAACCAGAGAATTAAATTGCTACTCATGCTTAGCAAAGTGCAACAGGGCAGTTATGGGGTCAAATTTTCCAGGACCTTTGTAGCTAATTAGTAGGAATTCAAAGGTTATTCTCTGGAACTCTAAGGAAGTTGCTGACTTGTCTCTATTTCTCCTTTCTGGCACTCTTTCCCATAAGCTAAGGTATTTTATGAGACTTTTTTTTTATTTCTACCATTTAGATCCTATTGTAAACTTATACTTGCAACGCAACTTCAAATACAAAGCCACTTTTTCTAATCCAAAACAAATAATTTTGATTCATAAAAGGCTAATGGGACATTTTTGAGATGCTGCATACATATTGGGAACTCTTTCTGCTTATAGGCTCATAATTTATCTACCCACAGGTAACTGTTAACTGTGCACAGAGGCCTATCTATTGTGTAGTAATAGATAATTTTATTATCTATTAATAAAAACACATAAATTTTATTAGTTCCTCAAAACCACTTTGGAGATGATTGCTCAGAATTATGGGATCAGGGATAGAAGTATCTTGTCTTACCCCAATTACAGAGGGACAATCTTTTAAACAAATGACACTCCTAATCCATTTATATCTAGTATCACCAAAATCAAACTTGTTTTGTTGTTTTTGAGACAGAGTTTCGATCTTGTCACCCAGACTGGAGTGCAATGGTGTGATCTCAGCTCACTGCAAACTCTGCCTCCTGGATTCAAGCAATTCTTCTGACTCAGCCTCCCGAGTAGCTGTGATTACAGGAATACACCACCACACACAGCTAATTTTGTATTTTTAGTAGAGATGGGGTTTCACCATGTTGACTAGGCTGGTCTTGAACTCCTGACCTCAGGTGATCTGCCCACCTTGGCCTCCCAAAGTGCTGGGATTGCAGGCATGAGCCACGGCGCCCAGCCCCAAATCAAACTCTTGATTACACCAACTCCATGTGCATCCCAAGCCATTCCTTCTGTTTTCCCCATTTCAATATGTGATATACACCCAGTTGCTCAAGACAAAATATTTGAATCATCATTGATTCTTCCTTCACCCTCAATTTTCCCATTCAAACTATCGACAAGTCCTGTTAGTACTATTACCAAAATATATCTTGAATCCATCTATCTATCTTCATAGTCAATACCTATGATTTCAACCTCATTATCACAATCATCTTCTACACTGCCTACTTCTACCCTTGCCTGCCTACAATATGTCGTTTGCCTGCTGTTGTTTGGGATTCAAAATGCAAATCCGCTAATCTTTCTCAGCTTTAGAAAACCCTTGTGTGACTTCTCATTGAACCTTGGATAAAATCAAACTTCCTTATAGCAATGCAACTTAAAGTGTGTTTTATGAACTGGTTCCAATCTATAACATAACATGATAAGTACAAAAATTAAGAGAATCATTTAGAATGTTTATACTAATTTGACAGTACTATGACATCTATCTATGTGAGCAGTGAACTCATTGTGTTGCAAGTGTAGACCAGTTCTAGTGTTGCCAGGATCATAGGTTAGGTTGTGTGTGGCTTGGTGGGCACACGGGTTTTGAGAATAGACCCCCATGTCATTCCACTACAAATCACAGATTTTAAGAGAATAGTCCTTCACCACAAAGAGTTTGAGAAACTCTTTCTGCCATCTGCAATCTGGCACCAGCCCCTTTCCATTCCCTCTTGGACCACTTGCCTCCTCCTTTTCTTTACTGGACCACAGGAGCCTTCTGACTTACAGAACAATTAATGATCTTTCTCCCCTCAGCCTTTTGCACTTGCAGTTCCTCATGCCTGTAATAATCATCATCCCATCCCATCAATTGCTTTGATATATTCTTACATCTAAGAGTTAGGTTTGTACCTTCTGTTTAGAGAAATTCCACATGCTTTTTTCTTCCCCAAATGTTCTTTTTCCAATTTCCTCTCTTGTTTTGAAGAACTGTCTGTTTCTTTTCATTTGCTTTGAAGATTTTTTTCCTTCTTTTTTTTTTTCTTTTACTAATCCCTTCTCTTTAGCAGTTGTCTTCTAGGATATGCTTCTGGACATGAAATGGTTTCTTTCTGCTTTATGTTTTTGGGCTGACATGCGTCCATTTCATTCTTTCAGCACTCTGACATATAGTGACCAAAAGGCATATTTCTCTTCCAGTTTTGCAAAGCTCAGCTCATTTCAGTTAGACAATCAAGTGGTTGCCAAAGTTTGCCTTTGTTGCTCTGCCGACATGAAGAGGGGAGTATTCTGAGTGTCAAGTGTAAAACAGTCCAGTTTGTGAGAAAAAAAGACAGGCAGAGATTACTATAACATAGGAGACAGGGAGTGAAGGGAAAACTAAAAAGGAAACCAATAAGAAGAACAAATGGCAGCTCCAGACAAAGCTATATGTTTCTAGCATCATTTAATACTCTGAAAAGCTAAATATATTCCTTAGGTTATTCATTGATTTAAAACTTTAATAGTACATTTATGGACCTCAACCAAAATGAATTGCTGACCTCTGATTTTGATGTTATTTTAGGTGTTCTGCAGGACCAGATATAATCCATGCAGAAAATAAAACTAAGTCTTGGGTGAAATCCATGTGAAAATAATTTCTTGTTAATATATGGCTTTGAAAAAATTTGCAATTAAATACACTGGATTGATTCATGTAATAATACCTCATCTAAGGTTATTTTTCCAATTATATCTACCATTCCAAAACCCATTGCAAGCATTACTACACTCAAGTATTTTTATAGACAGATGCGAATTATTTAAAGAATTCTCTTTTTAAAAATTTAAGTGCTATAATTCTTGGGGGTTACAATAAACAGTAGGAAATGTTAAATTTCCTAGTTCAATACAGAAAAGGAAATTTTGCAGTTCTTTGCTTTTTAGGAATATCACTACAGGGAAAAGAATAGCATGTGTCTACAAGCAGCCAAGCTGTTGATTACTAGACTAAGCAGTATTTAATAAAAGAAAAAGAGAAAAAATAGAAATAGGCCGGGTGTGGTGGCTCACACCTGTAATCCCAGAACTTTGGGAGACCGAGGCAAGAAAATTGCTTGAGCTCAGGAGTTCAAGATCAGCCTGGGAAACACAGCAAGACCTAGTCTCTACTAAAATTAAAAATAAAAGTCAGTTGGTCATGGTGGCACCTGCCTGTAGTCCAAGCTACTAGAGTAGCTGAGGTGAGAGGGTCACTTGAGCCCAGGAGATCGAGGCTGCACTGTGCTATCATCATGCCACTGCACTCCAGCCTGAGTGACAGAGCATGCCCTTATCCAAAAAAAAAAAAAAAAAAAAAAAAAAAGGGTAACAAACAATGCTTTAATTTGATAATAATAACATCATTAAAGAGGGAATGGAGAACAGAAAAAGGCTGAATCTTTGTCCCTGTGCTTCTTTACCAGGGCCAATGTCATGTCAGGAAGGTATTGTGCCAAGGGTCAGAAGAAATGTTGTGATAAACTACCCCATCTTGTTCCAAATTATGAAATCCTCTTGCTAACTGTTCTGTTTCCTCCTCCTCCATTGTCACCAGAATGCTACCATTCACTCTCACCTGGACCACTGCAATAGCCTCCTCTCTGTCTCTTTCCTTCCAAGTGTATCTTTCTCTAATTTGTTATTCTCCTTCAATCACTGTTTTTTTGTGCAAGATATAAATTGATCTGCTTAAATCTGCAGTACTTTCCCATTGCCTGTATACTCTTTCTTTAGTCATAGAAAGGACATAGGATGCAAAGTCTGGCCCTCACCTCTATGTAACTCTCTCTATAACTCATTCTATCCCATTCTTTCTTGGTTCTCCATGTGCCATTTTAGGGGGCAGGGGGCTTCTGAATAAGAGCCCCAAAAAAAGAGGAAAGGGGGAGGGGTAGGAGAAAAAGGAAGAAGAAGAGGAAAAGAAAAAGAGGAAAGAAGAAGAGGAGGAGGAGATGAAAGGGGGAGAGAGAGAAAAGGGGAAGGGGAGGAGAGGGAGAGAAAAGGGAAGAAAGAAAAGAAATGGGAGGACATGGGAGATGGAGGGAGGGGGAGGAGGAGGAGGAGAGGAGGAGGATGGGGAGGAGGAAGAGTGAAAGAGAATTTAAATAGAGAGAATGGGGTAGTGTTGAGGAGTATTTGAGAAAAAGATCTGTATCTTCTTTGCTTCCCAAATAGTAAGTTGGCTGAGTAGTAAGATCATATCTATTTTTTCCGTCATTGAATACTTAGAGCCTGGCATGGTACCTGACACGTAACAGACACTCAATAAATATATATTCATGAATGCATTTGTTCTAAATTTGCAAAATCTAGTGAAATGGCTTATTCCTTTGTAATTAATTTTCAGTACTCTTGTCTATTGAACAGCAACATAATGTCATTTATAGAAATCACAAAAGATACAAAAGGAAAAGTATAAGGTAGTGAAAATCAATACTATTGACATCTTCCAAAGAATAATTATGACTAACATTTGCTATATACCTTTTGGAAATTGCACTAGTCAAACGTTGTTTCCTGCCTTTCTTATCCTATTTTTTAAGTCATACTATATGCCATGATAGGTTGTTCCGATTCCCTCCAAAAGTATAACATAGATATTTTCAGTGTGGCATATATTTATTTAAAAAATACTTTCATTGGATAAATAATGTTTCTGGATGACTTATTTTAGCTCCAAATAATTTGAAAAAAAAATGACTTTTCATCTTAGTGCCTCCGATAGTTACTCAGCCCCTATATCCATCCCCACTGCCAACAACATGATGTTTGGCAATGGACAGTTGAAAGGAAATTCTCTAATTTCTTCATGCACCTGTTTACCCTGGTTGGAAATGCCATGGTTAATCTGAACAACCACATTTTGTGGAATCAGCCAGATCCCTTGAATATGTCCAAAACTTTTCTACCTGATATGGAAGAGCCTCTCTGTACCCCATTAGACTCTTAACAAGCAGAGCTCTACTGCCAGAAAAAAACAAGCAATAGATGAAGCCAGGTTTTCTATTTCTGTCTCCATCTTCCTCCCTCAAAGTAAGGAGTTTCCTAGATCTGCTGTATGGACAGGAAACAATAATATACACTACTCCCTCTACCCTCAGGTCATTGGTCCCGGAGCATCAAGAAAGAAAACACTGAACAAAAAGCAATCTTATTTAAGACCTTAGATTTCAAGTGCAGAAGTATGCTGGTTACATTTATTTTCTATTTTAAAAATGGAAATTTTTGAAAAGATTTACATAATGATAAGAAAGATTGTTTATAATATCATCAAGTTAAAAGCAAGAAATAAAATTCTATTTTCAGTAGCGTATTATATTTAAGTGCACAGTATATGGAGGCAGATTGCCTGAGTTTGTATCCTAGATCTGCAACTTACTAGCCTTGTAATCTTGGGCAAATTACTCAAACTCTTTCTGCCTCAGTTTCTTTCTTTATTCTTAATTGAGGTGAAATTCATATAACACAATTAACCATTTTTCACTGTACGATTCAGTGACACTTAGTGCATACACAATGCTTTGCAACCATCACCTCTCTCTAGTTTCAAAACTTTTTTCATTACCCCAGAAAAGCACAGTATCACACTGAGTTATTCCATACCACCTTCTCCCCTTCATTTCCTAGCAATTAATTTATTTTCTGTCTCTTTTTGCATATTCTAGATATTTCATATAAAAGGAATCATGTAATGCGTAAGCTTTTTACCTGGCTTCTTCACCTAGCATAATGTTTTCAAGGTTGACCCACATCATAGAATTAAAAAAAGCAGTATGTACTCCATTCTTTTCCACGGCAGAATAATATTCCATTGTACAGCTATACAAAAATTTGCTTATCTATTTATCCATTAATTAACATTAAAGTTAATTTGTTTAATAGTCCTTATCTTATAGGGTTCTTATGAAGATCTAACTAATTAATATTTGGAAAGCACATAAAATATTGCTTATTTCTATGTTTCTTAAAATGGATATAGTTCTATACTTGTAACTGTATATGTTATTCATATTTGCATATCTATGGAAATCACTGATCAAAAATATACCAAATAGATAACAATTACTTTCCTAAGTGTTGATATTGTGAATGGCTTTTATATTTTCTGAGGGTTTTATATTTTTTGAAATTTTAAATAAATGTATCCCTTTTATGTAAAATACATAAAAATTAAAATTACTTTGTGAGATACACTTAATCATTATTCATATGTAATTTCAGCATCATGTCTATCCATTTAGAATTTGTCTAACAAACAGTTTCATGAGTACATATGCACATGGAATTTAATGTTCTTTTTAAACTATATTTTTCTATTTTCCAATGGCAAGTGTCCTAAGTAAAATTTGCCCTAGACATTGTCTGCAGCTATCTTTTCCTGTGTGTTATTGCAGTTCTAAAGCTCATGATTTGAGAAACCTCTTGTCCAGGACCCTCAGCCTCCTCTATCTTATCTAGCACCCATGAGGGTATACTGCTGGTGCTCCAGAGGTAGCGTCATCAAGTTGAAAGCTGCATCACAGAGCCACACTGCAGTGGCTGGTATGAGCCACTTTTTCCTAAAGGGACCATTACACTGACCCTAAACAGGCTTGTATTGGTATTGATATCAGTTCTACTAAGTGTTGAAAACTGCAAGTGAGGCCCATTGGCTGCCAGTGAGAAAGAGGAGAGCAGCAGTGGTTACAGACTCATCCATTATAAGTGTAACCCATGACAGCATGAAACCTACTCATCCTAAATCCATGTTGCAGAAACCCAATGTAAAATTTCTGGTGCCTTCTTTAGACAATAGCCTAGTCATTGTACTATATCTTAGTCCCTTGTAGAATGAAACTTAGGATATAAAAAACAAATATCCTACTTTTCCTTTTGTGATTGAAACCAGTTATATAATTGCAGAAAACTACATAATACCTTTAATAATGCATATATGAAATTTACAGAATAATCTCTGTACTCCTTGACTGTGTATCCAGAAAATAAATAAATGTCACTTAATTATAAGATCTGGCTTTTTGTGGTACCCATATTCAGATGCTCTATTTTCCACTGTACTGAACAGAATAGGCCAAAGAGATACTCTGATGCATGTAAAAACCAGCCAGTTGCATCACTTTTTTTTCTGTTTTTCTACAGCATTTTTTGAAACACTATGTCAAAAATAATTTCTCCCATTATCACTTGAGACTACATAAAAATTTCTGCATGCTGTCCTTTGCAATTCATTTCTATCAATAAATATATTTCTATTAGACCTTAAAAAATATGGCTGTTGTTTTCTTTCTTGTGACTACTATGAATAAAGGGTAGAGATGAAACCATAAACAACTGGAATATTTTCATAAAACTGAAGAGTTATGTCAATAATAATATCCCTAAAAACCAAACAAACTTCCTGAAAACAATATGAAGTAAAAGGGAGGGCCACTTTCAGAGAAACAAAATGTCTTCTTACTCTTTTTCGTTTTAATTAAAATGAATGAAAACAAAATGAGATAGGAGAAATCATACCTCACTTTCTACATAGTCCTTCAGGCAGGTTTACTAAATGACACTTGGCAAAATTGAATAAAGGATCTTATAAATTCCACTCCTGGAATTTATGACATGATCTCATATCTCACCAGTGCAATGTTGCATAAGGCTGCATGAAATTGCCCAGTTCTGTGGTACCAATGTATACTATTATTAGGAACAATGTAACAGTTCAAATCATATCACATTAAAAAGGTTCAACAACTTTACCATATCAGCTTGCCCCTTGAGGCTGGGTGTGATGGCTCACGCCTGTAATCCCAGCACTTTGGGAGGCCGAGGTGGGTGGATCACCAGAGGTCAGGAGCTGGAGGCCAACCTAGCCAACATGGTGAAACCCTATCTCTACTAAAAAAACAAAAATTAGCCAGGTGTGGTGGCGGTTGCCTGTAAGTCCACCTACTCTGGAGGCTGAGGCAGGAGAATCACTTGAACCCAGGAGATGGAGGGTGCAGTGAGCCAAGATCGCACCACTGCACACCAGCCTGGGTGACAGAGTAAGACTCTGTCTCCAAAAAAGAAAAAAAAAAAAGCCCCCTGAAAAATCACATGCTGTTATATCATGTATCCTGTAATGTTACATTTTGTTTATTTTCATTTCAGTATGAATTTAACAAATAATCACCAAAATCCAAATATGCCTAACTCTATATGAGGTAAACATAAGTTAGTATTTTGTCTAAAGCAAATGTAAGTAAAAGATTAAGATAGAATATATGTCAAAGACTTGTGGAAAAAAATGTTCTGTTCCTTCATAGAGAGGGATGAACGGAGGTAAAGCTACTCACCTAGTGTGTAACTGCCAAAGGTCAATTCAAAGAGCCCATGGAGCACATGTGTTCTTTCCCATGACCCCAGTTCTCATTCTCCATATTGAAGCCGGAATGAATTTTCTAAGCATGATTAAGCTTCTGTCATTCCCTGGCTTACAGATGGCTTTCAATCGTAAATAAATTCAAATTATTTTTCTTGCCCATAAGGATCAATATCTCTGTCCCCTGCCTGCCACCCTGAATTCATCTTGCACTGCCTTCTGCTCTAGTCACTGTGCTCTGGCCACGCTAGGCTTTCTGATCTGGACATGATTAGCTCATGTACACTTAAGGGCCACCCAGTGCTAAGGGCCACCCAGTCACTCTCCTATCACTTTGCCTTATTTTCTTCCCAGAACGTATTAACAGAAAACTCATTGTATTTCCATATTGGCCTCCCAACTAAATTTCAAGAGTAAGAATTTTGCCTATCTTACCTAATTCTTGATATATAGTAGATTCTCAAATAATATTTGTGCTATGGATAACCATATATAATGACCAATGACTTTGTATCCAATTTTTCAGAAAACCAATACATATTTATCCAAGTATGGAATTGAACAGCAATCGTAAAAAGAAAAGAACTGGATAAGGATCCCTTCTGATTACTTTTAAGCTATAGCCTTAGTGAAAGTGAACACCCTTGATAGAAAAAAAAAATGCAGATAAAGCCAAGAAGAAAGCAAGGCCAAGACAACAGCAGGAACATGGCAGAAAACAAATAGCCCTCTCCCACTAATCATACTTTAGGATCCTGTGGACACGTTGGTGAGAAGTGGAAATGTTTCCATAAGCCAATATTTTTTTGTATATTGAAATTACATAATATTCTATTCTTTAAAAAGAGTTCTAAGGACTAACACAATGACACTTCAGAAAGAATATCAAGATCTTAGCAGCTCAAAACACACACAGGTTATACTGTATGATGAGAAAAGATCAGCCAATAGTGGTGTTTAGTCACATAACTACTTAGTATGCAAGCATAATGTTTCTTTTTTAAACTATATTACTAATCTTAAAATTATTTTACTTTTAAGCATA
Source organism: Homo sapiens (assembly GCF_000001405.40). NCBI lineage: Eukaryota > Metazoa > Chordata > Mammalia > Primates > Hominidae > Homo > Homo sapiens. The sequence goes on from NC_000005.10 coordinate 107,084,555, forward strand.
CAACCACATGTGTGCACATACAGGCAATATAAATTACGACCTTGAACAAATTAACCTGTTTGTATCTCAGTTTTCTCATCAGCAAAATATAGAAAATAGTACTTACCTCATAAAGTTGTTATAAGTATTAAATAACTTCATACACGTAGAGCACCTAGAAGAGATCATGGCACAAAGTAAATAATATAAATTAACTAACTATATAAAAAGAGATTTTGGAAACACATTAAATATGCCTACTCTCATTAGATTGTAGTTATTGTATCATGTATACCAGTAATAAACATTCAGTAACTGCTTAATGCCTAACCAATCATAAGTGTTTACATTAATATGGAAAAGGGATCACAAACACTTAAGAGAAAATGATTCAAAGAACAAATATAGAGAGGTTAATCTAGTACTAATAAAATCAATCCATTCATAAGATTAAGTTAATTCAACCCTAAGGGAAAAACGCACTAATAGCATTAGTAAAATGCTTAGCAGTTGACAAGCATTTTCACATACATTATCTCATTTAAGCTCCATAATTATACTTATAATGACTAAAATTTAAAATGTTTATGGGATTTACTTGTGATCACATTTCTAATAAATACTGATGCCATTCCAAATCCTGGACAGGTGTTGCTTTCATAACATTTTATATTTCCTTCAAAGCCACTAAAGAAAAAGCACATGAACTATGACAGTTTCATTTCACATTATTCTTTCAATAAATATGTATTCAGCACCTACTATGTGCCAAGAATTATTCTAAGTATAGGAGATAGAGTGGTTTTAACAAAATCAAAATATATTGCCCTTAATAGAGTTTATTCTCTACATTCTAGAGCAGAAAATAGACACTCCAAAAGATAAGTAAAATAATGAAATTTTAGATGGTGCTAAATGCTATATAGAGTCAAAAAAGCAGAAAAGGGAGCTAAGGCGTGCCTGAGAAATGAGGGTGTTATGACTTAGGAAAAAGTCAATATGGTGTTTAGGAAATCCTCACTAACAAGGTGATATTTGATAAAATACTTTAAACTAGCTTTGCAGGCCATTGTGGATATTTTGAGGAAGCTCAATTCAGGCAAAGAGAAAACCCACACAGAAGAGTGTCTGACATTTTTAAGGACATCAATGGACTGAAGCCAAATGAGTGAGGAGTGAAGCAAGAGAAAAAGTCAAAAGGTTATGGGAAGCCAGATCAGTTATGACCTTCTTGGTCACTGTAAAACCTTTGGTTATTTTCCAAGTGAGATGGGAATGGAGAATTCCATGAAGACGGGTTTCATAACTTGACTATGTTTCAAAAGAATGACAACATGACTCCTGCTGGTGAGTTGACTGGAGGGAAGGGAAGCAGGGAGGTGACAAGGGCAAAATATTAATGTTAGAAGACTACTGCTGTAACCAAGGGGAAAGATGAGGATGACTTGATGCAAGGAATTAGCAATGAAGGTGGCGGAATAGGTGGATTCTGAATATATTTAAAAGGTAAAGTCATTAAAATTGGATGGCAAATGAGATATGAGGTGTAAAAGAAAGAGAAAAGTCAAGGATGATTTAAGCCTGATCCCCTAAAAGAATGTAGTTCCCATTAACTAAGATAGGACAGTCTACTGAGAAGTCAGGCTTGGGCAGGGACATGCTTTATTTCAGACATGTAAAGTTTGAAATTCAAATTAGACAGTTAAGTGGAGGCGTTGAGTAGGCAATTGGATATCTAAGTCTACAGTTCAGAAAACAGTTCAAACTAAAATTATAAATTTAAAATATATATGTATACATATGCCAAAAATACACATATACACATGCATGCACATGCCCACACACACACACACGCACACATATTTAAGACTCAGCCTGGAAGAGAACAGCAAAAGGATAAGAATACAGAAGGGAGGCTAGGAGCAGTGGCTCACACCTATAATCCCAGCACTTTGGAAGGCCGAGGTGGGAGGATCACCTGAGGTCAGGAGTTTGAGACCAGCCTGGCCAACATAGTGAAACCCCATCTCTACTAAAAATACAAAAATTAGCCAGCATGGTGATGGGTGCCTATAATCTCAGCTACTCAGGAGGCTGAGACAGGATAATCACTTGATCCTAGGGAGTGGAGGTTGCAGTGAGCCACTTCACTCCAGCCTGGGTGGAAGAGCAAAACTCCATCTCAAAAAAAAAAAAAAAAAAAAAAATAGAGAAGGGAACCAAGGTCAAAGACCAAGCCTGGGACTTTCCATATTAAAAGACAGGAGGGAGAAGGAATCAATAAATTGTTCCACGTGGCCACTGATGTCAGCAAAATTTATTTAGAGGAGAGTGAGCAATCATTAAGTGAAATTTATGCAATTAGGTATTTACATAATGGTTCACTAAAGAAAACTAGAGAATTGTTAGTCAACGCTAAATCCTATATTTTCACCATTTATCTAGGGTTCATAGGCAAAATGGCAAAAGAATACACTTTATAATGGGCACAAAATGATGAAAAAAATGAAAATGTGATTATTATAGCAGAAACTTTATGACTAAATAACTCATTTTTTTCTTCACATTACACCAAATGCAAGTTTAGTGGGAGCGGTGAGCAATTTCAGTCAATGTGGCACCAGCAGATAACACTGAGAACACATGAAAATGGTAAAAAGGGCATGGCTTTTTCCTCTGTCCTTATAGATCTTATAGCCATTTTAGCTTGGAAAGAAACAGTATGATAAATTTCCTTCACCCCAGAAATGAGGCATCAATTGTTCCAACTATGATTCTATGTAGCCTTAAACATATTTTGCTCATTTTGGAAGAGATTCAGAAGTAGGACATCAAGCAACTAGCCTAATTATTTTTTGAAGATAATCATCGCTACTATAATACATACACATGCTATTTGCCAAAATCACCACCCAAGTTCCCTTAGAACATTATTTTTATTTATCAAATAATCTGTTTATAATTAAAACATAATTCTGAAGAGATTAAGAGATTCATGCTCTTTTTTTTTTAACTTAAAAAGGATAAAGGTTTGAATGGTGTGGTAATGGTAATGTTTATAGAAGTTATAAGGTAGTTGTACCAACTGAGAAAGGGTTAGAAAATTTGAGACAGAAGAGCTCTGCCAGAAGGGCCAATGTGAAGATTTCATGTAAGGAAATAAGAAATATCCCTTTGAATGTAAGTTTTGTTCAAATCATGATTTTTTTTTCTTTTAACCTGCTTTCTATTTAGTCATTCAAGTTTAATAAAAACAGAAAAAGAACAGATACAACCACAGAAATACAGGCTGAACACTTTCCAGTGATTCATTCTGTAAGAAAATTCACCAATATAATTTTCTCTGTTATTTATATCAATGCAGATCAATTTATACTCAAAACATACTGCTCTTGCCACTTACAGACTGACAGAAAGAAGCCAAAAGATACAGATGATCTCTCCATCTGACTGCCAGTCAAGCATTCACAAATGGGTCCTAAATACTACCTTGGATAACACTTTTTACAGCATGACAATATGTATGTCTCACCTCAAGTTCAAATTGTTATAAAATACTTATCACCATAAAAATAAAGTTCAAAATTATAAAGATAACTGAGAATCAAATCGTCCTCTGAAAGAATTTCCTGGGGTCTCAAGTTATCCCTTTATTTAACATTCTCTCAAATATGTTGTTTTCTACAAGCAAAATCACAGGATGTCTGTCATTTTTGCTTTGTTCCACAAAGTAAAAAATACTTGAGGATACAAAATATAAAACCAAAATATTAAGTTTCCAAAAATTTATCAACACCAAAAAGTGAAGTATTATTTTAGTACAAATAAGGGGAAAATATACATTTTTTTCTAAATCAGCACATATTTACTTTATAAAGACTGGTACCTGGGGGAAGAATGCCATTCATTTCTCATAAGTTATACAAGGAGTCAATGGCAGGTGTTAAGCATGAGATAGAAATGAAAAAATCTTCAAAGCAATAACAGACACAGGAAACACATCCCAAAGGGAAATAGGAGAACCACAGAAAAGAAATCAAGTGAAGTGAATACAACCTCACAACTAGTGCAAATCCCTCGGGAATTCTCCTAATATGAACCGTTAAAGCCACGTGTTTAACATTTGATAAATGTAAGTTCTTATTTGTCAAATGGGGAAGCTTCAGGCACAGTAAGCATTAACCTGATCCATAAAAGGCATTATATTGTCTGTCTTTGCATTTCATTGCATAATGACTTCACAAACATGCACATCCAAATCTTGCTTCTATGTTTCATTCTTATAAGTCAAATAAATAGATGACTTTCTTATTTGAACATTAGGTTCAAGGAGCTCATTCTTTACAAAGATGGTTACTGAAATAAATCATGGCCATGTCTACATAATAGAAACATTGAAACAATCTCTTCCATGCTTTGCTCTACACATCCTATTTTCCTCAATCAACATGACACTCTAAAAGGGTTCAATGAGAAAATGAACTTCTCTGGTATCTTCACAGCAGATTTGTTACCAAGCATGTTTCACCCCTACTGAGAAGTTGCCAGAAATAAAAATAGAAAGATGAGTAGTAGGAATGTGGGTGTGACAGTATGACCCAGAATTTAGGAAATGGAAGTGGAGAGTCTTGTTCTAGATCTTTCATTAAGTAGCCTTCAGTAAGTCACAGTCTTACTTTAGATTTCAGCTCCTCAGCTATAACATGAAATTGTTGACTAAACAGTCTTTAAGGCCCTGCCATCTCTAACACCGTATTTCTAAATTATCCCAAGCTGCCATTAAACAGAAAGAGAATCAGCTAAGACTGTAAATTCTAGTGCATCAGGCTGTCCATCCCCACTCCCTGTCCAGGTACAGGCACTTGTTGCATACTGGGAGGGATGGTGGTAAATTCTTAACAAAATATTTATTCACTCAATGCTCATAACAACTCTATAAGAAAGATATTGTCATCCTTTTCCTCTATTTTACAGATGAGGAAAAAGAAAAATTAAATAGCTTGCCACAAACTCTATATTGAATTCAGTATAATAATCCATAATAACTCCATTCTCTACTGCCTTCCAATCAGACAGATAAAGAAACAATTCTGTCAAGGAAGAGAAAGCTCAACCAAGCCCTCTGAAATAGCTCGATTAGTAAATAAAGTGATTAAGAGTCTTATTTGGAAGTCGGGAAAGCAAAATTGATTTCACAAAATAGGGACAAACTGACATGGATTAAGGCTCCCATTTCCAATTAATTTCTTAGCTGCAGAGATTTTTGTTGAAATCCTGGAGATTGACTAGAATGGTGCCCCAAAAACCCCATGATAAGTGAAGAAGCAATTGAAGTGAGATAATAAAGACACCTTAATAGGATCCATGCATTAGAATTTTGGACTAAAACAGAAGAAGGAATTAACATTTATTCAGCCAGATCCATGTATCTAAATCCAAGCCCTTTCTCTTATAACAGTTAGACTTTTTCTTCTTCTGTCACTATAATTCCCTCCATCAGCTTGTAAAACATCTCCTTAATTCAAAATTCTGTAATATCAGGAATAAAAACTATCCACAGCATAAGTACTCAGAGCAATACTTTGCCACAGTATTTTTCCAAAATGGTCCCAAATTCTAAGACTGTCCTACTTGAGGCTGCTTCTCTTGCCAGAAACATTTTCAACCCAGAAGATTTGCCTGCGAGTTTATTTTTATGTTTAAGGATACAGTGGAGATAACTAGAATATTATTTCAGAGAACTTTCTATTTTTAAAATGATTATTTAAATAGAGTTAATTATGATACAATTTTAGATCTCACAAACCACATGGAGGAGGTCAGGGACAAAGGCACACTTGAGAAATGATTGAAAAAAATATCACTTTATTCAGGGAACAAGCTATGTAAACCTTCCCTTCATGAAACAGTCTGAGATTATAATCTAAAATTCAAAGAATCATGACAGAGCTTTTCGGAGGCTTTTAAAGTTAGTATCCCTTTCCTTTAAAATACTTCAGTGGGCTCTCTAAAGTAGTAAGACAAGATGCTTTTACAGTGATTTATATGGTATTTTCCATCTTAACAGCTGGACTCTTTATGTTTATAGTACTGCCATGTGGCATGCTGTTCAAAGCAATGCAGTTTTAGAAGTCCTGAAAACAGGATGTTCACTTAAGGACTGTACAGAACATGTTACAAATTTAAAATATGAAAAGGAAAGGAATTTAGTTGCAAAGAGCATGAAACCTGAATCCACAAGCTTTTCCAATGCTTTTAAATGCAGTCAAAAGGGGATGAGAAATGTTCATTCTTCCAACTGTCAGCAAACATATGTATGCAGCTTAACTGGCCTCATAACTCCCTTAGGGCTTATACCCTTGTTTTAGCTTCATTTTCCAACAGGTTCTAAGAATCAATAATATTTTTAAGCAGCTCTTATCTCTTGCAAAAAATCTTTTATTTTCTTTGGAAAAAAGAGGTAACTATTTTAGATTAGTGCTTATAATCCTCAAGGTATGCAGAACTCCTAATTTATATATGAATAAATACACATATATTCTAATATGTACACAAAATTTTAATATACATTGAACAACATATGAGGGCAAAGTATATTTTGATTACAAAGAATGATTATTTTGTTAGAAAAAGTTTAAAAAATCGTATACTATAACATACACAAATAAAAAGTTATTAATAATACTACACATTAGAGAATAATTTCTTGTCTTTGTTACTTAACCAAAAAATAACTGCTGGAAATAAAACAGAAAGAAATATTAGTCTCAAATGTGTACACTTCTTAATATTGAAACTATGTACAAAACAAGTTATGTGAGTGCATATTTAAAATACTTTCCATTTTTGGATCTAAAAATCCCAAATGATCAAAAATATTGGTATTAATGTTCATTTAATTTTTCACTTTAATCATTTTTAATCATTTTTATCACCATTTGAATCCAAATGTTTTATGGATTATATGCTAGAAATAATTAAAGATGTGACTTAAATAACCCATGCAAAATTTCCAAAAATTTATCTACATTCCTTAAAAGATTCAACAGCATATAAAGGATACATAACATGGTCAAAGAAGATATTTCAAACTACATCTTTTTAGAAAATGGTAGACACATGGATAACTTGACCTGAGAACGCTTACTATATCAATTTCAACTTTCTTCAAAATTGATAATTGAATTGCAATACAAGATAAAATATAAAAAGAGAATTGGAAAAAAAATAGTTACTCAAACACAAAACTTATTTGTATCTGGAGTTTGCACATGTTAAAAGGAAAATCAAAATATAAAGATTGATGACTCACAGATATACACAGATAACATGCCACATCTAACAAAGTGTCTACACTAAACTTTTTCATCCTTCCTACTTGTTCCTGGCTCCAGCTTTTATCTTCTCTGCAATCACTTTGTAGATCCAACAAATCAAATTATAAAACAAAAATATTTTATGTAATGCTTAAATATATTAAGAGGAAGTGATTATGGAGGTGACAGGAGAGGAAAGAGTGGTTCCTGTCACAGTATCCATAACCTCTGGTACAGTCTCAAGTTTCAAGTTTACTGCAACTCATGTATTCTTTCATTCTTTCACTCAACAAATAATTATTGAACATCTCTTATGTGCCACATGCTGTCCTAAGCACTACAGACAGAACAGTGGGTTCTATAGATAATGTCTCTATTCTTCTGACCCCATGTTATGCTGTGAGGAAGACAGAAATTAATAATAATAACATAATAATTAGCAAACAAGATTATTTCAGACAGTCGTAAGAGCTGTGAAAACACTAAAATAGAGAAATGCGATGAAGAATGATTGAAGGGATGCAAGTTAGGTAGACAGGAAAGATGTCCGTGGAAAGGTTATATTTAAGCTGAAACGTAGATAGTGAGAAGGTAGTCATGTCCATATTTTGGTGAGACATTTTATAGCACGAGGAACAAATATAAAGGCCTGCATGCAATGTGAACATATGCTTAAAAAACAGAAAGAAGAAATATAAAGAAGGTTGGTGGAGCATAGTAAGCAAGGCAAAAGGAATGAGGTTACTAGATCAAGTCAGGTAAACAGGCATACGGGGCTGCTGCTTATGGTTGGGTCTTCTATAGGCATGGCTCTTCCTGAAGTTTTAAAGGGCACCACTAAGTAATATGCAGTGGAGTGGATTCATTAAGGTTCTCATTTTGAAGAGAGAGCAGGACATTCAGTACCACAGACATGTGCAAACTTCCTGAGGTCTTACACCAACCAGAACTTCAGGGAGCCTCCCAAAATTCCATGAGGACATATTCATACTACTTACCACTGATAAACTCATAATCCCAGGATATTTTTACAACTGATGACTCAAGAGTTCCTGTGCTTCATTTAGGGAGTAGGTATTTTTCATAGGCTAGGAGCCCATATGCCTGGCATCTGGCCTCCTGGATGTTCCTATCTGAGTACTGTCAACTGATCACATGCTACAACATACCAGAGGATAGACTGGTATCCTCCTTTTAATTTAAGGGAATGTCAATGTCTTCTACATTTTCATCTTTGCCAGTGGACTAATAGTGAAGGTATCAGTTTCTTAGATATGTTTACTCTGTTTTCTAATCATTAACTCCAGAAATCAAACAATTAAAAGAGGAAATTTCTGATGTAGCTCTGAATGATACATCAATATAAATAACATAAACGTAAAATAAATGTAAATTCAGATCTATCATGGAAATTTCATGTTTCTATACACATTCCTAAGCCTTAAAATAGTCTCAGAACATGCTAATATAGGCTATACAAAAATAATTAAATATAAAATATTTTCTGTGTATGGTAAAGCTAATAAAGTTAAAATTACACCTAAGTGTTAATTACTACAATTTTTAAATGTTTTTCCAATTACAGAAGACATGCAATAATCACGCAGAAAATTTAGAAAGTATAAAAGAAATAAGAAAATAGGAATTAAGGTGAATTCTAACAGAGATAAGCAGTCTTAATATTTTATAATTTAACACTAATTTTTTTTTGCCCCTCTACATATTATAGATGGAGACCACATAGTTTCAGCCTATACTCTGCTTTTATTCTACAACTGTTTTACAGAAAACATCTCCATCTGCAACCAATTTAAAATTCTCCAAAACCTCAATCCTAATATTTATAAAATATTTCATTTATAATTACACCACAAATTTTATAAATCTCTCCTTTCACTAAGCAGAAACTTTATTTCCAATTTGTTCCTATTGTAAAAATAATGCAATGAAAAATATTGAATTAAAATCATTTTGTATTATTTCATAAGAATTCCTAAAAGTAGACATAGTAGACATCTACTTTTTTTGTTTTTGTAACATGTATTGCTAAATAGCATTCTACAAAGTGTTAATTTATCCAATTATCTGAGGATATGAGAATAGTCATAACACTACTTCAGAAAGAATACTATGAAATTTTAACTGAGCTTGATAATTATGGTAAGTGGTATCATATTGTCTAACTTGGACTTCCTCACTCACTACAGAGGCTGAAACCATTTTTGTATATTTCTAGAATGTAAGGTGCACCCTTTTGCCTTCTCATTATCTTCCAGCCTGCAATACATATGTGATAGTTGGATGGACTGAGAAATGGCCTTGAAGATAGCCCCCTCAAGTGAGAACAGTACAGATAAAATCTGAAACAAACCTGTGCATTGATAATATCCAGGATCCACCATACCAACCTTGGACTTCTTTTCTCCGTACATATTTATGGGAATAAAAATAATGAGACGGGAAAATTCCCTTGGCTCCTCTGCAGGACCACTTGCAAAGGGGGTGGTTCATTTACTCGGCTGCCATGCATTCAAACCATTTATGGGAGGGGGAGCCCACAGGTCAGCCAGGGCGAGTGTTTTTGAGCTCCAGCCCCATGGCAGTGTCAAGGGATGTTACAATGCTCTTTTAGCTTTGCCGTCTGTGGATGGCTAAGTGTTAACCAGCTCACTGGGGAGTCAGGGTGACAGCCTTTTACACCTTGCCCTCTTGGTACCCAGGTCCTTGTCTGGCATCCAGGAAGAATCAAGTCACGTGGACTTGAATGATGGTGAATATGGGGATTTTACTGAGTGATGAAGGTGGCTTTCAGCAGGATGGATGGGGAGCTGGAAAAGGGATGGAGTGGGAAGATGATCTTCCCCTGGAGTTCAGCCATCCCATGGCTGATCTCCTCTCCAACTGTCCCCAGCCAAATGCTTCTCGACATTCAAATGCTCCTTCTCTGCTGTACAGCTCTGTTCTGCCAGTGGAGCTTGGGGTTTATATGGGCACAGGATAGGGGCATGGCAGACCAGAGTGGTCTTAGAAAAGGCAACATTTGGGTGTGAAAACAGAAATGCCTGTTCCCATTTAGGGCCTTTGCTGGGGAATTGCCCTCTTCTACCCAGTATTTCCTTGATTTCCGTCTCTATCATTTATAATAAACTTCTACGTTGTTTAACTTATTCTTTATTGTTGGTCTCAGCTATTCAAAGCTGAACACAATTTCTAATTTATACAACTTGAAAAGTTGAGCATGATGTATCTATTTTTAATTTTTAATTTTCTATTTTTGATGTATCCATTTTTAAATGATACAAAACAGTATCATTTACAATATGACTTGGGTTGTTGTTTTAAGAGAAAGAAAAAAATTTACACCAAGATGTTGACAATAGGGTGGTTCAATTATGAGTGATTTATTTAGTCCTTGTTTTTATTTTTACCTGTTCATTTGTTCTTATTTTTTCTATCACATGATTTAACTTAGGAAAACCTGTTATCTTTATAATATTCAATATTTTCTATCCAGGAACGTAGCACAGTTCTCCATGTGCTATCCTTCTTTGATAGCTACCCATACACATGAGTAGCTTGCTTCACATGCTCTACCATTTAACTCATTAGGATTTTTCTTTACTATTTTATATTATTTATATTAATGAGAAAATAGTCTTTTTAACTATCATTACCTTATATTTTGTTGTCCAGAAAAGCTGTGAATTTTTATATGTTTATTTTATATCTTTCAATTTTACAGAATTCAATGAGTTACCACCAACTTCTATAAGTTAAAATGTTTTCAGCTGATGTAAGCAAACTATATGAAAATTACCATTTTTGCCCTCTTCAGTCAATCATTCTTCTCTTATTTTTGTTTTAAATAATAAATCTTGGCTGAAATTTTTATTAAAAAGTTAGAAAATAATACTCATGTGCATATAACATTTTTAATCATTTCAGTGGCAATAACTCCACTGTTTCCCAGTTAAATATCATGTTGGCTCTGGGCCTAAAAGAGATAGTCTTCATTATACTAAACAATATAGCCCTATTTATCTAAATTTAAAAGATATAGCTCTTAAAATAGAAGTTAATATTTATTTCACACTTTAAGTCACTGTTAACATATTAACTAAATTAATATATTTAATTCCCACAACAAAGTTCTGAGGCACATGCCATTAGTATTTGCATTTTTCAAATAAAGAAACTGGAGCACAGATAGGTTGCCTGCTAATATTCTATTACTCTATCAAGATTCCTTTTGAAGAGGCTTCTATTAAAATTCTCATATGGCTTGTTTTGTTTATACTGATGATGCAATGATCACAAGAGAGAACTAAAAATTGATTACATTTGGGGGATCAATCCTGCTTGGTTTGGGTGAATAATTCTGCCAGTGTTTCCTAGTGTTATATTCCATTTATAATTTTGTGTCTATATTAATATGAAAAAGTTTAATTTTTTTGTGTGATGTCTTCTTCTTTATGGTTTTGGTATCAACGTTATGATAGATTCATAACATGAATTGGATAGCTTTCCATTTTTTTTCTATCTTCTGATACAGCTAATATTTTCTTAATACTCTACAAATGCAGTTTTGATCTCTTCTTTGATCCAAGTTATTTAGAAAAGTGATTTTAAATTTCATAGTGGATTTAAGTAGAAGTCAATTAACAAAAGCTCAGATGAACAAAACGTTATTTGCTTGGTTGTTTAAGCTTTTGCTAATAAGGTCATCTCTATCACGTTATGAGCAGAAAATAGTGAGTAAATAAATACTACTTTCTAAAACAATTTTCAATTGTTTAAAGTGTTTGTCCAACCATTGTAAATTTGCAAAATAATCTGCTTATAGAATAGTAAGCTATATAATTTATATATACACAGAGTTATACCATGTTAAAATCTTACACTTGTTAGAGTTATATATGCTTATATGAAATGTCAAACCTTATTTATGGTTATATAAGCTATGACTTGACTTTTTTATTCCAGCATCTATCAAAGATTAAGAGAACATCCTTAATGTCTATATGCAATAATTGTACCTTTGTAAAATTATCTGTTCTTTGCTTTCTTTTTCCTTTATGTATTTTGATATTATAGCATGAAAAGGTCATAAAACCCATTATTTCATCAAAATTGTAGAATGTATATCATCAATTTAAAATTACTTTATTTATTATATTTACTCATTGGTTACCAACTAAGCTACTCTTTAATTTAAATTTTTAATTTTCCTGATAAATTTTCAACATTATTTAATTTCAGACAGGCGTGTAATGTGGATTTTGGTTTGTCTACTTTAAATAGCAGATAATCGCATGTTGCTTTTTAATTCAACACTTGAGGTTTTCTTTATATAACATCATTTAGAGAGTTTATGTATATTTTTCGTATATTTTTAGATTATTGACATATATCTATTCTTATATCTGGCACCCTCGTTCTTAATTTCTACTTTTCTAGGCTTTTTTGCTTTTTTCATTGTTTTCTATTCTATGACATTTATACTATTTGACTTTTTCCTTTTTTGCATATTATATTTCTCTTAATATTGTACAAATAAAAATGATACCTCTTGAGTTTTTCAAAATAGAAAAATTACCTTATTTCTTCTCTGCCTCACTCAGTCTTAACTGATAAAATATGATATTTGTGAATCAGATTTCTGTTAAAATTAATATTTCACATTGTATATCTTCTTTGAAAAAATTTTGAAATTTATATTTATTTTATAAGCATATTCTCAGCGAATTATATTTTGTATTAGGGGTTTAACGTCACCTTCATTCCATTTTTTTTTTTTTTTTTTTTGAGACCAAGTTTCGCTCTGTCACCTAGGCTGGAGTGCAGTGGCACGATTTCTGCTCACTGCAACCTCCACCTTCCAGGTTCAAACAATTCTCCTGTCTCAGCCTCCCAAGTAGCTGGGACTACAGGTGCCCACCACCACACCTGGCTAATTTTTGTATTTTTAGTAGAGATGGGGTTTCACCACATTGGTCAGGCTGGTCTCAAACTCTTGACCTCAGGTGATTCACCCACTTCAGCCTCCCAAAGTGCTGGGATTATAGGCGTGAGCCACCACACCCGGCCCATTCCTTTTTTTAAATATTTTACTATGAACTATTTCAAACATACAGGAAAGAAGTAATTATGGCTCATATTTACTAAGCAACTACTATGTACCAGGCACTATTCTAAGTACTTTAAAATAATTAACTTATTTAATTCTTGTAATAACTTTTCGAGATAAAAAGTAATTTTACTTCCATTTTGTAGTGGAGGAAACTAGGACAAAGAAAAGTTATGCCATTTGCAAAAAGTAATGCAGATAAAAATGCAGAGCTCACATTCAAACCTAGGCTGTCTGTCCACTATGCCCACACTCCCCACTCTGCCATTAAGCCTTCCACTGCAGGAAAGATAGAAGCACTTCTGTTCTAGAGTTTATCCTATTTGTGATTTATTCATTTAAGGTTTCTTCTTGATTTTATTTCTTACTCACGTTTTATTTCACTATTTCTACCTATTGGATATCTTTCCTTCTTTTACTTCTTTGAAGCTCCAAACTGTACTTATTCCAAAGTTCTATACATTTTTATTTTATCTGCTTTGAATTAAAATTCCAACTGTTAATGTTTATTTTATTGGTTCTCTACCTTAATTTAGTTTTCTTCATGGGTTTTGGAATTTATGGGTTTTTTTAGATAAAATAAATTGACAAGTATTTATGTTTTTGTAAATTCCCATTCACTCACTCTCTATTCTCTCTCTTCTCATGCCTCCTCTTCCCCACCACTTCCCAACTCCTACTCCATCTAGCACTTTTTGCTATCAAGACCCAGATCTTTTCTTTTGAAGAGATTCTCGCTGAGTACTTTCGATGACCCTGCCATAAGACTATGTTATGAAAGAAATAGAAAATAGCTTGGGGAACCTTTCATTGTCCACACAAACACTCATCTGTGTCCTAGAGCTTCAAACACTAAGATTCTCAGCAAACCGCAGGGAGATTCTGAAAACTAGGGAAATCTGCAAATGCTAATTATATGGCTTTTAAGATGTAATTAGCATTCCTTTTTCCCTAGATAGGACGTGATTAAGTGGATTTGCTATTATCCAACATGGAACATTCAGTCCATGGAACAAAATTTTGTTACCACTCTACTTTAGATTAAATATCTATCTATAGGCTAGGTCTTTGGTCCCAGCACAAACTCGCTGGCCTGAGTCATAGCATCTATTAAATACAGAGATTACCGGAGATGCTTTTGTTAAGGAAGAACTGTAAAGGTGTGGAGTTTTGTAGGTATCTTTTGAAACACCTATTCCTGACCTCTTAGTTTCGTTTCGCCTCTCAGTGCCTTTTCTATCTGCATTTGTCACAACCTTATTATTCTTTTCAGTGTGCTGTGAGTATCTGTTCTGTAGTTGCTCAGATTTTAAAAAGTTTGGGAATCTCTGGCCTCGAGTATTTACTAATAACATAGCTGATTATATCCACTGTATTTCTGTTTTGAATCTACATATATTTATTCCCTAAAATTTCCCAATCAAAGCTATGGTCCAAGAAAAATGAACAATTATATAATTAGCTGGTAAATGTACTAGGAATTAGGAAAATGTTATAGTAAAAATCAACTTGAATTTGAATCGTCTATATTGGCTGGACCGGATGTCTGAACTTCCGTGTGTAACTGCCCAAATTTATGACTCTAGCTGCGTGACATGAGGTACACATTTTCATAAAGGGCCAAAGACTTTTATAGAGCAGGAAAATGATTCTCTTGAAGGAAAACTAAAGGTGCTTGTTTTATAAAAATAAATGTTGGACCAAATGTTCATCCTTTATTATTCCCCCATAGGAGTTTTACAAGATGAGGATCTGGCATTTATTAGCAGGTCATTTGGGGGTCGGTTGCTGTGGGAACCCAGACTCTTTGTCTGCACTTTATCTTCACCATATGATTTTGGTATGAGTAGTTAAGTCTTTTAAAGTATAATATGTCATTAATATTTAATAATTACATTTTTTAAATAACACAAATTAAATCACCTGTTTTACTGCTCTATTGTCAATAAATACCCATTTAATTCTTCATTAGGGATTTTAAAAATATTTGTGGCTTGAACACTCATTTAGTTCTGGCTTTGTGTGTGTGTGTGTGTGCACATATGTGTGAGTGTGGGTGTGTCTGTGTCTATGTGCCAGTATGCTATGAATGATTTCAACTATTAAATGTGATTTTAACTGTTGTTTCCTTAGTTGAACGTTTTGAATATACAAGCAATTTTAGATTCCATGTAAAATTTTTAAATGGTTTTAAGATAAATAATATAATATAGGTATAAAGTGTATTTGCTAAACAGCTAGACAATCAAATACATCTACACTAAAATATTTCTGCTCAATTAGGAGTCTCAGCCAAGTCTACCAGGATAAATAAAGGAGAAAGATAAGCCTACTGCTACAATGATTCATCAAAAGTATTTAGAAAACGTCTACTGGAACTTTGTGCTACATAAAATCCAACCTGAGAAGGCATGATTCCTGCCTTCTGATTGCTTTAACAAAAAATACGCAAGGAAGTTATGAAGAAAATATTAAGGCAGTTTCAAGGAGAATACACAATGGCATTATGGTAAAAACACAGGACTTACGGTATGAAGAGGAGACTCTGTCTTTTGGTTTTGCTACTTATTGTGAAATCTTGGGCAAATCACTTAACCTCTCTTGGTCCCAATTTCTTCTGTTCTAAAGGGTTCTTGGGATAATGTGTATAGCATATGTTTGTAAATCTCCTACCCGGCCCTTTGCTCAAAACACTCCTGCCAGACTGAATGGCTTGCTATTCCTTAAATACACAAGCACCTGTACCCTGGGGCCTTTGGAGATGTTCTTCCTGCTTTCTGGAATGCTTGTCCCCCCAGATCTGTTCGTGGACAAATTTCTCTTTTCCTTCAAATTTTGCTCAATATTCCCATAGTGGCCTGGATTGCATGCCTGCACCATAGTTCCACAGGAATCCTGTAAAGCAGGTAGCTGCAGCTTTCATCTTTCATATGGGAGACTGCCTCTGACTCCTTTGAAGACCCAAAAGATGAAGAATTCCCTTGGGCAAACAAAACATTAACAACTTTGATTACAAATATTGAGAATGTTCCAAAAATCTTCAGACAATTACCACCAATATTATGTGTAAATTCAGAAATATCTAAAAAATGAGTAACAGTCCATTAAGAGTCACCCAAATAATAATGAAAACTTAAGAGTATAGAAGAGCCAGATAAAATGTCTTGAAAATTACTGTCTTCCCAGAGTCTTGCTCTACTCAGTCACCCAAGAAGAGTTTATGGTACCCGGGAAGATGTGCCATGTAAGAGAACATTCTTGGCATTTAGGGAGTCACATGGCTTTTACATACTCAGTTCTCGTACTTTTACTCCTTCCCTAAAAATAATAGTTTGTAACATTAAAAAATTATGAAGTCAAACTAGGCTTATTGAAGTTCTTTATTTGAATAGATTGATTACTTTGTGAGTCTATGTAGGGCAATATTTTAATTTGTTTGGATAACAGCATAAAAACCTTATCGAGCAGACATTACATATTACACACTTTGCTTTTTATACATTATTCCTATTCTTTAAACAACCTGAATGATTATCACTATCTGTATAGATGGAAAAACTGAGGTTCAAAAAGATAAAAACAATTGTCATATGGAATTATATTTTCTGTTCTGCAATTAGTCATTTATTTGGTACTTACTATGTGTTATCAAGTGCAACTATATTTATTCTTCTTTACTAATTTTCCCATATTTTCCATATTAAGGGGGCACACTAAAAAACTATAAAGACGCCCAGAAAAACAGAAATGAAAGACGGTTCTTTGGTAAGATCAAATCCAGTTCCAGCATTGTTTAAAGATTTTGCTTCCTCATTTTCCCTGACTCTATTTTTCCATTTTTTATTCTAGTTTTTTAAAACATAGTACCTACATGTACTTTGGTGCCTCAAATCCTATTAGGCAAGTTTATTTCCATAAACTATTTGATTGCTAAACTATAAATTATGCAAGATATCAAGTCACACTTTAATAAAGTATGATTTGATAAAACAAAGCAAAAAATATAAATACAAGTTTCTCATTTTTATAAGTGTAAAATAGAACAGGATAAAAATATTTGTATACTCTGGCATGTATTATGGTATCATGATAACACTATTTTGGGGTCAGTATGGCTTTGATTTGAATTCAAATGTCAAAACATACTCCCTTCTCTGTAAAGATGAAACAATTCCAACTTTATAAAGTTGCTGCAAGTATTCTATGAGAAGACATACAAGTTCCCAGTACAATGTCTCACACATTATATGCACTCAGTCATGGAGGTGTCTGGTTTATTCCGGTGTGACAATGATGGTATGTCCAGAGTCCTTGAACTACCATTCAGCAGCAGAGCCCCAAACAGGAGTGTGCCTTTCATGTTGCATTTAGATCCATCTCTGTTAAAGTAGAACAGCCTGACTTATTTGTTGTTGTTTTGTTTATGGCCATAATCCTTTGCCACTTATTTTGAGATCAGCATCCTAATATTCTCTGAGGCAGTACTTCTCCACAACTCTCAGTCCATGCTGTTTAGGTAGGGATGTCTCACTAAACATGGGACAGCATGGATGTGACAACATGGATGTCTCACCCCATGCTGTTTAGATGGGGATGTCCCTTCTCCTTCAGGAAAAGGGACATGGCCTGGAATGGCCAATAAAAGTCACATGATTGATTAAAGAATGATCATGGGACTCAAACAGGATCAGTGGTTGTAACCCCAATACTTCTGCTGGAACTGATAGGAAAGAAACACTCACTTTCCACTGAATTGCTGAACAAGTGGGATAGACATCTGGAGCCATTATGGGCTACTGTGAAAGGATAACTCACCTAAGAATCAAACTAACTGGAGTAAAGGTGATGGAAAGAAACTGACATTTGATGGCAACTTTTAAGTTTCTGGATCCATTTGTGCTTGAAGACAAGTTATACCTCACCTTTTCAATTATGTGGATGAATCTGTGTGGCAGATGACTTTTAAAATGACCATCAATAATCCAACTTTCTAGAATTCATGCCTTTGTGTAATCCTTCCTCTTGAATATGGGTTAATAATTTGCTTTTAAAGAATAGAATAAGTCAAAAGGAATAAGATGTCAACACCATGATTAGTTACAAAAGGCTGTGACTTCTGTCTTACTAGCATGCTCTCTCAATTGCCATCTTGGCTTGCATACTGTGAAAAAGCAGCTGCCACAAGGGTGAGATGCCTGGTGAGGAACTCAGATGACCTTTGGTCAATACAAGGGAGGAACTAATGATACAGACAGGAAGCAGGAGAGCAGGGTCCCTGGTGAGGGGTCCACCCTCAAGCCTGGACCCATGACCCTAAATGAGAACAGGCATTCCTGTTTTTGCACCTGAATGTTGCTTTGTGGCCAACCCCTCCCTGCTATCCTGTGCCCATATAAACCCCAAACTCCACTGGCAGAGGAACAGAGTGGCACGGCAGAGGAGAGAAGAGAAGAAGCATCTGAACGTCGAAGAGGCAGCTAGATGGTTGGAGATTATCTTCCCACTCCATCCCCTTTCCAGCTCCCCATCCCACTGAGAACCATCTTTATAACTCAATAAAACAGCACATGGAGAGTAATTACTAAATATTAATAAAATATTAACACAATATTGCTAGTGATCACTAAATATTAATAAAATATTTAATCCGATATGATTCACCAAGTTACACTGTCAATATCTTGCAAGAAAATTTGTATTGTCTTTATGAAAAGAATGAGTCATGTCTAACAATTAAATTCAGTCTAGCACGCTTTACAAAATTTACATTCTGGCTGATAAGATTGCAACAGACACACAAAATGAATCACAGGAGAAAGTGGAAAAATATTTTTGAATACCTGATCCTACAAACAAATACAATTGTTACAATTATAAATAATGAAATAACGTATTATTGTGCTTTTAGGAAATCATATTTTTTGGAAAAAACATAATGAGAAAGTAAAAAGAGTGATAATTATTACTACTATCATTAATACAAATATATTAATATTAAATTATAAATATTATAGTAGTAAAAATCATAATTGATTTTACTGCTACTACGTGCCATGCATTGCACCTTTTCCTGTAATTGTTTTATTGCTCATAACCACCCTGTGTGAAAGATGTTGTCACATTTTTGTAAATGAGGAAACTAAAACTCAGAGAGAATAGGTAATGTCATTTAATCAGGGTGAAGTTTCAAATCTAGATCTGCCTGAATTTAAAGACTGAGCTTTTTCTTTCATGCTATAGATAGGTGCAGATAAGACTGCCTTTGGGCAGTCTATTAAACTACTTAGCTCATAAAAACTAGAAAAGTAGAAAACTGAGTTATTTGTTTATTCTGGCTATAAAGATAACTAATTTAAAGCAGACAGAGGCAGCTTCCATCTCAGATGAGAACCACCTTTATAACTCAATAAAACCTCCGCATTCACCATCCTTCAAGACCTGATTCTTCCTGGACACTGAACAAGGACCTGGGTACCAAGATGGCAGGCTGTAAAAGGCTCTCGCCCTGACTCTACACTGCTCTGGTTAACACTTAGCCGTCAGTGGACAGCAACTGCTAAAAGAGCATTGTAATACATTTGGACAATCCTGTGGGGCCAGCACAGGGCCTGCTCCCACCAGAGAGAAGTGGCCAGCCGTTCCAGCTTTCCTTCGCTCCAGTTTCTGCACTCGCTTAATTTGCATGCTTCCTCCTGTGAGGAGTGGCCAGAGGCAGGCTGAGTGAAATGAGCCTCTCCAGTTCCTGCTCACAAAGGAGTCAGGGAGCTCCCCAATTTCACTAAGACACTTGGTCCAACAGTGGCCCAAGGAACTGAATGTTACCAGTAACCACTGAATGATTTAGGTAGTGGATCATTTACCATTCTAGCCGCCAGATGACACTGCTGACACCTGGCTGACAGCATGACTATAACCTTGTGAGCGACCATGAAATAGAGAGCCAAGCTAAACTGTGCTCAGATTCCTGACCCAGAGAGACCTTGAGATTAAAAAGTGTGGGTCCTTTTAAGAAGCTCAGTTTCAGAGCAACCAGGGACATAGTAATGGGTAACTAACACAATCCATTTAAGTCGCTTCTGTGTCTAGCATCCAAAAGTTCCTGACAATTTGTTTAAAAATATTTTTTTCATAGAATAAAAAAGAAGCAGCAAGATGAACAGCATTAAGAAAAGATGAAGTTTTAGTAACAGTCTCAGTGGCCTTGAAACTGTCTAAACAAGTGACATAGCATGAGTTCTTTTTCAGGGTCCCTTGTTTCTTGTTTTTAATTTTAACCACAAAGGAGGCAATCTTTAACTTTTAAAAAAGTCTTTAAAAGTTTAGGAATAATTTAAATGCACTTAACAGTTAAGTACTTTAAAAACTTTCAGGAAAATATGTAACAACTAGCAAAAATGAAAAATTCTCCCAGAAGACTTAAAAAAAATTATTTTTCCCTTAGGAGTATTGAAAGAGTAAGTAGAAGAAAGACTGAACAAGTTTAAGATAGAAAATAGAAATTCCGTGGTTTCTTTTTCCTTACCAAATCAGAAAATCACTACATAATAGACTGAAAATAACTTGTTTGAAGTTAGGGACATTTTGATGTAGGGAACATTTATCAAAAGACTGAAAAGACTCAGTGCAAATGACAAAATCAAAATAGCACCTCAGCTGAAAAATGTAGATGAAGCAAATGTTTATAAGCAAGCTATAAGTCGTATTTCAAGTCCTTGCCACCAAAGGGGACCTTAGAAATGTTCTAATCCAGTCTAATTCATACTGTAGGTGAGAGAACTGAGGCCCAGAACAGTTACAGTACTTTCTAAAGCTCAAGCAATTAGTCAATACAGAGCAAGGGTTGCTTTTATATCTTTGAACTCCAAGTTCTTTTCTTTTAGAAAATATTACAACTATATATTACAGACATTTATAATTGGGAGTGCCCTAGGAGAATTGAAGATGGAGTCCACAGAGCTCCCAATATTCTCCAACTACACATTTTCAGCCTTGCCATACCAAACTGCCCTAAAAAACAAACCCAAGGAGGAGCCTGCCATGAGAACCAGCCCCATCATCCAAAAGTGGGATTCAGTTTGGAAGCACTGATAGCAAAATAACAATTGTTTATAACTGGGCCATTATGACAGAATGGTGCCCATTCTGACTGGTGAGGGCCCATGCCATAATGGTTGTTAGCAAAATATTTTGAATATCTTCCTTGACTACATCTCTGCTTGTCTCAGTCATCACAAGGAGCTCTAAACCTCAGGTCATCCCTTATGACCAAGATTCCCCTCTTCATAAGGCTCTCTGTAGCTCCTGGTCCAGCCTAATTTCTTACTCCTCCATTACTGCAGAAACATTTCATTGTAATGTTTGGAACTCATAGTCTGCCATCAGCAAATGACTTCTCTTCTAAATCTCTCCAATAACATTCCTTCCCATCCTAATGCTAACCTGGCTGAAAATGAGAGCATCATTTTTGCTCCTCTGTACCCTATTATTATTTTTCCCTTCATTATTATTTCCCATCATTATTTTTGCCTTCTCAAAAAAATCAAATGAAACCACTTAGCTACTCTAAAGTACAGGCCATCAGATTACAGACTCCTCTACCCCTGCTCCCACAGTCATCTTTCATCCTCCTGATTATCCCTGCTATGGTTTACATGTATGTGCCCCTCCAAAATTCATATGTTGAAGCTTAACCACCAATATGATAGTATTAAGAGCTGGGGCCTTTAGGGAGTGATTAAGTCATGAGGACAGAACTTTCTTGAATGGGATTAATGACCTTATAAAAGAGGTACAGGAGCACTGTCTCTCTCTCTTTTGCCCTTTCCATCCCTTCCTCCATGTGAGGACATAGTGTTCATCCCTTCTGGAGGATATAACAAGAAGGAAGCAGAGAGCAGCCCTCACCAGACACAATCTCTTCTATGGCCTTGATCTTGGACTTTCTAGCTGCTAAAATTGTGAGTAATAAATAATGATTTATAAATTACCCAGTCTGTGGTATTTTGTTGTATCTGCACAAATGGTCTTAGACAATCCCCCTTCACTCACTAAAGACATAAACCCTAGGATTGTTGCCTTTTTCTCCACATTTCTTCTATAATAATTTTTAATAATTGCAATGTTCACATAAAAGAACCATCCAGGTATTTCAGCTCCTAGAACTCCTTACGTCAGATTTTCTAATCTCCAGGCCACTTCTCCCACCCCACTCCCATGGTCACATCTTAGAACTTATAATCACCAATAGCATAAAACCTGTTAAATCACAACCACTTATTGTCTTCTCCATCCATTTCCAGAAGTACCTCCACTCCAATGATTCTTTGACTCCATGGGATCCACAATACAGTGGCCCTAATAAGTTTATCAGCAGTCACTTACCTTGTCCTTTCCTCCCTGTTAAAATAGCCTAGAATTCCATGGTGGTTCATCATTTTAATCACAATCCATTGCCTGCACGGACCCTAAATTCTTTGCTCTTTTCTCTCTCTATCTTACACATCTCACAATAAACAACTGAAGAGAAACTAAATTTACCATTTGTTCTCTTCTTACTCATGAAACTGAACATGGCTAGAAAAAAACTTGTCATATTGACCAATGGCACTTTAAATTTATGACTACACATTTCAAATTGACTCTCAAACATTGCCTTCATCTGATCAATTCATTCTCTTATTCTCCGAAATGTTTATTTCACACATTCTTCTCTCTCCTCAGAATTCTCCAAATTTTTCCATTCTTAACTCTCAGTTTACCCCTTATTTCACTAAAAATAAAAACTAAAACAATCCAAAGACATATGTCATATATATGCACTACCAAATTTACTAATACCTAAGTATCTGTAGCTAAATAATATTTCCTCCTTTGGATGTATTGTACATACTCCTACCAAAGTGTAGTTCCTATACTTGACCATTGGATCTGATTTCCTATCTTCTACTTAAAAACTGTGTTCTTATAATAATCCCCTGTCTCTCCTGAAACATCATTATTTTCCTCTCTCTCTCTGTCTTTCTCTCTCTCTCTCTCTCTCTCACACACACACACACATACACACACACACACACACACCATCATCATTCCATTCATTCCATTACTATGTAAGTAAGCAAAAATAACTGCATCTCAAAATAATCTTTACTGAATAGCCTGCAAACTGTTCATCAATTTTTGTATTTGTAAAACTCCTTTAAGACTCAAAATAGTTGTTTATAATCTCTGCTTCAACTTTCTCACTTGCCTTTCTCTCTTTACTCTAAAATGGCTCCATCCTCAGAAAAACTCTTCTCAAGCTGCATTTATCTAGGTCACTATGCTCTTCCATATTGCCTAATCCAGTGGTCAAGCCTTCTATCTTATTTTACTCTGTCAGCAGCATTTGACATTACCGAGTATCTTCTCCTTCTGGAAAGAGTTTTTGATGGGCTTCCAAGACAACACAATGTCTTAATTTTTCTCCTACTTCAGGACCAACTCTTTTTCAGACTCATTTGCCCAATTTCTTTTCTCTTTTCTACATCTAAATGTTAGAGAGAGCTTTGGGCTCTTTTCCTACATCTTCTGTCCCCACACACTTCACAGAGGATCACCAGTCCCATATTTTCAAAGGACTTCTACAGCCAGACAACTCCCCAAAATATATTTCCAGCCTGGACCTCTCCTCTGAACTTCAGACATGCAGATTCCGCTGATTTCTACTCTTCCTTTTCTTTTACTTGTCTAACAGGCATCTTAAATTCAACATACAACCAACTCTTAATTTTCCCACCCCATTGGTGAGTCATTCCATTCCATTTTGGTAAATAATATCACAAAAATACATGCACTTATGAAATGTTTAAGTTTTATAAATCCATATAAATCAGGGGCACTATGTAGATCAGTTATCCACTGAAGCAGAGAGAAAAGAGAGAGAGAGTGAGCATGCAAGGGAGCACAAGAGAGCAATTTAATAGCCAAGAATAACTAAAAAGTGATTCAGTTTTTACTGGACACTTCTGCTTCCAACCATGTTAAAGTAACATGGGTCATATTACCCTCCTGCCAAGAAGAACTATAATAGCTTGAATAGAAATTTAAAATTTGAGTTTGACAGCATTGAAGTTGAATTCAGTGAGGACTAGAGGGACAAAGATTCTAGAGACAGGAGAAGGTATTGAGGAAAGCCCAAATTCACGGAAGTCTTTTCTCTCTAGGCAGTTACTGAATAAAGATATAATATAGCAGTATATGCCAAGATATATGGGGCATATAAACAGAAAGTTGGCGGCATACTCCTGCTTAAGGAGGCAAAAATTTGAGTTAGGGCTATCAAGAGAGCACTGCTCAATAGGCCTATGTTCCAGAAAAAAAGGAAGTCCAGTTAAGTAAGCCTGACTTTCTGCATGAAATCTTCCCTCAAATCACTTGCCAGATCTTAAGCTGTGAATCTGCAGAAAAAGGGTCATCAAACCAATACTTACAAGAGGCTAAAATGTTAAATAGAGTTGTTTGAAGTTTTACAAAGCTAGAGAGATAAAAATTGAAGTTCAGTGCTCATAAGGAAAGAGGGACTCTTGTAGTTACTCCAGGCTCTCCATTGAGACTCTGAAGAGCTCTGCACTGCGAGTGAGGAAAAATCAAAAGGAGAGAAGCTCCTAAATCTAGCTCCACCTGAATCAATGGGATTTTCCCATATTATGTATGCCTACCAAAAGAAAATCAAGTCCTCTCTGGAGGAAGACATCATCCAAGACACACTAAGATTTGTCCTAGACAATGTTTGGTAATAAATTTAAAAATTACCTGGAAGACTTGGAAACAAGACCTTAAAATACCAAAAACCAAGATAAGCAATAATAGAGAGATGATCTAGATATTGTAGACAGTTATCTAGGTAGGAATAAAATATAAATTTCAAGGCAACTATGATTACTACACTCAAAATAGATTAAAAGATAGAGGATTTCCACAAAAAATTTGAATATAAGATAATCAAATGCACATTCTAGAAGTGAAAAATACAATAATCAAAATTAATTTAATAGCAGAGAAGATATAGAAGAAGTAACGTTTCTAAACTGGAGGATATGTAATAGAAAACATCCACATTGAAATGTAAGTGGAAAAAATAGGAAAAATACATAAAAGCTCAAGGGGACATAATTTAAACAGTGAAAAACTCTAACATGCATCTAATCTGGTCACCAGAAGGAGAAAAGAAAAAGGATGAATCAGACAAACTATTTGGAGAGCACTACAGATAATTGTTTAAAACTGATGACTATTTCAAGCCACAGATTGAAGAAACTCTACTAACCAGCAACAGGATAAATCATATTTAGACACACAATAGTGAAACTGATGGGAATCCAAGATATAAAGGGAAACTCTTAAAAGCTGCAGGAGGAGGGCAAAATCACTGGAAAGGGGAAAACGATGAAAACAGAAGACAATGAGAAACGATATTTAAAATGATGGAAGAAAAATAAGTGCCAACTTAGAATTCTATACCCAGAGAACATGACTTTCAGAAATAACAGTGAATTTAAATCATTTCCAAGAAAACCAAAGCTGAGAAAATTCACTGTAGGAGATCTGATTAAATGAGATACTAAAGGGAGTCCTTGGAATAAAAGCAAATGATACCACGTAGAAGAACAGGTAATGCAGGAAGTAAAGATTATCAAAAAGGGTAAATAAGTAAATAGGTTAGTAAATCTAAATGAAATTTTGGCTGTATAAACAATAAGAACACTACTACGCGGAGTTTAAAATACAGAGATTATTAAGTATTTGGCAACAATATTATGAAAGGCAGATGGTGGGAAGAGTGATTAATGAAACTAAATTTTTTCAGGTCCTCTAAATTGTCTAGAAAGTGATAAAAAATATATTCCAAGGTAGAGTCTAATAATTCAAGGATTCCTGTGGAGAACTCAATGGTAGCCTCTAAAATAATAATAAAAGAATCCTAACAGAAGGGGGAAGTGGATTAAGAGAAAAAAAATCTTGAATAAACCAAGAGAAGGCAAGAAAGGAAAATAAAAGGAACAAAAACAGATGAGATACTTATTAAGAGAGTAGAATTAAACCCAAGTCTTTACTGGAGTCTCTTGAAAAAATATCTAATCATTTCCAATTCATAATCTCCAATAAACTTCCTACCATCCTTCTAGGGCATTCCATCTCACAGCTGTGCTAAGACTCTGCACTCTCTCTCTCTCTACCCCCAAACCATCTCTCTAACAGCTTCACCTTTGAAGCCGTGAACTATGAACAGAAGTTAAATAATATAGGAACAGATGCAAATAAAAACACCATACTAGTGGAAGTGCAAAAGGAAAAGGAAAAACAAAACTTCCTTCACAGCTCCACCCACCACCACAAATTCCTCTCCATTCATGATATAGATAAATACTACATTTTTGCTTCCTTTACTTTGGGAGAAGACATCTGCTCCTCTATCTCCACTCCAATCTGCTCAACAGAGGAGAGCTTTCATTTCAAACCAAGAATAAGAATTCTCCCTCCTTAAGAAGAGGGGAGATAGAGGAGACTGCAAACATTTATAATGCAATGTCATTTTATACCTGCCCTATTTCCATAGTATCTTTTTCATTCCTATTCCCCAAAGCCTACTATATGTTCCCAATACCATGAAATTAAGCAGTGTAAGCAGCAACTTGTACCCCTCAAACACCTGGCAGGGGCCGGGGGTGGGGGGGGCTATTTCTGTTCATTGAATTTCACAACTAAAAAAAAGGAAAGGAGTGACTCCCAATATCCATGTTTTAAAAGAAGGTGAAAGAAGTAACTGAAAAGTTATAGCATATAAAGTCATTTTTTAGCTAGAAGAGAATTGTAATATTTCCACTACAAAGAAAAGTGTTTGAGGTGGTAGATATTCCAATTACTCTAATTTGATCATTACACATTTTATACATGTATCAAAATATCACATGTACTCCAAAAATATGTAAAACTATGATATATCAATTTAAAAAATTTAAAAAGTAATTGTTATGTTCTCTGACCTATGTCCTCCGAAAAGCACTGAATTTCAAATCAAACTCCCAGGTGGAATCTGGGCTTCACCAGTTGACTAGTTTCATGACCTTGGGCAAAGTGGCCCCACACATCTGAACCTCACCTTCTTCATCCATGAAATGGAGAAGTAAAACAACTAAGTGAGGGTAAAAAAAAAATTTGTAAAATACTATGCCTAGATTGCAATATGTGTTCAATAAGTGTTAGCTCCTCTTCCTTTGCATAGTTTGGTCAGTATCTGTTTTCATAACTGAACTAACTGGATACGATTTTTTAAATTTGTGAGGTCCAGGATAGCAAAGCTCACACAACGCTCTGCTTCTCCTCCATCTGTCTGCCAACTGACATTCTTTGTTGCTAATCTAAGACCAAGCCATATGTTCTCCGTATGGGAGACTCTTTCCTGCCCAGGTGGGGAAGCAGACGCAATGATCTAATAAGTCTTTTCTGTCTCACTAGGGCAAGTCTTGGGAAAACTTCCAAACATTGAGAGGTTCTGATGAGACACCACAAGCTTGGGCGACTATGTTGTTCATCAATTTTTTTTTTTTTTACTTTCTTTTTTCTTCCCATGATACCCAAACCATGTTTCAATCCTGTCATTACCTGTTTCCTTGTCTCTGTTTAGTCTAGCAGACAGGTCAAGACTCTGAAAAACATTTCAACATGGGATGTCTGCGTGGTGTCAAAGACAGTATAGATGAAAATTATACATTAAGAATTGGAGAACTGAGTTGAGTTAGGCTCTGATCTCCAAATCCCAAACCTGCAGCATCCCAGCCAAATGAAATATGCCACTTTGGAAAGGGATGTTAAAGGTAGTCATAGAGGCAGTGACATTGGGTGGTTAGAGTTTAATGGAACTGTACTCAGCCAGAAGTAAAATGTATGAACAGAAGTTTTTGAAAAGAAAAAACAAACGCCACAGTAGTAGAAAGTACAAAAGAATGCAGGGAAAAGACAAAATTATATTCAGAATGGAATGAAAGGAAGAAACAACACATTGAGAGTAAAGGTAAATATTTGTTCCCTGGGTCACAAGTAAACAGTGTAAGCCTAGCACGTTAGTGTGACCACAGCAGACTGAGAGAAATCTCTGAGATGCCCTTGCTATTTTGACAGTTTTATAAAACAAAAATGAGGCTTTCACTTTATATTTTCTTAATATTGTACTCTTTTCATTATTTTGAAAATATTGGAAAGCTCATGCTTAAATAATCCTTCAAAGTTACTTTAATTAATAGTAAAATGCAGCAAAATTTGGGACATATTACTAACAGTCAAAGTCATTAATTGCAGATTCAATATGGGTGTGAGTAGCTACATTGGCCCCTTGTTCTATCCAGTTGCCTTCTACTTTCACAATGTTTAACTTAATTTGTATTGTTTTAGCCCACATGTATGACTTAGGTAAACTACTTACAATCTCTGAGCCTCAATTTCCACACTCACAACACAGTAATTTAAATCTCTGCCAGCTAACTGTCTCATAGGGAGTGTAATAGTAAAGGCATTTTTTCAAAGTGGTTTACCTCTTCTAAGGAATTACACTAAGAAGTTGATTGCCATACAGAATAAGCAGAGATTTATATATCCATTGAATTGGCTCCCTGCAAAGAGTGTGACAGGCCTTGACCTCAAGCCATGTGACCTGGCTCTAAATACGTATCATGATTTGGATTTGTGTTCTGTATGCTAATTGGTCATTATAATTTCCCTAATTATACTCATAAGAGAAAAGATTTTTTCAGAAAGACTGAAAATCAGTGTCAGTTTCTCAGGTGACACCACCACAGATCACTAATAACTACCTTCCTGCATGTACGAACCTGTCCAAGAAAGCTTCCCGTCATCATTTCCAGCTCTTTTCACCATACACTAGGTTACATTATGCTACCATGTCAAAGAAATACACAATTAACAAGAGTATATAATTAGAGTTTATGCCCTGTCCAGACTATCTTGATGTTTCTCACAGGTAGGGACAGGCAATACATGTCCAAAACTTCCATTGCATCTAGGAGGCATGCCACAGATATTAATATTTTCTGCTTTCACATCTACAAAAAGAAAATTCAACAGGAAGATGTCTGTAGCATGTTCAGTGACATGCCTTTGAATTTATCTGAGGCTCTGTTCTTCAAGGAAAGCATTCCTATGACTGTTCATGAATGTAGTAACAAAAATTACTTCTGTATTAGCTCAGTGTATTTACCATGTACAGAATTTGTGTACCTCTAGGCAGCCGGTCTCTACAAGGATTTAAAAAAAGTGAGAGGGATCTGATATTATATTAAAGTACTTCATTTCTTTCCCAAATTAGTTCTCTTTCTGAAAGATAATGCTGGATAGTTATCCATGTAATACTTTCATTATAACAGAATGGCGAAGAATTACATTAGCTTCAAAAGAGATATGAACTGGAAAGCTCATTTTTGTGATAATGGAATTCATCAAGGAGACTGAGGAGACACCAGGAAAGATTCACAAAAGATGTCATTTTTTCCTTACTGTCTAAATTTTTTTTTCTGATTACCAAAAGAACTTAGGTCTTTATAAAAAGCATACTTTTTAATTCACCTGGAACCATGTTTCTGGTTTATCACTGGTCTCACTAAAAAGATATTAGGTATTTTGGTCTAACTGTGAATTACACTGGCTCATCAAGAGGACCTGAATATTTAACATTTAGCAAAGAGGGTTCTCCATCATGTTTGATTTCTAACCATTTATATCCCAAAAATAGCTTTTCTTTTCCAGGCATTAAAGTAGATCTTTGTGGGGATGTCCCAATCCTTAGGGTTCTAAATTTACCTCAAATCTTTCAGGTTCTACATTTAAGATGTCTTAAACCTTAGAAGGCTGCATCTCACTTCCAAGTTACAAAATTTTAAATATTTTCAAAAGCAATATAAGTTTGTCTTGCAGAGCTTTGGTGGGGCTCTTACAAATGACTTATCACAAACAGAAGTCACTGTGAGTATTTTCAGGGTTTTCTTAGTCATTGGCAAAGCTCAATGATGTTTTACTAAATATTAAACAATTTATAAATACTTGAGATAGATTCTCTGTTCTTTCCACGTCTAACCTGCAATTATTCCCTCAGTTTCACCCTCTGTTGAACCTTACCAGCTATGTGATCTTGAGAAAACAATTGAACTTATTTAACTCAGAGTTTTCACCTCTAAAATGGGAAGGATCATTTTCGCCCTATCTATCCCACAGGAATGTGCAGTAATTATATGAGATTATGTATGTAAAACTTAATGGTGACATATGAATTGTCACTTATCAAATGCCACTATTCTTATTTTTCCTCTTTTTTTCTTTTGAGATCAGAACGCCACCCACCCCATTTCTAAACCCATTGTATTTTATTTAATAAAACAAATGATGAGACATAGGTCCTTCCCACTCTCAGATTTAAAAAAAAATCTTCTCTACACTTTGGGGAAAAAAACTCCATAGACATTTTCTGCTGTGGACAGAAAACGTTATGCCCTGCAGCTGCCAGCTTGATTTGGAGTCCTTGTAATGTCAAAGCAGCACTAGGGATGTCTACAAATTGAGTCAAGGTGAGTTCATGGAGATAAGGAAAGGGAAAGAGAGATGCTGATGAACAGTCTTCCATCATCTATTCCCTTCTCAGTCATTCCCTTCTCAGTCATCACCAGCTTTCAAAGAGAAACAATTTTAATGTAACATTCTAGAACTGCCCATCATGTTTCACAGGAGAAATTGCCCCGCCATCATTGTTTGTTGCTCTGTGCTTAGAATCATTTGGTGTGGGCTACTTTCTGTCTACTAGCCAACAAAATAGAGTCAGCTTCTCATATTCCAAAATTTCATTAGGAAGCCATTTGTTCACAACCTCAAAATCATCTGCCTATAATAATAGGAATAAGTAATGCTTGGGTCTCCACACAAGCCTAACAAGTCCATGTTGAACCTGAAATACCACACATATGAAAAAAATTAGAGCGAAATCGGGCAAGAATTAAATAACATAAAATTGGACAAAGCAAAAATAAATTAGTTGCACTCTGGTTTTTGAGGAAAACTAGGTTTATTTAGAGAGAAGAGATAGATTGAGTTTTAGGAATTCTGAAAGAAAACTGAAGATCGATCCCAAGACTCTCAGGTTTTAGTGTCAATGCTGAGTTTTTGTTGTTGTTTGCTTGTTTCACATAAAGGCTACATAATTTCTTGATAGTGATGTGTCCAATCACCCTTATGTAGCTTATGATTATGGTCATTTGAGAGCTCACAATTGAGACATGCACAAGGAAAGATAGAAAGAAAAGGCAGAGGAGAGAGACTTTACAGACGGACCTAGGCAAAAATTACAAGACGAATGCAACACACCTATGTAACAAACCTGCACATGTACCCACTGAAGCTAAAATAGAAGTTGAAAAATAATTACAAGACAAGGGAAAAGAGAAGTTAAAATAAATGCATGAATATATGCAATGAAAAACATATGCCAGAAGTGGTGTTGACTGTGATCTGAAATGAACAAAAGCAAATACCAAGATACTTGTGAATTGGCAAAGATAGATTAAAATCATGACATGCACCAACTACAAGAAAAGAGCATCCTTAAAGAAATTTCTTTTGGAAGTCAGAAGCAGGCTCAGAATGAGGGGTATCTGAATTTGAAGGGCAAGGGAAAAGGGCCCAAGAGCAAACTGAATGCAAGGATGTTTGCAAATCAAGTTCTTATCATTTGGGGAGTGCCTGCACTTTAAGGCATAAACAATATCTATGTGGAAGACTTGAAAAGCTGCTGAGTGCTCATAAATATATGTATATTAAAATAGATGTTGAAAAGTTAGGATGCTCCCACACATCTTAAAAATGTTTTACACAAAAGGAACAGTAAGCATGCAGAAAGAGCTAAGTAGAATAGAGTGCAAACGTATTAACCATTAGGCCAATAATAGCATCTGGCATTGTCGATTGTCCTGAAATGTCTTGATAAATTTCAGTGGTTTAAAAAAAGGATATTATCATGTGACAACTGATGGTTTTCTACCACTGTCTGACTGGACTACAACTCGCTGAAACAGCAAATCATTTTATGAGCACTCTAACAAGCAAGCAATAGAAGAATACTTTCCAGTATTGAGATTTTTAAGGGTAGATACAGACTACCTGTCATAATTCCTGTGCTTGACACAGTTTCCCATCAAGAGGGCTGTAGCTGAAACAGCATGGAACCATTATGCTTTGGAGAATGTGATAGAAAAGCTAGGGCACTAACAAAAGAGAGGAGAAACAAAGGAGATGGCATGACATCAGTCTGCCCATAGTAGTAGCAGAAACACCATTTTAATGTCATGAAAATTCTCTGCTGTCTGTAAGTCATTTCATTTGTGTTATTTTACATAGTTGATAGTTAACAGCATATTAGTCAAGTATACATTAGTAAGAAGCAGTTATTAAGAATCCAATGATCACTAAATATTAATAAAATATTAATGCAGTATGTCTAGCGATCACTAAATATTAATAAAATATTTAATCCAATATGATTTACCAAGTTGCACTATCATTATCTTGCAAAAAAATTTGTATTGTCTTATGAAAAGAATGAGTCATGTTTAACAATTAAATTCAGTTTAGTGCACTTTACAAAATTTACATTCTGGCTGATAGGATTTCAATAGACACACAAAACAAATCACAGGACCAAATGGAAAAATATTTTTTAAATACCTGACCCTACAAACAAATATAATTATTACAATTATATATAATGAAATAACTTGTTATTGTGCTTTTAGGAAATTGTATTTTTTGGAAAAAAACATAATGAGAAAGTAAAAAGTGATAATTATTACTATCATTAATACAAATTAATATTATATCAATATTAAATTATAAATATTATAGTAGTAAAAATCATAATTGATTTTATTGCTACTATGTGCCATGCATTACACCTTTTCCTGTAATTGTTTATTGCTCATAACCACCCTGTGCGAAAGATGTGGTCACATTTTTATAAATGAGGAAACTAAAACTCAGACAGAATAAGTAATGTCACTTAATCGGGGTGAAGTTTCAAATCTAGATCTGACTGAATTCAAGGACTGAGCTTTTTCTCTCATGCTATAGATAGGTACAAATAAGATTGCCTTTGAGATTCTATTAAACTACTTAGCTCATAAAAACTAGAAAAGTGGAAAACTGAGTTATTCCTTTATTCTGGATATAAAGATAACTAATTTTAAGCAGAAAGAGGCAGCTTCCATCTCAGATGATCAGACACAGCCTGGGGAAACTGCTCCTTCTTACCTTGAACCCTTGATGCTACCACTCCCACATCAGAACAAGTGGAACGATCTTGCCATTCCCAAGACCATGTGACCCAGTGGAGCTAGAAGGATCGGGATACAAACCCCGACTCTGCTACTTGCCAACTTTGTATCTGGGAAAACATTATTTCACATCTCTGAATTTCAATGTTCTCATCAAAAAGCAAGGAAAATTAGCACAGGCTTTTGGGCTTGTCACGATTTTGAACATGTTTGAAAAGTGCCTCAACAGTTGTTGGGACAAATTAGGAGAATAATGAACTGGGACTTTTATTCTTTCTAAAGCCGCAAATCTTGTGAAGGCTGAGGCCAAGGACTAAAGAATGGACCTCAGCTGGAAATGCCCCATGCTGTGTAAGGCATCCTCTGTTAAAGCTAACTCACAGAGAAAAGAAAAGGGGGACTTAAGCCCAAGGTGGGACTCCTATACTAGCAAATGAGAACAAACTGGCCCACTTCGTCTAGCCTGCTCAAACAGTTGGAGCTGGAAAAAGTTGGCAGTTTGAGCTGACAGCTTTTGCTGTCTGTATATTATTAACTGGCTTCCCCAACTGGCTGTGACTGTTTACTCCCTAAACTGAATTTTTTGACCAAGATCTCAGGCAGACCTGCAGACCCTAGCCCTATCAGCAAATCCATCACTGGATTAGTTGTCCCTTCTTGATACTTTAATTTTCTCAGTCATATAAATTGGCCAGGTGTGGTGCCTCCGCCTATACTGCCAACACTTTGCGAGGCCGAGGCAGGAGGATTGCTTGAGCCCAGGAGTTTGAGATCAGCCTGATAAGTATAGCGAGACCCCTGTCACTACAAAAAATACCAAAAAAAATTTTACCCGGTGGCACATGCCTATAGTCCCAGCTATTCAGGAGGCTGAGGTGGGCGGATTGTTTAAGCCCAGAGGCTGAGGCTGCAGTGAGTCGTGATGGTGCCACTGCACTCCAGCCTGGGTGACAAAGCAAGACCCTATCTCAAAAGAATAATAATAATAATAATATAAACTTAATTAATGTGCATAGAATACATCTGTTTTATGTATCAAACGATATTTTCCTCCAACTGAAAGAATTATCTTTGTTTGAATCTTCTAAAGTGCAAATAGTATTACTATTTCCAAACCAATGTTTTCAAATTAACCTTTCAGGTAGTATTTTCCCATGGCAACACAGGAAATAAGACAATAAGCAAAACTAGAATTGCTTTACCCACATTCACTTCACAATTTCCCCAAAACTCATTATTTTCAAAAAGGTAACAGTTATGTAAACACTGAGAATGATCTATCAAAGCCATCAAACATTCCTAGTTTTATTGTCAAAATGGGGTTAGCCACAAGGTTTATCCCACAACCCAGTGAGTTTGGAAAACTATAAAAAAGTTTTAAAAGTAAGAATCAAGGTGATGAAAGAAAATCTATCTCAATACAGAAAACCCATGTCATATTTAAAAGACATAGGAGTCACTTGTGAGCCTACATGAATAGGTGGCGGAGTATGTAAAACATTGTTATCGGATTGAAATGAATGGAATGCTGGTCTTAGATCTGCCTTCATTGTTGGCTCCTGAGAAAACTCCCAGACCTTGAGTACCTTATATTGAGTTTTCCTTAATTTTAAGAGAGAAGAGTTGAAAAACTGTGATCTGCCTGAACCTTGCCAGAAGCTTCTTCAAACCATTCCCATTTTTAAAATGAGAAACTAAGATGAAGAAATTTTGAATACATTTAAGCTAAAATAAAGACAGCAAACCCTGCCCTATATCCTTAGAAGTTTATTCTGGAGAGAAGGGGAAGATGTATGCAAAAGCTTTTGGATAAGTTAAAAGATGTATTAGTATGCAAAAGTTTACTTCTATTAAGAAGAAAAATGATCTTGAATCATAGAGGGAAGGTTTCAAGATAGATTTTGTAAATGATGCTGAAATATGCTTTTAGGAAAGGATGTGGGAATTTCTCAAAAGAAAATTATTGAAAGCTATTTCATGGTGTGGTTTAAGTGTTTGCAGAAGACAAGTTAAACTATATGACTTTCTGAAATTTCTCTGAGCCTAGAGTCTTTGAAATTTAACCCAAGAGCTTTCAGACCAGACAGTTCTTTTCTTCATTTATTGATTCACTTGAAAAACATTTGATGAGCATCTACTATGTGCTAGGTCCTGTGCACAGTGCTGGGGCATGCAATGATGCACACGATGCTGTAAGACAAGTTTCCTGGCCTACAGACTCTCCCAGAGAGGAGACTGCTACAAGGACAGGGCAAAAGTGAATGGCTAAGTAAGCACAGCCGTCTTCATTGTGTTTGCACCAGTCTCTTTTGCAGCTCGCTCACACTAGTCTCCCCTAACCCCCTTTGATAGTCGCCCACTCAGAACTGGCCTGTCTTACTAGGTGCTTTAGTCCCATCTCTCTCAATTTTCTTCTGCCTTACCCCAGTCTACAAGTCTAAGAGAGAAGGACATGCAGTTTTATCAATGCATTTCTAATAAATGTTTAATTCAAAACCATCCTACTGAGGGAAAGAGGATTATAGATTAAAAAATGACATTTATTGGCCGGGCATGGTGGTTCACACCTGTAATCCCAGCACTTTGGGAGGCCAAGGTGGAAGGATTGCTTGAGGCTAGGAGTTCAAGACCAGCCTGGAAAACATAACAAAACCCCATCTCTACAAAAAAATAAAAAAATAAAAAATTGGCCAGGCATGGTGGTGTGTGCCTGTAGGCAGACTGAGGTGGAAGGATCATTTGAGCCTGGGAGCTTGAGACTACCTTGAGCTGTGATCATGCCACTGCACTCCAGCCTAGTAACAGGGCAAGACCCTGTTTCAAAAAAAAAAAAAAAAAAAAAAAGGAATGACATTGAGATTTATTAATACAAATTTATTATTCTCTAAGGATACAGGATAGAAAATAAGGCAGAATGAAGAGAAGGAAGTTATATAGATGTGAGAGACAGTTGATGAAAGATATAATTCTTGGTACTCTTTAAATCACACCAATATAAACTGTGCTCTTATAAAGCCAGCCCTTTACCCTTTTTCCTCAGGGTGCCAAAACTAAGTGTCAAACAGCTGAGGCTCCATAGATCTTTGCCTAAGCATCTCATACCCGTCCCCTACATCATCTTGAATGAATGTCCATTTTTTAATGGTATCTATATTTCTGTTTCAGTGAAAGAATTTTACTTCTTTTAGGGATCCTAAAAGTATACATTTCCATGATTTAAACTGAAGCTATCTCAGGGGAAACACAATGTATGGAACATTAAAAAAAAAAAAGGTGTTATTAAAATTCTGTTTGCCCCTTGCCTATTCAACTACCACCCAATTCAAACTACACATAGACATAGCCTAGGTCTATACCATTTGAATGGCAAGTTAAAAATGCAAAGAGACATCTGGATGTTTCCAAGGATCCAAGTGTTTGGCATTATGTAGACAAATATATGGATGATGGCCAGGTTGTTAAAATGCTGGAGATAGTTTATGAAGACGCCTTCTCATTACCCAAAATATTCCACAAAGGGTGAAATATCTTCACCTCAAGTTTTCCTGTGGAGACTATGTAAAAAGTGATTTGGAGAGAAGATAAAGGGGCCTGTCTTCCTGTGTAGTATCAGACACTAGCCCAGAGTAAATGCTTTTGGCTAGTCCAATAGGTAAAATTATCTGCTTCTAAATTTCAACGTCTGGCATTTCTCCATTGTAGCTGACCTCATAATGCTCTATTCCCTGAAAGGCATTTCTTTCCTCATTCAGCTTTCTCCATTAGCCAGGCAAATACGGATAGAACTGATCCTGCAAACAGGTTTCCTAAAAGCAAAGACAAATATAAAGCTTTAGTTCATTAACATTAATTTTTAAAATTTCTACATTTGGATGAAATTAACCCTATTTGCAGCATAAAACTGACAAGCCCATACAGACTTTTAACACCCCATTAATCTTACTTTGTTAGACTGGGGCATACACCAGCCAAAAACTGGAAATTTGATTAGCTGGTCCCATGCATTAACTATCTCATTGGTATGGCATTTTAAAATATTTTCCAGATATACAAAGCCACATTAGTTTTTTTTCAAGATCTAGATGGGGTTAGCAAAAAACATACCAAACAATCTCCTGCTCATGAAATAGTTGCACTTCAGCTACCAAGAAATGGATTTTCTCTTAGGGATTTTTTTTCACTGATAAATAATAATCTTGAAGAGGACTATGCAGGCTGAACTTTGATTTGTGGTAACCTTTTAGCTCAGGGCATTTTTTTCCCCTAATCCTCTAGATTTATCAGGATCTACTAAATTTTTTTCCAGTGGCAATTTGATAATAATTTTCAACTTTATACAATACTCTGGGGTTCTCAGAAAATCCTTCTGATGGACATGAATCCGATTGGAGTCATTTTGAAATGGATAGTCAATTTATTGGATTAGTTGATAAGGTGATGAAAATCTCTTCTAATCAGATGAATACCTTTAATGAATCAAAAAGGGCTTTTTCATCCATCTCTAACTCATTAAAAGCCTTTGTAAATCTCCTAGAATGACTTAATGGTACATTTTACGTCCCTTTCTTCTTTTGTGATTTTTAAACAGCTTAGCAAATTGTTCATAGAGAAAACTGTGTATCACAGCACAAATGCTTCAGTGCAAAAGCTAATGCAACCCCTCGCTCCCAGGGAGTTGGCCAACCAAGCCCAAATCAGAAGGACACCAAAACTAATCTATTTTAAATTCTCTGAGACCAGAAAAATAAGTTGTAATGCACAAGGGCATTTTCTCCTGGAGTTTTCACCTGAGATTTCGATCTCTCCTCTCCTGTCCACATTAAGCAAAAAGAATAGAAGCATGGCCTGAGGCAAAGCAAGGCCTTTTCTTCTAAACTCCTGAATAGTGTCACAGTTGGTGAAAGCAGCTGATTTAACAGAGTGACTTACAACAGATATATTCACCTGAGGATTCTTTCAGTTTCTCAGCAAAATAACTGGGCAGTTAAAGGCATATGCCCTTTTTTGCTTTTCCGTTCTTTAACTGATACTAATTTGCTAAACAATTCTATAGAAACCAGTGTTTCCAACAACTATTTTCATTCTATCGGTATTCAAATTAGTATTCACTACATTTCTTCTCCTGTGCCAGTCTGGTATACACCCTTACTGTCGCTAAGAAACCTCTGCTAGGGCCGAAGAAATTCATAGCTAAACGAGCAACCTCAGTATAGTCAGGCATCAATTAATGACAGGTATACGTTCTAAGAAATGCATCAAAGATAATTTTGTCATTGTACAATCGTAGAGTGTACTTATACAAACCTAGAGGGCATAGTCTACTACACATCTAGACTATATGGTATATAGCCTGTTGGACCTAGGCTACAAACCTGTATAACATGGTACTGGACTGAATATCGTAAGATAACACAATGGTAGCTATTTGTGTATCTAAACATACGTAAACATAGAAAAGGTAAAGACATGATAATTGTAAACTTATGGGACCACCGTAATATGTGCGGTACATTGTTGACCGAAATGTCTTCATGCTATATTCTGAAAAGATAGCTACATTTACTTCAAATAGGAACAAGGAGGTGATAGCAAACTTAATTGCTTTTCCTGAGTGTCAGGTCACTTCTCATAGCATATGGGTCACCAAGGCCCCTGTGAGCCTTTCATCCAACCTATCAGCTCCTCATTCAGCTTCTACTCAATGACAAAGTCACCAAATACCACACTAATG
The DNA here is from genome assembly GCF_000001405.40 of Homo sapiens. Lineage (NCBI taxonomy): Eukaryota > Metazoa > Chordata > Mammalia > Primates > Hominidae > Homo > Homo sapiens. The sequence continues at coordinate 107,124,068 of NC_000005.10, forward strand.
CTGATGACTATTTTTAATCACAAAAGGGATACAGCTATTATCTTATAATACAAAAAAATCCATCAATCATATGACATTTTGAACATGTCATTCTAAAATTTGCAAAGTTTTAAGGTTAGCTCCTTTTAAGCATAAGATTCCTTTCTTATAATTTGCATTTCAGAAAACTAACCTAACCATGCCAGAAAGCACAGGTTTTAAATGCGCAAATGCCTTAAAATTTGGCCGAGCTTTTATGGGAAAATCATAAATTTATGACTCATATATATTATTTTTCTCCTTCTGTTTTTAGCCAAGACCATTATATTTTGCTAATAATCAATTGATCACACTATTTACATTTTTAAATATAGATTTTAATATTGAGTTTTAACTGATTTCCTTGATTCACACATCTCATATCTTACTTGAAAGAAGTTACATGAACTTTAGCTGAGGAGTTTCACATATTTTCATCTCAAGTGCAGTGTCTGCAGGGAATAATTTCCTGTGGGAAGTAACCAGAGGAGTATCTCCACTGTTCTATGGAAAAGTAAGAACAGCTGCAAATTTTTGAAGAATAACCTAATATAGAAATATGTCATACTAGGGGCATTTCTACCTTTCCCCTGACTAAACACAGCCATCGTTCTTTAAGCACTTACTAAAAGGAAATTTGTTAACCCAGCTAATGTCCAAAAACAGGCTAGATATCACTAAACAGAAATACAATAGTATTTTTCTCAACACTATGGAAAAAACAAATACCATTTATCATGTCTGGATTAAAATGATTAATTAGGCATACACTTCCTTTTTCTTTGTTTCTTTCTCTCTGTTTCTCATTCTCTCTTTCTTTAAGTCAGTAATCACATACTGAAGTTACAGTACTTTATTGGTTTCCTGTATACAGCAAAATTATGTGGAAAGAGATGTTGTCCCACTGTGCTGAATAGAAACAATTTTTAATGTGTATATAGATACATAAATAATATAGTTATTGTACATGTAAGGTTAAAAATACATAATATTTATTTAATACACACAAGTAATTCCTGAATTTTTCTCATTTGATAGTTATTCATATGAAAATGAAAAAGGTAATTTGTTAAATATGTATCTATCTATAAAATGCTTTTTTAAGATAACTTTTTAGTTCCTTAGTTCTTAACATTGAAGCATGTGGTAGGGGCAATGTTTGTTTAGGCAAGTGTTGCTCTCTGCTTGGTAAATTGTCAAATAGCACCTAAATTATACTCCTGGGAATTTCTAAACTGTACTTAGAATTGTGAGTACTCTATTAGGAGAACATCTGTAAATAGTCTGATACATGAGCTCACTTGCAAACATAATGGTATGTTTCAATCCATATTGGTATTTCAAATATGACCCCAGAATATTTTTAAAATATCATTTTGAAATCAGACAGCATAGCAAGGATGTAGGTGTCAAAATTAGACACAAATGGAAATGAAGTCCTTATTTACAGACTAACTTTTAAAAATTACTTTGGGTCCTTTTTTGTTGGGGTCATATACATGTTGTCATTTGCTTTTGAAAGATGGAAAAACAGATTACTTCAAATGTTAGACTGTATATTTCACAGCATTGTTGGGGCCAAGGCAAGAATTTCATTTCTACATAATACACTATAATGCTCCATATTTCCTCTAAAATGGAAGAGTAATAAAAATGAAAAATGCCAATATTATAGTAAGATTCAAGGGTCATACTTTTTTTAAAACAAAAACTGAGAAGAAGAGAAAAATACTGGGAAATAATCTGAAAGACAGTGTGTAATTTGCCGATTTCTATCTATCCACTTCACAATGTCTCTAACCTCAATGAACAAGACAGGATCATTTCTTTCTGAAACTAAACTACAAAAAAGTTTATTAGACACATAAAGAAGATGCTATACAAATTATTAAGTTTTGACTAGTATGTTATAAAGAAGAAAAGAAGCAATTAAGTCTTCACTGGTATGCTACAAAGAAGAAAAGAAGCAATTGAAGGGATACCTGAAAATAACAAAAAACATCTGGAGAAACAATGTACTCAAAGTTTAAATGTGAACACTGCACCTAATTAAAGAGAACAGCAATTATGGAACTAAGTATTTGTAGTAGAATCACACTGTATCAAAGGAGAGGCCAAATTTTGCCCCATATTACTTGAGGACAATGTCAAGAAAACTGAAGAAGTGATTGGATCTTGTGACTTTGGTCAGTTTCACAGATATATGGTCTCTGAGCACATAAAACTTCATTACAAACCTCACTGAAAGGGTTCTATTGGTCTTCCCAGGACCTAAATTAAAGACTATCAGCAAATTAGTCCAAAGAAAGAGGGATTAATACTTTCAGTAGCCTAATGGTACTATTTTTGGATTAAATTTAGGAACCATGTGTCAATGTCTTTTCTGGGTTCTTCATAGTGCTTAGGGCTGGGCAAACAGAAGATGTTCAAATACTTTTTGACTCACTGTTGTTCAACACCTAGCGGTGCGTCAGACACAGGAACAAAAGACTGAGTAGAATCTGGCTAAACATTCCATGATGTCATCACAGATTTGAAGCCAATGTGAAAATTTTTGGGAAAAAGCACCTCACAAAAGAGTAATTTTAATGGCAAAAAAGTAACTGAGAAGTCAATATCGAGATGAAAAATATTGTAAAAATAGTTTACTATGCCTAGAAGACATCTTTCACTTGAGGAAAATTTTACTTGAATATTTAAGTGGTGTTGAAACTTCGAAATGGCATATGTCTAAACTAAACGGAAAAATCTGTAACCAGGTACTAAGAATTTTAAATGGTACTTTTACTGATAATAATTTATATAAAATATCTAACATTAAAGGAGAAATAAAGGGATGAGGTAAAGTAGGACAAGAAAGAATAAAAAGAAAAAAGTAGTTCTATATAATTTTTGAGAAAGATAATTCAAAGGAGGACCCTTTGTTTGTATCAGAAGTTAGATAATTTTATGCTTCAAAATTCTCATAACTGGTCATAATATTTTCTTACATCTATCCAATAAGTGAATAAATGAAGATCAATACTAATGCAAGGATTATTCTCTTTTCATGTCAATGTCTTTTTCATGTTAAAAGATAAGGTAAATACTAGGTGAGGCAAAGAAAAATATACTTGAGCAATATTGAATAAGTTATCTTTTTATCCAATCTTCATAAATATAGTACACTAAAACTATTTGCAATTGATGAAATGATTTAGAAAATATTTTAAATAGAATTCATTAAAAAGAACCATACTGATCCACTAAGAAACATTCTTGGCAAACATCATGTCTCAAGAAATGCTCAGCTATATACAGAGCCCCCAACCAATGCTATTGAAGTTGTATTGTTTTCTTTATTGAAAAAAAGCTGCACGAAGGGAACTAGAGACTGCCAAATGATGAAATTTTTTTTTATTTTATATGCTTAGTAAAACTTAAACGTATTTCATTCATAACCTCAAAACCTATACCATTACATGAGTACCCACAGAATCAGGAAACAAAGCCATATAACTTTAAAGTATTTTAAAGAAAGTGCCAAAAAGGTTAATCCAATTCCACACTAAAGCATTCCCTCAGGTCTCCAAAGTAAAGTTTAAAATGTATAATCTAGTCTCCTGTGTCTGTTAATCCTTTGCACTTATGATCAGTTCCTGTTTATGTTAGCAAATAAAAAAGATTTAATGTAGGTCAAAGGTTCTCTGAGCTTTTTTCTTTAAAAAAAAAAATCAATATCTCAAGGAAACCTAACTCTGCTTTCATAGGAACTGATTGTCTCTTAATAATAATAATAATAACATAGTCTAGATGACCTAGTTGAATCAACTGGATTAGTCACAAACTCAAATAAAATCAAAGTTAGCACTAGTTTACAAGGGTCAAACAAATGAAGCTTTCTCTGAGATTTGGACCAGCATCTGAGCCTAGGAACTAGGCTTCTTAATTGACAATTAAGAACTGTCAAGTGTGAGGAAAACAGTGATGATTATGTAATAGCTTTCTATTGAGATGATTCTTGGCTAGCATATGGACTATTTCACCTCACACTTCACAAGTTTTGATACTTCTGACATCTTAATCTAACGTAGATACTGTTTAAAATCCTGTGATCACTAAAGTGCTCTAAAATATGAGCTATTTAAATATGTATTTCCTGGCAATTAATGCTCACTGGTGACAGTGACCAAATGTTTTATTACACAATGGTAAATGAAAAGAAGACATAGCTGAAGAGGAACATAAGAGAATTAACCTGGACATTTTTCCCCTATAATCTTTCATGTTGCCACAGAATAAACAGATTTAACACAGTAGTTCTTTAATCTTCCTTAAAAGCATGATGATGGGAAATATCCTACATAAAATATATGGTTTTGAATATAGTTATTAATCAAATTAAATATCCAATTTAGGAATTGCATGAAAGGTTGTCAAATTTACAGAGAAAAGGTCAAGGTAGTTTACACAGCCTGGGTAAATTATTTTCTCATCTGACTATATGATTTTTTTGACACAGACATTGCTTATGAAAACAGAACATTGAATCAGAAAGGGTAAATCTTAACTCACTATGTCTGGAAAGAAAAATATTAATTCACTGAGTTAATGCTATGTCTATTTTAATTACTCAAATATTTTAAGCTGGTGACAAACACAACGTGCACATAGAGCAATATTACAACTACATAAACTAAGAATTTAACCTTGGAAAAATAAGAACAGAAGAAAATGCACCAAATCATTAACTGTGTGTTTGAATAATGAAAATATCAGCGATTTTGATTCTCTTCCTTTGCTTTACTTCCCACTATCTTAATAAATATGAAGTGTTTTAAAGAACACGGATGTTTCTATAAGAAGAACAAGTATTTATGTTTCTTACATGCAACATAATTTTAATTTTTACTGATACTTTTCAAGAAATGTGTGAAACACCTGAAGCTGATGTTTTGTTTCAATGGTTGTTTCTGCAGGAAAAAAATGCAAGTGTTTAACAAGTGCAGTTTAGTAGGATAGACAATTCTTCATATATACTGCCTTAATTTAGGAGTTCTAAGGTTCAAATCACAAATTAAAAAGCTTCCAGAAACATATTTAATATACACAAGATTAATTCGGTGTTTCAATTTACTTCTCCAAGTATGTTATCTTTTCAGTGGTAAATGTTGGCCTCCTTTCAGTAAACAGTGCATTTGGCAAGAACTGGAGCATTTTCTCTGCTATGCAAGTGATGATTAATGATTCAGTGCTCAACAGCATCATGATAATTTTCACTGGTTCCCTGGTTTAAATTATATGTATATATAATTTAATTTTTTATATATACCCACACACACATATAGTTTATATTTTCCTTCTGTAAATTCATATATATAAAAGAAAGAGTAAGATCCAGATTGTATCACGTGGCATAGAGATAGGGAATGCATTTAAATGTAAATATTTCATCATCCTAAATCAACTCTAGTTCCCCCACTCCCCCCAATTTATGAAAAGTCAAATCTTATATTTATATTATGATGCATGGAAGTTCTTTAAGTAGCTAAAAAATAAGGAGAGCCCTTCCTTTGAGATAAATAATGCTCATATATATACCCACAGAAGCAATAATTTTCCATGTCACCAACACATTCTAAGAAAGTGAACGTGTGAGAATATGGAAATATATAAAACAATAATGGTGGTTGTCACTTATGGAGTGGTTATTAGGTATTGGGGAATGAGCCAGGTACTTACAGATACAGTTCATTGATGCTTTTATACATCTCTGAGAATAGGAGTTTCTGCACTCTCTTTATAGATGAAGAAAGTGAGACTCCAGAACTTAACAAACATTACAGCTCATGAGAGGTAGCACGGGATTTGGAATGTATCCTGCTTTACTTCAGGCCCTAGGGCTTTCTGCTATGCTGTGGTACTGCCTTCATGTTGCAGAAAGGGGCTACTCATGGCCTGGATTAAGTGGCAGACCTTGGTGAGAGCCTTCAAACAACCTTGTCATCATAACTGAGATGTTCATTTGTTCTACAGTGGAGCAAATATGAAGAGAAAAATCTTCCAGACTAGAAGAAAATGAAATGCATGTCAGTGGAGAGAGGTAGAATAAATGGGTTATACCCTACAGGTTGGCCTACGGAGATTTCTTCAAGAGATTTTTAAAAGGAAAAAGTAAATGTCCTCTCCTAGCTTTGAGTCATCATAGGTTCTCTCTTCTGGAGTCTGAGCCATGTCAGGTAAGCCTCATATCTAGGGAAAGGGAGTTACTGAGAATTATTTGGCCTGAACCTTCTTTCTGTATTGAGATGAGCTTTTAGGAAAGAGCTTAAGCTAGTATTATTTAATTATTTCTGCCTCTCTGCCATTTAAAACATTTGACTTTTGAAGGAAAAATAGACCATTAGAGGGAGAAAACATGTTTTCAAAAGACCTATTTCTCGCAAAGACATATACATATTTTTTAATTGATTGCTTAATAGGGAGATTGGTTTAGTTTTCTGAGGTGTTTGGTCAATAAATTGGATATTTTTTTAAAATTTATTTTTGTTAAAGTAAAATATACATATATAATTTACCATAAGTGTATAATTTACTGATAAAAAATACATTTTCTTTTTCTACTTCATCCCCTACCCTCTTTTCCAGCCTCTGGGAATCTACTCTCTATCTTCATGAGATCCACATTTTTAGCTCCCACATATGAGTAAGAGCATGTGATATTTGTCTTTCTGTGCTTGGCTTATTTCACTTAACAGTTTGGAGATTTTTATTATCCCTGAGAGCCAGGAGGAAATTCATTGTAATCATTTGGTTTTCACAATGATTACAGTTTTATTATTTTTCCTTGATAATTTAAAAATTCAAATAATATAAGAGATAAGAAAGACAAACAATATATAAGAGTGAAAGAAAGTAAAACATACCTTGTAATTAATTCTACTAGTCTACAAGGGGGATCATTAACACTCTGGTAACTAAACTTACTTGCATTACTTTACATATAAAAACAGATGGGTAGGTAGGTAGGTAGGTAGGTAGGTAGGAAGAAAGATGATAGATAGATAGATAGATAGATAGATAGATAGATAGATAGATAGATAGAATTTTACATAAATGGAACCATAACAACATTTAGTGGTTTGTTTTCATAATCATTAATGTTTAGTTTTGTCAATTTCCCACTTATGTTCACATAACAGCCATTCACTGCCACCTTTAGGTAAGTCACATTAGGAACTTATTTGTCTTCTCTATATTTTTCCCATTCTTCGGTATCATTTGCAATGACATATGGGGACTTTGCAATTGTTTGTTTCACAAAATTTAGATATTTCTTTTCCCCTTAAAAATATCTTGAGGAGGCTGGGCGCAGTGGCTCAAGCCTGTAATCCCAGCACTTTGGGAGCCTGAGGCGGGTGGATCACAAAGTCAGGAGATCGAGACCATCCTGGCTAACACGGTGAAACCACGTCTCTACTAAAAATACAAAAAATTAGCCAGGCATGGTCGGGGGCGCCTGTAGTCCCAGCTACTCGGGAGGATGAGACAGGAGAATGGTGTGAACCCAGGAGGCGGAACTTGCAATGAGCCGAGATGGCGCCACTGCACTCCAGCCTGAGTGACAGAGCGAGACTCCGTCTCAAAAAAATAAATAAAATTAACAATATCTTGAGGAAACCTCTTCAAGTGAGTTGACTTAAACATAATTCATGTTTTTAATAGCTGAATAATATGCCACTGTATTAGAAGCATAATGTGTTATTTCCCAGTGATCACTTCATGTATTTCTATCTTTTAGAAATAGTATTAAAAGGAATATCCTTAGTTAACTATGTCTTCGATGTATGAGGTCTTTAGGTTTTTTAAAAAATAAATCTTGTATATATTTAAGGTATATAACATCATGCTATAAACGCATATATGTAGTAAAGTGGTTACTACATTGAAACAAATTCACATATCCGTCATCTTACATGATTACCCATTTCCCCCAGACTCTGTGTTAAGATCTCTACCCATTCAGGAAAATCACAAATACAATCCACTCCATTATTAACTATAGACCTTATGTTGTACATTGGATCTTCTGATTTGTTCATCCTACCCATTTGCTATTTTGTATTCCTTGACCAACATGCCCCTATTTTTCTCCCCCAACCCCTGACCCTGATAACCGTTTTTTTCTCTATCTTTGTGTTTGACTTTTAATTTTTTTAGATTCCACGTATAAAAGAGATCATGCCAACTTTTTTGCTGTGTCTGATTTATTTCACTATGCATGTCCTCCGAGCTTATCCATGTTGTGACAATGTACATATACCACAGTTTATCCATTTGTCCATTGATGGACACCTAGATTATTCCCATATCTTCACTATTATGAATAGTGCTGCAATGAACATAGGAGCAAACATCTTTATGAGGAGTGGTTTCATTTCCTTGGGATATAAATCTAGAAGAGGGATTGCTGTGTCATATTGTAGTTCTATTTTTAATATCTTTAGGAATTTCAGAACTGTTTTCCATAATGGCTGCACCAATCTGCATTCTCACTAGTAATGTGCAAAGGTTTCCTTTTCTGTACACCTTGCTAACACTTGCTGTCTCTTGCCTTTTGATAATAGTGATCCTAATAGATGTCAGGTGGGATCTCATAATGATTTTGATTTGCATTTTCCTGATGATTAGTGATGTTGAGCACCTATTCATATACCTGTAGGCCATTTTTGTGTCATCTTTGGAAAAATATCTCCTCAAGTCCTTTGTTCATTGTGTTGAGTTAGTCTGATTTATTTATTTTTGTTTCTGTACACTGGGCTTTTGGTGTGATATCCAAGAAATCATTGTCAAGGTCAATGTAAAAGAGCTTTTCTCCTATGCTTTCTTCCAGGAATTTTATGGTTTGGGGCCTTACATTGAGGTCTTTTATGCAATTTGAGTTGATTTTTGTATATGGTGTAAGGTAAGAGTTCAATTTCATTCTTTTGCTTGTGGAAATCTAGTTTTCCCAACACCATTTATTGAAAAGACCATCCTTTTGTCATTATGTCTTTTTGGTGCCCTGGTTGAAAATTAGTTGGCCATATATGTTTGGATTTATTTCTGTGCTCTGTATTCTGTTCCACTGGTCTGTATATTTTCATGCCAGTACCATTCTGTTTTGATTACTATAGCTTTGTAATATAATTTCAAATCAGGTATTGTCATGCCTCCACATTGTTTTGAATATTGCTTTGGCTAGGTCTTACTTTATGGGATAGATTTTTAGATGTGCAGTACAAGGTCAAAAAATATATTATATGTTAATTATACTAGATACTACCGGATAGAATTTTTAAAGGCTGTAAGAAGCTCCATTTAACATGGATATGCTAAGTGACAATAAAATATATATTGTGTTTCCGTTATAGTAAGTAGCAGATATTTAAAATCTCTCTTTCATTCCTTCTTTTGTTCAATCATATATTTACTGAGCACCTAGATGCCAGGTACAAAGCCAGTCCATCATTTCACTTAGAATTACCACAAATTGTTCAATTCCCACCTATGAGTGAGAACATGCGGTGTTTGGTTTTTTGTCCTTGCAATAGTTTGCTGAGAATGATGGTTTCCAGCTTCATCTACGTCTCTACAAAGGACATGAACTCAACATTTTTTATGGCTGCATAGTATTCCACATTGTGCACATGTACCCTAAAACTTAAAGTAGAATAAAAATAATAATAATAAAATGAAATAAAAATAAAATAAATAAATAACCAGAAATTAAAATTAATGTGGCTAGATCTAAGAATCTTACCCACAGTTTTAACTGCTTTGCAATGACTCTCAAAAATATCCCCCAAGGGAGCATGTGAGAATCACCTCTTTCATGTGGGATGGTTGGTTGACCATCCACCCAGCTGGCTGATTTTCAGTCTACTCCACTTCTTAAATTCACAGAATCATCCTCACCATGAGCACCTATTATTGATGGGAGTGTATTCTGTTCTTTAGGTGTATTACATCAGAAAAAAAAGATTACAAATTAACGCTGCTGCCACTAACCTAACCAAATTCACTGCAAGTTATTGTCTGATTGCAAGAGCTATAAAGCGGCTTTGTCCCTGAAATCAGATGACTTGACTTCCTGTCTACATTCATATAACATTATTTTAGAAATGTTTACTAAATTTAGCTAACCAGGCTTGCTGAAATAAACCAATTTTAAAAGAATTGATCAATTCTTTTAAAGTAAATATATATCATTTTAAATATACATAACAGATGTGATAAGGTACCTTAGTAGAAGCCTAAGATAGTTGCACCCCAGAATTCAATAAAGAAAATTTGTAAAATCCACATAACTTACACATGGCTTTGTGTCTGATCATATCATATAAAGCTATTTTGAATTTTATTTTTAACTGACACAGAGGAGAAAATGCTTTATTAATTGAGGGAAGAAATCTTTGAGTAGGAGTAGCATTGACTTTTAAATTATTGGCCTTATCTTGCTCTTTTATGTATGCTCAGAATAGTGACAGCATTTTCAACAGTGTTGCAAAAACCATTTAGCTTACAAGGTAGAATTATTGTGATACAGAACACTTAATGCACTTCTTCTTCATAGCATCTTATTTCATAAAAATCAATTGGATTTTATGCCTTGCATAGAAGGGCTTTCTTCCACAATGAAGTCAGAGTTATTATGGGTAAGCTGGCCAGATATCATCAAATGCACTAGAACCTTTCTATAGTATTTATTGTTGTACAGAATGCAGTGTAAGGCACTCCACCACACTACAATAAGTAGCATTTTCTCTAGCACATCCATTGTAGGAACCCTTTATAGGAAGCTATTAATATTAGAAAGGTAGACAAGAATGTCTTGAAGTTTTTCCAGAGAGTACTTTACTAAGGTAACAAAAAAGCTGCCCTAATACAAGTTTAAACACAGATTGTACCTAGCACAGTGCCTACCCCGTGGTAGGCATTCATTAGATATTTGTTGAATAAATGAGTGAAAGGAATTCTCTGGCATGCACATGTAATAAATGAGTGAAAGCAGTTCTCTGGCATGTACAAGGATGACACATGTACAAGAATAAGACACCAACAGACACAAACAAAGGACTCAAGCTCCACTGACAGATAAGAAAATGATACTGGATTTGCATACAGCTAAATAATCAGAGCTGGGGAACCAGGAGCGTATTTTAAATTGAAGGACAAACTTCATTGCTCTTTGGAAGCCCAGTCAATGAGATCTCAGATTAAAATTCCATCTGGTTCTTCTGAAAGCTTGTTTTTTGTTTGTTTGCTTGTTTGTTTTGTTTTTTTTGTTTTTGTTTTTTACATTCTAAGAGGCCTTATAACTTCCTGGCTTCTTTCAGTTCTTGTAGAGACTCAGTCTATGTGCTTGTTTGTTTATCAAATGCCAATGGCTGGTAACAACCATAGTGCATTATTACCATTTACTGAATACAGGAATACAAGGAAATGTTCTTCGATTTATATCTCCAAGTATTAATAGGCCTGGGCTTCAAGACTTTTTGAGGCCGATTCCTGCAGCATGAATCAGCAAAGTTTCAGTACATGCTCATTTCCTTTAAATATTCTTAACAGTAAATACAATACTTTTAAAGGTATTTCTTCCAATGACCAAAAATAAATGCAAGCATACTTCAGAGATATTGCAGATTTGGTGCTAGACCACCACAATAAAGTAAAGATAACAATAAAGGAAGTCACACAAATTTATATTTATGCTATACCATAGCATATTAAGTGTTTACTATATTCTTCTTTTAGACATAATGAAATAGCATCATGTCTTTAAAAAATACACATAAAAACTACTTTATTGGCCAGGTGCGGTGGCTCATGCCTGTAATCCCAGAACTCTGGGAGGCCGAGGCAGGTGGATCACTTGAGATCAGGAGTTCAAGGCCAGCCTGGACAACATGGTGAAACCCTGTCTCTACTAAAAATACAAAATTAGCTGGACATGGTGGTGCACACCTGTAATCTCAGCTACTTGGGAGGCTGAGACAGGAGAATCGCTTGAACCCAGGAGGCAGAGGTTCCAGTGAGCCAAGATCATGACACTGCACTCCAGCCTGGGCAACAAGAGCGAAACTCCATCTCAAGGAAAAAAAAAAAAAAAAAAACACTACTTTATTGCTAAAAATTGCTAACAATCATCTCAGCTTTCAGAGAGTCATAATCTTTTTCTTGAGAAGGGTTTTGCCTCAATGTTGATGGCTTAAAATAAGACAATAATAAAGTTGGCCACATCGATTGGCTCTTCATTTCACAAAAGATTTCAGTGTAGCATACAGTGCTGTTTGGGAGCATTTTACACGCTCTCAGTAGAACATTTTTCAAAATCAGAATCAATCTTCTCCATATTTGCCACTGCTTTATCAACTAACTTTATGTAATATTCTTTGTGATCATTTCAACAACATTTATAGCATCTATGCCAGGAGTAGATTCCGTATCAAGGGACCGCATCCAGAAAAAGCAACACCTCATCTGTTCAAGATTTATCATGAGATTGTAGCAATTCAGTCACATCCTCAGGCTGCACTTCTGACTCTAGTTCCCTTGCTAGTTCCACCTCATCTGTAGTTACTTCCTCCACTGTAGTCTTGAACCCCACAAAGTCATGCAGGAGGGTTGAGATCAATAACTTCCAAACTCCTTATAATGTGCATACTTTTACTTCCTCCCATGAATCACAAATGTTCTTAATGGCATCTAGAATGGTGAATCCTTGCCAGAAGGATTTCAATTTTATCAGCAAAATCACTTTCTGACAACTATTGTTTTACAAAATTTATTTCTGAAATAATGAGGCTTGAAAGTCAAAATTACTCCTTCATCCATAGGCTTCAGAACAGATGCTACATTAGCAGGCATGAAAATGCATTAATCTCCTTATGCATCTCCCTCAGAGCTTTTGAATGATGAGGTGTATTGTCAAGGAGCAGTTATACTTTGAATAATGTCTTCTTTCTAAGCAGTAGGTCTCAACAGTGAGCTTAAAATATTCAGTAATCTATACTGTAAACAGATGTGCTGTAATCCAGGTTTTGTTATTCTATTTATAGAGCACAGACAGAACAGATTTAGCATAATTCTTAAGGGTCCTAAGATTTTTGGAATGTAAAATGAGCATTGGTTTCAACTTAAAGTCACCAACGGCATTAGCCCTTAACAAGAGAGTCCCCTTGTCCTTTGAAGCTTTGAAGACAGGCATTGACTTCCTCTAGCTATTAAAGTCCTGGATGGCATCTTCTTCTAAAGAAAGACTATTTTGTCTACTTTGAAAATCTGCTATTTAGTGTAGCCACTTTCATCAATAATCTTAGCTAGATCTTCTGGATAACTTGCTGCAACTTCTACATCAGCTTTTGCTGCTTCACCTTGCACTTTTATGTTATGGAAGTGATATAAACCTTAACCTTAAACCTATTGAACCAACCACTTCTACCTTTAAACTTCTCTTCTGCAGCTTCCCCACCTTTGTCAGCCATAGAATTAAAAAGAGTTAGGGCGTTGGTCTGAATTAGGCCTTGGCTTAAGGAAATGTTGTGGCTAGTTTGATATATCTAGACCACTAAAACTTTCTTCATATCAACAATACACTATTTTGCTTTCTTATCATTCATGTATTCACTGAATTAGCACTTTCAATTTCCTCAAGAAATTTTCCTTTGCTTTTACAACTTGGCTTACTGTTTGGAGCAAGAAGCCTAGCCTTCATCCTCTCTTGGCTTTTTACTTGCCTTCCTTACTGAGCTTAATCATTTCCAGATTTTGATTTAAAGTGAGAGACATGCAACTCTTCCTTTCACTTGAACACTTAGAGGCCATTGTAGGGTTATTAATTGGCTTAATTTCAATATTGTTGTGTCTCAGGGAATAAGAAGGCCAGAGCAGAATGAGAAAGAAATGGAGGAAAGGCTGTACACAGACATGGTGGAGCAGTCAAAATACATACATTTAAGTTCTCCCTCTTATATGAGGACAGTCTATGGTGCCCCAATAGTGACATCACAGATCACTATAACAGATAGAATAATATTGAAAAAGTTTGAAATATTGCAACAGTTACCAAAATGTGACACAGAGACATGAAGTGAGCACATGTTGTTGGAAAAATGAACCCAACAGACTTGCTCAATGCATGGTTGCCACAAACCTGCAATTTGTAAGAAAATGCAGTATCTACAAAGCACAAAAAAGTGAAGTGCTATAATATGATTTATGCCTATACTGTATAACTATGTAGTTCTATATAGTCAGCAATATCCATCTTTCTTTTCAAAATTTCTTATTTTCTTATTTGGGTTAAAAGCTTTCCTTTCTTTTCCCCATATTTCTGAGACTAAATATTTTCCCTACATTTTTTACAAGGCTGTAAGTGTTCTTTATATTGCTTTATATTTAAGTTTTTACCCCAGATATGAGATGGGGACCCTACTTTATTTTATTGTCTTCCAGATAGATGGTAACTCAGCAAGAAAAACCCTTTTTACCCTGAGTTGAAATGTCATTATGTCTTATTAAATTTTTATATACATTGGGATCTTTTTCTGGATTCATTATTATTTAATAGGGCAAGTCTCCCTTTATTATTGTGTTCTGTCATAATTTTCTTGATTATCTTAAAGCGTCCCTTCTTCTATGTAAATTTTTATGTGGTTTATCTGGTTTAAACAGTCTTTTGAGATTCTAATTAGTGATTTATTAAATTAATTTTTGTATCAGATTATTTCCACCCAACTAAATAATCTTCTTCTTATAGAGATATTCTGTATGTCCTGCATATTTCCAATATAATTTTATGGTTTTCCTTTTATAAGTCTAGTTTCTTTTTTGTTAAATTATTTCCTAAGAATTTTATCTTTTTCATATTGTTGTTAATAACATTTTTGTTATATCCATTTCCAGGATCTTATTGTTAACATGGAAAACACTCATAAATTTTTTATGTTTTTCTTTTATCCAAATAATTTACCACACATCCTCATTAATTCTATTTGTGTGTGTGTTTTACTAAAGTTTATTAAATGTATCAACATTTATTTCTACTTTCAATGCTTACATCAATTATTTAATTTTATTGTCTTAAAGTTTATCTAGAACTTTCAATACACTGATGAATAATATCAATAATGGCAGATATCTTTGCCTCTTCTTAATTTTATTGTAATGGTTTTTGCCACTTAGAAAAGTAAAGATTTTTATTTTTAATAAATAGCCTTTGTTAAGTTGGCTCCTTTTATTATTATTTAACCTAGAGGTTTTCAAAAACTGGTTGCCAAATTTAAGCACTTTTAAAAATTATTTTTTATTTCAATTGTTTTGCGATACAAGTGGTTTTCTGTTACATAAATGTGTTTTTTACTGGTGAATTCTGAGATTTTAGTGCACCTGTCCTTCAAGCACTGTACACTGTCTCCCCTCCCAAACTCCTCCCCAAGTCCCCAAAGTCCATTGTATCACTCTGTATGTCTTTGAATCCTCATAGCTTAGCTCCCATTTATAAGTGAGAATATATGGTGTTTATTTCATTCCTGAGTTACTTCACTTAGAATAATGGCCTCCAGCTTCATCCAAGCTGCTACTAAAGGCATTATTTCATTCCTTTTTATGGCTAAGTAGTATTCCATGATGTATATAAAACACATTGTCTTTATCCACTTGTTGGTCAGTGGGCATTTAGGTTGATTCCATACTTTGCAATTGTGAATTGTGCTGCTATAAATATGCATATGCATGTCTTTTTCATATAATAACTTATTTTCCTTTGTGTAGATACTCAGTAGTGAGATTGCTGGATTGAATAGTAAATCTACTTTTAGTTCTTTAAGGAAACTCCATATTGTTTTCCATACTGGTTGTACTAGTTTACATTCCCACTAAAAGTATAAAAGTGTTCCCTTTTCATGATATCTAAGCCAACATCTATTGTTTTTTAACTTTTTAGTTCTGGCCATTCCTTCAGGAGTAAGGTGGTATCTCGTTGTGGTTTTAATTTGTGTTTCCCTGATTAGTGATATTGAGCATTTTTTCATATGTTTGTTGGCTGTCTGTATATCTTCTCTTGAGAATTGTCTATTCATGTCCTTTGTCCACTTTTTGATGGGATTAGTTTTTTTCTTTGCTGATTCATTTGAGTTCCATGTAGATTCTGGATACCAGTCCTTTGTTGGAGACATAGTTTGAAAATATTTTCTCCCATTTTGTGGGTTTTGTGTTTGCTGATTATCTCCTTTGCTGTGCAGAAGCTTTTTAGTTTAATTAGGTCCCATTTACTTATTTTTATTTTTGTTGCATTTGCTTTTGTGGTCTTAGTCCTGAATTCTTTGCCTAAGCCAACGTCCAGAGAGTTTTACCAGTGTTATCTTCTAATATTTTTTATGCTTTCAGGTCTTAAATTTAAGTCTTTGGTTCATCTTCAAGGTGATTTTTTTTATAAGGCGAGAGATGGGGATCCAGTTTCATTCTTCCATATGTGGCTTGCCAGTTTTCTCAGCACTGTTTATTGAATAGAGTATTCTTTTGCCAATTTATGTTTCTGTATGCTTTGTTGAAGATCAGTTGGCTGTAAGTATTTGGCTTTATTTCTGGGTCCTCTATTCTGTTCTCTATTCAGGTATAAGTGCATATTTTTATACCAGTGCCATGCTGTTTTGGTAACTATAGCTTTGTAATATAATTTGAAATCAGGAATGTGATGCCTCCAGATTTGTTCCATTTTCTTAGTATTTAAGCACATTATTTTTAATTTCTGTGATCATATTTTTTAATTTGTTGTTGTAAAGTATCGTGCTGCTGTAGTCTAACATTTAATCACCTTTGCATTTCTGGAACAAACCCTGTATCATCTAGATGCATTATTCTTTTTCCATATTGGAATCTCTTAACCAATATTTAATTTGGCAAATTTGTGCCTCTATTTTTAAGTGAGATTATACTATATATTTTTTCTATATAATCTTTATCAGGTTTATTACTAAAGTTATACCAGCTCCAAAAAATCACTAAGGAAGCTTTTTAAAAAAATTTTTATGGTGTGAAACAGTTTAAATAGAATGGGAAAGTTAAATTGCTAAAAGTTAGATAGAATTCATCTACAAATCTTTCTGATACTGGTGTTTTTCGAAGATGGCTCCATGATCTCCTACTCAAGATCTACTCAAGACCTATGTTAAATAGTCTGTCTGAGTATTCATCTTAAATTGCTTTTACTAATCTAATCTGTATTTTTATAGAAAGATATTTGTTTCCTATGAGTTTTCAAAGTTTTTGCCAAATAATTGCAGTTTCTTCTATAATTCCTTTCATCTTTCTTGTCATTCTATTGTTTCCCAAAGGTAATTTTGTGTGTTTTTCCTCTATCTCTTTTTTCTTCATCAGTTTCATAATCAAAACTTTTAGTTGATTTCTTTAATTGATCATTTTATAAAAACCATCTGTTTTGATTAATTCTATCACTACTACCTTTTTTATTTATTCAGCAATTTTAAATTCATCTATTTTCTCTCTTTCTACATCTTTTTGGTGAAATTTTTATTCTTCTGTCAATTTCTTAGGATAAATACTGGTTACTTTATTGTTGATGTTTATTATTGTCATTTAAAAATGGAATATGATAAAGGGTATACATTTTCTTCTAATTTCATAGGCAGTGATGTGAAGTTCTATACTCCCTGCTTTCTGGAGTTAGTAATGTCAATTTGTATATCCTCTTTGACATAAGAATAATCCAGGAGTGTATTTCTTAATTTCCAAGTAGTTTAATTGGGTTTTTGCATTTACTGTTTCATTTATTTCATTTAAAAATATGATCCTCAAATACTCTAGTTTGTTTTCATTTGTTGAGGTTTTCTTTAACAGCCATGTATCTTAGCGATCTTCATAAATATTCCATGGGCAAATAAAAGAAAACCTTTATTTTCTTTTGAGAAATATAAATCAGTATATTAAAATGAGTTTATTGATTATAGTTATCAAATTCCCTATGTCTTTCTATATTTTTGTCTAATGTATCTGTTTAGTTTTGAAAGCAGTATTTTATTACATCATATCTATTCATAGTCTATTTAAATTACAGTCCCTTAATTTCCAACTTATAATATTATCACTTCTATATTGTTTTATGTACATTTGCATGGTTTTTTAAAAAAAAATCTCTTTATTTTCTACCTTTCTTTGATTATTTTAGGAGTTTTTCTTATAGGGTTTTGTTTTTAAATTAATATTAGAGTCACTACTTTTAATAAGAGCATTTAGCCTATTTACATTTAATAAAACAAGAATTACACTTAATTTATTCCTTCCATTTATGTGCATGCTTATGTTGTTCCTTCTTTTCTCTTGATCAAATTATTCTCTTCTTCCACTAGTTAATTTGGAAGTTCTACCTTTCAATACTTTAAATGTTACATTTTTTCCTGGTACTTACGTTATAATGTATATTTCCCTACTATTATTAGAAAAAGAGATATGAATTACATTTCTTGCCAAGACATTCTATTTCTGTGTACAACTACTTACCCCAAATGTCAAGATGACCACAGAATACTTTTATTCTTGAATAAAATCAAATATCTTTTTTACGTCAAAAGTTAAATGCTATTTTGGCTAGGTATAAGATCTTAGAGTTACAGTTCTTTGCTGTCATAGTGATGCCTATGAAACGTGTAATTTGAGGACATTATGTCTAGTGAAATAAGCCAGGAACAGAAAGTTAAACACCAGTTGTTCTCACTCATACGTGGAAGCTTTAAAAAACTCAATCACATAAAAGTAAGAACAAAGGATACTAAAGGATGAGAAGGGTAGGAAGAAGGAGGAGAAAGATTTATTAAAGGAAACAAAATTATAGCTAGATAGGAGGAATACATTTTTAGTGTTTTACACCATTGTAGGATGACTATTGTTAACAATATTATATAGTTTCAAATAGTAGGAAGGAGGATATTGAATGTTCCCAATTCAAAGAAATGATAAATGCCTAAGGTGGTAGATAAGCTAATTATCCTGTTTTTATCACTATACATGTTTTTCAAAATATCACTATGTACTCAATAAATTTATACAATTATTATATGTCAATTTAAAAACTAGAATATAAAAAGCATGTTTTCTTTAGCTTTTTTCCCCAGATAACCTGTTCTTTGAGGCAACTTAAATTTTTTTTTTCCTTTATTGTTAGATTTTGGACATTTTATTAGGATATACCTATATAAGTTTTTCCTCATCGAATATGGCTGAAACCCAATATGCCCTTTCAACATGTGATCTCCTGTCCTTCTTTAGCCTTAAGAAAAGTTTTATGTTATTATTATCTCTCCTTCTGTTGCTTTGATTCCTTCTGTACTTTCTAATATTAGCACATTAAATATTCAGTATGTGTCCTCCAAATCTGTTATCTAGTTTTCTTATGCTTTTAATTTCTTTTATTTCTGTTCTGTGCTTTAAAATATTTTTTCCATTTGTCTTCTAAGTGACTAATTCAGGTCTTAGTAGTGACTCAATTTATCTTCAATTTCTCTATTAACTTTCATTTTGGTTTAAAAATTAGTGCTTTTATTTCAAGAGAGTCTTTTATGCTGTATACACATCTTCATAAGCATTATCAATTTTTGTTGTACAAGTCTTTTCCATTGGGTACTTCCTTTGCTTATCTTCTCTGTGATTTCTGGGCAGCATTTTCTAGCTCACTGTGACTCAGGAATGGCTATTTCATATTTTAAATCACAGAAATCCCAAAAGAAATGGAAGGAAAACCATAATCTACCACCATAGGCAGATTGGGGAGCAGCAGGCAGGTTGCCATTCCTCCTCTAAAGCACTGGGATTAAATCTCCTTCATCTCCAGGCTCCCCATGTATTCCTGTCTTCATAGATAGGGTGATAACAGCTTAACCATTCAGCAACTCCTCAGATTCTTGCCAATTATAACCTTTGTGTCTCCTGAACTCTCTGAAGGCCATGCTCTTCCCAGCATCTACTGTATACCAATTATTGACTGGAGGCCTTCTCTTCTAGTCTCCAGGTTGTTGGCAGGCCCACAGGAGTAACGGTTATGTTCTGCATCTCCCCACTGAGTCTCCTATGTCTGACTGATACTCAGCTGTACACACTCCCAAAAAACACTTGCCTTAAGAGAAAGAGACAGATTGGAGCTGGGCAAGAAAGAGAGGTGAGATATATTCAGGCAGCTATATTCCCGACCCTTTTCAGTAGTCAACATAGAAAGTAGCTTTATTCTGTATTGATTTCATCATATAATATTAGAAATAAATCATTAAAAATCTGGTAATAAATCTTTCCTTCTAATCTTCTCTCCTTGGTAAAATTCTTTCAAGACAAATTCACCTGCCTCCCTCTTCATTTCTCCCGAAATTTGTCATCACTCCTTTCTCAGTATAACCATGAAATCCAGGGAATTTCTCAATTTTTGTAGTATGTCTTGTGTTATCATAATGAAGTATGTACATATCTGCCTTTGAGGAAGAGGAAAGTGTCATTCATCCCTAAATCCAAAGTAGTTACTGCAGCACGTATGGTAAATGTACACACACACACACACACAATCATTGAATTAGTTATATTTGCTGTGAAAGATTCAGTCCTTAATATCTAGTTTTGAAAAATACTGTTTTGAAAAGTTTAAACTTTAGCTTTCAAAAATATTATCTACTGTGCTAGGAAATCACATTTAAGGTGGAAAGCACATTTTCCATGAAGAAACAAACCAGCCAAATCAAGAAGAAGAATATATCGAGAACACTACTGGAATTAATTTTTCCTTAATTTAGAACAATGGCCTGGTTTAAACCACAAAACCTGGCTTTTTAAATAGATAAATAATAAACTAAATCATCAGTTTCAATGTGTGATTGGAAATGTTTTTCCAGAAACAGGAATCTTACATCCTCAACTTCATCACCAGGGTATGCATTCAAAAAACAAATGGTTAATGCCAAGACCTCCACTATAGCCATAGGAAAGGTTTTTCTTATAGACTTTGGAGTCACTCAGCAGGGGGCTTACCTCTGATTTTTCCATTACTAGCAATGTGGATTTAAGAAAGTTATATAACTCTCTGAATTTCAGTTTCCTTATATATAAAATGAGATTAATACTAATCATCTTACAAGGTTCTCATAAGGATCAAATGTGAAGTCAAAGTATTTGATGCTGATTATTAATATGTTGCTGGTTTTTACCCTAATTACTAATATTAAGTATTAATTAACCAATATTCTATAATATTTTAAATCACAGCAATCCCAAAAGAAATGGAAGGAAAACCATAATCTACCACCATAGGCAGATTGGGGAGCAGCAGGCAGGTTGCCATTCCTCCTCTAAAGCACTGGGATTAAATCTCCTTCATCTCCAGGCTCCCCATGTATTCCTGTCTTCATAAATAGGGTGATAACGGCTTAACCACTCAGCAACTCCTCAGATTCTAGCCTCAGCAACTCCTCAAATTCTACATATTGGGGTTAAAAACCAATATGTAGAGCCAATAACTGCACTGGAAATAATTCCTAGATAGTAAAAAACAGCAATATGCTTTACTGAAACAGAGCATTTAAAATAAAACAACAGTAATCTATTGTGCTAAATTTTTATCACAAGAACACACAGATTTTGCTAATTATTAAGGGAATTCTCTGGAGACAATTAGTCAGGGTATATTGTTTGTATGTAAGTAAGTGATCTAGAATGATAGATAGATCTTAACTTTCACAACCTTTACAGAGATTAAAAAATTTCTACCACTTCTCTGAACATGTTTAAATGTGAAAATTTCAATCAGACATTAAAGACTGCAACAACAACAAAAAATCCTGGATAGGTTTTTTTTTTTTTAATCTGATGAATGTTGTCCTCCTAACCACACAGATATTCTCACTCCCTCAATTCCTTCCTCTAAAAGATAAGCTTGCCTATGTTCTCACAAAACTGAATGATTTTTTAAACACAAATTATTGAAAATATGAAGAGAATCCTTTTCAACTGTCCAACTCATGTGTAAAGTAGGTAATCAAGAAGAATAATTTGAATCCTGGAAAGCTATTGAATTCTATTTATTAAGTACCCACACTTCAGCTAAGCAGTGAAAAATGGTTTATGAACTATAAAACATCCTCAATATATTCTCTTCAATATTTTTCCAGGGTGATATGATTTCAGTATTGCTCAAAGAAGTGTTATCCAAACATCTTTACATTGTGCTTTTGTAAGATATATATTTTTAATAAGTTGATTAGAGACACTAATGAAATAATACATTATGTATATTTTAAAGTAATATAAATACGTGTTTTTAAAGGATTAAATAAAATAAATACAAATAAAACTAACATTTTTCTGTACTTCCACAATCCATTTTCTGTTCTCCAGGCTTGATCCAGGTGCCTAGATCAAGGAAGAAGGACTAAATGAACATCTGATATCCTTTCTGGTCAGAGTGTTCTAGATCTGTCTTTCTGCCTTTAAGAGCATTTTCCACAATTGTTTTAAGATGTCATCTCCCTGTGATAGAATGCAGCAACACTAAACATCATGGCCAAAAAAAAAAAAAAAAAGCTTAATGTTCTATCCAGATTTTGCAAATCAAATGCAATATATAAGCCAGTACTGTTATATGCTGTCAAATATGCTAGGTTATTACCTGACAGCAAATATGAACATATCAAAATCATAAAAATTATTCTAACATAACATACTTCAATATAAAATATCTTAAATAAATAAATTATATGCAAACTGAAACATTCTTTTTCCTAAACCTAAAAGAATATAAGTTTTGTGAATTCCATTTATCACTGACCATTTCTATAGTACTTAAAGTGAATAATGTATTTTAAAATGGGTAGAAGATAATAAATTACATTGCACAAATTACAGCACAGAATTATTTATAGTCTCTAAACCACTATGTTAGCTTCAAGGTCAAGAGCTTTAGAACATAATCCAGGGTTCTATCATTTTATTTGGTTGGTTTGTTTGTGTCATTCGAGCCGGCTGCAGGCTCAATCAGAGGACGAGATGCTCATCAGGTTGCAGCGTAAAAGTTTATCTTCACAAGCAAAAGGAGTTTAACTAAAACCTCTCATTGTCTTTAAATGCAAGCTTAAGAAATACATCAACATCTTTGGATTGAAGCTATGTAAGATTTTGTAGATCTGTATTCCCCTCTATTCACAGATTTAGCATATACTATCATGAGACAGTGGTAGAATTTCTCTAACTTGGAATATTTCCTATTAATTTCCAAAATACCTTTAAAACAGTGTATGAACACTTCTAGTTAGTGGTTCAAAATCGTTCCAAATAACTCTTGGAATCACATTTAAGAGATTCCAACCCATTAAGATCAGAAGTCAGTGTTAATCAGACAGCGAGGAGAGGGCTTTGAGAGTAATTCTTTTCAGCCATTTGATAGAAAAAATGCTGACCAAAGAGAATAAAAAATGTTACATATAAAAGTAATTTCTGAAGAAAATAAAACTGAAAGGGAAAACAGCTCTGCACTATTATAGAAAGTCTTCCCTCTCAACCAGAAGTTTGGAGAAAGAGCTACAGTCTGCAAGTAGGTGCTCCAGGAAAATTATTTCTCTAACAGATTTGACACATCTTGCAATGGATTCGCACTGCCTTGGCAAACAAATGGATTAGCTTTGATGGTGTTGCCAATAGAGCCACAGTCTTTTGTTGCTGCACAAACACATTTTTCTCTTTCTTTATATGGCCTCCAGCAAACTACACATGTTACTTTTGTTTGGGTAATTTACTGTCTTGGAAAAGGAAGTATGAAACTACTTTTCAGAGAAAACCATTGAAACTTCTTGGCTAGCAGCATCAGAATCACTGGCTTCAAAAATATACCACAAAGGTTTCTCTGATCAAATGGAAATACTCAGAGGGGGAAAAAAAACTAACTTCTTAAGTCCAATCAGCAAAATTCCCCCAAAACCCTCTTTAACAAAGCTTGATTTTTTTTTTACAAGCCATCAGTTTCCAAATAGATTTTTTTGCCTTAAATATCTCTCCTCATGTTCCTTCCAACCACGTTCCCCATTATTTACCTGCAAGATTAATAAAGATCTCTGAAATTAGAATACTAACTCACTTCACACTCTTTTAAAATTGTTATCTCTTCTTGTTTAAAAAAATTAAAATTTAAAAATTTGTACTTTACTTTTTTGGCATTTATTGATACTGAATTCAACTATTGCTTTATTTAATATCATAGTTTGCTTGTTTGATAGCTTGTTTGCCTTTGGTGTTCACATTTTCTTCACATTTTAGATAACTTTTTTACTTAATAAAATCTGCTGCTTACATAATCTTGAAATAAAACAGTAAACTAGCAATTTACAGGGTATAGAAAATATTTTTCCACTGTTTCCAAGGAGTTGTGATGCTTTTTTATACAGTAATTGTAATTAAACTTTTAAATTTAGTATTCAGTTATTTTTAACAATATTTCTTTAAAAATAAAATAAGCTAGGTCAACCCAAAGGATTTCAAAAAGAAATTTTAACTGTTTGACTCTAGTAAATTAATTTCTTTTCAGATGCTCATCCCCAATCATTAGGGAAATACAAATCAAAACCACAATGAGATATCACTTCACACCTGTTAGGAGGATGACTAGAAAGAAAGAGAGGAAAGGAAAGAAGGAAATGAAAGGAAAGGAAAGGAGAGGAGAGGAGAGGAGAGGAGAGAGTGGAGCGGAGGGGAGGGGAGGGGAGGGGAGGGGAGGGGAGGGGAAAGGAGGGGAAAGGAAAGGAAGAAGGGAGGGAGGGAAAGAGAGAGAAAGAAAGAAAATAACCAGAGTTGGCTACATGTGGAGATTGGAACCCTTGTGTATTGCAGCCTGTGTGTGGCGGTTCCCCAAAAAAATTAAAGATAAAATTGCCATATTAATTAACATATAATCTAGCAATTCAATTTCTGAGTATATACACATAAGAATTGAAGGCAGGGACTTGAACAGATATTTGTGCATGAATGTTCATAATAACATTATTCACAATAACCAAAAGGTGGAAATAGCTCAATGTCTATCGACAAATGGATAGTTAAACAAAATGTGGTATAGACATACAAATATTATTATTCAGCCCTAAAAAGCATGAAATTCTGACACAGGCTCTAACATGGATGAAACTTGAAAACACTGTTCTAAGTGAAATAAGCCAGATACGAAACAACAAATATTGTATGATTCTGTTTATATGAAGTACCTATAGTAGTCAAATTCATGGAGAGAGAAAGTAGAATAGTGGTTACCAGGGCCTGGGGAGAGGGAAAAATGAAGACTGGTTTAATGAGTACAAAGTTTCAGTTTCAGAAGATAAAAATGTTCTGAGATGAATTGGTGGTGATAGTTGCACAACCACATGAATATACATGAGACCACTGAACTGTACATTTTAAAAAATGGTTAAAACGGTAAAGGTTATGTATATTTTACCAGAATAATTTTTTTTCAAAAAAAGATACATTTCTTAATACAGATTGAGTTAAATGATATCACATATTCACATTATTTTGAAATGAATTTGCCCATTTAACCCAGGAAGTTTATTAACCTCATAATCTAGGACATTAACAAAATTCCAATGTTCTATTCTGGGCTTAAAAGCATCAATGGATATTTGGGACCTAATAAATCTGAACGTTATCCAATGCCTATGCCAGAGAAACAATCTTTAAAGCCCTTAATGAGTTAGGAACTCCACAGACAGCTCAAGAAACCTGATACCAAAACTCCCTTTAGGATCTAGTAGACTTATCTCCATCAAGGATAGATAAATAATATGCTTATCTTCATGTCTGGAGAAAAACTGGGGAATATTGTTGTTGACACCTTGAGGGTCACTTACAGGGGTTCAGAGAAGAATTAAGGATTCTGTTATCCAGTGAAGTAGGCACCCCACCAAACTAAGCTATTTTAGAAACTTCTCTTGAGTGTGTACATAGCCTATATTTTCCAAAATGCATTTGTGTGACTGATGTGAACCACATAACTCAGACAGCCAAACATTATATATAGTTTATTTACTTCCCTTAACCATTCTCGATTCTCCTCTTTGTTTTTCTTTTATGCCCTTTGTTTATTTTTGGTTTTGTTTTGCTTTGGTTGGGGAAGAATTTAGGAAACCATATTAAGTGGATTTTAAAATGATCTCATAATAATAAGTTCTACCACTCCAAACCATGTTTAAAACATGTTAAAATGTTCAGAAGTTTTCAGTTATTTGTAATGAATTCATAGTCATCAACCATAAAAGTAAACAATATCTAAGCTATTTTTAAATGACCACATGTTCCAGGGTGTTTTTTTGTTCTGTTTGTGGTGGTTATAAGTTGCTGTTGTTATTATAGGAAAGAAATTCATTCACATTACCACCAAATATTCCTTATATTAACTATGTAAAAAAAGGAAAGGGAACTTTTAATATTTTTATTTCATCTACTTAGAATGTAAACTATAAAACTCGAAAATTTATATTGTGTACATTTTTTCTAGAGAAATGTACAACAAAAAATAAGTTTATAAGTGACGGGAAGGCAAATATCATGTAGACACCATTCTATTGCTTTTCAGTGCCTTGAGTAACACTCTGGTATGTACACATACACAAACACACACATACACACATACACATACATGCGTGCATGCATCTGTGCTTGTTTATTATCCTTATTTTAAGCATTGTACATTTATCTTAAGAAAATCATCCTTGAATTCTGACAGTGCTCTGAAGTTTCAGTGAATCAAGAAATTCACTTTTTCCTGTATTTTGTTTTCACATATGCATGGATATTCATTGCTGTGAATATTTTCTCTGTTCATAATGCTTGAACAGAGAAAACCCAGTTTTGTGTATTCAAATAAACCAAATTATCAGATAGTTTTATATTTATCTGGATGATATATTTTCAATTTTTATTCTAATTTTTTTCACTCTGTAATAACTCTATGAATTTTGGTTTCCTGATAATTAGGAACAATAAAACTATAATTTTAATGTCATCTGGGTATTTTCAAAGGCTATCTCTTCTACAAATCCACCTATAGGCACAATTTCATCAGAGCCATTCCAGGCAGATGTCTCTCTATTCCACTTGTAACCTGGGGAAAAGGGCTGTTTCTCTGGCCTTCAAAAAGCATTCTATAATAGATGTGTCTCACATCAAATACCATCTTCTGAGAGCTATGCTCACCGCTTATTCATGGGGAACCCCGCCCAAGGATAGGACTGCTTCAAATTTTTACTGTGTTAAACTTGGGGCCAATCTTATTGGTGACCACTTCAACCAGCTTTTGCTCTGAGCATAGTATGGATTACTCTAGGCTTTTGTTTGCAGGGTGGGAGATTGTTTTGAAGGTCATCTGTAGAGGGGTGCATGGTCCTCACTTCAGCTGATTTTCACTGTCAATGTGGAATTTGCTCATTATACTTTTCTGCTGCTATCGCTTGCATTTGATGGCCAGGTTTTGTATGAATTTACTATTATTTTACTATGTCTTCTATCATTATAACAGAATTTAGGGAAAGAGGAGAGAAGACATGAAGCCATTTTAAATAACAGCCTATATCAGTCAGGGTCTAGGCGAGAAAGAGATGACACCTTCAAACAGGGTGATTATGTTTGAAATAGAAGTTCCTTTCTTGTTTTTAGAAACATGTGCCAGGCACTGTTTGAAGTACTTTTTAATATATAAACTCACTTGTTCCCTACAGCAACACCATGAAGCAGGCATTATTATAATTCCATTTTCCAGATGAGAAAACTGAAGCACAGAGAGTTTAAGTAACTTGCCAAACAGTAAGCAGAAGAGACGGTACATGCCACTACTGGGGCCAAGCTGTGGAGCCAGAGAGTTGCGTGTATGTGTCTGGCATGTTCATCACACAAAAAGAGATATGTACATTTCCCCTCTTTTTACACTGGAAACTCAGTTATTAATTCGAAACACATGTGCTTCACCTACACTACTTCCCTTTTGTACATTACTTGCTCTTATACACTGAAGAAATGTGAATTTGAGACTGGAGACACTCGGATCTAATAGAAACAGTGGACTGAGCAAACCTCAGATGTATGGTTTCTCCTTAGCCAGGCCTTTTGCTGGACAAAACTTGTTGGGGGTTTTAGATTCTCCTCCCTCAGCAAATACCTCAAGTGCAACTATTCTATGTTGCAAATTTTAAATAAGACATGTCCCTTTAAAGATAACTTACTTGATAATTTCCTGACTTCAGATCTCTTACTTTTTCAGTCAATTCCAATGCAACTCAAGACAATGTTAGAATTGAGTCTTCTTAGCTACTTTTGTCTACACCTGGCAGCTCCCTCTTCCAAAAGAGCCCACTAAATAGCAGGTGTATTTTCTGCATAGAAGAAACAGAGAATTGAGAAATCAGCTTCATGATATAAAAAGAATTGGAATTTCCTTCACATGTTTCTAAAAACAAGAAAGGAACTTCTATTTCAAACATATTCAGTTTATAGAGTTGAACTGAGCCAAAAGAAAAAGAATTAAAAAATGTTGTAACCAACTTACCCTCATCTATGAATTCCTGAAGGATATGAAAAAACAAAATATTATCTTTAGTTTTATATAAAGAGTATGGATGGCCTTATATTCCAATAATTTAAGTTAAGCCAAAGAAATAAAATGTTCTCCTATTGTTTAGTCCAGTTAGGTCCCATTTCTTTCCTTAATTTTGCGTAGTATGTTTAGTTTGCCTTTAATATGGACTCTAGGGAGCTAAACAGTGGGTGGTACTTGGTTTTATACTGTATACAATATTATTGGGCATTATTAAATGTTTTATTATTTTCACATGAAGTAGTAAAAAATTCTTTAAACCAAATTCACAGCAGAATTGAGGATAACAATTCAGTTTTTCATGGGAAATTCCCACTGAAATAAATTATGTCTGGATTGTAATCCGTCTCAGACATGATGCAAAGTAACCACAGTGAAACGAGGTGGGTCATATAATAAATCAATTGAGATAATCGCTGGGGAAGGTAAGATAATGATATTAGAATTATAGATTTTTATGATTAGTATTACAAAACACGCTGCCTAATAGAGTTGTTTTTTCCGTTGTGACTATTGAAAAATTTTGGATGGATTCCTAAATGTCAAAAAGAAAAACTTTCACCAACACACAATCCAAATTTTAAATATCCACCTGTTCTAGTTGAAACTATGTATTCTCTCCCATTATAGCCTATCATTACAGATACTTACTGAAAGCAATTGACAGCACAGTCATAAGAAAACTGTCTCTCATAGGGCTTCCACAAATCCACATAGGAAATCAATTTCTACAGTGACAGGAGAGAAAAACACAGACGTCTGGACTGGGAAACTATCCTGCTGTGGCTTTGCCTCATACTTCTCAAGAGTTGTGTAAATATTAAAAGGATAAATTTATTTTACAAACAATCTTATCATCAACCCAATGAGACGCATTTACCTCAAGGTAACAAGGAAATCAATTTGGATCCCTTTGGGGGAAAATTTAAAAAAGAAGTAATAAAGAACAAGTTTATGCATTTGGGAGAAACATTTTTATGGGATTAAGGTTGGAATTTGTGATGCTAGTATTTGGGGGAGGGGAAAAAATAAATGTAGCAAGACTAAAACAGTTCCCTTCTTTGTTTTTAATGATCAGGGATATGGTTTTTTAACCCATGATTCCTTTGTTTGCACACCCAGCCATATAACATTGTACCTCCAGGGTAATTGCAAAGGCACAGATATTGATTTGCTCCCTTTAAAAGAAAGGATGATGTGCTTTCTTGCATTTAGGCAAAAAGAGAAGGGAGATTATTGTAAATGTATTCTATTCTGCTCTAACATTTTTTAATTAAGCTACTTTTCCTTTTATGGTTATAGTACTTAGATTAATCAAGACTGAAACAGCTGCAGCAAAGTATCTATGGGTTCTTTATTCCAGCAGAGAAAAGTAAGCCTCCAAAAATAGGAGACTACGTAACATGTGCTTTTACGAAAAAGCCTTTGATAATTACTCTCAATAGTTAAATATTTCTTTCACCCTTTTACTCTATTAATCTGGATGTCATATTTATACCTTTAATAATAATTTCAGTTACCCATTTGCAAGTGTACCTCCTCAGATTCAGATAATTCTTCACCCCTATTTGACTTATTACCGTCTGCTTCTTCCGCTAAAGATAGACCATGTTTAATGACAATATTATGTAAAATACCACCCGGCAGAAATTTATTGCCTGCTTTACGAAGGCGGAGATATAATGTTTCACCAGATTTGCCTAGACATCAAAACCTCAATTTCTGGTTAATATCCAGAGTTACCTCAATAACCATTCTGGAAAAATATATATATATTCTTTATTATTTTCTTCAGTGACAGAGTTATTCAAAACAAAACTAAAAAGAGGCAGTAACCTGAAAACAAACAATCTGAAGCCCATAATTGTGTTTCAAGAAAAAATTAAAGTTACAAACAGAGCATTTTATAGAATTACTAAAAAGCCAAATTCTCCCAATTTATAAAAAGCCTTGCATTTCTGAAGCAGATTGTCTTAAGATGAATGAATCATGACACGATCCTGGGTACTTAGCTATGACATCTGTTAGGTGGTAAATTGCATCGCGCGCCACATGCATAATGAAGGAGAGAACAGTTTTTAGTTCCTAGAGTGTTCCTCATGTGGAGATGTGCAAATTGAGGTAGCGAAACTCAGGCCAGATGGAAGAGCAGTGATGCTGGAGACTGCGTTTAACTTACTGGTGGTGCTAGGTGTCTCTTAAAAAATGTATAACTCAATGAGGTCTCCAGGGAAATGTATTTATAAGCTACTCAATATTCCAAATGATGACAAACCGATGTATTCTGTGAGATGTCTGCTGTTACCATGAAGAGTCAGTCAAAATGTACAACACCCGTGTCATCTTGTTCATGCATTATCTTTTATTCTTCACAATGAGAAAACATTTCAGAGGTTAATATACAAATAATAAATATGCACCTGCATATAAGAATACGTTAACATAGCAAACTGTTTTGAAGATTAAACACTGATTGTATTTTCTAAATGATCAAGTACTGTATCTCCTAATTAGTTTAATTAATAACTATTGAGACATTTGATATGTTGGGGCAGGAAGTAACCTACCTCATTCCTCTATTTAACAAGCTAAATATAGTTCTTAAACTTACTAAGCGTGGAGCATGCCTTACATGTAATCTGTATGTGTACACATATGTATTTTTGTGACTTATATACATACATTTATATGCTTGTACACATTTACATTTAGTTTACTGATGAATCTCTATACTGACTCATATTTCAGATCTGCCACAGTCTATTAAAAAAGGCTAAGACTTTGATCTGCAGGGAGATCCTTTTCATAGATGACAAAAATGTATATTGGAAAATCCTCATGTTTAGAAAGCACATCTACTCCTATCTTGAGCTGTTGCCAAGGGAACTTTGCTGTACGTCATACTGTCATCCACATTCCCAGGTTTTAATTTGGCTAATTCAGTGGTCATAAGATAGAAAAAAATTAAACACTTCAATGTAACCCAATAGTCTGAAAAATCTAAAAGACCTGAAAATCCCTTAGTGGGAATTTTGAGTATCAATTTTCTTTCAACTACCCTACAGTGGGCAACTTATTTAACACCTCAATTTTCATTCTCTGTTCCCTTCAATGGGGCACAGTGCTTGGCAGTTTGCCAGCCATAGTGATAGATTCTCTGCAAATTCAAAGCACTAAGCATTATTTACAATCTCAAAAACGTAAAAAATGGAAGAGCTTACACAGGTTCAAGTGGCAGGGTTTTGGGGGTTGTCACTGTTTGTTCTCAAACTTGGCACTTACACAATACAGACATAGTACAGAATTCATCTTTCTCAAATAGGACGGAGCCGAATGCTTTGAGGGCTGTCTGGGCAATTCTGAAAATCGTTTGAGGCACAATAAATGACACAGAGACTACTTTTTTTCAGGTATAATTCTTCACTCAAGTAATGCTGGAATGCCTATAATATGGAATTAAAAAGCCTGAGAATCTGGAGGTTAAAATTTATTTCTCTAAAGCCAAAAAAGAAGAACAAAAGTACATTTTTCCTAGACAAAACAAAAAATTTTTCATTTCATGGAATTACAGTTTTGAAATATTTATTTCACTATAAAAATTGTACATTCTAACTAAAGAACAATTCAAATATATATATTTAAAATAGTTACCATAATACTCACCAGCCAAACATAACCACTATAAATACTTTGATATATTTCCTTTTTTAAAAATCTACCAGTGAGTGTTTCTCCCCAAAGCTCTAATCATAACGGTCATTGGAATTTTTACTTATTATATAATAATTATTTCCTTTTTATTACTTATTCCTCTTAAGCAATGCTAAATTCTACATAATAATCTATCACATAGGTACATTCATAGGTATCTACTTCTCTATTATTGAATAT
Source organism: Homo sapiens (assembly GCF_000001405.40). Taxonomy (NCBI): domain Eukaryota; kingdom Metazoa; phylum Chordata; class Mammalia; order Primates; family Hominidae; genus Homo; species Homo sapiens. The sequence continues at coordinate 107,156,613 of NC_000005.10, forward strand.
TCAAGTAGAATATTTATGAAAGTTTGTGTTCATAAATATTGCAATTAATAATTTTAATGATTGAATTTTTATTTCACCTATACACTATTTTCTTAGGAGAGAGAATATAATTTACATGTGGATTAAAAGATAACATCTATAAGTGTGGTGTGTATTACTATATTACTTTCTAAAATTGCCACCAGCAACGTATAAAAATGTTCATTTTACTCTTTGAAATGAACTACACAGTATTCTCAGTATTTGTTGAAGTGTATTTTTCAGTTAATAGATTAAATGTGGTAAACCGTTTTAATTTATTTTGTTTCTAGTAAAATTAAGCATTATTATGCTAGATACGTTTTTGTCTCTTTAACCTAGTTTTTCATGCTTGGGTCCATTTTGTTAAGTCATAACGATGTTCTGTTTAGTTTAATAATTTCATTTTTATTATATTAGTATATTTTATTTGATATGTTCTCACCAATATTAACTTTTTTAATATTTTCTCACATGCTTTCCCAAAGATTAAGTCTTTTAAATTGGTTATTTTATGCAAATATTCATCTTTTCAAAAAGTTACCAGCTTTTTCTACCTTTTGTACATTTTGAAAGTGTTTTAAGATTGTAGTCAAGTATTCATTTCTAGTTTGGTTGTTTCTGTTGCTGCTACTGCTGTGGTAGTGATGCTGATGATAATATTCAGCCTTTTGATTGTTTGATTTTTAATATTTAACCCTCCAATATATTTGAAGTTATTTTGGGTGATAATGTTGAATATATAAATTGACTTTTGTCCAAACAGCTAATCAATTGTCACCAGTCCATCACGCAATTAAATTCTAAATGCTTACAAGCAGGTTTGGCTTATATTTATTTCAATAAGAAATTTCAGAGCTGGGGCCAAGATGGCTGACTAGAAGCAGAGGTGATCGGAGGCTCCTAGCGGATAAAAACATAATAAGCATGTGAATCCTTCACCGGCAGCAAGGTAAGCCGGTTCTCTCATCAAAACTGACTAGAAGGGCTGGAGTGACCCAAGGAGAGAAAGAAGGGCAATGTGGTGCAGTGGCCCACCTGAGAGCCACATGGGGAAGGGGAACCCCCGACCCCAGCCAGGGAGGTGGTGAGTGAGCGTGCTACCCAGCATGGGAAACTGCTTTTTCCACGGAGTTGTGTAACCCATGGATTAGAAGAACCTACTGGTGAACCCACACCACCAGGGCCTAGTGTTCCAAGCCCAGAATGCACAGATTCTTATAGCCTCTCAGCTAGAATCTTCTTAAGCCTACTGAACTCCCAGCGGGAGCGGTGACCAGCACCAGCTGTCTGCTGTCTAAGCTCATTTGAGCTGCTTGCGGGAGGGGCAGCAGCCAGCACTGAAACTCGCAACTGCCTAACAGGCTAAGCTGCCTGGGTGGGGGAAGGAAGGCACCCATTTCTATAGCTCCAGGCTGCGCTTTTCCCCCTGCTGGAACCTGGGAGGCTGGACAGCTTGTTTCCAAGACTTGTCCCCACAGCTTAACATACCAGCTGTGGCAGTCTGTGGCCAGGCCTAACCCTGACCCATCCTTCTTCAGTGGGTGGGACTTCCCTACAGGATCTCCAATAACTGCAGCCAGAGGTTCAGGGACAGAATTCGGATCATCCTAGGCCTCAGCCCTGAGCCTGAGCCCCTAAGGGAGAAGTTGCCACAGTCTCTGCAGACCAGCAGACTTAGCCTCTCCTCCTGGTAGTTCTGAGGAATCCAGGTAACCCAGATGAGTGGGGTTTCCCCCAGCAAAACACACCCTCTCCACCAAGAGACAAAGTATTTGGTTAAATGGGTCTTGCTCCCTGTGCCACCCAATTGGGTGAGACACTCCAACAGGGGTTGTCAGACACCCTATACAGGAGCGATCCTACTAGCATAAAGTTGGTGCCCCTTGAGGTCAGAGGTCCCAGAAGAAGGAGCAGGCACCCATCTTTGCGGCTGTCCAGCCTCCTTGAGTGACATCTCCAGGCACGGGAGTGAACCAGATGAACAGGGCCTGAAGTGAACCCCCAGCAAACTGCAGCAGCCCTACAGAAGAGGGACCAGACTATTGAAAGAAAAACAAACAAGCAGAAAGTGACAACAAGAGCATCAACAACAACAACAACAAGAAAAAAAGGACCCCACAAAAACCCCATCCAAGGGTCTGCAGCCTCAAAGACCTAAACTAGACAAACTCATGAAGATGAGAAAGAGTCATCAAAAAAAACATTGAAAACCCAAAAGGCCACAGTGCCTCTTCTCCTTCAAATGATTGCAATGTCTCTCCATCAGGGGCACAGAACTGGACAGAGGACCAGACGGATGAATGGACAGAAGTAGGTTTCAGAAGATGGGTAATAAAAAAATTCCACTGAGCTAATGTAGCATGTGCTAACCCAATGCAAAGAAGCTAAGAACTTTAAATAAAAGGTTAGAGGAATTGCTAACTAGAATAACCAGTTTAGAGAGGAACATAAACGACTGAATGGAGCTGAAAAACACAATACGAGAACTTTATGAAATATACACAAGTATCAATAGCTGAACTGACCACAGGGAAGAAAGGATATCAGAGTTTGAAGACCACCTTACTGAAATAAGACATGCAGACAAGAATAGAGAAAGAAGAATGAAAAAGAACAAACAAAGCCTCCAAGAAATATGGGACTTCATAAAAACACTGAACCTACAATCAATTGGAGTACCAAAAGGTGACAGGGAGAATGGAAACAAGCTGGAAAACACACTTCGGGATATTATCCAGGAGAACTTCCCCAACCTAGAAAGACAGGCCAACATGCAAATTCAAGACCTACAGAGAACACAATTAAGATGCTCCACAAGAAGATCAACCCCAAGACACATAATCATTAGATTCACCAAGGTCCAAGTGAAGGAAAAACTGTTAAGAGCAGCCAGAGAGAAAGGCCAGGTCACCTACAAAGGGAAGCCTATCAGACTAACAGTGGACCTCTCAGCAGAAACACTACAAGCCAGAAGAGATTGGGGGCCAATATTCAACATTCTTAAAGAAAAGAATTTTCAACCCAGAATTCCATATCCAGTCAAACTAAACTTCATAAGCAAAGGAGAAATAAAATCCTTTCTAGACAAGCAAATGCTGAGGGATTTCATTACCACCAGGCCTGCCCTGCAAGAGCTCATAAAAGAAGCACTAAATATGGAAAGGAGAAACTGGTATCAGCCACTACAAAAACACACCAAAATATAAAGACCAATGATACTACGAAGAAACTGCATCAACTAGTGTGCAAAATAACCAAATGTCATCATGATGACAGAATCAAATTCACACATAAAGATACTAAACTTAAATGTAGATGGGGTAAATGCCCCAATTAAAAGACACAGATTGGAAAATTGGATAAGGAATCAATACCCATCGGTGTGCTTTATTCACGAGACCCATCTTATGTGCAAAGACATACACCGGCTCAAAATAAAGGAATAGAGGAATATTTACCAAGCAAATGGAAAGAAAAAAAAAAGCAGGTGTTGCAATCCTAGTCTCTAACCAAACACCTTTAAACTAACAAAGATCAAAACAGACAAAGAAGAGCATTACATAATGGTAAAGGGAACAATTCAACAAGACAAGCTAACTATTCTATATATATATGCACCCAATACAGGAGTACCCAGATTCATAAAACAAGTTCTTAGAGACCTACAAAGAGACTTAGATTCCCACATAATAATAGTGGGAGACTTTAACACCCCACTGTCAGTATTAGACAGATCAATGATACAGAAAATTAACCAGGATATGAGGACTTCAACTCAGCTCTGGATAAAGTGGGCCTAGTAGACATCTACAGAAGTCTCTACTCCAAATCAACGGAATATACATTCTTCTCAGTGTCACATGGCACTTATTATAAATACGACCACATAATTGGAAGTAAAACACTCCTTGGCAGATGCGAAAAAACTGAAATCATAACAAATAGTCTCTCAGACCACAGTGAAATCAAATGAGAACTCAAGATTAATAAACTCACTTGAAACCACACAATTTCATGGAAATTGAACAACCTGCTCTTGAATGACTCCTGGGTAAATAATGAAATTAAGGCAGAATCAGGAAGTTCTTTAAAACCAAAGAGAACAAAGAGACAACACATTAGAATCTCTGGGACACAGCTAAAGCAGTGTTTGGAGGGAAATGTATAGCACGAAATGCCCACATCAGAAAGCTAGAAAGATATCAAATTGACACCCTAACATCATAACTAAAAGAGCTAAGGAGGCAAGAGCAAACGAATCCAAACGTTAACAGAAGACAAGATATAACTAAGATCAGAGAAGAATTGAAGGAGACAGAGACACGAAAAACCCTCCAAAAAAATCAATGAATCCAGGAGCTGCTTTTTTGAAAAAAATTAACAAAATAGATAGACTGCTAGCTAGACTAATAAAGAAGCGAGAGAAGAAACAAATAGACACAATAAAAAAAGATTAAGGGGATATGACCACTGACCCCACAGAAATACAAACTACCATCAGAGAATACTATAAACACCTCTACACAAATAAACTAGAAAAATCTAGAAGAAATGGGTAAATTCCTGTACGCATACACCCTACCAAAACTAAACCAGGAAGAAGTTAAATCCCTGAATAGATCAATAACAAGCTCTGAAATTGAGGCAGTAATTAATAGCCTACCAACCAAAAAAAGCGCAGGACCAGATGGATTCACAGCTGAATTCTACCAGAAATACAAAGAGTAGCTGGTACCATTCCTTCCGAAACTATTCCAAACAATTGAAAAGGAGGGACTCCTCCCTAACTCATTTTATGAAGCCAGCATCATCCTGATACCAAAACTGGAAGGAGACACACACAAAAAAAGAAAACTTCAGGCCAATATCCCTGATGAACATCCATGCGAAAATCCTCAATAAGATCCTGGCAAACTGAATCCAGCAGCACATCAAAAAACTTATCCACCACGATCAAGTTGGTGATAAGATCACTAAGATGGAAGGCTGGTTCAACATATGCAAATCAATAAACATAATCCATCACATAAACAGAACCAAAGACAAAAACCACATAATTTATCTCAATAGATGCAGAAAAGGCCTTTGATAAAATTCAACATTACTTCATGTTAAAAACTCTCAATAAACTAGGTATTGATGGAACATATCTCAAAATAATAAGAGCTATTTGTAGCACACCCACAGACAACATCATATTGAATGGGCAAAAGCTGGAAGCATTCCCATTGAAAACAGGTACAAGGCAAGGATACCCTCTCTCACCACTCCTATTCAACATAGCGTTGGAAGTTCTGGCCAGGGCAATCAGGCAAGAGAGAGAAATAAAGAGTATTAAAATAGGAAGAGAGGAAGTCAAGTTGTCTCTGTTTGTAGATGACATGATTTTATATTTAGAAAACCCCATCATCTCAGCCCAAAAACTTCTTGAACTGATAAACAACTTCAGCAAAGTCTCAGTATACAAAATCAATGTGCAAAAATCACAAGCATTCCTATACACCAACAATATACAAGCAGAGAGCCAAATCACGAATGAACTCCCATTCACAATTGCTACAAAGGGAATATAATGCCTAGGAATACAGCTAACCAAGGGATGTGAAGGACCTCTTCAAGGAGAAGTACAAACCACTGCTCAAGGAAATAAGAGAGGAGACAAACAAATGGACAAACATTCCATCCTTATGGATAGGAAGAATCAATATCGTGAAAATGGCCATAACGCCCAAAGTAATTTACAGTTTCAGTGCTATTCCCATCAAACTACCATTGACATTCTTCACAGAATTAGAAAAAACTATTTTAAATTTCATGTGGAATCAAAGAAGACCTTGTATAGCCAAGACAATCCCAAGCAGAAAGAAGAAAGCTGGAGACATCATGCTACCTGACTTCAAACTATACTACAAGGCTACAGTAACCAAAACACTATGGTACTGATATAAGTATCAAAACAGATATATAGACCAATGGAACAGAACAGAGACCTCAGAAATAACACCACACATCTACAACCATCTGATCTTTGACAAACCTCATAAAAACAAGCAATGGGGAAAGGATCTCCTACTCAGTAAATGGTCCTGGGAAAACTGGCTAGCCATATGCAGAAAACTGAAACTGGACCCTTTCCTAAACACCTTATACAAAAATTAACTCAAGATGGATTAAAGACTTAAATGTAAAACCCAAAACCATAAAAACCCTAGAAGAAAACCTAGGCAATACCATTCAGGACATAGGCATGGGCAAAGACTTCATGACAAAAATGCCAAAAGCAATTGCAACAAAAGCCACAATTGACAAATTGGATCTAATTAAAGCAAAGAGCTTCTGCACAGCAAAAGAAACTATCATCAGAGTGAACAGACAATCTACAGGAGAAAATTTTTGCAATCTACCCATCTGACAAAGGTATAATATCCAGAATTTACAAGGAAGTTAAACATATTTACAAGAAAAAAACAAACAACCCCATCAAAAAGTGGGCAAAGGATATGAAAAGACACTTCTCAAAAGAAGACATTTACATGGCCAACGAGCATATGAAAAAAAGCTCAACATCACTGATCATCAGAGAAATGCAAATCAAAACCACAATAAGATACCACCTCACACCAGTCAGAATGGCAATTATTAAAAAGTCAAGAAGCAATAGATGCTGGCAAGGCTGTGGAGAATTAGGAAATTTTTTACACTGTTGTTGGGAATGTAAACTAGTTCAACCATTGTGGAAACAGTATGGTGATTCCTTAAGGATCTAGAACCAGAAGTACCATTTGACCCGGCAATCCTATTATTGGGTATATACCCAAAAGATTATAAATCATTTTACCATAAAGACACATGCACATGTATGTTTATTGCAGCATTATTTACAATAGCAAAGACTTGGAACCAACCCAAATGCCCATCAATGATAGACTGGATAAAGAAAATGTGGCACCTATACACCATGGAATACTATGTAGCCTTAAAAAGGAATGAGATCATGTCCTTTGCAGTGACATGGATGAAGCTGGAAGCCATCACCCTCAGCAAACTAACATAGGAACAGAAAACCAAACACCACATGTTCTCACTCATAAGTGGGAGTTAAGCATTGAGAGCACATGGACACAGAGAGGGGAACAACACACACCAGGGTCTGTTGAGGGGTGGGGGGTGAGGGGAGGGAACTTAGAGGACAGGTTAATAGGTGCAGCAAACCACCATGGCACGTTCTGCACAGGTATCCAGTTTTTTATTTTATTTATTTATTATTTATTTATTTATTTTTTTTGAGATGGAGTCTTTCTCCGTTGCCCAGGCTGCAGTGCAGTGGCGTGATCTCGGCTCACTGCAAGCTCTGCCTCCCGGGTTCATGCCATTCTCCTGCCTCAGCCTCCTGAGTAGCTGGGACTACAGGTGCCCACCACCGCAACCTGCTAATTTTTTCCATTTTTAAATAGAGACAGGGTTTCACCATGTTAGCCAGGATGGTCTCAATCTCTTGACCTTGTGATCCAGCCGCCTCAGCCTCCCAAAGTGCTGGGATTACAGGTGTGAGCCACTGCGCCTGGCCTTTATTGTTTTTTTAGAAGAAGTAAAGAAAAAAAAGAAAAGAAATTTCAGATTGAAGAGTTCACCACATCACATATAAAGTTCTGCCTTGATTTGGGCATTCATGGAGCCAGAAACCATAATCACACAGGTATGCCTGGGCTTTATGTCTGTGAAGACTTTCCCAACCCTCTTTTGGCACCAATCAAAACTTAGTTCTCTCTGACTGTGTCAGTCACTATTCTGATTTTACACAAATCAAACAGTTTACATAACAATCACTCAACTTAAGAGTAACCTTTAACAAAACTCATGCAGTATTAATAAGAAGGTAACTTTTGACAAAGCACTTTGGTGATTTCTATCAAATGTAAACATGCATATATTTTTGACCCAGAAATTCATCTATTGAAATTCATCCTACTGATGTCCATACATAAGAGTATACTGAGCTGAGCATGGTAGCTCATGCCTGTAATCCCAGCACTTTGGGAGGCTGAGGTGGGTGGATCACCTGAGGTCAGGAGTCCAAGACCAGCCTGGCCAACATGGTGAAACCCCATTGCTACTAAAAATACAAAACATTAGCCGGGTTTGGTGGCACGTGCCTGCAATCTGAACTACTCGGGAGGCTGAGGTGGGAGACTCGCTTGAATCTGGGAGGCAGAGGTTGCAGTGAGCCAAGATCACCCCACTGCACTATAGCCTGGGCAACATTTTGTCTTTGAGTGAGACTGTGAGACTTTGTCTCAAAAAAAAAAAAAAAGTACACTAATGTAGAGGCAAGGATGTTCCCTGGAGCTCTGTTCGTAATGACAATAATCAAAATAGAAATAAACTAGATGTCCATTAGTGAGGAATTGTTTACTCAAACTATGGAATTTCAAAACAATACACACCATGACACTACTAGAAAAGAATAAGGTGAAGCTGGATACGATGACAAGGAATGATCTCAAAGGAGTATTATTAAGTTGAAAACACAAATAGCCTAATATTTAATATTTTTACATACATTGTACTAAATATGTGTGTGTGTCTAGATGTGGATGTGGATATAGATGTAGCTTTACATGTAGATATAGAAAAGAGGCTAAGAACATAGATATGGCTACAGATATAGATGTATATGTTCATACTGATACAGAGATGAGATGATGATAGAGATGAAGACAGAGATTATCCTCATTTTCCAGAATTCTGAAAATTAGTATGTCCCAGTACTTAGACCTTGTACTTTTTTGCATCTCTTCTCTCCTCACATTCTCACCGTTAGTTAGATCACTTAGACTCTTGACTTTAAATACAATTATATGCTGACAATGGCAAAATGGATGCCTCAGACTGGTACTCAACCCTGAATCCTGTTCAGTTGTTAATTGAAGAATATTGAGTCAAGGTAATAAAAAATTTCCTGGTAAATAATCATCCAGGCCTTTATCAAGTTGAACTTCATATATCTCATCATATATTTCACATAGTCACTTAATAAGCGTAACAAAATTAAAATGTTCAACATTAAACTCCTGGTTATTCTCACACCAACCTCTCCTCCCCTGTATTTCCTTATCTCATTAAGTGGAACTGTTATTCTTCCAGTCACTCAGGCAAAAAGTGCATGTTTCATATTTGATTTCTGTTTTACTCTTGCCCTGCCTCCTACACTACATAGGGCCAATTATAATTAATAACACATGAATATATTTGCTTTCACTATACATGTTGAGATTTATTTATATTGTTTTAAATTCTAAAATATTAGTGATGTGCATTTGGCCTGATAACTAAACACAGAGGGAAATATGTCTGACTAATACATGATTTCATGGGTACATAATTTTCATCCACATCAAATCTTTTATTGCTTAAGGCAACATTAGTAGCAATTCTAGTTCAACAGTTGCATGTCACACAAACCTGAGGATGTTTTTCTCAAAAATTGGAGTGGCAGCTGATCCTTAGGTTGTATAAAAATATTTGTTCCTGTTCCCATATATAAGGAAAAAATATAGAGGGATAAGGGCGTATCTCCTATTGAGTCTGATTCCCATGTGCTCTAAGGGGCATCCGTTTCTAAGTCAGACCCCTCTGGAAAAAATATTAACTTTTCCAGGCCAAAGCAATACCTAAAACTAAGCATGAAGATATAAAGAAAAAATCTGATTGAAATGTCATCAGAACACTCAGGTGTTTAATCAATTTGTGTATAGACCCACAAGAAAGCCCATCAGAGTATTCTCTACTCTCTCTCTCTCTCTCCCTTAGAGACAGACACTTATGTATATGTATTTTCTTCATGTACAAAAGAGATGAGCTATGAACAACTTCTTAAGAAATGTCGGCCGGGCGCGGTGGGTCACGCCTATAATCCCAGCACTTTGGGAGGCCGAAGCGGGTGGATCACGAGGTCAGGAGATCGAGACAATCCTGGCTAACATGGTGAAACTCCGTCTCTACTGAAAATACAAAACAAAATTAGCCGGGCGAGGTGGCGAGCGCCTGTAGTCCCAGCTACTCGGGAGGCTGAGGCAGGAGAATGGCGTGAACCCGGGAGGCGGAGCTTGCAGTGAGCCGAAATCGCGCCACTGCACTCCAGCCTGAGCAACGGAGCGAGACTCCGTCTCAAAAAAAAAAAAAAAAAAAGAGAAAAGAAATGTCATCACTTTCACGTAAAGACCTACTGAACAGAAATGAATGTCACCAATAAGTAAAATCCCACCAATACCATCAGAATGAGCGTACTACTTTGGACCACTTAAACCACAAACAGCAAGCTAGTTCTAAGCAAGTAATTATACAGGCAGCTGAAGTAGAAAGTCAGAAGGCGGGAGGATAGAAGAAGCATTTCCAGAATTCACTGAAACGAAGCTTCCAAAAACATCAAGTGGCCAGTTGAAGAACCCAGCAGCTGCACACCTATTAGCCATTTTCATGTAAATTATGAATCCAGCAAGCAAGTCAAAAATAGTGACAAACACTTAAGCTAGAGTTATAGTCACTAATCAAAGGCTTGCCTTCACCTGTGCTCAGTGGGAACTGTGCTTTATTCTTTTATTGGCCTTTACTTTCAAGCTAACAGAACACAATTAACCAAGAAGAAGCGCAATTAACCAAGAAAAGTCATCCAACAATAAGTTATTCAGGAAAATGCCATGCCAATGTATTTCATTCTTGGCTCTCTCTATAGCAGATGATTTCATAGCCTTTTTATTAAGAAGAATAAGGATCTACAACACTCCTCTTTCTCTCCACATTCCTGCCTCTTCTCATGCTGCTATGAAACGTCTTTGAATTTATTTTCTGATTTCTGTCCCTCTGCTAACCAATTAAGTGTGGATAAAACTCACGTATAGTCAGTGTGTCCCTTATGCATATAGAATAAGATCTGAACTGCTCCTCCTAGAATTCAAAGTCTTTCACAAATCAGCCGCTTTGGGTCTCTTCACTAATCCCCCATCATCGTGAATGGCTGCATGAAGATGAAATACCCAGGGAAATGTAGAGACAAACAAAAGGGTGTTTTCAAGTGAATAGTGGGGCAGGTCTTTCATGCATCCTGAATATACCATCAAAATATCAGAAAGATGCTTCATGAGATGCAATGCATGAATTTTAAAACCTTGTCATTTCAGTTACTAATTTTTAGCAGAAACGTGATTAAGAAAAGCCCTAGACAGCCCTAACTCCCAGGCCTTCAGGAAACAGCTATATTTCCTGCTCACCAGTATGACATTTGTAACAAAACAGAATATGTTGGAATCAAAAGCTACTCTTTAATCACTCTCTATTTGGTTTAAAACATATTCTTCACCAAAGAACTCAAGCTCACTTCTTAATCTTCATCACTTTAAAAAATATAACAGCTTTTCATCAATAGCATTCATTTTATCTATATTCTTGTCATAGTTCCCTTGAGATGCCTCACGTTTCTTTTATTAAGACCCTCCTAGGCCTTTCTGTAATATGCAATAAGGGTATATTTACATCACACTCCCACTGCACAAATCAGTACAACATAAGTAAATTATTCCAAAAACTTTCTCAGAGTCTGGCTCCTTGGCTAAAAACCATGTGTATCACAGTTTTTACAAAAACACATACCACTTCCTCAATAGAATAGGGTGGCTCCATCTGTGTGATTCTATTCAACTATTGTACAGCATGGGAACAGATATTTATGAATCATTTGTCCAACAGACCTCATTGGATCCCTAACACCTGCTGTGTAAAACATATCTTCAGGCATATGATGAAAATATTTCAAAACTCATGAGAAGCCAAAATAAAGCAGCTCTTTCTTAGTTTGACATCACAAAATAATAAGTTTAATTAAAATATATTTCTGAGCTGGACTTGAAAGAAGGCAAATACCACTTTTAAAAGATGATGACAAAGACCTTAAGAAGACTAAAAGGGGTAACTATCAGTGATACTCAGGCCTCAAAGCAATCCCAATCATCTGTCTGCTGCAGAGTAACCACTCTAGTCAAGCACCCTCTTTCTTCTGACATCTGCCTTCCCATTCATTTTCAAACCCATGCTTATATTTTTAAGGAATTCTTGCCTCTTTTGTCTTTGCCTTTGCACTCCCTTCAATTGACTGTTTATTCTAAAAGTTATTCAAAATGTACATAACAGTGAAGGTTAGTGCTGATACCAAAAAAAAAAAAAAATGTTAAAATCCTAGTCTCATGCTATTTTTGTTATGAGTAGGTGGCTGGCCCAAATAGCATCTATCCACACAACTGTCTTGTGACCCGAGTTGCTTTGGTTCATTCACATCTCCTGCTTTTCTCTCTAGAGCATTACCCGCTCAACACTGAAATAGCTAATCATTTCACAGACAGCTATCTGACTGATTTGTAGATAGCGTACTAAACAACTGGGTTGCCTGCTATTTCCCCCTGCATTTTCCCCTGCATTGATCAAATAATCCTGAATCACTGTGCTGCAGCCTTCTTTCTCACCTATTGACTTCATACTCATTTTTCTTCTCTGCAGACTCTATTTCATTTCCTCTTTATCTGACTTGGCCTCATTTTTACTTTATCATAGGTAGTAAGTCAATTTGTAGTCACAGGGTTATCAGTAAAGATTATCAGAATGGACATCTGTCCTCCACACCAAAAGAAAAAAAAGTGCTTGATGACTAGATGTATGGGGAATTACACACATGCATGTACGCACGTGTGTGAGCACACGCACACACACGTGTGCAAGTGCACTCCCACCTAAACAAATCTGTCAGCTGTCATTCTGGGCCCTTGCTAGCATTTCACTTTGAATGCCAAGTGGCCTCCAGGTCAAAGGGTACAAGCAGAAAAACACGGGAAAGCAATAAATAAGTTCTTCTGACAAGGGAGCTTTTATCACCAACAGTGGTGTGGTCATTAAAAACACAGAATAATCCAATCTTAATTCCTCTTACTCTCTACAGAGAGGACACTTTAAAACATTTAAACCTCTCAGTCAGAATATTGTATTTTCTTTGAAGGGAGAAAAAGAAAAAAGAGAATTAGCTCACCTTTGTTATTTGGGATTTAAAGTAATTTCAAACTGTGAAAGTTCTATAAAAGGGTTTCCTGCAAATGTTTGAAATGGAAACAGAATGACATGATACTCAGTCTTGAGAATGGTAAATGTTTATATGTAGCCCATGACTGCATTCCCATAATGATAAAAGTTCAGTGGTAATTGAAATGAGAGATTATGTTGCTATTTCCTGTACTGGGAATTAATGTTAATATCCCTATGAATTATCTAAAAGAGGCATTACCGAATGAAATTCACAAGTTTGAAAATGAAACAGCTATTTTTGAAAGTAAAATCCCATGCACATGGAGATACTCTAATGCAGTGATGATTTCATCTGGGGATAATTTTGCCCTCAGGGGATATTTGGCAACGTCTAGAGACATTTTGGTCATTACGATTCAGTGGATACTACTAGCATCTAGTGGGGACAGAGATGCTGCTGACTATTCCTGGCCCCACTTACCATGAACAAGAAAGTCCTCATCCCTGCAACAAAGAATTACCAGCCACAAATGTCAGTTGTGCCAAGATTCAAGAGCTCTGCTATACTAAGAAAGCATCCAAGGCCCAAGGTTCATTTCAAAATGAACAAAGGTAGTAAGATAAAATAAAAAGCCCACAAGACTGTTTACAGTAGGATGAGTTCTGAAATACCAATTGTTACTTAGGAAAGAACAATATCCTGGAACTTTAGAGCTGGAAGGAACAGAACAGATTATCTAATCCAAACTTCACTTTTCAGAGCTTGGCACCAATGAGGAGGTATGCTGTGTGCTTGCCTGCAGCCTGCAAACTCCTGGCTGACTGTGGGGCATAAGGAAGAACAGTGGGTGGACTTGATTTTGTAGTGGTAGACACAGTCCTAGAATCTCATGGAGCTATTAAGAACTGTTGTCTGAAATGGTCACTTTAATAAGATCAGGGTGGTTCAATCTGGATGGCAAAGAGTAAGAAGGAATATCACTGAGGTTAATAGCATAAGTAAGGAAAACAGGTAAACATATATTTCTACATCGAATGTTACTGTGTTACCAAAATACCAGGGATTTGATCTAGGTCCTGTTGCTTACCACACAGAAAGCCAATCACCAAGACAGCAAGTATTACCAGGGAAAAAGACTTTATTCGGGTGCTACATCCAAAGAGACAGGAGATCAGTCTTAAACCCATCTCCTCAACTGACTAAAATTAGAAGCTTAATTATATAGCAGGGAACAAACGTAACCATGTGTGGGAAAACATGAATTAGAGAAGGGTAAGGAAGGGGAGTTGATCAATAGGAAGCAGGTGGTTAGTTAGGCAATAAGGACAGGTAAGAGGTCTGGCGTCTCAATGTCCAAGTGCGGTGATCTGGTAAGTTTCAGTTCCTTGATACTATCTGGGAAGACTGATGGTTGGTTTTCTGAGAAGGGAACTCAGATAAGACAAATGTAACTTTTTCCAGTTTTAAGATTGGGAGGACCAATTTCTATGATTATTCAAAAGAAACCACAAATGTCAGTTCTATTGGACACTTGGGCCAGATTCAACTGTATAAGAATTAAGATAAACCCTTGGAACTTGAAAGTAATGAATTTGTGGAAAAATAGTCCACACATTTTTCATACATTTACTAAATTTATGAAATTTGACACTCTTGAAAGGCGACTTAGATTTCAAAAATTAATAGCTTCCAAAGATGTTATACAAATTTATGAGCAAGAAAGTCATAGCAAGATAAAACAAACAAACAAAAAAAAAACCTCAAGCGATTTGGAAATTGTATTGGACAGAGTTGTGCTGGCTCTCGCTGTATAAGCCAAAATAGAGTCTACTAAGAGGATGCCATGTGATTCACAGAAATATTGGAAAGAATGAAGAACCAGGCTAAAGACTGTATTCTGGAAACAGCACAAAACCATGCTCCAACACTGAATGGATAAGAATGCTGGCCCAACACTGATCAGCTCTGCTGCCACTTTTACACTGAGCGCACTGCTGTTGTGGCCAGAGATAAGGCATGACAACTGAGACTGTACACTGGCTTAAAGGAGCAGCCCCTGGTTCAGTGGCATGTACCTGTAGTCCCAGCACTTAGGGATGCCAAGGTGGGAGGATTACTTGAGGCCAGGAGGTCAAGACCACCCTTTGTAACATAGTGAGGCCCCGTGTTCACAGCTACTCAGGAGGTTGAGGCAGGAGGATCACTTGAGGCCAGGAGTTCAAGGGAACCCTGGGCAATATAGCAAGACTTCATATATTTAAAAAAAAAAAAAAAAGGAGCAAAAGCTGCTTCTCACTGACACCACTTGCTCACCACAGACTGCAGCCAACTCTGTGCTTTATTATCCCCACTCTGGGTCCCAGGCTGATAGAAGCCACTATCTGGGTTCTACTGTTCTAATTTTACTGTTCACTGAGGCAGAAGGCAAGAGTTCCAAAGGGTCTCAGTTATTGAACAGTCTTGAACTGTTCAATTCAGTTATTGAACACTCTGAGCCAGAAATAACACCATCACTTTCACTCACAGTCCATTAGTCAGTACTAGTCACCTGTCTCCACCCAACAACAAAGGGGCCAGGAAGCATAATCCTGGCCCCTTTGTGTCTCAAAGGCAGAACGCTAATGAACCCAACAACTACCTCTACCGCCACTCTGATGTCACTCGGCCTCTGGAAGCCCATTCAGTCCACACCACTGCTCTCACCACCAAAAGGCAAGTGTGAACTCTCCCTCCCTTTGTTCTCGTGACACTAACTCTTAGTCTGTCACAGGTGGATCTGTTTGACAGGTCAAATGTCTGTGCTGTAGCATTTTCAGCTCCCATAAGCTAAAATGCCCCTTCAAGCCTCCTAAAGTGCAGCCATTCCTAATCATAAAAATGCCACAAAAATTTAGATGCTAGATGTCCAAAAATATAATAAATTCCTACCTAGGAAAGTAATTTTAGAGACATTCATGTTCTCACCACATATGTCCCTTTGAGATACTGCTTAAGTATTGTCTTGAGAGGTCAGATCAATAAGTCCTAGCCTATTCTCCTGGATTCCCAATCAAAGGTGCCGAGCACAGCAATGACATGGAGAAAATAAAGTGCATTGGAAGGAAGCATTGGCTTTAAAAACACCAAGAAGAATACAAGAAAAGAGTGCCTAAAGTGACTGTGTCAAATTGATATTGGGTCTCCTAAGAGCAGAGCACAAGAGAGAGGGCTCAGAGCAAAGATGAGAAAATTGTAAAAGGCCAGTTTATATTTGTGGAAATGATCTTTGCAATAGCCAAATGCAATCTGCAACTGGCACCTTGGTGCTGGTCAGGAATATTGAAAGCTGCCCAGAGGCTGAGCTAAATTGTACTCTTGACACGCCCAGAAGCAGCCATTCCCATCATCAATCTAGATGATTTTATCCTCTCTGACTACAGGTTTGGTTTTTTTTTGTTTGTTTGTTTGTTTTTTTCATTTCTTTTCTTGACTTTCTCCACTTTTGTAATAGAAAAAGGAGTGCAAAAATGAGGAGATGAAAGCTGAAATTTTAAAAAGTATATTAGATTAGCTCAAGAAATAAATTACATATGGTCAAATACTTCATATTACCTAAGTGTGAGTGTATTTTGTCTTTGAAGTTTTTTGCTGAAAAGGGCTCTTCTAATTACAGAACTTCCTAATAGTAATAAGAAAGTTATATTTTATTTTATGAAACTTTCATAAGTACATATATTATAACTAACTGACATGACTATAGTTATCCCTCTTATGCAAATATGGAATTAATAGTCTTTTTAAACTATGAACTCCTTTCCATTGATATAACTTTTGTCTTATATATACCAATATGTACATTAGAAAAATCTTACACACCTGGAATATTTTCAATTCACTTAAAGAAAGTTTTGAGAGTCATTTGTTATTTTAAAATAAAGTGTCTCTACTTATAAAAGAGGTAATTTAAATTTGAAAAAAAAGTACTTGTTTCCTACCATGGAGGTATGCTTTCTTTTCATTTTAAGCACATGTATACATATGCTTACAAACTTATATATGTGTGTGTGTTTGCTTATATGTATACGTATGGATGCATGTGTCATGCAGCCATATTAGTGAAAATATATATGTATATATACATGTATAAATATTTGTAATTTTACCTGATATGGATTGTATCAGTCCATTTTCACGGTGCTGATAAAGACATCCCCAAGACAGAACAATTTACAAAAGAAAGAGGTTTAATGGACTTACAGTTCCCCATGGCTGGGGAAGCCTCAAAATCATGGCAGAAGGCAAGGAGGAACAAGTCACATCTTACGTGGATGGCAGCAGGCAAAGAGAGAGATTGGGCAGGGAAACTCCTCCTTACGATATCATCAGATCTCATGAGACTTATTCACTATCACGAGAACAGCATGGGAAAGACCTGCCTCCATTACTCAATTACCTCCTGCTAGGTCCCTCCCACAACACATGGGAATTCAAGATGAGATTTGGGTGGGGACACAGCCAAACTATATCATGGATTTACAATGCATTATTTTTATATGAGATCTGGGTGGCCATGTGCAACACCCAAATCCCTCCTACAGGTCTGAGGCACTCATTTCCTCAAATGCTAGGAGAGGTGGCCGGTGGTACTCTCACCTGAGGCACTCTCAGAGAACTGCTCGCAAAGAGAGCTAGCTCACCAAAATCACACCCCTTCCTCTCCTGTCACAACCCTTCACTGATGACTGTTCAAAACAAAGGTGTAAAGGTCCAGTCAGCTTACTTCAGTTCAAGACAATTCTGAAGGATCAATCCAGCTCCAGAGCTCCATGTAGGGTCTGCTGAGACTTTCTCTGTAACCACATCACATCTTCATCACATCTTAAGTCTCCTCTCATCCCAACCCTACTTCCTCTGCTTTCCCTCTTGTGTTCACCTCCAAATCACCCCTCTTCCTGCATATCTTCAAAATCCCTTTCCTGGGGAGCCTGAACTAAGACAAGATAAAAATAAGTATTTTTGCATATTATTATAAACTTTTCATTGGGCAAGTTACTCAACTTCTTCATGCTTTAGTTTGCTCACCTATAAAATGAAGAAAAATAAAAGTGCCTATCTCACAGAATTATTCTTATAATGAAAGTGATAATACTAAAGATCTTAAAATAGCATGTAGCATGAAATAACAGTACTCGATAAAATATTAAACATTATTATCATTTTGGTGGAAGTTTAAATATCTTTCAAATGAATGAGCCATATTATACTTAATCAACATATTTAGATATTTAGATAAACCCTATTTTGATATACATTCAGTTATACCTTTTTTGTGAATAATCATTTTTCACATTTGAAATCATTTTGTAGAAAATATTTGTAGAGGTAAAATTAATGAGTTAAAGGTTATACATATTTTTAAATGGTATCTATTTTATAATTATAAAGCCAATAAATATCCATTATAGAAATGTTTTAAAGTACAAAAAAGTGGGAAGTTATAAAGAAAAAAACTGATATTCTATAATTTTTTGATATTTAAATTGTAAAGATTTGCTACAGTGTACCTCTATATACTGATAAGATATGACTATCAACTTATTTTGTTAATGATAGAAGCAAGCTAGATAAAATTGTATATTGAATATACGCATCTTTATTTTTTAAGAGGTTACAGTTTGCAGACTCAAGCTTGTATATACATAGATATCTCTGGAATTATTTATAAGGAAGAGATAACCATAATTCCTTCTAGGGAAAGAGACTTACTTTTTACTATATACTCTATTAAATTATTTTTTGAATACTATAATGTGCTCGTATTAACATTTTAAAGTCAAAAAACAATTTTAAACCATTTTATGAAATTAGGTTCAGGGGGAAAATTTGGTAAAATAGAAAATAAATTTTTTTGATATTACATTGCAACCAAAAACTCATGGGAACACTAACGTTCCTGAATTCTTGCCAGCATCCAGTATTTATAAGTTATCAATACTTGCTGATTTTATAGACAAAACAATATTTCATTAACACTTTAATTACTTTTTAAAAATAGTATAATTAAACTATTTTAAACATACATGCTAAGCAATTATATTTAATAAATTATTTGGATAGGACTTCTGGCTATGGTAACATGAAGTGGTCAGTGAATCCTCCCCACAAATAAAATAAAATAAAATAAAATAAAATAAAATAAAATAAAATAAAATAAAATAAAATAAAACTGGGCAATATTTTCAAAAACAACCTTTTAAGAAACTTCTGAAAAGTGATCAAACAACAAACAGAGATGCTTATTCGTGAAGAATTTCTGTAACTCTAGGTAAGAATGGTAGGAGTCTCTTGAGCTGCTCCAGTTCCCCCAGAAGATGGGCTAAAAAGCAGAATTGAAATAACAAGAAAAATTCAGTGAACTTGAAGTTAAATCAATAGAAAGTACACAATCTGAAGAAGAGAGAGAAAAAGGATTAAAGAAAAAGGAACGGTTCTTGAGAGAACTGTGGGCCAACATCAAACATACCAACATATGAACAATGGATGTCCCAGCAGGAGAGGAGAGGAAAAGGCAGGAGAAAAATCATCAAAGAAATAATGATCTAAACATCCCAAATTTGATAAAGAATATTAAGAAACAGAATCAAGAAGCTCAAAAAAACTCTAAGTAGGATAAACACAAAGCGACGTATACCTAGATATATCACAGTTTAATTGCTAAAAGCCAAAAACTACATTTATTGTGAATGGGTTAAGTACTTCCATCAAAAGGCAGAAATTTTTAGACTGAATAAGAAAGCAAGACCCAACTTTATGCTACCTACAAGCGAAACATTTCAATTTCAAATGTACAAAATAGATAAAAGTACGAAGATGAAGAAACATCTACCATGCAAACAGAAACCATAAAAGAGCTAGTGTGATTATATTAACACCAGACAAAAATGGACACTAGGGCAAAAAAATTATTAGAAATAAAGGGAGGCTATGAACAGTAGGGGGAGGGAGGAGATGAAGAGAGGTTTATTTATAAGCACAAATACACACTTAGATAGAAGAAATAAGACCTGGTATTTGACAGATCAGTAGAGTGACCACAGTTAACATTAATAGATTGTACATTTCTAAATATCTAGAAGATAATAATTCAAATGTACCTAGTATAAAGAAAAGATAAGCATTTAAGGCAATAGGTATCCCAATTACTCTGATTTGATTATATGAGTACATCAAATTATCACATGCTCTGCAAAAATATGTACAGCTATTATATATGAATATAAATAAATAAGTCTTGAAAAGATACACTTCATAATGTCAAAGGGGTCCATGCATCAGAAAGAAAAAGTAATTATAAATGTAAACACATCTATAAAAAAGGTCCCCAGAAGTACATGAAGCCTAAACTGACAGAATTGAAAGGAAAATAGACAATTCAACAATTATATTTGGATATTTCAATAGTACACTCTCAGTCATTGATAAAACTACCAAATATAAAATCAGTAAATATGGAAGATTTTAAAACCTAGAACAACAACTTGAATAGCCTAACCAATACTAAAAGCACCCCATCCCACAACACCAGAACATAGATTGTTTTAAGCATATATAAAACATTTTCCAGGGCAGATCATAAAACGATTCACAATAAATTTAATTTATTTGTGATCTATTCTTATATTTCACCATTTAGTCAATGTTATTATAGCATTTGTCAATTTAAGTAAAGTTTTAATTTTTAATTTTTGTGTTTATGTAGGAGGTATGTATATATAAGTAAATTCTTTATGTGATAATTATACTATAGTTCTGACTTCTCATATTTGTTGCTTATGTTTTTCCAACTTGATTTGATTTGATATTTTGGTAGGGGTTTTTTTGTGTGTGCTTTTCAGACCTACTAATATTTCCTCTCACTAGTTCTATCTTTTACCTGCTTAGAAATTATCTCTTACCTTAGAGGGTTGATAAAATTAACTTCTGTTACTTTCAAACTTTTCTTGCAAGACATGTTTTTATTATTTAAATATTTAATTCACCTAGAATATGTGAACATTTGAAGTGAGGATCTAAGATTTTTCCAAAACTTTTTCTAAATTTTCTAATTAGTTTAATTCCAATAATCCCATATTTATGCATTGATTTGACAGATATTTATTGGATATCATGTTCTTACAAAATTTCAAATTGTAAGACTAAAATTTATAAATTTTTGATAATTATTATTCAATTTATAAGCTTAATGCAAGTTTACTCATGAACCTTTTGTGATTTTTTAAAGAAAACTTGACAAAATGATTAAACATGTTCACAGGAGAAATAAATTTGGAAAGAAAAATTTTAAAAGGTTTCAGGGGAGATATTCTCTCACATAATTAAATGATATGTCTTTGATGTATAAAAAACAGAATAAATATTAAAATTCAGTTGACTATACATACATATATATATATACCTCAAATGATACAGAGCATTTATGAGGAATTCTATTTGATAAGCTAAACTGTGACCACTACAACCAGAGCAGATCCAAAACACGGGGTGAGAATTAAAGAGGATAAAACATAATAGGCCGGGCACAGTGGCTCACACCTGTAATCCCAGCACTTTGGGAGGCCGAGGTGGGCGGATCACGAGGTCAGGAGATGGAGACAATCCTGGCTAACACGGCAAAACCCTGTCTCTACTAAAAATACAAAATATTAGCTGGGCGTGATGGCGGGCGCCTTTAGTCCCAGCTATTCGGGAGGCTGAGGCAGGAGAATGGTGTGAACCTGGGAGACGGAGCTTGCAGTGAGCCAAGATTGTACCACTGCACTCCAGCCTGGGCAGCAGAGCGAGACTCCATCTCAAAAAAAAAAAAAAAAAATACATAATATAGATAAACTTTAAGCAGAAAAGGCAGATTTTTTTATATCTAGAGAGCTGAAAAAGTGATCAGCAGAATAGTAGCCTGTCAAATAGTAAAAATAATTGATCTATCTTTGGCCAGACTTGAAGATCAAAGAAAGAGTTGCAGAATGTCTTCAGAAAATGACTACACTAGCTATTTTTCAGACATCAGATAAATGTTTTCAAATTCAATAGCATACAAGGCACAAATTATTAACAAATTTGAATTCCAATCATATACTTTTGTCAGAAAAAGCTAAAAGGCAACTAAGACTATATGTTTGTTTTTTTTAAATCTACATTAGGTAAGCAAGAGAAATAAAGAGAGAAAATACGATAGTTTGTGTGGTGATCACTCACTGGGCATGATATTTAATTGAATGCAATCAATCCATGGATTCTACTTACTAGGTTTAGAATTGAAAACTGTAAGTTTAGGTTCAGGATGATAAATTTTTACTACTTAAAAATTACATTCTTCCAAGAATACCACATCAGACATGGTATATAGCATTACCAAGGAAACCATTTGTGGGAAACTTCTGAAGCACCTAGATGATACCTTAGACTTGCAGATGCACATGCCTTATTTAAAACATAAAATGAAAACAAGAATCACTTCAATGATAAAGAATAGTGTTAAAAGTAGGGCACTCCCCAGGAGGAAATGGGATGAAGATCCTGGCTGGTCTGCCAGCTTTATCACAGCTCTCATGTAATGGACCGAATGTCTGTGTCCCCCAAAATTCATGTTGAAATCCTAACTCCCAGTTTGGTGGTATTCAAAGGCAGGGGCTCTGAGAGGTAATTAGGTGATGAAGGTGCTGTCTTCATAGGATTAGTGCTCTTATAAAAGGGAACCCAGGGACCTCTTTGGCTCTCTTTCCACCATGTGAGAATACAGCAAGAAGTCAGCAGTCTGCAACCTGGAAGAGGGCCTTCACCAGAACCAAGCTATGTTGGCACCCTGATGTCGAATTTCCAACCTCCAGAGCCATGAGAAATAAATTTTTGTTGTTTATAAGCCACCTAGTCAAAGTATTCTGTTATAACATCCCTACTGACTAAGACACCTCACTTAGATTAACATTACTGTAATCAAGATCCACATAATGAATCCTTTGTATTGATACTTTTCAAAACTTCAATTTTGTCTGTAAAAGTTAGACTCAATAAATATTCTTAAACGTGGCTTTGGACTTACTCTTTGTATAAAATGTTTTGTTAAAGCAGAAAAGAGCAAATATGCTTAGAATTATGTCAACTACACTACCATAAAAGATGACCCACAGCCATGGGACAATACTGTCTTCTCCCGTTACTCATTCTCTCTTCCTGCCATACTCCTGTCCAAAGACTACTTTAGAGACCCATTCTATTGTTTGTGCTCTGAGTACACAAGGACATTACTTCAAACTTTGTCATTATTGAATATTATTGCCATTTGTATAAATGTACCAATGCACTTAAAAATAAATATTGAACATTGTTGGCGGGAACAGCATTTAAACAGTGACAACATCATTAAATAATTATAACTATATACATTGAATTTGAAAAGTTCTAAAAGTATGTAGATTTTATATTACTGGATGCTGGAAAGATGCCTTTTCAAAGTTAATTAATACTTTACTCAGCTGGAAGCGTATTCACATTTTCCTTACCTCAGGGCACACTGAAATCATCCTGGCCAAAGGATTTATCTTAACTTCTTCTTAAACTGTGTTGAAGAATAATATAACTGCAATAGTTGATGTATCACAAAACAAGCAAATCATTATTACAGAGGAGAAAATAGTTAAATGCATGAAACTGTTAGCTCAGACATGTTGATTTTGCTATCTCCTTTAATTATTTTAAAGTCTGTCTTGGACAATTCTGCCTAAGGAGTCAGTTGCGAACAAAGAACCCAACTAAGTTTGTAAACCCTACAAAACATATCAAATGCCCTCTTAACCCTTACTTATGAACAGTTGTATTAGTTCATTCTTGCAATGCTATAAAGAAACACCTGAGACTGGATACTCTATAAAGAAAAGAGGTTTAATCTGCTTCTGGGGAGGTCTCAGGGACCTTTTACTCATGGTGAAAGGCAAAGCAGGAACAGGTTCCTTACACAGCAGGAGCAGAAGGAAGGGAGGTGCTACACACTTTTAAACAACTGCATCTCATGATAACTCACTATCACCATGACAACATCAAGAGGGATGATGTTAAACCATAAGAATCCTCCCGCATGAGCCAAACACCTCCCACCAGGCCCCACCTCCAACACTGGGGATTATAATTTGACATGAGATTTGGGTAGGGACACAGAGCCGAACCATATCAATAGTGTAGCTATGAATCTGACATTAGACTTCCCTATTACATTTAAACCACAGACATTAATATGCTATTAAAATATCCTAACATCTGAGAAAGACCTCTCCAAGTTTATGCCTAAAAAACAAATGACTTACTGTGACTCCTGGCCCAGTATTCTCATGTCTTCTCCACCCATCTATGAAACTCTAGTAGACTAAGTTGTTAGCTTGCAAGTATAGTAAAATCTCAGATCCTTCACAGGTCTTGCCATTTGCACAGTCAGAATTAAAGAATTAGAACAATTACTCTTAAAATTCTACTGAAAAGTGTAAGTGCACATATTAGTCCATTTTCACACTGCCGATAAAGACACACCTGAGACTGGAAAATTTACAAAAGAAAGAGGTTTATTTGAACTTACAGTTTCACATGGCTGGGGAAGCCTCACAATCATGGTGGAAGGCAAGGAAGAGTAAGTCACATCCTACATGGATGGCACCAGGCAAAAGAGAGAGCTTGTGCAGGGGAACTCCTCCTTTTAAAACCATCAGATCTTGTGAGACTTATTACTATCACAAGAACAGCACTGGAAAGGCTTCCTCTCAAGATTCAATCACTCCCACCAGGCCCCTCCCACAACACATGGGAATTCAACATGAGATTTGGGTGGGGACACAGCCAAACCACATCAGTGCATTATAAAAAATTCTCCTACTATAGTTTTTTATCTTAACTTTGCTCTAGTTTTAGGTTATTAGGATGAAGATTGCCACAAAGTGAGCATCATGGAGATGTAGAAGTCTTGATGCAGAACTAAACAAATTGAGTTAAAATACTAGCTTTGCCATTTACAAGCTGTGTGATCTTGGGGAAATTATATGTTTACATCTCAGTTCTCTAAAATGCAAGAGAGGGCTAGTAATCACCTTTTAATGTAATTGTGAAGATTAATTACAATCATGAAGGTAAAGTGCCTAGACCATAGTAACCATAAATAACTTTTCTCAACAAATACATGTTAAGCATCTTCTCTGCTAGGCAATTTTCTGGGAATACAAAAGTAAATAAAACATAAAATGAACTATCTGCCCTCATGAATCCTATAATCTGATTAGAAGTTGACAAAATAGACAAGTTAAAAATAGTAATAATTGTTTACAATTATTAAAAAGTAATAATAATATTGAATAATAATATGTTAAGGAGGAAAAATAAAATAAAGATTTGAGAGAATAGAAAGTGTTGCAGGTGTGAGGTTGCAATCTCCAATAAGGTGATCAGGATAAACTTCATTGAAATGGTGACTTTTGTGACAAGACCAAAGAGAAGTGAGCAAGAGAGACCGGTGGCTATGATGGGGAGAGTATTCTAGGCAAAAGAGCTTACCTGGAATGTGGCTAGAATATTCAAGGGACAACAGGGAGATTTGTGATAGCTGCAGCCAAGTGATAAGGAAAAGAATAGTTAGAAATGAAACCAAAGACCAGGCGTGGTGGCTCATGCCTGTAATCCCAGCACTTTGGGAGGCCAAGACGGGTGGATCACCTGAGGTCAGGAGCTCGAGACCAGCCTAACCAACATAGTGAAACCCCATCTCTACTAAAAATAAAAAATTAGCTGGGCATGGTGGCAGACACCTGTAATCCCAGCTACTCAGGAGGCTGAGGCAGGAGAATCGCTTGAACCTGGGAGGCGGAGGTTGCAGCAAACCAAGATAATGTCATTGCACCCCAGCCTGGGCAACAAGAGTGACATTCTGTCTCAAAAAAAAAAAAAAAGAAAAAGAAAAGAAAAAGAAATGAGAGCAAAGAGGAAAGAAAGGGCATAGAGGTCAGATCATACTAGCTTTATAAGTCATACAAACAGCTTTGGTTTTTATTACCAGTGATATAGGAAGCTATAAAAGGATTTTGGTAGAGAAGGAACATGAAGTGAAACATCTTTTAACGTGATCACTCAGGCTGCTAGAGGGGAGCAAGGGTAGAAGCAGAGAGATCACTTAGGAGATTATTTCAATAATCTAGGCAAAAACTGAAGCAATTTCGACTATGGTGGTGACAGTAGGGAGGCCAGATTCCAGACAGATAGAAAGTAGAGTCAAGAGGATTTGCAGTTGGTTGGACTTGGGATATAAGAGAAAGAGAAGAGCTGTGAATGTTGTTAATGTTTGAGAATAAGAAGTGAATTTTTCCAGAATTTTCCAGAATAAGAAGTGAAGAATACTGTAGGAGGTGCAGATTTGGGCAAGGGGGAGTATGATGGGGAGTTCATTTTGGACATGTAAATTTTGAATATGTAAAGTTAGAAACACATGTGGAGTATACTGTGGAATATGTGAGTTTGGAGTTGAAGGCCAATATTTTAATATTTAATTTGATACATCCTCATCGGTTGCTCAATATCATCTCAATTATGTAGTCATTTTGGAGTAATGACCAGTGTCAACCTCTTATTGACAGACACTGCTACAAAAATTACTAGGAGCTAAAATATTATAAGTTTTAAATAAATGTAAAGTGCTTTGAAAAACTACCAGGTTATTTTAAGCTAGCCTCACAAGGTGGCTGAACTTGGTTAAAGCCACTATAATCTGGAGATTGGCCCTCAGTCTGGAAATTTCACGGACTTCCTAGGAAAAGTCAGTCCATGTTTGTAACTGGATGAGATACTTCCTATGAAGCTGCACAAATAACTAATCTCAATTGTTTTTCTTAATCTTTTGTTAAAACCAGTTTAAGGTAGAAAAATTGTTTGACTTGTCTCTAAATTCTGGGAATCATCCAAGTATTATACTATGTCATTTCATAATTTCTGTTTTAGAAAACTAATAACAATGAGTTCTAAAATAATTATAATTTACAGAAATCCCCATTACAGTATGTTTCATTCAAGTTTTGCTACATTATTTGGATGGTTGAATTTTCATTCAAATTTTAACACCTATCGAAGTTTTCCAAAGCTCAAAAACAAATGAAATCTATATATGAAAATTCTGGAAAAAGCAAGATTTAGGTATGGATTAAGGAAGATAAATTCAATGACTAAAACAGAGCTATAAGGAAATGGATAGCATGCATGGGTGGCTAAAACTTTGACTATTCACTCATAAAACAAAAACCCATTGATCATCTATCATGTGTTCACTGTAACCATAAATCTTATGAGTTATTCCAAAATTAAATGTTTCCTAAATCTTCTAAACAATAGAGACAAGTAGATGTATAAAATCCTTCCCAAGCTCAAATTCTTCTTACGTGAAAATCAAGTATGTATATGTGAATCATGAGTCATTTTTCCTGGAGATAATATGAAAGGGAGGGAAGAGGGGTTGGAGAAGAGAAGTAGGATGTAAAAATGAGTGGAAGATCATGCTGAATACATGAAAAGCTTTTCCCAGCTCTGGAAATAATGAGTAACTCCAGCTGCCTGAGGCCACAGGTGACTTGAACAGGGAGTCAGTCACCCCGGATCATAGTTATAAAGGCTGATAGGCCATTTGCATGAAGTTTCAAACATAAAAAGAAACACTCCTTAGTGTGCATATTAACAAGAATAGAGGAATACACAATTACAAAATGATCTGGTTAAAGAAGAGAAGGACTGTATTGATTTTAGCAAACAAATGATTTACGGATATTAATGGTACAGGACACCTGTTACTAACATACAAGATAACATGATATCTTTATTGCTTTACTCTGGTAAAAAGTAAAAAAAAAAACAAAAAACTATTCATGTGAGCTTTCATAGTTTCACTCAAAACACACGACTCTTTAAGTTTACCATGAAATAAAGCCTGGAGAATTTCCACTGGATCTCCAACCATAGAGATTTTTGGAATCATAACTCTCAAAGTTGGGGAGGAATTAGCTCAGCAGATAATTTCATAGGACACAGAAATAGAAAGATATATTTTTAAAGTGAGATGCCAAGTAACATATTTAATCTAAAGGTAAAATTTTTTGTTGTATAATACTAGGCAAAAGAAAAGAGACTTTGCAGTCTCCATTATGTATCAAACACAATAAGAAGAAAATATGTAGAAACATTTTGAAGGAACAGAGTGAGTGAGGGGGAACAAAAAACACAGAAACTTTAGGAGTGGCAGCTAAAAAAAAAAAAAAAAAAACTCTTGGATCTGTAAGATTACCAAAAGAGGATGAGACCCAGCTGCTTCAGTGTTCACTTGAGATTAAATGAGGAAACACGGGCTTTGTCATTTTCAAAAATAGCCACTATGAACCATGCCAAATCCTTTGTAAAATTCTGTGTTTAGCACATGTCTATTTCTCTTTGTTAATTATACACCTACTACTATGAAATATATCTAGTGTTGAAAGTCTCCAATTAGGTAATACTAAATCTAAAAGTTAGAAACTCACAAAAGAAATGTAAGATTTTAAATTCTCATATTAATTTGACCAAATGCTTTCAACTATTATTCATACTGTGAAATGTGATATGTTTTAAAGTCTAGTAATTTTTGTTAATATCACATGACAATATTAGATGTTAAGTCTCTTATTATATGTTGGAATATATAATGTTATTTTATACCATGTAATTTTTAACCCTTAACGTTTTCCTATAAAGAAAAACTTAATTATAAATTACGTAAACCTGCCAGATTTGCCATTTGCTTTTAGCTCCTCACTGCTGCATTTTGTATTTAGATCCTATAGCCAACAAAACGAGACAATAGACATCAAAGTCCAGGACAAGTTTTGAGGAGAATGCCTATGCGTGGTGCCAAAATAGAGGATATTCTACTTCTCCCTGTACCTTTATCTGAGGAAAGTGAAGTGTCATTATTTAGTTGTCTCAAGTGTTGCAATGTTTATTAGCAATATATATGATGTCTGTGCATCCCCTTGTATAAGACTGGAATCAAAACATTTCAGTTCCAGATTTCACTGAATGAGAAGTTATTCTCTTTTTTAAAAGATAACAGCATGGACTTCCACTTTCAAATTGAAAGACTAACCTCTATCAGATTTGCCCACACATGGTAAGCAACTATAAAACTGAATGAAATACATGATATGACTATTATCTGTCACAGTGCAATTGGTAGCACAGGACAGTAATCTCTGAATGAAGGGAAACACAAGAGGTGAGTTTCATCATCACCTCGGCTTTCTCCTCAGGGGCGATTTCTTAATGCAGTATAAGGAATTGAAGACCAGTAGTAGAAAAAGGCAGACCCAATTAGTTGAGGAGGCAAAGTTCACAGTTCAGAGCTGCTGAAATTTATTAGCTGAAATTTACAGGATGAGATTTTAGAGAGAATAGAGCTTGGAAGAAGAGTGGTCTCAGAAATCTTTGTAGACTCATTGGATCCAGGGATGGACTGTACATATGGTGATAAGACATATGCTATATTATGAAATATAGCAGGGAATGGTGCTTACAGGATTGAGACTCAAACAACAAATAACAGCAGTTACATAGTATGTGGAGGCACTTAAGTTTTAGCCCAGTCAAAGACAAGATAACTTATCAAGAGTATAGGCCTTCAGGTAAAACACTAGAAAATCTGTATCTTAGGAGTACGGACCATGCCTTAGAAAACACTAAGCCAAGCCTTGATAGGATATAGGAGCATCTTGGTAACTTACTAAATTGCCAAAACAAAATGCTATTTAAGAGAGATTATATAACCCATATTACTTATGATATCACCCACAGTGGTCCAAAATCAATCCAAATGTTTTTAAATGTAAAAAAAAGAGGATAAAAATATGTCCCATCATATAGCAATAAAGCAGTCAATAAAAAAAAAAACCTCTAGGATAATTCAAATATTAGAATTAACAGAAAATGACTTTAGAATATCTGGTACAAAGATGTTCAAAGACTTAAAAGAAAATATAGTCATAATGAGTGAAGATATGGGAAAACTCACAAGATAGATGGAATGAAGAAGACATCTAGTACAAAGATGTTCAAAGACTTAAAAGAAAATATAGTTATGAGTGAAGAGATGGGAAAATGAAGAAGAGAAAGAAAATGAAGAAGAGAAAGAAAATGAGGAAGATGCAGGAGGAGGAGAAAGAGAAGGAAGGAAGGGGAGAAGAAGAATAAAACTGAAATCTGGAATTTAAAACTACAATGCCTGAAATGAAAATTTCATTTTAATGATTTTGACAGCAGATTGGAGATTATAGAAGAAAGAGTCAGTAAATTTGATTAGAGTTTGATTGAAATAATTCAATGTGAATAAGAGAGGAAAAACAGAAGAAAAATGAACAGTCTTTAACAACCTATGGGGAAGTATCAACTAGTCAAATATATCTACAGATAGAGTCCCAGAAAAAGAGGAGATAAATAAAAAGGCATGAAATACATATATCAATATATAATGGTTGAAGTTGTTCCAATTTGATGGGAAAAAAAGTCAAATTACAGATACAAGAAGCTTCCTAAACCCAGAATAAAAAAAAAACACACACACAAATAAGTATATCATAGTAAAACTATTGTAAAACAAAGATAAAGATGGCAGGCAAAGAAAATCAACAAATGATATATAGAGGACAAA
Organism: Homo sapiens; assembly: GCF_000001405.40. Classification (NCBI taxonomy): domain Eukaryota; kingdom Metazoa; phylum Chordata; class Mammalia; order Primates; family Hominidae; genus Homo; species Homo sapiens. Next base: position 107,187,416 of record NC_000005.10, read on the forward strand.
AAATACAAATAATAGCTGACTTCTCATCAGAAAATACTGGAGCCAGAAGACACTAAGTATGTGAATAAATGTAAATGACTACCTTCTTTTCTTCTTCCCTTAATATCTCTTAAAAAGTAAGTGAATCATTAAAGCAAAAAAAATAAAATTGTAAACTGCTTTTTAACCAATGTAAAATCGATAATATATTTGACAATGTAAAATATTTGACAAATTGGCACAAAAGACAAAGATGGTAAGTGTACTGTTGTAAGATTCTTACATTTGTGATGTGCAATATACAAATTGTGGATGGTAAAATATTAATTCTAAATAGACTCTAAAAAGGGCAAAGTAGATAGTATATACAGTATAGCAATGACTAAAAAGAATAACATGAAGTCCAGCTAAAAAACTGTGAGAGAAAAATAAATGAAGCACTGAAAATATTCAATTAAACCAAAATAGACATCAAAACACAAAGGGAGAAAAAAAAAACAACAAATGAAACAAATAAAAGGCTAGGTTGAGAGAATAGACTTAAACTGTGTCAATAATTTTACATTGAAAGTAGATGAACTGAACTCTCAAATTAAAAGGTAGATATTGCATGGTTGGTTTTAAAAAGGAAAATCTAGCCATATGCTCTCAAAAATATAAACACATTAAAAATAGACACAAAGACACTAAAAGTAAAAAGTGGAAAATATATACCATGAAAGCAGTAAGATTAAAACAAACTGATCTGGCTGCATTAAAATGAGACAAGCTACTATTCAAGACAAGGAGTATTACAAGAAATACAGGGAAGCCCTGTATAATAATAAAAGGATCAATTCAGCAGAATACATAGCAAGCTAAAATATGCTCTCAATAAGAAAGCACTGAAATATACAAAGCAAAGTCTGATGGATCTTAAGGGAGAAACAGACAAATCTACCATCATAATTGGAGAGTTTAATATCCCTTTCATAATTACTGATAAAACAAGTTTACCAAAAACTACAAATATAGAAGATGTGAAAAATATTATCAGCCATTCTGATCTAATTGACATCAACACAAGACTGAAAAAAATACATTTTTGTCAAGCACAAATGGAACATTCACCAAGATGAAGGATGTACTGGGCCATAAAATAAATCTTAATAGATTTCAAAAAAATTGAAATCTTATAAAGTATGTTCTCTGACCACAAAAAAATTAATTAGAAATTAAATTTTTAAAGATGTCTAGAAAATTCTAAAATATTTTGGAATTCAAACAACATATTTCTAAATAATCAATGGGTAGAAAAAATGACAAGGGAACTTTGAACTGAGTAATACTATAAGCAAAACATGTCAAAATGTGTAGGATACAGCTAAAACAGTTCTCAGAGGGAAATTTGTAGCTTGCAATGCCAATATCAGAAAAGAAGAAAAACATCAAATGAATTATGTAACTTTCCACCTTAAAAAAGTTTTAAAAAGAGCAATTATATCCAAAGCAAGTAGCAAAAAGGAAGCAACAAAGCATAGAAATCTATGATTGACAGAGAGAAAATTAGCAAATCCAAAAGTTGACTTCTAAAAGATTAAGAAGACTGACAACCCCTTACAAAGACTGATGAGAAAAAAATAAAATTAGCAATAGCAGGAATGAAATAGTGGCTGTTATTACAGAACATTCAGACAATAAAGGAATATTATAAATGACTTAATGCTAGTAAACTAAATGAATTAAAAAAACTGACAAAAGAAAAAAATAGAAAAATCTGCTAAGCTCTGTATTTACTGTTTTTTAAATTTATAATAAAAAACCTTTCCAAAAAATAATGGCTTAGATAGTTTAACTGGTAATTTCTACCACGTATTTGAGAAAGACAAAATATCACTCTTACACAAAATACTGCAGAAAATAAAGAGGAAGGCACACTTACCAATTTGTTTTGTGAGTATAATATAGCCCTGATACTAAAGAGTAACAAGGATATCATAAAGATCAAAAATCAGAATTTCTAGTTTCATTTCAAACAGGAAAGAGGTTGCAAGTCCTCACTTCTATCCTTAACCAACCACAAAAAGTTGAACAAACTGAAAATTAATGTATTTTCTTGGACCCATCAGAGAAGTGAGGTAACAAACTGTCACCACACTATCTGGAGAGATGGCCAAATGCAGAGAGTCAGAGCTGAGGTCATTTTACCTAGAGCAGAAGCCACTGGAGCCCAAAAGTGGTAGAAACACTTAAATGATAATTTTAACAAACCTCTGGAGCCTGAGGAGGGAAGAGTTTGAGAAAGTCCTTAGAATGACAGCCTTAAGAAAGGGCCTCACACTTTCATTCCAGGAACCCCACCAGATTTTTATGGTGAAGAGCTCAGAAAGGTGTCCTTTTGGCTCTGGCAGGGGGTAGGGGTAAAGTAATAATTGTGAAATGTACCTAAGGTGTTCTCCATAACAAATGCCTACTCTATCGTAAAAAATATTTTATCAGAACCTTATTACACATGGGGGAAAGACATTTATTTGACTTTAGCATTGAGATGAGAAGTCTAAGAAAGAATCAAAAGGAAATGGTAGAAATCAAAAGCTCTGTAACTGAAATAAAAAAAAATGCCTTTGATGGACTCATGAGTAGACTAGACAGAGCTAAGAAAAAAAATTAGTGAGCTTGAAAAGAGTTTCAATAACATTCCCCAAACAAAGTGCAAAGAGAAAAACAGAATAAAAAAGGGGGAAAACCAAAATAGAACATCCAAGAACTGTGGAAGAATTTCAAAGATGTAGCCTTTGTGTATTTAGAACACCAAAAGAAGAAGAAAGAGTGAAGTAGAAGAAATGTTTTGCTAGTGGCCAGAAGCTTTCCTAAAATAATATTTACCAAATTATAAACCCAGGAAGCTCAGAGATAACCAAGCAGGATAAACACCAGAAAATCTACAGTTAGATGTATCATATTCAAATTACAGGAAACTAAAGACAGACCATCTTGAAAGAAGTCAGAGGATGAAACATCATCTGTCCCATTTAATTAAAAAAAAAAAAACAAGGATAAGAATTACAGCAGACTTCTCATCAGAAACCACGCAAGCAGCAACGGAGAGGAGAGAGATACTTACAGTGTTGAAGAAAAATAGTAACTAATTATCCTTCAAAATTATCCTTGAAAGGATAATCTTGTTCTTAGATGAACAAAAACTGAGGGAATTCATCGTTAGCAGACATGCCCTGCAAGAAATGTTAAAAGTTCTTCCAGAAGAACAAAACTTATATAGGTCAGAAATGTGGATCTACATTTAAAAGGAAAGAGCATCAGAGAAGAAAACATGAAGGCAAAATAAAGTATTTGGTGTTTTCTTATTCCAACAAGAATGTCTAATATTCAAAGAACTAGTAAAAGCAAGTGTGGATGGGGATGTAGACTAAGAGGAACTCGACAGTATTACTGTGATATGGTACCACCAATTTGAAGAACAATTGGCATTTTCTTATAAAGTTTAACATACATATAACTCAGCAATTCCACTTCCTAGATAGTTATGTAAGAAAACTGAAAATAATTTTTTTAAAAAAGAAAGACATGTACATGAATATTCAGAGCAGCTTTAGTCATAATAGGCCAAAAATGGAAACAGCTCCAACGTCCATGAGCAGTTAAGTGGGTAAATTTTGGTACAGTCTCATAATGGGATACTACTCAGCAACAAAAAGAAACAAACTTTCTGAGACATAAAACAAAGGTGAATTATGTCAAGTAAAACAAGGCAGAAACAGAAGGATATGAGAACATTTTCTGAGTCCATTTATATGAGGTTCTAAGAGGCAAAACTAATCAATGGGCTACAAGTCAGATCTTCAGTTGTCTGGTGTAGAAGGCAGTGTGAAGATAAACTGCAAAGGAGCAGGAGAGAACTTCTAGAGTGACAGAAATGTTATATGCATTTATTGGAGTGGTAAGTTATATGTATGTACATATTTGTGAACCTTTATTAGGATTTCTTTTAAAATTTGTTTAAAATTATATCTTAATAAGGTTGACTTTTAAAAAATACTAATATTGTAAACTATTAGTAAACTCAAGACCTTTGTACAGACATTTATTGATTTGAGTGTACATGAAAAGGAGAAGTAGAAATCAAGTTTTCATTGACATTTTGAAACAAAAATACTTACAAATAAACTAACAAGCAATGACCAAAAGATACATATGTCAAGATCTGAAAAAGGAAATTCACACATCAATAAGACAACTGAAAAGTTTTTTTAGCTATTAACTGCAAATTGTTAAATAACCAAATAACAAAATGAAGAATAAAATACAGCCTTCATATCTTCTCTCATTCTTAAATCCAGTCTGATTCAAGAGGAAATCAAGCCAAGCAACATCCCAATACAATTGGAGTAGATTTATAACCCAGGTGTATTTTCTATTTAGGTTGGCCTTCCTTTATAAGTTTACTATAAAAATTGAAATTATATTAAAAATGTTATCTAAGTTGTAAAAGTAAAAATAGTAATACTAAAACTATCAGAAAAGATATAACTACTACAACTGTGGAGAAAAGTATTTCCTAATTATCCATTATTTATGGATTAAATTATGAATTATTATTAAATGCAATGAAATATCCTGGGAATGGAGAGAAATCACAAATTCTCCTCTTATGTTTGCCCCAATTTATATCATTTATGTGGGCAAACTATATAAGTTTTAGGCTTTTTGATCTTGCAAAATTCATGCAAAGAATTTTCCTAATCATATAGACTTAACAGAAAAGATCTAACACTATTAACTATGTATTGAGCCTGCATATAAAAACTTATATTTTTTAAATGGTAAAAAGCTTTATTATCTATGACACATAAATGACTAGGCTTCACAGACTTTAAACTTAGAGGGCTCAAGGATGCTCCAAAAGATCATAAAACACTGAACTCCTTTTGAACTGGTTTAAAATCAAGATACTTTTTGACATACTTTATGCCATTTGGCACTTTGTGATATTTCAAAATACCTCACCTTTAAGTTTCAGAAGATTTCAACATGAAAGTCTTCTAGAAAGCTAGGCGTTATAAAAATAATTCTCAGCATATCGATTTGGAATCAACAAAAATGGTTTACAAATAACTTTACTTCAAGGCCAACCCAGTTTATAGAATCTTCCTATCTGTTAGCTGCTGAAGCAAAAATAAATTCTGAACTATGATGTTGTCATGGAAGTGTGTGCAAAAGCTAGTTCATGGTCTGTATTCTATAACTGACTGGTATTTATAAGTTAAATCATTGTAACAACACTAAAATAGTCTGTATTGTAAGGAAAAATAAAAAGTTCCTCTAATACATCTATTTAGTACTCTGGTTAAGTTAACTTTCTTTTCCAAAGCTAATTAACAAAGCTCAAATGACTAAGCCAGCTCAGGTTATGTAAATGCATACCTTGGTATAGTTTACATACATTAAACAGTGGGAGATTGTTTCCTCACTGAGTTTAGAAAAAACTTAAATTTTAAACTATGTAAAATAAAGACAGGTAATCTGATTTGACATATCTTGAGAAACCTGGAAGCTACAGGAACCCCACTGCGCCAATAGATGATTAGTTAATAAAGGGAAAGCAGCCTGACACTGAGGTGAACAATAATTAAACCTGTAGTGAAATTCTCTGATAAAATTCAATAAAGTGGCACATTGTTAGCAGAACAATGTTTCTTTAAATGGCATTGATGAGTAAACCTCAAAGTGAGATGAGATTCTGTTCAAAGAAAAATGCAGACACTCATTTTATGAATTTACTGCTCCCTGGATCATGTTCTATATAGATAATGTATAGTATACTCAATGTATTGGACTTCTACTACTTCTCACAATTGATGCAAAGAGGTGCTAGGTGTTGAAGTTTTTTTGTTTTTTTGTCTTTCGTTTTTGAGACGGAGTCTTGCTCTGTAGCCCAGGCTGGAGTGCAGTGGCTCAATCTCGGCTCACTGCAAGCTCCGCCTCCTGGGTTCACGTCATTCTCCTGCCTCAGCCTCCCGAGTAGCTGGGACTACAGGCGCCTGCCACCATGTCTGGCTAATTTTTTTTTATTTTTAGTAGAGACAGGGTTTCATTGTGATAGCCAGGATGTTCTCGATCTCCTGACCTCGTGATCCGCCCACCTCGGCCTCCCAAAGTGCTGGGATTACAGGCGTGAGCCACCGCGCCCGGCCTAGGGTTTGCATTTTTAATGCATTTATTCATTTATTTCAATAGTCTGTTTTGTTTTGTTTGGAGCATAAAGTGCTTAAAAGCTGGAAATCCAAGGATAAATAAACAAAATTGCTGCCATGAAGGGTTTTGTAGTATTACAGGCAAGCCAATGGTATAAAGAGGTAAATATGTATCAGAGTGCAAAGGATGGCAGGGAGAAAACCCTAACTCAGCCTGAGAGTCAAGAACATATAGAAGAGATGACACTGAGGAGGAATCTTGGAGAGTTACTAGATTTTTGTCAAATAAGGAAAGATTTCAGGAAGAGAGAACTAACTGGAAAAAAGTATGGAGTTGTGAAAATGACTGAAAATTCATGATGTCATAAGACCATTAGCTTGGCCTTTGGGCAGTGGTAGATGGGGGAAATGATAAGTCAACCAGAGAGTTAAGGAAGGATTACATTGTGAATAGCTTTGACTGTTGATATAGACTTTTTCCTGTGGACAACAGAAACATAATTCCGCAACTGAGCAGAAAGGACATGACTGCAGGGTTTTATGGCTCCTAGGAGGCGGTGAACTACTTTTTACAGACTCACACATATTTGCAAGGTCCTAGACATCAGTAGAGAGAGTAAAATATATGTTAATATTTCATAATCACAAAATGTAGACCTCGTTACTGTGCTCTGTATTAAGTATAATGGTGCTTCTCCCAAACAAGGGGGAGAGGAAAGCGCCAGAAATACTTACATGAACAGTGAAGACAGAGATGTGGAGTGAGACGAGAAGCTGAGAAACCAGGTAAAACTGCCCAATCTAGTTGAGATAAAATAAAGGCCAGGGCAAGCAAAGGCAGTAGAAATAGAGCAAAAAGGAGTGGAGAGATTTGCAATGAACCAACACATGCTGGTGATGAGTTGGCGGGAGAAGAGGAAGAGGTAATCATCGAGGATGGCAGCTAGGGGAAAAATGTGTCATGGTGTTACCAGGCATCTCTGACAATATAAAAGGAAGAGCAGCGTTGCTTTAAGGGAGTGCACAGAGGAGAAGTCTGGACAGAAGCTTCCCAGAAGCCATTCTTAAAAGGAAAAAGAGCCCCCTCCCCGCGATTGTTTTGTTTTGTCTTGTTTTGTTTTGTTTCACTACTCATCTATTTCCAGATTGCACTTGGTAATTTCCTTCAGGAATTCTCTTGGTCATCCATCTCCTCTTCTTCTGAATATATCCATCTATTTTCCCAAAATCTGTATCTTTCAATAACTTTACATTGACTTTTCTTTTTTTTTTTTTTTTTTTTTTTTGTTTGTGAAAGAGCACGCTTTATTGGGGAGCAGACTGCTGCACAGTGACCAACAGGCCACCCAATGGGCACTTACACATCGTACTCCAAAAGACACAGGATGTTTTGCTAATAAAAATCAGTGGGAACAGGGATTCCTCTGGGCAACTCCCCCAACCTCATCCCTTTCAGGGATTGAGAAATCTCCCAACCATTTTCCTGATGACAGCCATGGTTCATTAGAGATACAGCCCCTCAGGGGTGCCTTCCTGTTTCTTATAAAGAACATTTTCTTTAGATTTTTTGAAGAAGCGCATCTTTCAGATTCACACAAGCAGGATGACGCTGGCTGATGATGTAACCCTGGACGACCTGATCATGGCTAAAGATGACCTCTCTGGTGCTGACATCAAGGCAATCTGTACAGAAGCTGGTCTGATGGCCTTAAGAGAACGTAGAATGAAAGTAACAAATGAAGACTACATTGACTTTTCTAAAATAGAAATCAGGGAAGGTTAAACAACCTTGTTTCCTATGATCATCCATTACAGCTGGCAGTAAAATACCAAAATCGGCATGAGATTACTGAGTTACTTTACCCTCAAAAAACAGAAAGAAAAAAAAAGATATACCCACACACTCTCCTGTTTTCAGCAGGAGTGTGGGCTCAAAGAGTTGCAAGACTATCCTCTGAAGTGAAAATTAACTCTGAGGCAACCCACCCTGAAAGCCCCAGGTGAAACCAGAGACGGTTTCTGCCTCCCCAAGAGGCTCTTCTCCAAAGCTAATAGGGGTTGGAATAGGAGTTAGGGGATAGTATGACTGAGGAGAGTGCTCTGTTGTCCTCTAGAGAAAATTCTGCTATGCACCTTCACAACCACCCTCCATGCCTCTCAAACACAACAAAGGTACAGAATCTATTTAGAAAGATTTCTTATTTTGACTGAATTAAAGGGCTCAATCTTAATTGAAATATAAGAGTTAAAGTATGTACTTGGCCCTATTATTTTTTTTTTCATGTGCTGATATAATGACGATGATGTAACATCATCTGGAATAAAGACAAAAGTTACATCAAGCTTGAAAATTATATTCCTAAATTATACTTAGGATAACAGGTTCAAGCAAGTTCTTAATTCTCAGTAGCAGTGCTTGAGCTAACGAGGATTCTCTTCTGTGTGTCAGCAAATGCCATGCATCTACTAAGTAGCTCACTCCCATTTCTACGCTCAGGCCCCAGGCTCTCACACAGAGGGTTCCTAATGGCCTGCAGCCCAATCTTAAACTCACCACATCGCTGCAGTATGTCATATTCCATCAGGAGCTACTGTGCAAATAACATATTTCCATTTTTAAAGTCTGAAAAATGTCACAAAAAGCTTTTGGCATTTACATGACTCAGACTTACACCCTCTAATTCTCTCTGCAGCTAATTTCTTATGTTCGATACATATCCACCACAGGAAACCAGGAATAACGATTACAGGAAAAGCTGAAGTTCGACAGCCCAGCCATTAGCATTCACAAGTCTAAAGAGTAGGGACTTAAATGGCACTATCGATAGTTATTTCTTATATAACGAAAATCAGGACTGTCAACATGTGAGACATTAAAAAATATTCAGTAATTTTAGTTATAGCCTGTAGGGTTTTTTAATGCATTCCTGAGAACTAGCAAAAATCTACAAAGATGTGCACCAAGAGGGCCTAATAGATCAGAAGAGTGAAATTATATTCAATGTGGGTAAAACAGCTTGCTGTATGTTCTCCAACTACTGATCTTATCTCTCATAATCATGCCCCATGCTTCGTTTAATGTTGGACCACACTCACTATGAGAGGAAATTCATGCTTGCATTTTATGAGGCTCAGCATGCAAAATCCACATGCTATGTTTCCATTTCTTCTGTCTCACTTTACATAGATTGGGCTTTTATCTTTCTGCTGAATAACATTTGTTGTTTTATTTTCCACTGCTAAATATATAAGGGCTTACCAACGGAAATGGAGAGACTAGGGGCAGGTCTATCATAGCCCCAGGAAAAGACTCAAGTACACTCTGAAAATCTGTTCATTTAAATGTAGTTGAATTGTATGCATTGCCTCAAATGGGGAAAATGTGCATGATTCATAACTGCTCGTTGTTGAAGTGTCCAATGTGAAGCGAAATGGCACAAGGTCCCAAATAATATGATATGCTATGTATGCAACACACTAACAGAAACAAAGTTGTAACAAATAACATTTATTTTCTTCTTAAAAGAGCGGCAGTGGTCACAGCTGTCTGCAAACTTAGATCCCTAATTCATTGGTTGATTCTCACACATCTGATTAGCTAATTAATTATCATTGAAATGTGCAAGTGAATAAACAACTGGCCTGCATCATTTGATTTTTGTCTCCAAACTATTTAGCTAACTGAACTCATCTACAGAACAATTAGCTAGTCTTCTGCTGATGCTATTCTTGCAAAACTAAAGAGCTGGCCATGAGCACGGCAGATGTCTATTCCAGAGGAAGTGACTTTACATGCCTTCTTTGGTCAACTAGGACGGTGATCTTGGGTTATACTTTACACCAGATGGTTAATTTAACCATAAACTTATTTCCAAATTAATCCAGATTTCCTAGTTAGCATCAGGTTCTAGTAAGGTAGTTTTCTAGAAGACTCAGGACAGAAGGACTCAGGCAGAAGATTTTCCCTAACATGACGAATAGATTAGACATCTTCCATATAAATATTTGTATTTTAAATAACTATGTGCATTTATAAAAATACCAATTGGATAGAGTACTGCAAGATGGCTTATTGATTCAAATTCATACTGATTTTTTTTCTGGAAAAAAATTACTTTATAACCACTAGGCCTTGTGGTTATAAAATATATATATTTGATAATTTTATTTTAATAATTTTATCTACATATATTTAATAATTTTTATGAATTTCAATTGAATTTTAGGATCATAGAGAATTTAAGGACCAATTTTATCCCAGTGAGAAATGATTTAAGGAGGATAGGCTCTGACAATGTTCAATATGCCTTTTCCTAACTCTTCAAAAAGTAACTCCCCCTCACTGGTTGACATTCACTTCCCGTTTAATAAATATGCACTGAGTATCTTCTATCTTCACATCTCTTGCCAGGAGAAGAGAGGTTTATAAGGATACTTAAGCCTTCATAAAGAATATCATTTTAATATTCATTCACTGATCCATTCATGCATTCAGCAAACATTTATTATCTGTTATGAGCTAGATAGTATGTGATGCTGATAAATGAATAAAAAGAAGACTCTACCCATATGGACTGCACATTGTAACTGAGGAGACCAACACACTCACAAATATTTAGTACACACTATAATAAGTGCTTATCATAGTATTTGCCAGATGCCTGAGCAACATATTAAGAAAATGGATTCTCGCACAAGGTAAGGGAGTAGTGGAGAAATGGCTTGGAAGGGGAGAAAGGGCTTAGAAAACTTCATGGAGAGGGTAACATTTAAACAAGGCCATCAAAAGTGAGCAGTTCTCCAAGGTGGAGAAGGCACTACGAGTACCCAGAGAAAACGAAACATCACAAAGAAGGGCTGAATGATGGACATGCATTTAGAGGAGTGCAGGTGCTCCAGTTTCCTGAACCTGGGGGCAAAAGTATGTGAATTATGTTCGTTGCAACTTCTTTCCTTCAGTTCAAAGTAGATGTCACGAACTTATGTCCCTTGGAACATTTTTGGCCCTGGATATGTGCTTGATATAGGCAATGTTTGAATTCATGGACAATATTTCAACATGGGAAGAATTCACAAAAAATCAGATTTTGAGCTCCTTTTGGAAAAGTCAGTGTTTAGCAGATCTGGGCCAGAATGTATATGTAAAATAATTTCCTGGAGACGAGCAGTGATTGCCCCATTTCTAGAGGGCTGAACTTTGTGTTTTACTACAATCTTCACTTGGCCAGCTTCACTCATTAATGTTACCTGACAGGCCCAGGCTAGTATTTTATTTGAGACACCTGATTTAAAGTTTTAATACTTCTGAAGAGGTAATCGACCCTGTGAAGAAAAAAAGTGGAATGTAGCTCTGAACTGTTCATCAGTCATTTGTCATTAATACTTGAGGTGTGAATGAGAGACTGGAGAGCAACATGGATTAGAGGAATGGAAAACAGAGCACAAGGTTATTAAGCACTAGGTGTTTGTTTTTGTGGAGAATGTGGTAGGCTTAGAAAGAAAAAAGAATAAAAGAGGCATAACTTCACAATTTTATGCTTTTACCATGATGAATCACAAAATAAATATTCACATCAAACTAGATGCCCATTTTAACTCAAACACTGAGCAAAAACACTGACCTTTTCTTAATTCTTGACTATGTTGATTTATTTCCAGTGTCCATGTTTGCAAGCATGTAAGTTTAATGGTTAATTCTAGCCCACTTCAGGGTTCTCCTGAAAACTTTTTGGCCCATGCCCACTCACTGAATTCTAACCATGGACATTATCCCCAGGTAATTAAAATGTTCACTTAAAAAAAGCCAACTATCACATAGCATTGTTAACCTTCTTCTCAAATAATGTAAGAGATGTCAGAATTATCTGTAACGCCTTGGGGCTTTTCTGAAGAGTGAATATCTTTGCACACACTGTCAGCATACACCATGTAGGAATAATTATCATCATTAACCTGAGTCTTATTAAGCTGCCTGCTTATTAATATGTATTGCGATTCACTATAAGTGCTAAGTTGTGGCAGAAAAACAAAGAGATAGCTGAATAAAGATGGCATCCCAGGCTTCCATAACATTATTAAAATATTTAGAAAGTGAAGCTAATGAGTTCACCTTTCTTCTTAAAACACATATATCCCAAATGCTCCTAACCTTTGAAAAGAACATGTCAGCTAAATAAGATTATTATATATAAAAGGAAGGAAGAGGGATATTTTAAAAAGAGCCAGACATCATGCATTGTTCATTCACAGAAGACGACGGATAAAATTAATGATTTGATGAAAATGCTTGTGAATAACTGAATTCCATATTCCAAATGTGACATTTGGAAACCATGTGCTCAGAACCCACAAACCAAAAGCAGATGAAATGTTTGCAATAGCTTTCTGGCAGACCTTTAAAGAGTTTCCCAAACTCTAGGGGGCAACTCTTACAGAAGAATGTGCTGGGCCTTAACAACTGTGGGGTATTACAGCTGAAAATTAGGACCAACCGTAGAGCTGGGCCTTGGAATGGAAGGCTGGCATCACCAATGGGTCGAGCAGCATGATTAGGGTTCCTGAGTGTTGGGGGTTCTGAGCCACAGAAGAATCTAGACTCTATCAAGGCAGTAAGAAACATAAACCTGCTCCAGTAAAGAATATAGAAAATTAACAAAAATTCTCCAAAACTGAAAATGGTTCATGACAAATTGAGGCATATTTCAAAGAGCCAGATTTCAAAGAAAAAGTTATACTTGGCCTCCATGAACTATCCTGGCTCCCATTTATTGGTTCTGAGATGCATTTGGAGGTACCAACTCTCATCACAAAGTAGTGCACGGACCTCATATTTCCACTCTATCTCCTGAGAAAGAGTGAACAAGGACAGCAAAATGGACTGATGAAGATGTAGCTTCCCCTCATCATGGCTCTCTCACTCTTTACCCTTTTGCACTCCCCACTCCCTGCCTTGCACATCTAAGGTTGTTCCAAATTCAGTTACAATGGTGGGCTCAGGTTTTGTGTAGCGTGACCTGTATATAATTTGGGACGTTTTCTTTCAGGAAAAGGTTACAACATAAGGAATACAAAATTAGGTATGAATGTGAATATTTGCTTAGGATGAGAGGAGGAATCACAACAAAATCAAATCTAAAGAAGCTGAAAAAAATCACAAATATTACAAAATCCAGAAAACTAATACATAAGAACTCAATGTTACTTAACAAACTCTCTGACCCACCCCTATAATACTTTTCCTCCATTTTGGCTGTATTTTCTTTGATCACTGTTCTTATGACAACAATTTTATATATGATTTTTATAAAAAGAATACAAAGATAATACAACTGTGTAAGATAATTGTTACTGTTTGTTTTTATTAACAGTAGTTCAGATGTAGAAAACATAAAACTTCAGCACAGACATAATCACTATTTGTAGAACTGTTAAAAGTTTGTGTGCTATAACAAAAATTCAGACAAATTATATTTTGCAAAATTTCCATCAAAAAATAAAAACAATGTAGAATACATCTTGAGTGGTATAAGATACATTACTGAGTATATTCATGATAGGAGAGAACTTCCATTTTCACTATGTATTGATGTCAATTGAATCCCCCACTTAAAATTTAAACCTCTGATGACTGGAAATAATTTCTGCAAACTGGCTTCTGCATTTATATTCTTCAAGCCTTGTTTCTCATCCTCTACTCATGTATTTCTGGTGCTGAATGCTGTAAGACACATTCATATTATGCTTGATAAGGCCTTTGGGCCCACACACCTGGGTGAATTGGCCCAGCGGGTATTTGGAGTATTCCACCTATACTTGGATAGCTAGTAACTTAACAGGAGATTGAAACCACGTAAACATCCACCACTAAACCCAAGTTTAATGTGTATCCACAACTCAGCTTCCCCTTGGCCTTATCTAAGACAGGCCCCCTTCCATCCACTCCAGGGCTATCTAACCAAAAAAGGAAAAAAAAGTTGTAAATGAAGAGAAGTGACTGTGGATAGACATATCGGTATTAATCTATTTCAATTAAAATGCATTACTTTAGCAAACAGTATGACCCTGTGGACATGTTGCTAAGGCCTTTCATATTACCTTAGACATATCTAGAGCTTCATTAGCTTCAAGGTACAGTCCTATGTCAAAACATATAGTTAATCATGTGAGTGACCTAAAGGTGAGTGAAGCTATCTATTTATACCAACTAAAAACTATTGCAGTTGATCACCTTATCCAAATAATACAATATTATTACCAAGCCAAAAGAAATATTAAAAAAGCCAAAAACCTCAGGAGATCATTTAATCCAACTCCACATAACCAATATTGGTGTTAACCTAAAACCTCTGTGAGCTAGGCTTAGGAGACGTTCATTTACCTTTCATTAATTCATTTGATAAACATATCTTATTCACATTTTATTTATTTACTCAACCTGTTTTTGCACATATTTATTGAATGACTACTATATGGCCAGCATTGTCCTAGGAGATGAATTAATTATCTAAGTGAACAAAATTGACAAAATTCTCAACCCTCTTCTCTACATTCTACCAAAATATCCTAGTTGTATCAGGAGAATTTTACATTTAAAAATAGGAAGCTGTTGGACATCACATCATTTGTTTAATCAGATATTAGATGCAAGAAACCTTGAAACAGTGCTTATGTTTGGCAAACCTATGTAAAGAATGTATGAATGACCAATGTAAAGGAAGTAAAATGCATTACTTTTTTCAAGGGCAATAGAAGATTTTCAAGGGTAATTTTGACAATAAGCAACTTTCCAATTCTTGTCTTAGTGGTTGACTTAAGTATCCTTTGGGAAAGATTACACTCTCCTGTAATTTGGGTATAACTGTAAGGAATTAATTAGGGATTAAGTTTACAAGCTCTTCCAAAATAGAGTTACTTAGGTATTGGGCAAATAGCTCTCATTGTTTTTAAGAATGAATATGCTATTTTGCAGAGCACTAAAAGTATAGGACAAGGTTTAAGTTCCAGAATTGATACTAAGTGACCTTTCACAAGGTGAGGTCTATGATTCTAAATCATGTTAATTTAGATTGTCTGTTTTAATAAGTATTTAAGCTCAATTGACTATACTTGAGTATCTTCAATGACTTGATTTATATTTGTGAAAAATCTCTTAAAATTCTATTGTATAGTTTGCATATCACCAAAGTAGCTTTGATAACAACTACTCACAATTCTTCTGGATACATTATGAATTTTTCATTTAAACTGGTCTTTATTTTAATATGCTCCAACATAAAATTTATAGGATTACTCTGTAATAAATACCTTATATTATTATTCATATCCAATATTCAAAGAATGTTAATAGCTAAAATTCAGCAGTCTTTCAAGTAGTGGAAAATTATATTTATTTCATCTTCTTAATATTTTAAATCAACCACTGGGGTTTTTGAAAGCTAAGCTTAGAGGTCAGTTTTCAAAATTCTAATTTTTAAAAATTCCTGATGAACATCATTATTTGTGTAATACTGAATATTAGCAGGAAGAGTACTAGGAAACCCTTACAGAAACATAAATCCAGGTGTATAATCTCATGAAGTACACATTAGATGTAATAATTTACCCAGGATTGTTAAGGGCTTCTCATTTTATATTAATGAAGCCATAATATCTTCCTGCTCTGTTTCTTCATCTAGAAGAGGAGTAAAATTTTACCTACCTCCAAGAAATTGGCATTGATAAGTGAGAAAATCACCCAAGCTTCCCATGGAAAACATTATACCCTGGAAATAAACTAAGCACATCTGGAAGCAACATTAAAACTCTTTCAGGCCACTGGGGTAAAGCTGCAATCATTTGTTAGTAAACGATACTCTAGCAGCATGGATGAATGCACATTTAAGAACTCATTTTACTCCCAAAGAGAAACCGAAACCTTGGGAGATTCCCACTGAATATGCAAAATATAATGAGATTTAAATCACATTTGAAATAGTTCTTTCTTTTCTCACTTTCTGGTTCCATATTGATACATTTTTTCGTATGCATCCGCTCAACTTGGATTGTCTTCAAAAATCAGGAAATTATTCTCTATTTTCATGCCCTTTAACACCCAACATCAGAAGCTATATGAACTCTTATTATTTGCTATTGCTGTTGGTTTTATGGTAATTATAAATTCAGGTAGTCTGAGCCGTTTTCAAATTATTTAAAAAATTTTTTAGATTGTTTGCACTACTAATATTTCAGGCTCTCCATTTGAAGCCAGAGGATGCTCACTTAATTTGTCACAATTTTAAAAATAATAACTGGGAAGTCAAGGGAGTCACATCATTTAAATTATGTTCATTACATTGACAAATGGACTACTAAAGGAACTGGGAAGATGTCTGAACAGTTTCCTGTTCCTGTCGTGTTCTGTAGCAGCAAGAGTCCTGGGTGACTATGAAATCTGCTGGTAAAGAAAATGAGTGGGGAGTCCAGTAGATTCCATTTCAGAACACTGATACCTTGAAACTGCTTCAAGCTTACCCTTAAGTATTCCCCCATTTTTTAAAAGTCTGATCACAATAGCAAAGATAAAATAGATAAAAAGACAAAAATAATCCCAGCAAAGGTGTTTCAACTGTAGATGAGACAAGTAATCACCCAGTTGCAACCTTTTTTTTTTTTTTTTTAATAAGAGGTAGTCAAGTTATTTGGTAGAGTTATGGAATGCCACTTCTTACAAGCCCACCTTATTAAAGCATATATTATTCTGTAGGTTTTGCACAATGTTCCAGCTAGAAAAATAATGATAATTAGCTGCAGAAAATTATCACCTGTTTCAGAGTACCCATTGCCATTGTTGTCTTTTGCCTGTCACTGGACTTCTAACTGAAACATTTTCATGCCCTGTGAATGACAGTTTTTAAATTAACAACACCTTCACGTTATTCAGGAAAGAGTGTAGGAAGCGAAGCACACCAGCATGCTTCTCACTGGGAAGCTGGATCATGTTGTCATTCAAGAGAGAGAACTATGTAACTTGCACGCCCCGCAGCCTCAAGAAATATGTCATTTCTCACTTTCTAAGCCTTCACTGCTATAACTCACAAACTAACACAGGACACTCACAGGCTTCTACAAGTGAAACCTGGCACGATTGCCTAAAATATTGGGTTTGTCTATTTTGTGCTGTCAACCTGCTGAAGACCAAAATACCTCAAAAAGCCCAAAATGTAAAGAGTATCAATGTATTTTTCCTTTAACTTTCATGACTTTGGCCTCTGACAGAACCTTAATTTATTATAACTACTGCGAAAAGCCACATTTTAGCATCAAGTACTGAAGTCAGCTCCAGACACACAAGCCTGCCAACTCTAATTTATTTGAAATGAGATGAGATTTGATCATTTATTTTCCCACTGAGAAGATTTGTGCTGCCTTTTAAAGTGAAAGAACTTGGTATACCTTCAGAAGCTGTTTAGGGTTCTTTGAAATTTTGTTAATAAGCATGCTTTGAGGAACAAGTGAATATGGCACAAGATATAATCAGATATAGCCAAAACAGAGCCAAAAGCATCTTGTATTCCTTTGATAGTTACCTCAATGACTCACTCAATGACCTAGAAAAGATGACCGTTTAGAAGAGTCAAATCACAGTGTCCTGAGAGAGGGGAGAGGGTTCTGAGGAGGTAGAGTTGATTCAAAGTAAAAGTAAAAGATAAAATGAAAAATAGAATTTTTAAGACTGATGGAGTGAAAAGATATTTTGAATTTTTCCAAAATAATTACATTACCAAACTGAGTATTATTTAAAGTAAGGTAATATCTTGATTAATAAAAGTCAATCAAAACCAAAATATCTATTGAGTTTTTTTAAAAATGCAAAACAAAGCTATGTACAAAAAGATGTGAGTAGAAGAGTTTACATTTGAGGAAGACATGAGAAGTACAAAATAAATAACACTTCAAAGAACAATAGAAAAAATAAAAAATTATGTATAAATAATAAATGAATTTAATACTTAATAATTGTAGGAGAGACTGAGGAAGGAAACAAAGCTATAAAATATAAGAAGGAAAAACAGCTTTAGAATTTAAAGAAAAGCAAAAAAAAAAATTATATATCCATAAAGTTTAGGTGAATTCCTTTAAAAAAAAAAAAAAAGAAAACTGTTCCCAAAGTTCAAAGACCACAACTTTTACCATCTTTCTCTTTATTTAATTTAATTAATTAATTTATTTAGTTAGTTGTCTGTTTATTTAATTAATTTTTTTTTTGAGACAGAGTTTTGCTCTTGTCACCCAGGCTGCAGTGCAATGGCACGATCTCAGCTCACTGCAACCTCTGCCTCAGGTTCAAGCAATTCTCCTGCCTCAGGCTCCTGAGTAGCTGGGATTACTGGCACCCAACACCACACCCGGCTAATTTTTGTATTTTTAGTAGAGACAGGGTTTCACCACGTTGGTCAGGCTAGTCTGGAACTCCTGACCTCAGGTGATCCACCTTTCTCAGCCTCCCAAAGTGCTGGGATTATAGGCATGAGCCACCGCACCTGGCCCCATCCTTCTCCTTAGGAAGTGTTAAAAAGTGATCTACGGAAGAAGATAATTTTTGGTTGTATTAAGTTCATAGAGATCAGATTGCTAGCAAAATATGTAGGTAGAAAGTTGAAGAAATCAGTGATAAACATAGATGCAAAAATCCAACACAAAATTTTAGCAAAATAAATCCTTCAAAGTTTGAAAAAACATAGATTATGCTTACCTGGGTTTATTTCAGGAATTCAAGGATGTTTTAACATAGGAAGTTATATCATTAAAATTTACTCATTCTCACAATTTATATCTGAAAACCATATGTTCATCTTACACTTGATCTTAGCCAAAAGGCCAAGAAGCAATCAACCATATGTTCATTTTAACTGATGCAGAAAAGTATTTAATAAAATTCAACTGTCATTCATAAAAAGCCTCTTAATAATGGAGCATCAAATTAGATAAAATGTAGCTAACAAAAACTTGCAGCAAATATCATAATTCATTGTAAAACTAGCAAAATTTGTATTAAATTTCAGAATAAGGCAAGAATGCCCATTATCAATATTACAATTCAACACCATATTTAGAGGGCATAATCAGGGAAATATGACAAGAAAAAAAGTAGAAATACAAGGGTTAGTAAGGGAGAATTTAACTTCCAATATTCAGAGATGACATGATTATCATTTAGACTGTGTAAAGGCCAATAAATCAAGTTATTAATTGTTGAATGTATCAGATCACTGGATTTAAGATTAATAAACAAAAAGTTCATTCCTCCATACTAGTTTCAAACAGAAAATGTAATTTTTAAAAGGTACTATTTATAATTGCCACAAAAAAATAAAAATGTGTAGGACTAAATCTGACAAAACACATGTCTCCAGTTTATGGAATACGTTATGAAACTATTTAAATAAAGTAGAAAAGAAATTAATAAATCAAAAGAGAGTGATAATATTATCATAGATAGCAATAATAGGATATCATTAAGATGTCAATTTCTTCACAGATTGACCTATAAATTTAATGTGATTCCAATCAAAATCCCAAAAACTTTTTTTGGAACTTGAAAAGGTAAGTATACAATATTTATGAATGAATAAAAGCTTAAGAGTAGCCAGAACAGAGTTAGTGATTGCCTTTCTAGATACCTAGGCATATTAGAAAGCTATAGGAATTAAGACACTCTAGTTTTTTTAAGCAGAGATAGGGCAAGAAAAAAAGGATGGAAAATATAGAAACAGATTTTTAAGTGTACAGAAACTCAAAATACAACAGAGATGACATTTCACATTAGTGGCAAGAGAAAACACTAATACATGGTGCTGAGAAAATTTGCTATCCATATGTAATTTTTAATAGTATATCTACTTAAAAACACGCATGGTCAAGATGAACAAAGACATAGCTAAAAGGAAAACTTCAAAAAAAAAACCTAAAATAAGTAGAAAAATAGGGCACAAGGTAGTATCCTTTTACCAAGAATGCATATATAAATAGACAAAGAAAATATTATAAAGTCTTCCATTTATCAAAAGATACTATTAAATATATTTTTGGTCAACTGGTTTTTGATAAGAGTTCCATGACAATTCAATAGAGAAAAAAGTCTTTTCAATAAATGGTGTTCAGACACCTGGATATCCACATGCCACAGAATTACCATAGACCCCTATGTTACATCTTACACAAAAATTACTCAAAATGGATCAAAGGTCAAAATGTAAGAGGTACAACTATAAAACTCTTAGAAGAAAACATAGGCATAAATCTTTGTGAATTAGACAATAGCTTCTTAGATATGAGAAAAAATAGATAAATTGGACATCAAAATGATGCTTCAAAAGGCATCATGAGGAAAATGGAAAAAGAACCCATAGAACGACATGAGAAAAAAATGGATATGGTAGGTATTGACTACCATATCCCCAGTAAGGAACTTTTAATGAAAATATATGATGAACACCTAAAACTCAATAGAAAGACAACAACCCAACTAAAAATTGGCCAAAATATTTGAACAAATTTTTCTCTAAAGGAGATATACAAATTGGCCAAAAAGCACATATAAATATGCTAAACAACATTAATAATTAGAGAGATTCAATTCAAAACCACTATGAGGTACAACTTTACACCCAGTAAGATGGTTATAATAAAAAAGACAGAAACTAACAAGTGCTGGCAAGGATGTGGAGAAATTGCAATCCTCATACATGGCTGACACGGATGTCAAATGGTACAGCGACTTTGGAAAACATTTTTTTACAGTTTCTCAAAAAGTTAAACATAGAGTTACCATATAACCCAACAATTCCACTCCCAACTATACATCCAAGATAACTGAATACATACATTTACACAAAAATTTGTACATAATAGAATAAAAGTGGAAAGAACCCAAATTTGCATCATTTGGTAAGTGGATAAACAGATATAGTATATATATACAATGGAATATTATTTAGCCACACAAAAGAATTACGTACAAGTTCCAACGTGAACTTTAAAAACATTATGCTAAGTGAAAGAAAACAGACACAAAGGTCACATCTTGTGTAATTTCTTTTATATAAAATGTCCAGAACAGGCAAATCCAGAGACAAAGTAGATTAGCGGTTGTCAGGGGCTAAAGGAAGGGATTGCTGGAGAGTGGCTGCTAATGGTCTGAAGATTTTCTTCAGGGTGATAAAATTTTTCTGGAGATAAATAGTGGTGATGGTTGTATGACTTTGTTAATATATTAAAAACCACTAAATTGTACTCTACTTTTTATTTTTTAATTGACAGATAAAATTGTATTAAATTGTACACTTTAAAAGTGTACTTTGTGGTGCAGTCAAACTGCACAGATGCAAATAGACATAGCGCAAATAGACATAGCAATCTCATTTTTGAGAACTTATTAATCTTCCAAAATAGTAACCGAAATAATGGTACTAGAAATTAATGATCTGTATGTGAGAATGCCTGAGTCAGCACTGTTCACATTATCAAAAAACAGGGAACCACCTTAAGAGTAAAATAATGGTCAAATAAGTATGGTGTGCCTATACAAAGAAATGTCATGCTTTCTTTTAATTGAAAAAAATTATATTGTTCTTTCTATAATCAAACAGTATATATTTATAGTATAGAAATAGGAAATACGAATAAGATTTTTAAAGAAAAATTGTTAATTCCAGCCCTCAGAGACATAATTTTGGTGTATATCATCTCAAGTCTTTTATTCTGTATGTGTGTGTGTGTGTTTATGTGTGTGTGTTTGCATGCCTGCATGCATATATGTGTGTATACACACACATATACTTGTTTTGTATATATACATATATCTGTATATAAACACACATACACTTGTTTTTCAACTAAAAAGGGATCACTCTTTTTAAAAAATAGCATTAAAATCTTGAAATAATGAGACACAAATTAGGAGAAGGTACAGCCAACACATATAACTAACAAATGATTAGTATCTATAAGTTTAAAAAAATGTTAGTGGTACATTTATGGAGTATGAATGCAATTTTGTTACATGTATCAACTGCATAGTTTTCCAGTCAGGACTTTTAGGGTATTGGTCACCTGAATAATGTACATTGTACACATTATTTCTCATCATTTTTATAAATTAATAAGAAAAATATATATACTACAAAGAAAAATGAGCAAAAAGTGTGAGTAACCAATTCACCTAAAAGGAAATATAAATAATTATTACATAAAAAATAATCAGTAAATAAAAAATAGGCTCATTCTATTATGGAATGTGGAAAGTACCACTTAGATCATCAGTGAAATCACATTTCACCCTAATCAGATTGAGGAAAAAAATCTGACAATATTAAGAGTTGGTAAGGATATAGAAAAGCAGCAACTCATTCAAAGCTAAAGGGGATATAAATCGGTACAATCAATTTGAAAAATAATTTGACAAAGTTGAAGATGGAAAAACTTATCACTCAGCAATTCCACTTCTAATTATATATTCTAGAAAAAAATTTTGTGAATGATAAAGGGTACTAACCAAAGACTGCTAATGGCAGCATTTTTTACCATACTGAAAAATTAAGATAGTGGATGTCAATATACAGGAGAAGAGATGAATGATGGTTCATTTATTCAATGTACCACAAATGAATAAACTGCAGTTACATATAACAACATAGATGAATTTCAAATATTTATGTGAAGCAAGAGAAGCAATGAGCAGAAATATACATCCAATTCATACACATAAAACTTAAACCATATTTATGATGTAAAATTTTAGAGAAGTGCATGGAAATTTCAAATACTAATTTAGAAGGGTGGTTCCTCAGAAAAATAGAGGTTGAGGTGGGTAGAATTGAGGGAAAACTTTGTAGCTTTAATTGTTTAGATAATGCATTATTTCTTAAATTGTATGGTAGGAGTGCTGAGTATACTGATTTTTATTCATTTATGAATGTCTTAAATATTTCTAATTAAATGTTTTAAAGAAAATAAAATATATGGAAGTGGGTTCTTCTGGTGTTGATATAAATCTCAGATACGGATATTAGGAATCCTTAGCCACACCATTTTCTATGGTCTATATAAATATAATTTTAGAATAGAATTAAAATCTCTTAGCATTTGACTGCAGTATAATCAGATAGCAAGCTGGAAATTTTATTGTGTTGTTGTAAACAGGTTTTTATTGTTGTTGTAAACATAGCATCATTTCATGATCATTATTCAATATAATCACTGTTTTGTGCAGTTCTCCCTAGTTGAAAAATTTTTATTCAAATTCTTCAGTAGACTAAAGACATTTAGAGAAACACTACTAAGATTTTGAAGTTTCTAGTAAAAGTTACATATCGTATAAATAAAGAATAGAGATTAGAAGAACTTAGATATAATGGGCAGAGGATTTTGAACTGAACTATTTAGCTAATATCTGTCATTAACACAGTATTAATGAGAGAGGTCCCTAACACTCCCATGCCTTAAATGCGCAAACCGAGTCCATCTCTATTCAAGGTTCCATCCATCATTCTTGTTACCAAGTTCTCAAGTTTCTTTAGAAATACAGGAGTATTAGCACACTAAATTTCTCCACTGAAAAATGTAAAATAAATTATTTTTGCTTAACCTTTGAGTACATTTATGTGCATGATATAGTCAAGAACACAGAATATCAGTATTCTGATATCAGAAGACAAAATCTTATGAAAGGACACAAAAAATAATTTAAAAAACAAGTTTCCAGTGAAAACAAGAGAGCTGAGCAGAAGGTTCCAGTTATCTCTTATTAGAGAAGATAAGTTCACAAACCATATTTATACATGGCCACTGGATTTTCTGAGTATCTTAATGAATTTTCAAAAAATACTTTGTATTAGTCTGATGACATAAGACACTTGGGGGGATTATAGAAATTGACAAACATATACAGTGATTCCACTTATACTTAAAAATAAATCAATGCTTTTGGAAATCATGTCATCCATAGTCCTTTGGTGAGTCCTTAATTATCTTTTTTCTGCAAAAAATATTGCATAGAACCTAGGCTAAAATATGTCACACAGTTAAACTCAGAGTCAGCTGAATGGCAGAACAATGGCAGGGAACCTTTCCATTCAATCTGTTTATGAAAATTGTTCGTTGTGCCTGGAAGAGTTACATGGTGTGCCAAATCAGGCTTAAAGTACCGTTAGAATGTCTCTGCTAGTAGTATGCATAATTATTTTTTTCAATTGCCCAGCCTCTTCTCCAGGGACAGAAAGAGACACATTTACATAACCCCTATTTTTCTGTCCACTCCCAGAACCGATATTATTTATGTGCAAATCAACTGAAAAGCATGACCTGCTTCACTAGGCTTTTGCTTTACACACTCTTATTTTTCTTTAGACAAAATTTGGGTGAATTATGTCTTAGCAAAACTGAGTATTGAGTCTTTAAGAACATATATACATGCACAGACACACACACATACACACACACACACACACATATATACATAAACATATACCTAAAGACATGAGGCTTTTCTAATTCCATTTCATCAAGTTTGCTGACATCAGGCTGAACACTTAATTTAAAAATGGGGTAACAACCTTATACTGTTGTCAAAGATTTCTATACCATTCATAAAGTTATGTGGAAATATTTTTATTTTAATTTTCTTGGCAGCTGAATAAAGCATCACTCTTAAATTTAGTGTGAACTTTATACCTCATTACTCTTACTTCAATTTAATTGTTGTACAATAATGAGTAAATGACTCATGTGCTCAATATTTCAAGCAATGCAACCATTTTTGAATCTCACAAAGAACTACCTTATTGGTTATTGACATTAAGCACTCATGACAACTCATTAGGAAAAGATATATACCCAAGAAAGCCCTACAACATTAGTGACTCAGGGCCCTGATCCACTTGAAATTTTAAAGTAACTAGTTTTAATTTTTCCTGCAGTAGTAACATCACAGATTATTGTTGTTGTTTCCATTTTTGACCCTTATCATAATGTGCCACCAAGCATTTTTCCCCAAATTCATTTTTTCTACATAAGCAAATTAAAGTGGAAAACTGAGATAATTATCCAAGTCATTCAAGCCAAAAATTGCTTTTGCATAAAATATATACAAATACCAAAATAATGGACTCTAGATCTGTAATTATGAATCATCTAGCTATTAGAGGCCAGACTGCCTCATATGGGTCATGTCTCTCTCACCTTTTTCATTGAAATAATCATTTACTAACCGGAGGGGCTTTGCTCTAAATCAATTGATCCATGTCCCAGGTTTCAAGCTAGAGCATACACAAAAAAGTTATTAAATGCAGAGGTCAAAGAGACTAGTTGAATTAGTAAATTGATAAACAGATTTTAGCATTAATTATCCTGACAGTCTACACATAGAGGCCTGGGAGCTCATGGGCACATTGACACTGTCAGTTCATACCCTGAATTTTTTTCTTTCACTCACAAGAGAGCATTAATTTTAAAAATAAGTAAATTAATTAAAAGATGCAATCACACTAAAAAAGATGATAAGGATTCATGCACCAAAAACAGGTTCAGAAGTAGAAGCTGAATCTATCAGCCTGCTCAGTTTCAAGTAGAGAAACAAGGAGATGCATCGTTAAGCTGGGATGCTGGCCAGAGAAGGATGCTGACAGACCGATCCATTGCCTGAGGCTACACTTCAATAAAGCTGTGAACTTCCAGAGGTTGGAAGACCAAAGGACTTCCAGTCAGGACCTGGGCTGTGCTGCTCACTAGCTTCGTGTTGGGGTGGGGGTCAACATCCCAGGGCAGGGAAAACCACCAGCTCTATGCCACTGTAGGATGACTGTAGTTAGCAATTATATCTTATATAGTTTCAAAAACTAGAAGGAGGATATTGAACATTCCCAGAACAAAGAAATTATAAATGTTTGAAATGATGGTATGGTAATTACCCTGATCTGATCACTATACATTTTATGTATTGAAACATCACTATGTACTCCAGGAATATGTAAAGTTCTTATTTGTTCATTAAAAAAAAAACATTTTTTAAAAAGCAGCATGTGTAGTAATAAGTATAGAGAGGAAGGCAAGGCAGGCAGGCAGGATGATTGCTCAAGATAAATTTAGGAAGGATCATTCCAAAGCCCCTAAGAATCAGTACTATGAAAGAGAGAAGCATCATTAATAGTTGAGAGACTCATTCACTACCAATAAAATAATTTTTTAAAAACCAAAATTAATATCATAAAAGCATTTGAGCTCCTTATAAAAATAGTTCTAGCTTTAAAAAGTAAAAAACTGTTTAGACCAAAATAGAAACAAATCAAGAAGAGATAAATTTAAAAATAGAACCAATTAAAAATGTAAGAGAAAAGATATTTACTACATTTTTAAACCTCCATATTAATACAAATAAATAGAAATTCAATGAATTAGAAGACAGGACTAACCAATCCACTCAGAACAGAGCAGTAGATTGATATGGTCTCCCAAATGGGAATGGAAAATAAACTGAATTTGAAAAGATAATAGCCGAGGAAATTCCAGGATTTGAAATACAAAAAAAGTACCCAAAAATAGTTCCAACCTAGACACAGTACAGTGAAATGGCAGAACAATTAGGATAAAGGGAAATCTTAGCAGCTCAACAAGAAAAGACATAATTTTTAAAAGAATGAAAATTAACATACACCTTACTTGAACAAGTATTTAGATAGTTAAATATCCCTTTCAGTTTTTCTGGTTAAATTTTACACATCCTACAGACAATTGTATATGTTAATAAAGCTAGTTTTGTTTTTATTTTATAGCCAATAAACATGAATAGGAATAGCATTGGTATGTTTATAGAAATTAATAACCTGAAATCAAGATGTCAGCTGGGGAAAAAATTAATAATGAACATTTTACAACAGCTATAATAAGTTGGTGTTGAATAAAGAATGTTAAATACTTTTCATCAGGGTTAGTAATATTTTAAATCTGTACCTGGCCTCTATGGTCATTAGAAACTCAAAATATAACAGCCTATAAGGTACAGCAGTCTGCAGATGAGGTACAGCAGTCTGCAGCTTCTGTGATATAAAATTAATAATCCTTTTGTTATCTGTGAGCCAGTGCTTTACTAATACAAGCCCAGCCATGGACTGTACTACAGTCTAGTAACAGTGTAGTAAGAAATGAGAAAACATTTACAATCAAAGCCTGAATATTCAGATGTGTATAATTTATTATTATTATTATTTTATTATTATACTTTAAGTTCTAGGGTATATGTGCACAACATGCAGGTTTGTTACATATGTATACATGTGCCATGTTGGTGTGCTGCACCCACTAACTCGTCATTTACATTAGGTATATCTCCTAATGCTACCCCTCCCTCCTCCCCCCACCCCACGACAGGCCCCAGTGTGTGATGTTCCCCACCCTGTGTCCAAGTGTTCTCACTGTTCAGTTCCCACCTATGAGTAAGAACATGCACTGTTTGGTTTTCTGTCCTTGCAATAGTTTGCTCAGAATGATGGTTTTCAGCTTCATTCATGTCCCTACAAATGACATGAACTAGATGTGTATAATTTTTATATTAAAACATTTTCTGTTTTAAGGTTTCTTTTGAAAAAACATATATTTCTTATCCAGTTCTAGACCCTGTAACCATGAACAACCATATTCTTTGATGGATAATAAATGCTTCATAATTTTTCCCTAGGATAGGATAACCATGATTAAATTTCCCTTTTTGAAAAAAACACTATGCACCAAATAGGTAATAGTTTCTTAATACGATTAATTATTAAAGTAACTTTATTGGGGAGAAGAAAGAGGATTTATTGTTTCATGGGTACGAAGTTTCAGTTTGGAATGATGAAAGAAGTTCTGGAGATGGTTAATGGTGATGGTTGTAGAACAATGTGAACGTCCCTAAAACGTACACTTAAAATAGTTAAAATGGCAAATTTTATGCTATGTGTATTACAACAAAATTAATATGCATATTTTTTAAATAATTTTAAACTTTAGGTTAAAAAGTAATTTTATAAACTTTTTAAAGCATAAGGAAATTTGTGGTCTCTATTGTATTCAAAGAAATGACTGTTCATCCTCATGCATAAAATTTAGGATGAGACACTGTCTTACAATTTCCTGCTTTCTGACTGTCCTGATCGA
Organism: Homo sapiens; assembly: GCF_000001405.40. Lineage (NCBI taxonomy): Eukaryota > Metazoa > Chordata > Mammalia > Primates > Hominidae > Homo > Homo sapiens. Next base: position 107,215,750 of record NC_000005.10, read on the forward strand.
TGTTTTCAGTCATGCCACTTTTTCACAGTCTGCGTGGCACTTCTCCAACAGGAAATTTACCTCAGATCTGTTCATGTCACCAATCCTCCTGTAGCTCTAGCTTCTCTGCTCCAAGTTAAACTGAAAACTGCCCTGTCATTTCTTTTAACCTTTGAGTTTGAGGCAGTTCTGAGAACTTCTCTCACAGCAATTGCTTGTTCCTCCTGGGCACCATACTATAACTAGGCTTAATCATAGAATTCTAGGGTTGAGGAACCTTGAAAAGCACTGTGACCTCTCCAACACTGGCCGCAACCACTCACAAACCATCCTCACACACTGTAGAGGTTGTGTTGCCTTTTAAAGCTCCCTCTCAGAATTCTATGCTTTAGGATTTTCTCCTAAAAACACCAACTGCAAATCTAAATCTGTCAACCTTTGTGCTAAGGTACACTTCCCTTTGCTCTTGCTAAAGTGGGATAGGGGAGAAAATTGATCACTTTCTATACTAACATTTTATGTCCATTTTTTGAAGGCCATTACTAAATCAAAGTCAGATCTCAGCTGTCTCCTTCAGAGCAAAATAGCCCTTATTCCCGAAACTTCCCCATATAAGGTTAGATTTCCATTCTTTTAATAACGTTTGTGACCATTTTTTTATTCTCTGTTAAGCTCCTTACATTTCCCTTGAGTTATGGAAGGCAGAATACTCAAATAAGGTATTTTATTAACTTTTGCAAATTTTTACATTCGAGAACCATGCTATCTTTTTAGGAGAGATTCTGCTAGACAGCTTAAAATTCAGTGTGTCTCTAATATCACCACTACTATATTTATTGTAAATATTTACATTTGTCAGTTAGTATAGTTTGATTTGTTTTACCCCTCCAAATCTCATGTTGAAAATTGATTCCTGGGGTTGGAGGAAAGGCATAATGGGAGGTGTTCTCGTCAGGGGGGCAGATCTCTCATGAATGAATGCGTTGGTGCCATCCTTACAGTGATGAGTGAGTGCTCTCTCTAGTAGTTTCCATGACAGCTGGTGGTTACGAGGAGCCAGGCACGTCTCTCCTCTTTCTCTTTCTCTTGCTTCTTCTCCCATCATGTGATCTGGACATGCCTGCTCCTCTTAGCCTTCTACCACGAGTGGAAGCAGCCAGGGGCCCTCACCAGAAGCAGATGCTGCTGCTAGGCATCTTGTACAGCCTGCAGAACTGTGAGCCATATAAGCCTTTTTCTATAAATTACCCAGCTTCAAGTATTCCTTTACAGCAACACAAATGGACTAAGACAACAGTCATTTCTCCTATTTGTATTAATTATATTCAGCCTATTCTCCCTGAGTTTACCTTTAAGAATCATCTTTTTCCAGCTGATACCAACTAACATAAATATAACATTGATCTCAAATAAGCTGTTACCAGTAACAATTACTAAACCCACATCCATGTCAGGATAGCTTTTTTAAAAAGAAAAATGCTGATCTATTTTAATATCTTCATTAACTATAACTTTCAAGAGTAACACACTTCCAGTAATTATCCAAAATAACAGATACTCTCAATATATGTTTTTCTGTGTGTCAACTTGCTATTCATATTTTAAAAATCAGGTTACTAAGTAAAGACAGTTTGAGTATGTATTATACATAAACACATTTCACTACAATAGTTCAACATCTATTGTATTATCTCCTTTACTTCCTTAAGAGGAAAAAGTTATGCAGGCATCAAAACTCCCCATTATGCAGGTATCAAAACTCCCCATTATGCAGGTAGTGTGAAATTCACCCTATACTTCCATCAAATTATAGAGGATCAGTCATGTGCACCTAGGAGTAGGAATGGTTTGCTGAGGCATTCAGGCCCAGCAAAGGAGGGCAAAGCATGATGATCATCATAACAGTGAAAATTTTAATAGTAGAAATGCTTCAAAAATTAGTGTTTTACAGCAGGCACAACCTGCAACTCCAAACCTGCAGCTTACACATAATCTCTGACCTGTTCTGGGCTCCAGACATCCTCAGTTAGGAACAGCACACACTCAGTGCCAAGCAAGACCAACAAGATTCCTAGGCTATGATGAATACAAAGAAAGGAGGGAACAGGGCACCCTTGCCATGGCAAACCTGTTCTGCCCAGTCCCCCAAGGTGATGAAATGTGTGACTGTCACAAGACTCAGTAATACTGTTATAATTGGGATGTACAGGGAATAGATGCCAGCTGCAGAAACAGTATGTACTTTGACAAGGAGTGTGTTGGAAACGACTGCCAGCCTGTGCCTGCTGCCAACTCCACTCAGCTACAAATAGAAATGACGACGCACAGTGGGCCACAGCTCTCATAGTAGCCTTTACCAACCACTGCTTCAGGACCAAGCAGGATCTAGAATTTGAAGTGGTCACGGCAGTCTTCAAATTAGTTACACATCGCAGAGTGGCACTATTCAAAGGGTAGCCACAGTACAACTGCACTGGCATCAACAGAAAAGCCTGTTGAAAAATGCAGCTTCATCCCCGACCCAGACCTATTGAATCAGAATCTCTAAGGGTGACGCCCAGGAATCTGTAGGTTTAAATTTCTCCTGGTGTTTCTTATGAATATAGGTTTGAGAGCTAAGGTCAAGCAAGCCAAATAGGAGATACCAAAAGCACAAATCATAAAACTATGTAAAGTAAGGAAAAATAATATCATCTTACATTTTTATCATGCTTTGCAATTTACCAAGTGCTCCTATATGTAACCTCATTTCTACACAACTATATTTTACAGAAAATACAATTCCTAGGAGATCTGAGTTAGAAATATACTTTAAAATATATATATATATATATCAGGAATAGAGCAAAGGTATTTTAATGATGTCTAGAGCTCTTTCCACTCCATTGTTATGACTCATAGTCATAATCATTATGATAACATGAATAACAACAAAAGGAATAAAAATGATAGCAGCCCTTCCTATGTGCCAGACATTGTACTAAGAGTTTATATTTGTTACCACTTTTAATCTCTGTAACAACACATGAGATATTATACTTCCAGTTTTACAACTGAGGAAATTAAGACTCCAGAAAATTAGATTGCCTAAGATCATAGAGCAAGTAATTATGGGTGCCTAGATCCAAACATGTTCTGCCTGACTCTAAAGCATGTACATAACCTCTCTGTTCTACAGCCTCCTTAGTGTGATTCACTCAAGCAAAGTTACAGCATTGTTCAAAGATTAAATGTGGCCTCACTTTCTCACGATAACCAGCATGGTCAGATGATGAAGTAAATGAATTTCTCAATGACTCCTTCACCACTGGTTCCTCATATGTTCTTTCACCATCAGTGTATTGAATGCCCATTCAGTGCCATATATTGTGCTTGGTGATGGGAAGACAAGGATGAGTAAGATGAAGTTGCAGTTTCTGCCCTCATGAAATTTACACTGTGGTATAAATCTAGGGTTACATCATTTTACACCAGGTCATATTTACCCTGGCCAGCACCGTGATCCAGAGATTTCCCCATTTCCCTGTCTTAATAAATATCATGATTCTCCTATTTTCTTGGCCTTGGCCAACCTCTCTACTGGTGAATTTCAGAAAATCGGATCCTTACGTTGCTAATAGCTCCTAGTGGAATCAGGTGCTACTTCTGCAATGGACTGAGATAATTACATCAGTCAGGACGTTGTCCACAGCATTTTGTTTGGGCTTGGCTCAGATATCCACTCTGTAGTAGTGTGACCTTGGAAAAGTTATTTAACCTCTTTGTAAAATAGAGATGGTAAAATGGAACTATCTCCTAAAGTTGTTATGAGAATCAAGTGAGCTAATTGAAAGGGAACACTTAGCCTAGTGCCTGCCACAGTATAGGCATGAAAAACTATTATAATTACTTGAAAAGCATTCTTGGTAATACTTAGCAAAACAACTTTGTACTAGGCTTGTTTGGAGCAACCATTGAGTTGTGCCAAAAATTAGACTTTGCCTTGGATTATGATTATCCAAATACTTCTCTTAATATCTCCTCTATGTGGTAAGAACTTGAAGTCAGCAAAATCATTAATTTCTGTACCTTCCCTCCACCCCACAGAACCTAGTATTCTGTAAATTATCTATTAATTTACATGTTTAAAAGTTTCTTTACAATCAACAGAGTGAAGAGACACCTGTAGAATAGGAGAAAATATTTGCAAACTATTGATTCGACCAGGACTAATATCCAGAATATAAAAAGAATTCTAACAATTCAACAGCAAAAATACAAATAATCCCATTAAAAAGTGGGCAGAGGATCTGAATACATATGTCTCAAAAGAAGACATACAAATGGCCAAGAAGTATACAAAAAAATGTTCAACATCACTAATCGTCAGGGAAATGCAGATCAAAACCACAATGAGATATAATCTCACCCTGCTTAGAATGGCTATGTCAAAAAGACAAAAAATGACAAATGCTAGTGAGGAGGAAAAGAAAAGATAACTCATACACTATTTGTGGAAATATAAATGAGTACAGCCATTATGGAAGACAGTGTAAATGTTTCTCAAAAAGCTAAAAATAGAACTACCATATAATCCAGCAATCCCACTACTGTGTTTTTTTTCCAAAGGAAAAGAAATCATGATATCAAAGGCATACCTGCACTTCTGTTTATCACAGCATTATTCACAGTAGCAAAGATATGGAATCAAGCTAAATGTCTATCAAAAAATGAATGAATAAAGAAAATGTGGTATATATACATCATGAAATTCTAGTCAGCCTTTAAAAAGGATGAAATCCTCTCATTCATGCCAACATGAATGAGCCTGGAGAACATTAGGTTAAACAAAATAAGTCAAGCACAAAAACATAAATATAACATGCTCTCACTCACATGTGAAAGCTAAAAACAAAAAGCTCAGTTCATGAAAGAAGTTAATTGGTTAATGGATACAAAATTATAGCTAGATAGAAACTAATTAATTGGTTAATGAATACAAAATTACAGCTAGATAGAAAGAATGAGTTCTGGTGTTGTGTGGCTCTGTAGGGTAGATATGGTTAACTATAATTTATTGTACATTCTGTAAAGTCTAGAAGAGACGATTTTGAATGTTCACAACATAAAGCAATGATAAATGTTTGAGGTGGTGGATGTGCTAATTAACACTGATTTTAGCATTACACATTGTATACATATGCAGAAATATCACTCTGAATCCCATAAATAAAAGCAATTATGGGCCAACTAAAAATAAAAGGAAAAAAGTTTCTTCGATTCATTTTTTGTTGTTGAATGAATGAATAAGTAAATAAATAAAAATGGACAAATGAGCCCATCTGTTCTTCCATCCTCACATCAGACTGTCTTTCCTTCAGGTTCCTACGTTTTCTGTTAAAAAAAAAACCAATTAATATAAAAGAACTACCACTCACTGCGATAAATAGATTTCCAAAGGTTATTCCTAGAAAAGACAAAGCTTTACTTCTAAAAACAATGTTGATTGATGGAATTTCAAGAACAAGGGTAGTCAGGAAAAGGAAATATTCTGGATCAGTGAACACTCCCGGCTGCCCTGAAATCAGCCAGTGTAATTCGTCTTTTCACGTGAGCAAACTCAGAGACGATGTGGATTCCTTCTTGCTCTTCACAGCACCCTTTAAGCAAAACTAGATGCCTGGGAGTACTTCCTTCCCCTCAAATCTCACCACACAGCCTAAATTTTACTGCATATGTGCTTAGGGGTAGCACTTGTCTCTATCAGACGGCTCTCCACATTTACCTCCAAAAGTGCACAAGCGGGAATGAAAATAGCCAGTTCTCTGGAATAATATCTGAGGTACCATGTGAGTACTGACACGCTGCAGAATGGCCACAGATGACCCACCTGGGGACAACCATACGACTGCATAGACTTCTGCAGTGAGCAAGCAATATGTGCTGGCAAGTGGAGCCAAAGTCTACACCTACATGCCCACCCTGGAACCGCATAACTTGTGCCACTGCCAGAGCTTCCTGAGGAGGGAGGAGATTGAGCAGGTGTCCATTTTCAAAATGTCCCTCCCCTTCTACGACAAAGAGATTAAGACCTAGCTCCATGCAACAACAACTATCTGAAGCTCTCTCATCCATTTAGAACACAGCACTGCAGGAAAATCTTTTCTCCAGTCTCTATGATTTTTCTCTCTTAGCATTTTTACACCCTTCGTGCTTAACAGGTTAATGGAGTTTCATCCCCTGCAACGCCACCAGAAACACAATGTTATCTATAATACATTTCACCAAAAGGCACTTTCTAGCTAGGGTTCTTAGTAATCATTCCCTTAATAGAGTTTGCTGAAGCATTGATCATAAGCTTCATGCCTTGGAAACCTGAACTTCTGGGAGGGTCAGTCCCTGTCTATGGAGTCACAACTCGATCTCGCTACCATGAAATGAGTGCAGACATCGAAAAGGTTACAAAATTGTTTTAAATATGTTTATGTGGTCAAAATACATATAAAATTAGTAATCAGACATCTCCTCACAAGTTAAGTATTCTTTTATGTGTTGTCAAATATCTTTTCAATATTCCAGACATGATGAGTAAATCTTTTTATCTACTTTATTATTTCTGGTATTGATTATTCAAAAAGTTAATGGTCTTAAGCTGTATTTACTGTAACATTTAACTTCCTTTAATTTTTTCTTTAATTCACTTTTAAAAAAATCTATTTCCAGCTTAAGTTTACAGTCTACCTGGGATATTTGCCTAGATGGAATGATAATTTCTTAATTTGTCTTGATTCGATGAATAAAATACATCATGATCTTTTGTTCATCAATTTTACCTGTATTACCACCTGTTTCATTCTGAAAATATTAAGAAAACTTAAAAATAATTATATATCTAATAACAACGTATTTTTAAAGCACTATTATTTTTAACTAGCTTTACAGTTTTCAAAAGTAAAAACTAATCAAGATCTCTTCTCTTCAATATTCATTTTATATGCTGGCTGTTTAAAGGTTATAGGAAATCTGAAAATATACTTCTTGACATTTTAAGCTATCTGAAAAGAGTCAGATGGATAACGTTTAACCTCACATTTTTATGAGGGTTACCAATCACCTAACACCAAGCCATAATTTTAGGTTCAAAATGCAATTCTGAAATATTTTTAACAATTTCTTCATGCATTAGAGCCACAATTCTATAGGTGACAAAATTTATATGCAGAAAGGGAGATAATATTTTATTTATCTTTTAGAATTTCCGGGCATTTCTTGGATATTTCTTTAATAATGTTAGATTTATCCCAAGGAATATAATGCAAAATAATGACACATATAATTTGCTTTTGAAGTACTGATGTTAATCACAAAGATTCCCATGTTAATTGGAGTGTGCTCGTTCAGCACCTTGTATGCCAATGCTTCTCTGAGTTCATTACATTGTTGCATAGGTTTTGAAAACATTATTAATATTAAACAAGTCAACCCTTGTGCAACAGTGATGAGAACTATAGGAAAAACCACACTAAGATGAGATTGCTCCATTGGGCATGGTATACCTATTATGTCATGTCAATTAAGTCATTTCTGAAACACGAGGTATTTGTTTGAACTAAAATGGGTATTATTCTTAATTGGCACTGTGAGTTCTGAACTTGAATCTTACAGTAAGCAATTTCTTATGACAGCTAAAAGGATGGAAATATGTTTGTGTGTCACTAGAGAATCTGTGCCTGGTATTATAAAAAGTCTCTTCTTACAAAGTTTAGGGTGCTTTAAGGGAGGACTACTTCAGACTGCTTATCTTAAGCCGTCACTTGTGTTCAGTTCTATTTTCAATGCATATATCTTCTTTCATTGGGAAAATTAAAAGAAAACTAACAATATTATCACAGCAACATAAACTAGGCATATTTTAAAAGTGAAAAGGATGAGACAAAAGTGCATCATGACCACAGTTATTATAGTTGATTTACTTTTCTTGTTTTACTTTTTAAATTTCTAGTAATGTGAATATTAGAATTTAGAATCTTTTATATATAGGAAAGAATTCAAAACAACAAGTTAATGGGGAACTACCATTGCAATAAAAAATAAAATAAGGGTTCTGACATCCAATTAATAGTGTCTAGTGAAAAGGAAAATATTGTCCATGACATACTCAAATTTGGTGGTTCTTACAACAAAATATAGCAACAATAACACCTCCTTATTTTTGACGGCATCTATAGTTTGGTAGCACTGAGAGCAAATCAATTGAAAAAAGAATACATTTAACTCAATTTAAAGAAAAAATAATTATCAAAAACCAAGCATTCAATGTATACTACTATATTTTGTCTGTCTTTTCTCAATGTTTCAAAAAGTAATAACATTTATAGAATTATCTTCAATACAATTTCCAGTCCTATTCTAATTTGTTATAGTGTTAAATTAGTATTTGGAATTTGAAATTTGAGTTATAAAGTACCTATCATATATTCCAGCTAAACATATTTCACACAGATTAATGATTGAATTACAAAAAGAGGAAAAGAAAAAGAAAGAAATAGCTCTAGGAAAAATTGTATAATAAAAATCCTTCCCCAAAATAATTGTCACCTAATTAGACAAATTCACAAAGTTGAGTTGGAAATAACCAGTCTCTGGTGCTTCCTGCCCTTCATTTACCCCTTCTGGCAAACATACCAATTATTATAATGACAGAGGACTTCTGGTACTCTAATCTTAGTTCTTGAAGCTTTCCTGACTTTGCATGCTGTTCTGTTTATAAATCTGCTTAAGGTCACTCATAACAACTTAGTCACTTACTAGCTATGTTTCACTTATAAGCTGCTTAACTTTGCTCTTTGTGGGTTTTCTCATTTATAAAATAGGCATAATAATAGTGTCATCTCGGGGCTATTGTGAGGACTAAATGAGTTGCTACAGTGGCTGGATAGGTAAATGCTCAATAGATATCAGCTACTACTATTTTTATCTATATGGATGATGGACAGAGTGTCATTCCTAGGTAAATTTTGAAATGATCAAAACTTCTCTTAAACTTTTCAACTTTTCTATTTATTTATTTTCTCCCAATTTCATGCCTTACCCTCCATGCTACATGCCCCACCAGGGTTGGCAATGGACTCTGTTCCACGAAACCAGAGACTCAGGTTGGGAAATGTAGGCAAGCAGATGGACTATTAGGTGAGCATCAATATGCTTGCCACAGTCTGCTCTTCTGAGCTCCAAAGAGTCTCTACTCTCCCTTGCTCCCTTTTTTCCACACATGCTTTCCATACAAGCCCTTCTCAAGGGAAAAAAATCAAAAGCCCATCTTCTTGGCATCCTTATCAAAGCCCATTATCCATGAGGGATGCAGAATTATCTCTAAATCACTTGCAAACATGAATCCATCTGCCCTATACTCACTCAACGCACAGTAATGGAACAGTGGCCATCATAAAAGTCCTACTGAAAATAGGATGGTTAGATATTAGATCTTTGTCAGATGCATACTTTGCAAATATTTTCTCCCATTCTATAGGTTGCCTGTTTACTCTGTTGATAGTGTTTTTTGCTGTGCAGAAGCTCTTTCATTTAGTTAGTTCCCGTTTGTCAATGTTTGCTTTTGTTGCAATTGCTTTTGGTGTCTTCATCATGAAATCTTTGCCCGTTCCTATGTCCAGGATGGTATTGCCTAAGTTGTCTTCCAGGTTTTTTATAGTTTTGGGTTTAATTTTAAATCTTCAATCCATCTTGAGTTGATTTTTGTATATCGTATAAGGAAGGGGTGCAGTTTCAATCTTCTGTATACGTATAGCCAGTTATCCCAGCACCATTTATTGAATAGGGAGTCTTTTCCCCATTGCTTGGTTTTGTCAGCTTTCTCAAAGATCAGATGATCATAAGTGTGGGTCCTTATTTCTGGCCTTTGTATCCTGTTTCATTGGTCTATGTGCCTGTTTTGGTGCCAGTACCATGCTGTTTTGGTTACTGTAGCCCTGCAGCATAGTCTGAAGTCAGGTAATGTGATGCCTCCAGCTTTGTTCTTTTTGCCTTGGCTATTCGGGCTCCTTTTTGGTTCCATATGAATTTTTAAATAGATTTTCTAGATCTGTAAAGAATGTTGTTGATAGTATGATAGTGATACCACTGAATCTGTAAATTTCTTTGAGCAGTATGGCCATTTTAATGATATTGATTCTTCCCATCCATGAGCATGAGATGTTTTTCCATTTGTTTTTGTCTTCTCTGATTTCTTTGAGCAGGGTTTTATAACTCTCACTGCAGAGATCTTTCACCTCCCTGGTTAGCTGTATTCCTATGTATTTTATCCTTTCTGTGGCAATTGTGAATGGGATTGTGGTCCTGATTTGGCTCTTGGCTTGGCTGTTGCTGGTGTATAGGAATGCTAGTAATTTTTATATACTGATTTTATATTCTAAGACATTGGTGAAGTTGTTTATCAGCCGAAAGAGTTTTTGGGCCAAGACTATGAGGTTTTCTAGACATAGAATCATGTCTTCTGTGCACAGGTATAGTTTGACTTCTCTTCCTATTTTGATGCCCTTTATTCCTTTCTCTTGCCTGATTGCTCTGGCCAGGACTTTTAATACTATGTTGAATAGGAGAGTGCATCCTTGTCTTGTGTCTGTTTTCATGGGGAGCTAAATGATGAGAACCCATGAACACAAAGAAGGGAACAACAGACACTGAGGCCAACTTGAGGGTGAAGGGTGGGAGTAGGGAGAAGACTGGAAAAAATAACTATTGGGTACTAGGTTTAGTGCCTGGGTGATAAAATAATCTGTACAACAAACTCCAAACTCCCATGATATGAGTTTACCTATATAACAAACCTGCTCATGTATCCCAAACCTAAAATAAAAGTTAAAAAAAAAAATAGGAAAATAGGATGGTTAGAAGATACAGAACCCACTGGCTTATAGCTATTCTGAAATCCCTCTGGGAAGACATTATGAGGTGTTCCACTCATGGGTATGGGATATTTCTTGATTAGGCCCTCATTCCACACTTAGGGGAGAACTCCCTAGCTCCATCCTCTAACAGATTTTTTTCATTCTTTGTATCCTCTTTTGCTGCAAGTGAAGTGATCATTAGAACAAGCCCCCCAGGAGTCACAGATTTCTCAATCACCACCACATGAGAAGAATGGCGTCCCAAGATTTGTTTTAAATCTTGAGCAGTCACAGGCCTTCAGTATATGTTCATGAATTCTTTAGCAGTATGATTTTATTTTAAAAAAACTGATAGGTTTCTTTGATGAAATGCCCACAGTTAAAGACACATTCTCATATTGCTTTCTTCCTTCTTTTTTCTTCTCGATACCACCACCCCTACAACTCCCTCCATTTGCTCACCCTCCCCAACCATGACCCACCACACATGCCATATTTCTCTTCCCTTAAGGGACACTCCTTGAGACTGCAAACCACATACCTGGTCTGATATTTTCCCAGAGGCAGTTTAATCAGTTGAAAGATTTTATTGGGAATTTGCTCACTGGAGGCTGAATGGAGAATATTCTCATATCCCATTGGATTATGGATCCACAAGGTAATAGAGGTCTAGATCTTGAATCCCCATAAGAAACCTGCCTGTGTATCAGAAAGACCTGCATCAAACTGTTCCATGAGTAAGAATTAACTTCTTTTATACTTATCCATTGAAATTTAGGGGTTTATCTCTTACTGCGGTTAGCAATTCCCCAACTCAAACAATAAATTATTCAGGAACATTCTAGAAATATATTATTTTATTGATATAATAAGAAAAATTGTTTTCATGTATTTAAAGTGCAATTGATAGCAACTGAGATAGTATTTTTGTAGAATATATATAAGGCCTTCACTAATGAACTAAATGAAAAATAATTATATGTGGGCTTGCCAAGAAATGAAATGTATTTGCTGTTCACTTAGTTTTCTGTTGATCAAATAAAAAATGGAATCATAATAGACATTCCCCAAATAAAGCAAATTTGATAGCATATAACATATAAAATTTAATAGCCAAAATTAGTTTAAACCATATATGAAACAAAAAGTCACATAAAAGAAATATTAATGTATGCTTTCCAAATTTGACTGATCTGCATGTAAAGATTAAACATAATGATTTTTAAAAATAGCAACGATTTCCACTAGGCTCTGTTTGTAGCCTTTGAATTACTGATGACATAGGGGTCTGGATATACAGCATTTTTGTGTGTGTGTTACCAACTCATTGTGTATAGATGCAATGGTTTATTGCTAGACATGAACTTAAAAGGAAGAAATTCAAATTAGCTTTTAAATGTAGTATGTAACAATCAATATTGATAGATTCCAGGTTTACCACTAGGAAAATGATAGAAAATGTTGTTTTCCCTTTAATTATTCCCTATTTAACTCATTTTCAAATTGCTAAACGAAACTTGTAATATTGTTTTATTGAGTTATAAATAGTTTATGGAAATGTTCCTATATGGATATTTGTATTCTTATACATGCATAGAAAACTGGAAGCATACCTTGAAATATTTGAAAAATGGTTAACCCTGGGAAACTGGATACAAACAAACAGTAAGATGAGGAGAAGTTTTTATTTTCTCCTTCTTGTAATAGCACATTGTGTAATTTTTGGAACTCTGTGAATGATTCACTCTTGTAAATGTATTTAATAGAAAAAGTTGTGAGAACTGAATGATAGAATCTGGAATGGCTTCATTTGCATTAAGTGCAAGTGCCTAGAACAATACCCTGCCTGACGAAGGCTCTTAGTAAATAGTCGTTAAATGAATAAATCAAGCTATTACATTCAGAACATATTAGTATATGGATGGGGGAGGAGTTACTAATGTTGGATTTCACCCACAAAGAGTTGTGATAGAAGTGACAGCTGACAATTGCTTTCCAGGAACAAATCATAAGAAAGCTTTGTTCATATTGTTCTTGAAAAGCTAATAATAAAATTAAATTAGCTATTACCAAAATAGGTTTAATTATATATTTAATCATTGGGGAGGGATTTTTTTACGTTCCTTGAAAAATACTAAAAATCTTGAGGTTTTAAAATGGAGAATATGCAAACCCATTCCATTTGACACATAAAAGGTTTGAATCTACCATCTTCTTCTTAACATCTTTGAAACAAATTGTCAAAGAAGAAGCAGTGCGCTGTTAAATGGAAAAGACTTCTTGTGGTTATTATCACCGTGAAGAACCAGATCCTATACTACGTTGGAAATACATGTTGGTGGAGCTCATATAGATCACAAGGTAAGAGTCACATTCCAGACACCTTAGGTAGAATTTTAATAAAGATTAAAAAAAAATACAAAACATTCAGCAATCACAAAATGAGCCCATGGAGTATTTAAATGAGTTCCAACTTCATGTTCTACCAATTTTTACTTAAACAAAGTCTTTTCTAGAAACTATCAGCACTTGGAACTGTTAAGAATCAGAAAACAATATCCTAAAATGAAGGCCTCAGAAACAGCTCTCTGACCTTCTCCTGCCCTCCTGTCTCTGTCCCTGCATTCTTCCCTGAGGCTAGGCATAGAAACTAGAATCCCTCTTTCCCAAAGCAGTTCTTAGAAACCAGAAACCTTTTTTCCCAAAGCCAGCCATAAAACTTAAAATAATACTCCAAAAATACTTTCCCCCACCTTTCTGTGTAAACTAGCCATAAAGAAGTTATTGGGCCAAACATGTTTGATTGTAGGTCATAAGACCCCCATTCCAGAGAGGGTACTGCCCCATACCCAAAATGTTGCACAGACAGAACAAGAAGAATCTAAACAGACAGGCTTTGCTGGGTTTCCCCACTCAGCCTCTTAGCATTACATCACATCCTTTTTGTCCAGTCAAATTTCTACATGGCTGCCCATACTTTGTTGAATCTAACCATAAAAATGGACGGTTTCCCTTGTATCTTTGGGTCTTCATTCTAAAGGTTCCCATATCACATAAAATTGTGATTAAATTAATTTTTGTGTCTTTTCTCCTATTAATTTGCCTTTTGTCAGTTGATTTTTAGCAATCTTTCATAGAGGGAAGAAGAATTTTTCTTCTTCTGGCCCCTACAGGAATAAATTATTTGAAAAGTAAATTCCCATTTTGGGCCTATTAATGATGTGCCACTCAGAAAACATAAATTTTGGACAATAAGCAGCATCAAGTAAGAAAATTCTTGTTCAGTTTATGTCAATAAACACTAACACATTCACAGCCCCTTCTCGTGAACCTAGTTATCATCTTCCTTACCCATTAGTTACATATACAGGCATATACATCTTCATATGCCCTTTATTCTTAATGGAGAATGTTAGAAGTACTAATCTCTCAGAAGCATTCCTGCTGTTTAATTTGATTATGTGCACTTCTAATTGGTAAGACATTGAATTTTGTACTGTATTTAGCAAATCTTTTGGGCTTAGTTTTACTTGTTTCTAAGCTCTAGCACTTAATTTATTAGTATGAAACTACCTCTATGCCAGCGTCTCTCAAAGTGCATTCTACCAACCATCTGCACTCAGAAGCTTGTTCAAAATGCAAATTCCTGCAACCCAGTCAGACCTGCAGAATCACTGCTTCTGGAAGGTGAGCCCTAGCAATCTGTATTTTGAAAAAGATGCCTCATGTACACTTACGCCTAAGAACCACTATGTTTGCAGGGGTGCATAGGCAAAGGAGTCTTACCTAAGGGGGCGAGGGAGAACTAGGAGAGAGGGAAAAGCAGTGGAAAAGAGGGAAACTGGAACACTTGTTCTGCCCTCAGGCAAGCCTTGGGAGCATAGACATTTTTTCCACCACACCCTCTTTGTAGCAGGATTGGTTCTTTCACATTTGACGTCACCGTGGAAGCACAAGCTGCTAGGTGCAGTCTCTTCTGTCCCAGCCTGGAGTGGGTGCAGTAGGAGAAAGCTAGGCAAGCCAGATCAGAAACTAGGTGTCAGCACTGGAAAGAAAAGACAAGAAAGCAGCTTTACAAGACCAAAATTTCAGGCCTTTCCTCTGGAAATTTAAGTATCCCATTTTACAAGCCACCAGCAAGAGAATTAAGTTTAGTTTTGACCCCGGTGTCTCACAGACTTGAAAACAATAATCAGTAGGATTTTGAAAGATTTTGGCCTCTTTGAAAAATGTATACAAAGAGCTTTATCCTTTGTTTTCATAAATCTAGAATGATAACTCATTATAACTTCTAAACCATTAAAAAATTACCCTATGTTAGTGAAAGAATAGACAAATAAATCAATGCACCAGAATAGAGAGCCCAGAAATAAGCCCATATAATCCTTTGAATAGGAGTAAAGGGAATACAATGAAGAAAGACAGTCTTTTCAATAAATGGTGTTAGAACTACTGAACATCCACATGCAAAAAAATGAATCTAGACACAGACTTTATGCCCTTCACAAAAATTCACTCAAAATGGATCACAGACCTAAATGTGTAACACAAAATCATAAAACTTCTAGAAGATAACATAGGAGTAAAATCTACATGACCTTGGGTATGGCAAAAATAACTGATAAGCTAGACTTCATTAAAATTTAAAACTTCTGCTCTGTGAAAAAACTATGGGAAGAGAATGAGAAGACATGCTATGGAATGGAAGAAAATATTCACAAAAGGACACATCTGATAAAGGGCTGTTATGCAAAATATGCAAAAACTCTTAAAACTCAACAATAAGAAAGCAAACAAGCCAATTAAAAACTGGGCAAAAGACCTGAACACTTTATCAAAGAAGATACACAGATGGCAAATAAGCATTTGAAAAGATGTTCAATATGTGTCATTAGGGAATTGCATTAAAACGAGTTACACTACACACCTATTAGAATGGCCTAAATCCAAAGAACTAACAACATCAAATGTTTGGAAGGATGTGGAGCAAGAACTCTCATACATTGTTAGTGGCAATGCAAAATGCTACAGCCACTTTGAAGAACAGTTTGGTGGTTTTGTAGAAAGTTAAACACACTCTTACCATACAATCCAGCAACCACTCTCCTTGGTATTTACCAAGGAGCTGAAAATGTATGTTCACACTAAAACCTGCACACGGATGTTTATACCAGGTTTATTCATCATTTCCAAAACCTGGAAGCAACCAAAATATCCTTCAGTAGGTGCGTGGCTAAATATACTGGGGTACACCCAGACAATGAAATGTTATTCAATACTAGCAAGAAATGAGCTATCAAATCATGAAAAGACATGGAGGAAACTTAAATACATATTGTTAAGTGAAAGAAGTCAATCTGAAAATGCTACATACTGTGATCCTAAGTATATGACATTCTAGAAAAGATAAAACTGTGGAAACAGTAGAAAGGTTAGTGGTTGTCAGGTATGGGGGGAGAGATGCATTCTCAGGACACATTAGATTTTTGGGGGCAGTGAAACTATTCTGCATGATACTACAGTGGTAGATATATATCAGTATACATTTGTCCAAACCCACAGAATGTGCAACACCAAGAGTGAACCCTAATGCGAACTACTGGATTTTGGATGATAATGATGTGTCAGTGGAGGTTCAGCAATTGTAACAAATACAATTCTAGGGGAGATGTCTATACTAGGGGAGGCTGTGCATGTGTGGGGCAAGGGGTATATGGGAAATCTCTATACTCTCAGTTAAATTTTGCTGTGAGCCTAAAACTTCTCTAAAAAATAAAGTCTATTTTTAGAAATGGATGGGGATTTAAACTAGGGCCTGATTATGGGAAGAAGAAAACCAGAATCCTCTTTAAATATTTTCTGAAACCCTTAAAATAAGGCACTTGAGTTGTTCAAACATAGGACTTTCTAAGTATTTGGATTAACACGGATTAATCAGTTAGCTCTTTCTCAGCTTAGACTAAATTCCTGTTATCAAATAGACAGAAACCAGATTAGGAGGGCCCTAAATCAAGTGATTAAAACATTATTTTTACTCAAAAGAAAATTCCATTCTTCATTCTCAGGAGTTGAAGTTTGGCTCCATTAAAACAGTTTCAAGCTTCACCTAAATCAGCCTGACAGCATTGCATAAAAACTATTCGGCCATTCTTAAATTCAAATTTCCCCACCGAGGATCCTTCCCGCCCCCCACCCGCCCAGCAATTTCTCTTCATCTGAACTTTGATGGTGCTTATGTTAGCTAAAACATAATTAAGTGCTAACAATTACAACACTTTTGGGTAAGAATTCCTGGGAACTGGTGCTTTCTATCCTGAGACAAAGAAGGGTCTCCGTTAGCTAAGGACTGAGTTCACCGTCTGTTACCACTGAAATCCAATAGGGCCTCAGGGAGTTGCCACACATGTTTGTTATACAGGCTGAGTTCAGCACAGCAACCTTCTGGTACTTTCATTCATTTGATAAGTGGAATATACTTGGTATGTTCTAATGGTCTCAGACATTCTAGCATGATGAGCTGAGAGATTTTTATCAAGTGTAAAATAGCTTTTGGAGGTTTGTGAAAAGCAGAGGATCCTTATAAACAATCAGATTTCAGAAGAAATTGTTATAAAATGTGGTAGATTGTAACTGTATTTTAAAGCATTTTTCTACTCACTTCATTAATATCCATCCATTTTTCAATTCCAGAATTAAGCTTTTATAATCTGTGTCATTTTGTACTAAGAAGTAGAGAAGTGGAAGAAACTCCAAAGATGGTACTAACTCTATTTTTAACTTGCCAGTGACTTTTTCTTGAAAACCCAATTACTTACGCACTCAATTTTTTTTTTCTTTTTAGTTCCCATTTACTGAAAAGGACATTATAATCATTCAGATTATCTTGATCACACAGTACTTTAACTTCCTTGGAAGAAAATCCCTATCAATATAAAGTTTTAGGTTTAATTATAGTATAGTTCATGTTTTTAGTCTTCACAGAGAACCATTAAAATAGTTGTCGTTTTAAGAAATTAGAGTAAAATATAAAATTTCTTCCATTTTCTTTCTCATTTTGATGATTGAAAACCACTCTCGAAATTCCCCCACTATCCTCACCCCACAAACGTCTCTCCCCTATTGAAATGCTAACCATCCCACAAAACATTTCCCTACAAAACTTTCTGGATTGCCCCCAACCAGATGTGATCTCACCCTTCCTTGAACCCCATGGTACTTGTTACTTTTCTTATGGCACTTCTCTTAACACTGTTGCCATATTGCCTATTCCTTACAATAAGACCTTCTTGAAAGCTGGGGCAGAGTCGCAGCCATCTTTTGCTTCATTTGCCTAGTACTTTGTAAATATTTAGTATGCATAAAGTACGTGTTTAGCCAACTTGATCTTTTAGGTTTTGGGGTGAGGAGCTATATGAACCATTTAAAATATGGTAATCGTCTTGAAATATTTCAAACTCTTAATGATATGCATCAAAATTTTTGTTTGTTTTTCATTATCTTGTCAACCATGGCATGATACACAATACTTCTCCCCGGAAGAACCCATTCATTTCTGATGTTCCCAGCTACTGCTTATAAACCAGTTACTTCCAAATCTTTAATTTTGGCCTCTAACAGCTGCCTTGCAACTACCTATTGAATAAATGTATCAGAGAAAAGTTAATTTGCATTCATATTTATTCATCTTGAAGAGAAATATTAATGAAATGTGTACACACACAACATTAGGACATTTTTTCTAGAAAAAGTTCTAGACTTTCTAAAAGAAATGAGTTGATTAACAGATAATAAGCCTAAAATAGAATTGAGAAAACTAGAATTTAGCTCTGTCTGTCACAGCTCTTTTTCTAAGACCCTCTATGAGCTATTTAATTGTCTACAAACCACCTCTTCAAAATAGGAATTGTTGTCCTCTCTTCTGCTTTACAGCACTGTGAGGCTGAAATGATACAGAGTGTGCAGTAGCACGTCAGAGACTGTACAGTACTGGGTAAAACAAAAGGTGAGTGGTTAAGGGCACAGGCCCTGGGATCAAACTTCCTGGTTTGAATCATGAGACTGCCCCTTGCTCCCTGTGAGTGCCTGTCCCTGAGACCTCATCTGTAAAATGGGAAGCTAACAGAACATGTCTCGATCTCTTTGGAGGAGCAAATGAGAAAATCATTTTTCAATGGAACTTGGCAGTATGTCTATTATTACTCTAACACTGTGGTTTCAATAATGAATTTGTTAAGATCTTTTAATTTCTCGAAGAACTTTAAGCTATATCACATGGTTCAGGCAAACAATATATCCATTTCCTGGAAGGAAATAAATGCTTAAACACTTTATAGAAAAGGCTTTGTCTGTGTGTATTTAGCTGTTACAATCTCTTCAAATAATGTTAAATGTGAAAAAGATACAACTATCCACAATACTCAAACGTAATACATGGCATTCATAAACAAATATGATTTCCAGCACCATGAGTGGAACTTGACTTTCAACCTATTTCTATATTTCAGTTTATAAAACAACTATCCTCTAGATCCCCAATCCATTGATTTCAAGGAGAGTTTAACTTTTTTATCGCATGTTAATTGTTCAGCCCCTGTGTACATCCACCGAGAGAGAGAAGCCTGGATGTATAATGCAAAGCGCTGTACATTTTTGGTTAGCAAACTCCAGAACAAAAAAAATCTCTGGTAGCCTATTTTGACAATTCTTATAATTTGCGGTGATGTTTTCATTACAGTGTGTCACACAGGAAGCCACAAAAGGATTAGATATAGACCAATTCATCCACATTTCTTCCAGCCAGTAATCACATTGCTGCCCGCCAATGTTCTTAACTTCCTTAGTGCCAACTCTTCCATTTACCATATAGAATTTCCCCTAAATTTGTTAAGAAATAGACGCACCACATAGGCAAAAATGCCATTATCTGCATTTTATTAAGCTCTGTGATTTGATCTTTCAGAAGTATCTGAGCCCACAACAAGATGAATGTCGGGTCTGACAAAAACATGCCAGTGGGATTTTGAAAACCACAGAGAGATTCTATAGGAAATATTAGGAAAGAAGAGGGCAGAAAAAGGTGACCTGGGGAAAAAAGATAGATTCTATAAAATTGGATCCATGCTACGCCTTCCTTATGGCCTTACAGAGTATATGTTGAAAATCCAGAAATCATGTGCACTTTATCCAAACCTGAATTAAAAAAAAAAAACTATAGCTTTATTGGACTAATAAAAACCAGGTAATATGATTGCTGACACAATGGAAAGGTCACATTGGAAACTTTATATTTTACATTTTTCTTCCTTTAGTTCCTGAATTACTTTTTTATAGGTATGGAGGTACCCAATACTCTTTATGGTAACAAAACCATTTTAAAACTTTGAGTCTTTTCACCAATTAAAGAAGCTATTTGCAACATTTCCTTTATTAAGAATATTTTATTTCAGTAATTTTATGTGATGCTATGAAGCATTTGACAGGGTTGAAATTTTTTTTCTTAAAATTTTCCTTTCTTGACATTCAAAATGAGTCTCCTGGTTCAAGACCAGATTCCCTGGATATTATTCCACCATTTCCATCCCAGGTTTCGCTTCCTCCACATGCCCTTTAATGAAAAATTTTGTTTTACCCTCTTCTTGCTCTATACTCTGAGTAATCTCATTCACTTCCATAGCTTTAGCTATCACCTCTAAAATGCTGCTTTCTAGCCCTAACCTCTGTTCTGAACCTCAGATTCAAATTTTTAACTGCTGAACATACATTCATCTACAAAGACGCTACATCATTCATTAATTCAGCTGTCAATTTAACATATGCATTCATTAATTCAGCTGTCAATTTTATTAACATACACATATGTGTATAATATATTATCTTTATTTTCATATTATCTTTCATTAATAAAATTATATATGCATAATATATGCATATAATTTAAAATATAACAACACATATATAGAAATGCATAGTAACATAAATACTGCTTTTTCCCCCTCACATGCTGGTTTTTTTACAACTATATCCTACTGTCTTGCAAACAACAGGCTTCTATAATTGCATATTTTGTTCTCGTTGCTTTCCACAGCACTTTTTGCATAACTTTACCATAATATTTTTATACAGTGAAGCAATTATTCACCTACCTGCCTGTGTCCCCCATTACAAAGATCATTTTAAGTGCAATGAGCATTTTTAAAAATTAATCTTGCATCACTACCATTCAGAAGAGTGCCTAGCACAAAGGAAAAATTCAATCAATGTTGACAAATGGATGAATCAATCATGCAATTCTGATTTTATTATCTTCACCTTTCTCACTGTTACAGTTCTTTAGTTCAAAAGGTACACAATTATAGGCTGGGTGCGGTGGCTTACACCTATAATCCTAGCACTTTGGGAAGTCAAGGCAAGAGGATGACCTGAGGTCATGGGTTCAAGACCAGCCTAGCCAACATGGTGAAAACCCCTCTCTACTAAAATTACAAAAATTAGCGAGGCGTGGTGGTGCATGCCTGTAATCCCAGCTACTCAGGAGGCTGAGGCAGAAGCATCACTTGAACCTGGTAAGTGGAGGTTGCTGTGAGCCGGGATAGTGCCACTGCACTTCAGCCTGGGTGACAGAGTGAGACTCCGTCTCATGATAAAAAATAAAAATTTTAAAAAAGAAGGTACACAATTATAATCTCTCCCACTTGAACTTCATTCATTGTATAATGCACATTTTCCTAAATCTTACAGTTCAAGTTTTATCCTTAGTAAATTGCTCAGTGTCTTTGGAAGAGTGATGACATTTGTTGTCATATGGTTACCAATGTAATGATAGAGTAGAGAATGGCTGATTAATTCTTTGTTTCTGATCAAAGCAGCATAAATATAAGCAGGTCTTTGAGCCCTTCAACAGGCTACAACCTCCCACTAACTCTTTGCATCCAGCCTTCCAATGTAGATTTGGAATTTACAGATCCTTCTGTTTCTTTTCCTCACCTCATCCAAGAGATTTGTTTCTAGTCTGCTACTTTTGATGCTTCATGTCCTCAAAATTTCTCCTGTAATCCAATTTCAACACTTAAAATTCAACAATAATCAAATGGTGTATTTTTCATTACTATATTACTTGGGTAATGTAGTTTAAACATTTTTAAGTCAATTTGAGGAAATGTTAATGAATAAAATTACTGGCTGATGGAGAATGAAAACTATCTCTCAATAATTCACATTCTTATGAAAATAATTCCCCCAATTTTAGCTTTTTCCTTTTAGGTTGCATTTCCCTAGAACTTTCATTCACTCAACAAAGATTGAGCAATGGGCGTGTGCTTAACACTCTGATAACGCAGAAAAAGATATTAAAAAAAAAAAACCCACCCTCATGAAACTTGCATTCTAGTTGGAAGACAAATAATAAACAAAGTAATTAAGTAAAAAGCAAGTAGTTTAAACAATCAAAAGCACTAGGCATCAAAATTAAGCAAAAAAGTGGGGAAAGATGAAGGGGCATGCTTACATGTTGGATAGGGTAGCCAAGAAGTCCTCTCTGGAAATACAACATTTGGGTGAAGATCTGAACAATGTAAGGGAGTAAATGATGCAGATATCTAAAAGAGTATTCTCAACCAAGAGAAAAGCAAGTGCAAAGGGCCAGAGAAGAACGCCTGGTGTATTCCAGGAAATGCATGGAAGCCAATGAAGCTAGAGCTAAGGGAGACAGGTGGCAGATAATGGGTTTGGAGTGGGATGGATGGGTGAGGAAAACAGGGGGCATGACAGATTGAGTAGTCTCTTGTTGATTGTGTGAGAGTTTTGGCTTTACTCTGAGAAAGTTGGAAAGCTATCAAAAGATATTGAGAAAAGGAGAGGCTTTTCCTTATGTTTTAGCAGAAAAAACGTTGATTGCTGCATTGCAAATCGACTATAGAAAGGCAAGGTAGAAGCAGGAAAACTAGAGGGCATTGAAATAATCCAGGCAAGAGAGGCCAGTGGCTTGGTCTAGAGTAGTAGAGAGGACGTGATGAGAAGCAGTTGGATTAGGGGTATTTTTTAAGGGTAAAGGCAAATTTTTTTCCCAGATTGGATGCAGTGTATCATAGTCTAGATATATAAAACCAAAGCCCCCACCCAAACATCTACAATGATATAATCAATTTCAAGCAGCATTTTAAAATCTTTCTTAAAGCTCCCACTCATTTCCACAACCAGTCTGTCACAAAATTCAGCCTTTTCCAATTCTGAAATATTTTCAAATCTTTCCCCTCCTCGCATGCCAACCACTCTACTTAAGGAACCTCATTATTTCTTCCCTGACAATTGCTATAATTTTTTAATGGGCTTTCTGGTTTCCAGTTTCTCCCATCTCTAACCCATCCTCCTCTAGGCTATCAGAACTGCATTGCCAAAACACAGACCTAACTGTGTCCCTCCTTTGTTTAAAATCTTCATTAAAGCTGCACTGCTACAGAGCAAGTCCCATAGCCCTACCTCTTCAGCCGCACCACCCAAAAACCCAAACACATCTATTCCACAAATCTTCCACATCCAAGTATGTGTTTGCCTTTGCTCATTCTGTACCTTCATTTGAATTCACTTTGCTTTAATATCACTGTCTCCCTGACCCATCCACTCAGGCCTGAAAAAAACACTCTGTTCAATCCATCCCTGTAGCCCCATGACACCATTTATAGGCACAGCAGGACAGCTATGACTCTATATTATGGCTAGAGGTCTGATATGGTTTGGCTGTGTCCCCACCCAAATCACATATTAAATTGTAGTTCCCATAATCCTCATGTGTTGTGGGAGGGACCCAGTGGGAGGTAATTGAATCATGGGGACAGTTTCCCCCATGCTGTTTTCATGATAGTGAGGGAGTTCTCATGAGATCTGATGGTTTTATAAGGGCCTTTTCCCCATTTTTCTCAGTACTTGTCCTTGCTGCCACCATATGAAGAAGGGAGTGTTTGCTTCCCTTTCTGCCATGACTGTAAGTTTCCTGAAGCCTCCCCAGCCATGCTGAACTGTGAGTGCATTTAACCTCTTTCCTTTATAAATTACCCAGTCTCAGGTACATCTTTATCAGCAGTGTGAGAATGGACTAATACAGTAAATTGGTACCGGTACAGTGGGATGCTGCTATAAGGATACCTGAAATGTGGAAGCGACTTTGAAACTGGGTAATAGGCAGAGGTTGGAACAGTATGGAGGGCTCAAAAGAAGACAGGGAAATGTGGGAGAGTTTGGAACTTCCTAGAGACTTGGAGGGCTCAGAAGACTTTTTGAATGGCTTTAACCAAAATGCTGATGTGGACAATGAAGTCCAGGCTAAGGTGGTCTCAGATGGAGATGAAGAACTTGTTAGGAACTGGAGCAAAGGTGACTTTTGCTATGCAAAAAGACTGGTGTCATTTTGCTCCTGCCCTAGAGATCTGTGGAACTTTGAACTTGAGAGAGATGATTTAGGATATCTGGCAGCAGAAATTTCTAAGTGGATATCATTCAAGAGGAAGCAGAGCATAAAATTTTGGAAAATTTGCAGCCTGATGATGTGACAGAAAAGAAAACCCCATTTTCTGGAGAGAAATTCAAACTGGCTGCAGAAATTTGCATAAGCAATGAGGAGCTGAATGTTAATCACCAAAAAAATAGGGGAAAATGTCTCCAGGGCATGTCAGAGACCTTTGTGGCAGCACCTCCCATCATAGGCCCAGAGGCCTAGGAGAGAAAAATGGCTTCCTAAGATGGGCCTGTGGCCCCCTTGCTGTGAAGAGCCTAAGGACTTGGTGCCCTGAGTCCTAGCTGCTCCAGCCATGGCTAACAGGGGCCAAGTTACAGCTCAGGCCATTGCTTCAGAGTGTGCAAGCCCCAAGTGTTTGCAGCTCCCTCCCATGAGCTTGTGGGTGCAAAGAAGTCAAAATTGAGATTTGGGAACCTACCCCTAGATTTCAGAGGATGTATGGAAATGACTGGATGTCCAGACAGAAGTCTGCTGCAGGGGCAGAGTCCTCATGAAGAACCTCTGGCTAGGGTAGAGCTGGAGGGAAATATGGGGTCAGAGTCCCCACACAGAGTCCCAACTGGGGCACTGCCTAGTGGAACTATGAGAAGACGACCACCGTCTTCCAGACTCCAGAATGGTAGATCCACCAATGGCTTGCACTGTGAGCCTGGAAAAGCTGCAGGCGCTCAATACCAGCCTAAGAAGCAGTCAGAAATGGGGCTGTAACCTGCAAAGCCGTAGGGGCGGAGCTGCCCAAGGCTGTGGGATTCCACCTCTTATACCAGTGTGCCCTGGATGTGAGACATGGAGTCAAAAGAGATCATTTTGGAACTTTAAGGTTTCATGACTGCCCTATTGGATTTCAGACTTGCATGGGGCCTGTGGCCCCTTTGTTTTGGCCAATTTCTCCCATTTGGAGCAGGTGTATTTCCCCAATGCCTGTAACGCCATTATATCTAGGAAGTAACTAACTTGCTTTTGATTTAGCAGGCTCATTGGTAGAAGGGACTTGCCTTGTCTCAGATAAGACCTTGGCCTTGGACTTTTGGTTTAATGCTGGAATAAGTTGAAATTTTAAGGGACTGTTGGAAAGGCATAATTGTATTTTGAAATGAGAGGACATGAGATTTGGGAGGGGCCAGAGATGGAATAATATGGTTTGGCTGTGTGCCCCCACTTGAATCTCATCTTGAATTATAGTTCCCATAATCCCTGGGAGGGACCTGGTTGGAGGTAATTAAATCATGGGGGCAGTTTCCCCCACGCTATTCTCATGATAGTGAGTGAGTTCTCATGAGATCTGATGGTTTTAGAAGGGGCTTTTTCCCCTTTTGCTTAGCACTTCTCCTTGCTGCCGTCATGTGAATAAGGTTGTGTTTGTTTCCCCTTCTGCCATGATTGTAAGTTTCCTGAGATCTCACCAGCCATGCTGAACTGTGTATCAATTGAACCTCTTTCCTTTATAAATTACCTAGTCTCATTTATGTTTTTATGAGCAGTGTGAGAACAGACTAATACATGGTCTGACCGTCTCCCATTCTATTCACTGTAGATAATGCCTAGTACATAAAAGATGCTTCAACAAATATGACAGAGTCAAAACCTATGGTAAATAAAAATATGTGTCTTATGCTTTTCCAAGCTTCCTTTGTCCTGGGCTTACACTAAGGCAGCCCAATGACTACCCCTTTCAAATTATATTATAGCAATATCTACCTATAAAGATCTACACCAGTCATACAGAGGGATGCTCCCCAGGAAGGAGCCTAAAAGTGTCTAAGCAAATAGCTTTCTCTCATTCCTCACCATTTGTGATAATCTGAATCGTTTGTCAGTGTTAAACAAATTACTTCATGAACTCTCTTCTCTAGACTGCCTCCACATTCTTATTCCTTTTAGTCTAGTGGTTATTTTTCTGCCTTCTTCACTAATTCCTATTTTTCTCTTAACATGCAAATCCTCATACACTGTCATCATACTTTTAATCTGCCATTATTATTGGTTTCTTTGCAGATGTTAATGACTCATAAACCTAAAGCTATACCCTGACCTTTCACCTAATCTCCCATCTTGCATTTCCAGATTCCTATATTGCTCAGATGCCAAACAACATTCACTGCATCTTCATTACCCACTTCAGGTCTTCTCTCCAATTATCCCTTTTTGTCTGAGGTAACTACTATTCTAATTTCTCAGCTTAAAATATTGAGGTTATCTTTGTATCTTTCTTTTAATTCATGCTTTACATCTAAATTAATAAGTATTTTTCCAAAATTCTTTGTGTTCTTTATTGTATCAACTCTGGACTCAGCTGTCATTATTTTATCTGGGCAAGAGCAGCTCAACTGGCCCTATTCACTCCAGAATCTTCCTTTTCTTCCTCCTCTTGCCTATGCCTGAAAGACTAATTAGGGAAATAATGCAAGCTGTTGTCTGCAGGTTAATCCTAAAATCACAATGGCTTAACACACCCACACACACTCAGGTTACACTTCAATACAGATGTCTCTAGTCATGCAATCTCCATTCAGGAATTCAAGATCTTTCTACCTTGGGGCTCCACCTACCTCTAGGTCTTCAGAAAGCCTCCATTCAGCCATCAGGTAGGGAGGACATGCCCTCTTCTTAACCACTTTGGCAGCGAGATGACACACTTACATCACTTCCGCCCACTTTCACTGGCCAAAACCCAATCACATAGCCTCACATAACCAAGAGAAAGACTGGAAAATTAGTCTAGTCATGTTCTCAGGAAGAGCAGAAAATGAATATTAGTAAATGCAAAGCAGTCTCTGCTACATTCATCTTTCTAAATCAGGACTCACACCCTTTCCCAAGGACAAAGTTTTAAAAGAATGAAGTCCAAGTCCCAGCCTCAATGTCAAGGCCTTCATAATATGAAGCCACTGGTGTTTGGGAGGAGGATAAATTGCCTGGAGTCCTACTCCGTTATGCAGTGAAGAGAGATGACTTTTCTATCTATTTTTAGATTGGACACTGAAGAATGATGTGTTAGTCCATTTGTACTGCTATAAAGGAATACCTGAGGCTGGATAACTTATAAAGAAAAGAGATTTGTTTGGCTTATGGTTCTGCAGGCTATACACAAAGCATGGCACTGACATCTGCTTCTAGTGGGGACCTCAGGACACTTATAATCATGGTGGAAGGTGAAGGGGAGCCAGTATGTGTCACGTGGCAAGAGAGGGTGTGAGCAAGAAAGAGAGCGAGAGAGAGAGAGAGGCTCTTTTAAACAACCAGATCCCATATGATCTCATAGAGTAAGAACTCACTCATTACTACAAGGACAGCGCCCAGCCATTCATGAGGGACCTGCTCCTATAACCCAAACACCTGTCACCAGGCCCCACCTCCAACATTGGGGATGACACTGCAACATGAGGGAATGATGTGAGGGGACATTTGAAGGGAATGAAACATCCTAACCATATCAAATGATAAGTCTTTCCAATTTTAAGAGATTATTAAACTAACGAAAGCAGCTATACTACTACCCGAGTCAATGGCAATGTAGATATTTTCACTTAACATCATGGAAACTTGAAAAAAAAAAAAAACAGCTCTGTGAAATGCTGCTAAAAAAAAAAAGACACACAGCAGTCCGTTGACTATTACCTGTGGCCAATTAACCAGACCACTTCATTTCCAAGCTCATCATTGTGGCAGTCTTGACACTCAGTAACATTAAATGAGACCAACTGCTGCCACATCAGCCACGCATGCCTGTTAACTACACTCTGTAAGATAACAGATGCAATCAGGTTAGCAAAGTCAGTTTTATTATTTCCATTCAACTAGTTAATATAAGGAATATTATTGAAGAATTTTAAGACTAGATGAATCCTACTCAGACAGACTTCATGAGACTACTTTTCCTTTTATAGAAGAACAAAAGCACAAATTCCAACTACCTGTCACTTATTTAAAAAGGAAAAAGAGGAATGATACCACTATTAGCCAAAGATACACACTGCAGCAGGAGATGTGCCCCAGCTTGCAGATGCTTCAACTGTCAGTGCTGTCTACCTCACCCTACCCTCTCCTTGCAGCATCAACTTTAGAATGCAGCCAATACAATGGAAGTTGAGAGAAGTATTCTGAAAGTTGAGTGACATACAGCCACACAATCACTCAATTGAATAACCAGAGTTACAGTTTTTGCAAACCGGAAGGCTGTCACTCAGAGCAACACCTGGCCTTTGCTCATTGGACAGTCCATGCATATAATATAATAGCTCCTTCACTTGTTAGTGAGAAAAGAGAAGGTGGTGAAGGCCGCTATTGCCTGAATTCCAAATAGCAGAAATATTTCAGTGTTGAGTTCTGTGGTTTGCAATACTAGTGGTGTCACAAGTGAAAAGGAAAAGAAAATAATTACAATTACCAAAGAGAAGAAAAACAAATGCATTTCTATTTCTTACCTTTGTTGATGCATTCTCCATTATTTTTTGGTGGAAGGTGGGGTATAAGAACCAAACTGATTTCCCTAACTACACATCCCAGAAGGAAATGTTACCCTGAACATTTAGGATGGCAGAGGCCAAGACCTATGTATGTACTGTATATGCATATACGTACCAAATATTTAAAATTAGTCTTGTAAATGCACTGACATTCATTCACAGCTTGCAGTCATACCCATTGACTAAAGCTCCCCCAAGATTCCAGTAAATGGTACAGTAAAGTACCAAAAACACCAAGTCTAAATCATAAAGAATAAATAAATCATTCATTTATTCAACAAGTGTTTAATCACATCAGTCACAGGCAGTTTTTACGATTTACCAAACTAGACACTATTCTAGCACAGGGAGGATAGCAGTGGCCATAACAGCAAAATTGCTGTTCTAATGGAGCTTAAATACTCAAGTTGTGGATGCAGACAATAGACAGAATAAATAATAAAATATAGAGTGTATTAATAAGTGACAATTACTCTGCAGAAAAATAATTCCTTCAAATTAGTCCAGTTTAACTCAATGTAGGAAGATAATATAAGGGGCTACAATTGTAAAAAGGATGCTCAAATACTTTAAAGTGAAACGGTGAATGCTATGAATATTTAAAAGCAAAGTAATCAAGGAAGAGAGAAAAGCCAGTGCAAATGACCTGAGAAAGGAGTGTGCCTGATATACTCAAGGAAAAGCCAGGAAGGCAGCGAAATGGAGAAAGAGTGAACAATGAGAGAAGTCAAAAAAGTATGGGGGCCAGGCGCGGTGGCTCACCTGAGGTCAGGAGTTCCAGACCAGCCTGGCCAACATGGCGAAACCCCGTCTCTACTAAAAACACAAAAATTAGCCGGGCATGGTGGCACGTGCCTGTAGTCCCAGCTACATGGGAGGCTGAGGCAGGAGAATCCGTTGAACCCAGGAAGTGGAGGTTGCAGTGAGCCGAGATCACGCCACTGCGTTCCAGCCTGAGCAACAAAGCAAGACTCCATCTCAAAAAAAAAAAAAAAAAAAAAAAAAAAAGTATGGGGGAAAGTGGCCAAGATTGTGCAGAATTTTGTAGGCAATTAAAACAAACAAACAAACAAACAAAAAAACTGGCTTTGGTCTGAGTGAGATGGGGGCCACTGGATGTGAACGGAGGTGTGACAGGATCTAAGTTATGCTTTAAGTGGATCACCCTGAGTGCTGTGTTGGGAATAGACTGAAGGGGGCAAAAGTGGGGGCAGTAACACCACTTAGGGGGCAGCTGGAAGAACGAAGATGAGAGATGACAGTAGCTTGGACCAGGATGGTAGCAGAGCGAGCAGGGAGAAATGATAAGATTCTGGGAATCCTTTGAAGATGAAGCGAACAGGATTTTCCAGTGGAAAGGATGTGGCATATGAGGGAAAAGAAGAACCAAGAATGATTTCAGGTTTTCCAGCGGTTTTTTTGTTACTTGCTGTGGTTTTTCTTTTTGCTTTTTGAGCAACTGAAGATAGGGAAATCTGTGAGTAGAGAAAGTTTTAGAAGAAAAAAGCAACTGTTCAGTTTTTAGCATAATTTGTTTAATACGTCTATTAGGCATCTAAGTGAGAGTGTTAATAGGCAATTGAACATATGAATCTACAATTGGGTTCTGGTTTGGAGATATATATTTGGGAGTGGTCAATGTAAATGTGAGGTTGATATCCCAAGGGAGTGAGTACAGATAAAATAAAGAAGATGAGAGTTCCAAGCTCTAGGCCTTGGGATACTTCAATAGTAAGAGAATGAAAAGAGGAACAGACATTAGAAATAAAGACAAACAGAAGTGGCCAGTATTTTAGGAGCAACATTAGAATCCAGGAGAAAAACTTATTTCAAAAAAGAAGAGTTATCTATAAGCCCAAGACAGTTAATAGCTATCAATAGAAGGCTACTATAGTCAAATTACTTGGTATCCAGTCTATCTTGATGTATTATGCAATTCAGAGTGAAGCTGATACTAGCAACCAGAAAATAGAAGTGCTAATAATAATAACAATAACAATATGTCACATTATATTCTTATTATGTTGTCACGCATTTTGACAAGTATTTTACAGTCATCTCATTTAAAACTCTCAAAAACCCTAGTAAATAAAGATTTTCCCTTTTTTATAGAAGATATTCTGAGGCTCAGGATTCTTGTGATTTCCCTGAGTTAGCACAACTCTTAAGATGAGAAACTGTCCAAAACAGCTCAACACCACAGTCTGTGCTTATAACCACTACACCATAGTGAAGATACCTCACCATGCCGCAGTCTTCGTTATTCTGAATTTCCACCGTTTAAAGAGCTTTAGTAACTTTGAAGAAAGATCTTATGTAAAAGTCAAGAAGAAATAACAAATGCACAGCTAATGATAAAATGTATTCAGAATTATAACTATTATAACCAAATATAACTGTTCACCCTCATGAACCATTTTTGACACAGTGTTGAATTCAAAGATATAAAAGTTCAACTCCAGAAATCTTAAAGAACAATATAGATCTTTACTTATAATTTCTTAAAAATAAAGTATGGGGGTGTCAGGGATAGGGGATACACAGCATTTAACAAAAAAAAATACTTTCTAAATATTTTATATGATGTATTTCTCTCACCCCCAAATTTACAACTGCCTTTCTCATAATTATCATATCTGGTACTCTGTCCCCTAAACCCCTGGTGAATAAAATCATCTGCCTCATTTTTGAAGCAGAATAGCATAGGTAAAATTAAAACTCAGGTGCCAAGCTTTGTTACCCAGTCCTACCGTGGGAATCCAACTGCTTGGGGCGTCAGTTTTCTCACTTATAAAATGCAATAATGATAATATCTCACCCTGAGATTATTGTATGGATTGAACAAATCATTCTGTTTAGGCATTTAGTACAATGCCTGACACATGGCAGGTGCAAAATAAGTGTTAGCTATACCGTATGGTGACAGCACCTTGGTAATATTCCACAAAGAATAGCATCATCTCTGTACGTGCTTCCCATGCCCTGCTCCTACTCATACTATGGTGCCTCACACTCAGTTTTCTTCCCATCCTTACTGAGCTGAGGATGATTCATCTCAGTCACTATGACTCTTGAAGCTCCCCTTGGAAAGTCCAGGAGCAAAACTCATCATATTTCTGACATGATACCAGTCTCTGTCTCTGATGATATTAGGGAAAAGTGGTATTCACTTAATTCTTTCCCTCAAGGGGCTGACAACCCCTAGAAATCCCTTGCTAAAACAACTAAAACAAATGTGGGATTGTCTCTTGCCCCCCAAAATTCCTGAGCAGCCTAGTGTCCTAAGGTCTGCAAAACATGGAGAAATCGAGGAGGAGGCCAGAGAATCAAAGCAACTTTGCTTATGATCAGCACGCCACTTTTGAAAAAAATAATAGAGTAAAATCTCCAACTTGATTATAACCAGCTTCTTCAGGGTTTGCAACCTGGAGACCTTATTTTTTTGAGGGGTCAGATTTCATGAAACTGAAGCATACTCAAATCACTCGAGCCGCCGAAATCATACCATCACCTCAGGTTTTAGTTGTTTGTGTGCCTGAAGGTTTGCTAGAGTTTCCTCTTTTTCCTCTTCCAAAAATCATGATGGTTACTTGGTTTGGAAATAAAATCCAGAACGTTGCCTATAAATAGTAAATCGGCCTCAAGTTCTGATTGACCATGCTTCAATCTACTGCCCCCTAGTGGATGGACCACCGTTGCAGCTGCACCTCTCCTTAATTCATAGTTGCCAATTCAAAACTATAAGCTATTCTCCATGGCAGTTCCTGATGAGTTAGAATCCATGAATGACCTGAACGCCTGTAGACCCCCACTTCGTTGGTGGCACTTCCCTGCCCTGAGGCTATTTATCTTTGTTCCATTTCAGTGGCATTTCTAACTGCTTTTCGAGACCTTTATTCCAGTCCCTGGCATAAAATTTCCTACTAATTTCTCCAGTTTCTAGGCAAGCTGGCCTCTACCCTTGGACTCAAAGTCTGCTTAACTCCAGTCCCACAGTTACAGCCAAGTCCCCAGAGATTTGTTCTCGTCCAGTGAAGTAAGGCAAAACCACTGAACAAGCCTAAACATGGCTGTCACTGACCTCTTCTCCCTTTCCAAGAACAATTCCAATTTCCTCAGTAAATGGGTATCCGTGGAGTCTGTTAAAAATCAATTTTCAGCCCATTTGTTCACAAGGAAATTTTTAAGGCTTCCTCTGTTGACCCTCAACCATTAAACTCAAACAAACCAATATGATGCTACAGGATACAAACTGATAGGATAAGATCTACCCAACCAGAGAAATGTTCCCCAGCAAGACAGATGCAGCTACTATTTTCCCTATAATAAGAAATTATTACCATCACAAGGACTACCTTAGCTCTATCTCACCTGAGAGCCTTGTCTTTAAAAGCAAACCTTAACCAGTCATAGTCTGGTCAAGAACCAATGACATAAGGGGTGATCTGACTTACACACAATACAATTAAATAGTTTTTTCTGCCTCCCTCCCTTGTCTCATCTTCAGTTGTCCCCCAGCAACTCATTGCTCTATCCTCATGACCTTAACTCCTTCTGACTTATTGTTTCCTTATTGATGTCTCATGACCTTCTTACTATAATAGGTGATATCATCCAGAGGCTTGATATCATAGGAGATAAAAGATTGAGTTCATTCAGTCAGCTCTTCTTCTTGGTTAATCAACCATCTAACTGTTGACTCTAAGTTCTGCCTTGGACATTGTGTGTGAACATTGATACTGGTCAGTTCCTCCTGTTTTTGATTCAGTTTCTAGAATTATATGGCTTACCCGTAAATCTCTGCCAAACTTCTACATCTATCCTTCCCTACTGCCCTACTGTAGATATATCCTATGGACACATATGTACATAATACAAGGAACACTCCTCTATGTTTATATT
This sequence comes from Homo sapiens, assembly GCF_000001405.40. Lineage (NCBI taxonomy): Eukaryota > Metazoa > Chordata > Mammalia > Primates > Hominidae > Homo > Homo sapiens. The sequence goes on from NC_000005.10 coordinate 107,249,487, forward strand.
TTACAAAATTTCATAATGCCCTGTTTCTTCAGTTGAAATAAACATGCAGTATAAACTTCATAATACTAATTTTCATATAATTCCAAAACATAGATGATCATACTGAAGGTACACTTTTAGTTTAGGTCTAGGGTAATAATTTGAATCCAAAAATCCCACATGTGCCTCCCCATACTTATTCCAAATATAGCTGACTGTCACCTGGACCAGTCTTTATACAGCATTGCATTCAATTAAACAGCAATCTGACCACAGAAGGCCTGAAGTATTATGTAGGTCTTGATTGTGAATTGCTTTTAATGGATAATATGGAGAATTTACACAAAGCTTCACAGAAATCTTTCTAAAAATTATTTCTGGCCATTTCTTATTCAAGCCAGTTCTCTCTCACACAGATGCTGCCTCTTACTTCTCCATGCTCACTTCCTGCCTTGCTTCTCTCTCTCTCCCTTTCCATCTGGTATGGCTTACACACCCAGGGCTACTGACAGGTGAATGTGCACACCATCTGCAGCCCCCAAAGGAGCAGAGTTTGTCTTCTGCTCAGAATGCTTCTCTCACAACAGCCAGCGCTCAAAGGAATTCTGTTGAACACAAATACAAATTCTCTACCTTGTTAAACTTTCCATTTCTAAAGTGTACAATCATTCACCTACCACACAACCACAACAATTTCATGTTCTGCAAATAGAATTTATTTTCAATGACTTCCTCTGGACATCTCTTTCTGATTTTAAGCCAAAAAATCAATTTAAGATGGTCCTAAATGGGGAAAAATCATAACAAGTAGTTGGTAACAGGCATATTTATATCATTGGAAATATGAATGAATGCAAAAGCTATTTTAGATGCATAGACAATATTGGAGGATGATAATTATAACTTGCCTAGGGTATACAGTGTGTATGTATTTTACCAATGCAGATATTCTCTTGCTTTATTGGTATCCACATTACTATTTGTTCACTTACATCTACAGATTTGGGAAAACCTATAACTGGTGCTGCATTCCTGAGTTTCTAGAAGACTACATGGCCCTGAGGGCCAATTTTCAGAGACCAATACATCTTGTTGGACTAGGTCTGAGAGACAAGAGTCTGAGAAGAATACTAAGGACTTTGATGGATTATCACTAAAACTGAACTTTGCTGAAAAGTTATAAATCATCAGCTTTCTTCAGGCTTAGATGGGACTGATACTAGAAAGATCATTAAAGTCACCAAGCTGTCCTCAGGCCTAAAAAGTACATTGAAAAGACTATAGTCTACCAAAAATGTAAACGAGTGTAATACACATTCCAGGCATTTGAAGTTCAGGCACTAATCATCTCAAATAAATGATAAACAAATGACGAGTTACATGTAAATCTACAGTGTTGTCAAAACATTGCCCTTGTAATCCCAGATAAATGATGAAGTTTATAAAAGGAGATTTCTGAGGGTCATGGAAGATTGTTTAAACATACATGAAGAGTGGTTTAAGTGCTAATCCATTGCCATTTATGTAAACTGCATTTCTATCCTTGGTCTTTGCTGCATAAAATTGCCTCATCATTTTATAAATCCATAGACCTAGTTGAAACTAGTCCCTGCTGGAAACAAATTTTTCACATTAAGCTTGAAAGTTTTAAACTCTCCTCTACATACACATAGTGACACAGTTTTGAAAACCTCCATTCAAGATGTGACAAAGTTTAAAGCACTTCAGAACTTTCATGGAGTATCACTTTCTATCCAATCCTAAAAGATCTAACAATGCAGAAATGCTTCCACATCAAGATGTTTCAAAAGGTACTTTATAAACGAATCTGGATTCTACCGAAAGCTGTTACACATCTGCTTTGCTTTACCAATGAAGAACACAAACATGTTGATGGTTTCAGTCCAAACCCTTTTTGCAAGCAAGAAGGAAATGCAGAATGTTCAGCTAATTGCTAAGAGGAAATCCATATGTGTTATTTGCTTTCCATGAAAGGACAGGTCCTCTTGCTATTTAATTGATGAAATGTTGTACACAAAACTGACAGTGATTAATACCATTCTAAGATGCCATTTTAAGAGCTGTAAGTGTAATGCTTTGGAATATGTTCTTTGACATTTACATTGCTATTTGCTAGGTAAAAAATCTAGTTCTTGCCTTAAGCATTTATATTGGGGGAGAAATGTTAAGTAATTTCAAATGGCAATATCTTCCTGGAGAGCCAATCATTAGAAAGCCAGGAACCAATTACTTGTGCCCCAGATTTCCTTGTTCAAAACAAACAAACGGTATCCTACAAATTCATCTAGAAATATTTATTAAGCACTCAGGATATTTTGTGTGGTTTCCCTTTGATGTGCCTCTTCCTACAAAGAGACTGGATGGACATAGAATGCCCCAAATTCGAGGAGCACATAATAAAATGAATGAATTTTTCAACAGATCTTCCATCCATGGTACTCTTCCCACAAACTCACGGAGAACTCAGCTGGGAAGTCTGTCCTCCAGTGAGCTCCAAGACAATACATAATGGCTCTCACATTTCCTTCTTTGATGCAGTCTCAAAAGGCGGTAGGGTTCAAGCCTGCGTTTTCTTTTGTAATTTCCAACATAGGGAAGGATATGAAGAGCTTGTTTTCTTCTTCAAAGAATTCACAGTTCATTATACTTAAGCTTTCCACAGCCCTGTGACCGCTCAGACTCTCCCCGAACCCTAGTGCATTACTGCCACTGGAATCACTTATGTCTAACAGGAATAACAAAGTTTCTCTTTTGCATCTACCATAGTCATTACTCCTGACACCACAAGTATTCAAACACCAGAATTTTACAAAAACAAACCACACAAAATAAATCCAACAGGCTCTATTGCCTGAGTTCTATTGCCTGAGTTCCTTGATGAGGGGACACTCTCGCTTTCTGACTGACATTCCTGTGCCTCACATCGAGTTGAAGGCTGGCAACACAAACGCAAACATCCTAAGGCATCAAGCAGGTAACTATAGTAGGCAAAGGAAGCAAGATGACAAGGGCACAATGTTAAAGGTTCCTAACGCTGCTATTTGCTAAGAAAGCAAAATTGCAAATACAATGAGTGGCAATTGACACTGGCCTCAGTGCCTTGGAGCCTGTGGTGAATTTGCCCTATCTAAAAGGACCAGTAGTTAGTAAGCCCCATGCACGTGTTTGCACACAAGAATATAAGTCCTGAATTGCCAGGCCTTACAAATTCTCTAAGAGCTGGAAATCAAGATTTTCATGTGATTCTCCCAACATTTAAGTTTTTAAGTGATAGCAATTAAGCCATCTGAAAGAAAAAGCTAGCCACATGGTGAGATATATGTGTTCAGGATGAACAAAACCCACTTTGTGGACCAGATCAGGGCCAAAGGCTGAGAGTTTGCACCTCTAGTCTTGGCAATGCTCAAAAAAGGTGTGTTTTATTTTTCTGATTTTAATTCAAGCCCAAGCTGAGAAGTTTCAGAAAGCTAAATCTGGAGTTCTGCTCTTCAAGTCTTCTCTGACATCTCTTGTCAGAGCAAGGCCCCATACAAGTCTAAAGGAAGCAAATTCTCTTGTCAGCCATCATTTATCTTGAACACTGGAGGATGGAGTCCATGACATCCAATGTAAATACCAGTAACCAAGTGCAGATTAATGCAACTGCCATCCACTCATCTCTTCAATTATCCAGAGGTTCTTCAACACAGAGAACAAATCATAAGGAAAAATGAAAGACAGTTGAGTTGCAATTATAATAAAAATTTTAAAGTGGTATTGAAGGCTCAGTAAGTACTTTGCAAGGTAGAGGAACAGAAGGATTAATTTAGGGGCAATGAAAAGCAGTGATATGTTGGCAATTTAGGCGGTTGAACAAGTGCATAGCATGTATGGAATTCCAGTGTTTTTATGGGCCACCAACCAACTGAAACTTCCTCCTCCTCTTGATGGTGAGGCTCTGTTTATGAACCACAGCATGTTTGTGTTTCCTACTCAAGCCTGCTTTACTGCCCTGGAGTCCCTGATGCCAACACATACGCACGCATTCTGAGTTCAGGGACTGAGCAATCCACCTTTCAAAAGCCAACAGAAGTATTCTATGCCAGTCTCCGTTCGACTTTGAAGATGCTGACCAGGGGAAAAAATAAAATCCTCCATTCAAATCTTATCCTTGCTAATAGGAGGGCCATGGGCTGCCAGCTATCTTGTGCCAGCCCCTTTATGGTTTGTCTCTGACAGATCAGTATCAAACCAAATAGCTATAGGCCAACCAAGTTAAAAAAAAAAAAAAAAAAAAAAAAAAAAAAAAAAAAACAGAAACCAAAAGACTCACGCCTGCTGGTGAAAACTTAAGCAGGCATGTGGGTAACATGAGTGGGACAAGCTGGCAGCCCACAGTCTTTTTGAAGTGAAGAGCAAACAAGTTGAGGATTTTTATAATGCAGGCTTTGTCCGGTAATTCAGCCAGAAGCTTTACCAATACAGCTGCTTCCAAAAACTAAAACACATGGGGCTGAAAGCATTGCAACTTAAAGCAAACAAGATTCGCAGCCAGGTCCAGCATTCCCAACAGCTGAAGAATAGACACGCTCTGCCACTAAAAATAAAGTGGTGGACCAATTCTGAATGTCTCCCAGACAGACCAAAAGTAAATAATGTTGGACAATTATAACCTGTAAAAAGACCAACTAAAAGAGACTATGATCAGTGTTTGAAGATACAGCTACAAAGAGCTCTCTCTTGGGATGGAATTCAAGGGTCAGAAAGGGAAGCTGGGTAAGAGAGATGTCAGTTATGAAAATAATGCTTAAAAGAAAAGAATAAAGAGCTTACAATCATTTTCTTGTGAAATATGTAGCACCTATTACCCTTTATCCTTACCCTCCAAGTTGGGGGACATATACGTGTGTGTGTGTGTGTGTGTGTGTGTGTGTGTGTCTGTGTTTATAGCTTTTCACACATTTATCTCTCTAGCCTCTTTTCAACAGGCCACATCCCCTCATTGCACATCAGGCTTCAGCCCAACTGAATTTGAACCTTCAGTGGCACAAGCAGCAAAAGCAGCCCTATCGTTTCCATTGAAGAGCAAATGTTCCTGTCATAACACTAGATCACAAACATCACGAAGAAATAAATCAACACGTTCTCAAATGTTAAGTTGTGACTATCCAAAGCCCAAAATACTAGAGAAAACTAGGCAAAGAGAGTGCTTGATCTCCTCCTGCAAAACAGATCAGTGTTCTTTCTCATCAAAAGGAGAAACTCCTCACTTTTGAGCTTTCAACAGGTGGCCTGAAAAAGCCTTCAGTCTACTGGGCAACTAAGCGGCACGTGCTAAAGGGTAGGTAGATTAGGAGGACATGAGGGGCTATTTCAGCCCAGAGTGCAGTCTTCAAGCTGGGGGTATAATTTATGTTCCTACATCTATATGATATATTCCCCGTTACAGTAATTATTATGAATTATAGATAAGCACTCTGCGTGTAATGTTCTGCTCTCCATTTCCTACAAATCAAATTACTGAGGGTTATATTGGATTGTGGACATATTTAGAAAATCCTTTTATGGTTGTTTGTTAACTTTCCTCCTGCCAAGAGGCTCCAATCTCTCCTTTGATCAGATGGCCCCAGAGCTCCTGCCTTGTAAAGGAGCATGTGGGACCGAGGGGGCTGGCACAGGGCAGGGCACTGACCGGGCCCTGGAGTCACCACACAGACCAACAAAGGGCTAATGAAGCCATGCTGGCCAGGAAATGGTTGAGGTACCCTAAGTCTGGGCACATGGTAGGTGCTTAGGAATGATCTATTGAATTCTACACTGGATATGATCCCAAGGAGGAGAAAAACAACTTCTACAGAGCTAGGCTTCTAAGCTGGACCCCAGACTGTTACAGCTTCCATATTCGGGTGCTTGATGGGTACCATTGTGGGTAGAGGAGAGGGATGGGCCCACAAATTAGGTTATATCTTTTTTTTTTTTTTTTTTTTTTTGAGACAGAATCTTGCTCTGTCACCCAAGCCAGAGGAGCAATGGCGCGATCTTGGCTCACTGCAACCTCTGCCTTCTGGTTTCAAGCAATTCTCCTGCCTCTGCCTCCAGCGTAGCTGGGACTACAGGCACCTGCCACCATGCCCAGCTAATTTTTTGTATTTTTAGTAGATACGGGGTTTCACCACGTCGGCCTCTCTGGACTCGAACTCCTGACCTCGTGATCCATCCGCCTCGGCCTCCCAAAGTGCTGGGATTACAGACGTGAGCCACTGCGCCCGGCCTCAAATTAGGTTATATCTAAACACTATTCCTATTATGAAAAATTAATCCCTAAATATTTCGACTCCTTAATCAGCTTCTCAAACCTGATTCTGGGTATCTTCTCGACCCTCTAAGCCAAAAAGATGGGTTGTGTGCATAAGTGAAGGTTGGAAGACTGCCCACAATGAGTAAAAATCTTCAAGTCTAAGGAGTTGCAAAGACCCAAGAGAAAACTCTAGGCCCCCACCCACCATTCCCTACCTTTCCTATAACCTCTGTACTTTAGATACAAGTTACCCCCACCAAAAATTCCCTTCTCGCAAGACTATTTCATAGGTGAGAGCTACTTGTCACATGAAATAAATCTTGCTATAATGTTAATGACTAGCAAAGATGCCCTATAATTTTTAAAAAGCTAGCATTTATTGAACACTTACTCTGTGCCAGGGACTGCTGTACATGTTATTTCATCTTCTCAACAACCTAATGAGGTAAGTATTACTATGTATCATTCCAATCTGACAAGTATGGAAATGTAGGCACGGAGACTGAATACCACCTTCTCTAATTTGCCCTTAAGAAGTATGTGCAAATCCAAGCAGTGTGGCTTAGAACCAGCACACTTAACCACTTTCTACATACCAACTCACACACTATCATCTACAAACAGACACCATCTGCATTATTCTGTAAATATCCTTATTTTGGGCCATTGGCTCTTGGGTCCTTCATGTCCCTCATCTGTAAAACTAAGAGGTTAAACTCCCTCAGTGGTCTTCAAGATTTGTCAAGCTTCCTTTGGGCCTGTTGAGTGTGGAAGTCGAGGATGAGAGTGGCAAGGCTCTGTTCATTCACCCCAGTTTCAACCCCAATACTTCTGCTTCTGTCCTTACATGTGTTATATTCAGGCATAAAATTTCTTTTGCAGGATGTTTCTGAATCTTTAAACATTTTGAAATCTACTGATCAAGAGCAGAGATCATAAACTGCTGATCTATGGTCCGAACACAGCCTGCAGATTTTTTTTTTGTTGTTTGGCCCCAAAGAGTTTTGTTTTGTTTTGCTTTGCTTGAATTTGATTACACACCAATATTTAAAATTTAGGAGAGTTTACATAAAAATTGAGCCCCTCTTGAAAAATTAGATGTGTAAGCATTGGGCAGGCCTTCCCACCTAACAACCATTATGTGAGTAGTTCCCTAAATGGTCCATGCAGTCTGCAGCTCACCACTGCACCTGCCCAGCCCACTTCATTCAGCACTCACCTTGCCTGACCCTTGTAGACATTTGAGTTTGCAATCCCTTGTCTAGATTATCTTTAAAGCCCTTCTTAGTCTTGGCCAGACATAGTGGCTCATGTCTGTGATCTCAGCACTTTTGGAAACCCAGATAGGAGGATTGCTTGAGGCAAGGAGTTTGAAGCCAGCCTGGGCAACATAGTGAGACCCTCTCTCTACAGAAAAAAAAAAGTTTAAAAATTATCTACATACAATGGCACAAGCCTGTAGTCCCAGCTACTTGGGAGGCTGTGGCAAGAGGATTGCTTGAGCCCATGAGTTCAAAGCTGCAGTGAGATATGATGATACCAGCGCACTCAGGCCTGGATAACAGAGCAAGACCCAGTCTCTTAAAAACACAAAAAATTTCTTCCTATTCCCAAATATACCCCCAACTGAATTGTAAACTTCTAAAGACTTTGCTTTATGCATACTCAACATTCCTCAGAGCTTCCTACCTCGTCCCCCATCATCTATACCCTGTCCTAGCATGCACACACACACACACACACACACACAAACATGAAAAATGTTCAATACATAAAGAGGTTCAATAGCTGTTCTTTATGTTGGAAAATGGCTTTCTATATTACACCAGTTAGCATTATTTACATTTTATTGAAAAATCTTGAGCCCCCAATTTCTCAGCCCAAAAGAATGCATTTCTAATAATATATTTCATCTTGCAATGTGTCAAGCAAGCCTGGGAGAAATTTGGGGGTAGAAGGATTCTGTTAGTAAAGCAATCTGTTCCCAATAAATTAAGACTCACTCTAGTTCCCTTGATTAATTAGAGCTTATTATAAGGATATTCAAGAACATAAAAGAAACAGGAGTGCCATGGGACACCTTTTACCACTCAGAGACTCGTATATTTGGGGATAAGAAAAATCCACCAGGGCTCCAGTGACCACTAACCTTACGGGCATGTTATTAGCAGGACTCTGTTGATCCCTTACCTTTATGGTGAGTGAGCTCCTCTCTGATTGCATCTATTCCTCCCACTAGTTCCAGGAGCCACCTTACCCTCTTCTTGCTGCCGTGCCATCTCTATTTCAGTTTCTGCTTACTCATAAAGTCTGTTTACTTACCCACTTTATTCATCTTTCTTGCTGCCACAAGGCCTCCCCTTGTGGTTCTTTTCAGCTTATACTCCTTCCCAAAACCAACTAATTGACTCCCTCCCCAGTTGCCCTAGTTGAAATTCCTGAGTGAGAACATCTGACCCAGCTAATCACATTTTGCCTGTTTGGGCAGTTTTTCATGCCAAACCATCTCATAAGGACACTGGCCAGCCTAGAGATTGGTTAGGGATAGGACCACCCCATTGAGATAGGTCTGGAAGAAAGGGACTCATGGCCACCCAGGGCAGCTCTCACAGCCCACATATGGGTAGGCACTTTCCCTAAGAAAGAAGCTACTGGCATGGCAGGAGATGTGATGGACCTGCCCAATAGGATTCTCAGACTTCCATTCAAATCATGTCAGTGTCTCTATCTTTGAGGGTAGTTTCTATCTGAAACATAAAACAAAGCTACGACTATATTGCTATAACATTGTTGTTCATGTGGGCCTGTAAGCAGGAGACATCAAAGGACTTCTGTGGTTCTTTCCTGACCTTGAATTACAATTTACTCTAATTCGATTTGCTCTAATCCTGCATATACATGGATCCAAATTGTTTTTGGGACATCTCAACCAAACATTTTTATAAAGTATTACCTAGGCATAAGTTCCAATGAATTATACAGACTCCCAACCTCTTCATCAAGTTTATTCTCATGACTTCAAATACTACATATTGGCCAGTTGCAGTGGCTCACGCCTGTAATCCCAGCACTTTGGGAAGCCAAGGAGGGCAGATCACCTGTGGTCAGGAGTTCGGGACCAGGCTGGCCAACATCTCTACTAAAACCCCATCTCTACTAAAAATATAAAAATTAACTGGGCGTGGTGGCACGCCTGTAGTCCCAGCTACTGGGGAGGCCGAGGCACGAGAATCACTTGAACCCAAGAGGTGGAGGTTGTGATAAGCCTAAATTGTGCCACTGTACTCTGTCTCAAAAAAAAGAAACCATATTTTAAGGAATCTCAACAGCATAAACTCAACCCAGCTCTTTCTCTCCTGCGCTCCATGTCTATATTACTCACCTCCACCTAAATATCCGATAGTCATTTTATATGTCTTCTATGTCATTAAAATTCATCATGTCTGTATTAGTCTGTTTTCACACTGCTATAGAGATACTACTCAAAACTGGGTAATTTATAAAGGAAAGAGGTTTAATTGACTCACAGTTCCACATGGCTGAAGAGGCCTCAGGAAACTTACAATCATGGTGGAAGGGGAAGAGACACATCTTACCTGGTGGCAGGCAAGAGAGAGTGAAACTGCCATTTATAAAACCTTCAGATCTCATGAGAACTCCCTCACTATCACGAGAACAACACAGCAGAAACAGCCCCCATGATTCAATCACCTCCCACCAGGTCTCTCCCTCAACACCTAGAGATTACAATTCAAGATGAGATTTGGGTGGGGACACAAAGCCTAACCGTGTCATTTTGCCCTGGTCCCTCCCAAATCTCATGTCCTCACATTTCAAAACTAATCATGCCTTCCCAACAGTCCCCCAAAATCTTAACTCATTTCAGTATTAACTCAAAAGTCCAAGTCCAAAGTCTCATCTGAGATAAGGCAAGTCCCTTCCACCTAGGAGCCTGTAAAATCAAAAACAAGTTAGTTGCTTCCAAGATACAATGGAAGTACAGTCATTGGATAAATGTTCCCATTCCAAATGGGAGGAATTGCCCAAAACAAAGGGGCGACAGGCACCACGTAAGTCCAAAATCCAACAGAGCAGTCAATAAATCTCAAAGGTTCAAAATGATCTCCTTTAACTCCGTGTCTCACATTCAGGTCACACCGATGCAAGAGGTGGGCTCTCATGGTCTTGTACAGCTCTGCCCCTGTGGCTTTACAGGATACAGTCCTCCTCCTGGTTTCTTACATGGGCTAGCATTGAGTGTCTGCAGCTTTTCCAGGTTCATGGTGCAAGCTGTTGGTGGATCTACCATTCTGGAGTCTGGAGGATGGTGGTCCTCTTCTCACAGCTCCACTAGGCAGTGCCCCAGTGGGGACTCTGTGGCAGGGGGTGGGCTCCAACCCCACATTTGACCTTCTGCACTGCCCTAGCAAAGGTTCTCCAGCAGACTTCTGCCTGGCCATCCAGGCATTTCCATATATCCTCTGAAATCCAGGCAGAAGTTTCCAAACCTCAGTTCTTGACTTCTGTGCACCCCTACACCCAACACCATGTGGAAGCTGATAAGGCTTGGGGCTTGCACCCTCCAAACCAATAGCCCAAGCTGTACCTTGGCTTAGCCACGACTGGAGCTGAAGAAGCTGGGACACAGGGTGCCATGTCCTGAGGCTGGACAGGTGTTGGGGGGACCCTGGGCCCAGCCCACAAAACCATTTTTCCTCCAAGGCCTCTGAGCCTGTGACAGGAGGGCCAGCTGCCAAGATCTCTGACATGCCCTGGAGACATTGTCCCCATTGTCTTGGTCATTAATAATGCAGCTCCTCATTGCTCATTCAAATTTCTGCACCCCAGCAGGCTTGAATTTTTCCTCAGAAAATGGGTTTTTCTTTTCTATCACATCATCAGGCTACAAATTTTCCAAACTTGTTTGCTGTGCTTCTGTTTTAAACATAAGTTCCAATTTCAAACCATCTCTTTGTGAATGCATAATACTGAATGATTTCAGAATAATCCAGGTCATGTCTTGAATGCTTTGCTGCTTAGAAATGTCTTCCACCAGATACCCTAAATCATCTCTCTCAAGTTCAAAGTTCCACAGATCTCTAGGGCAGGGGCAAAATGCCACCAGTCTCTTTGCTAAAGCATAGCATGAGTTACCTTTATACCAGTTCCCAACAAGTTTCTCATCTTCATCTGAGACCACCTCAGCCTGGACTTCATTGTTCACATCACTATCAGCATTTTGGTGAAAACCATTAACAAGTCTCTAGGAAGCTCCAAACTTTCTCCATATTCCTGTCTTCTTCTGAGCCCTCCCAACTCTTCCAACCTCTGTCTGTTACTCATTCTAAAGTAACTTCCACATCTTTTAGTATCTTTATAGCAGTACCCCACTCTATTTGTACCAATTTACTGTTTGAGCCCATTTTCACACTGCTATGAAGATCCTACTGGAGGCTGGGTAATTTATAAAGGAAAGAGGTTTAATTGACTTACAGTTCTGCATGGCTGGGGAAGTCTCAGGAAACTTACAATTATAGTGGAAAGGGAAGCAGGCACATCTTACATGGTGGCAGGCAAGAGACAGTGAAAAGCCCAGGGGAAGCTGCCACTTATAAAGCCAACAGATTTCATGAGAACTCCCTCACTATCACAAGAACAGCATGGGAGAGACAGCCCCCATGATCCAATCACCTCCCACCAGTCCTTCCCCTCAACACCTGGGGAGTACAATTTAAGATGAGATTTGGTTTGGGACACAAAGCTTAACTATATCAATGTCCAAACTACTTTACCTGCCTTTTTCCCAGTTAACTGACCCTTCCTCAACCATCCAATTGCTAAAATAATAAATTTGGGAGTCACCCTTTACTTTTACCTCTCCAAGGCTCATATCCAGTCAATAATTGCTGTTGTTACTGAATATCGTTTCTCAAATACCTCTTAACTTTGTCTCTATTGATCCATCTCCATTGCCAGAGTGAATTACTATTAATTCCTCTCAGTTATCTCTGGTCTTTTATAAAATGAAGCCATTCCCTCAGACTAAAACACTATCCTTCTGTTCATTAGCCCCTGTCCAAACCCTAAATGCCTTTTGTCTGGCTATTTCCTATGCATCCTTCAAGTCTCACATTAGGGTCACTTCCTCCAGGAAGCCATCCCTGACCCAACAATTCTGGGGCAGGTACTTCTTCTATATGTCTCAACTCTTCCATCCTATCGCTTACCTTGTGGTGTTTGGAATTGCCTGTCTGCTCCTCTATATCCCCCACTAAACTATTTGCTCCCTGAGAAAGGAACCACATCTGCCTTGTTTAAATCTGTGTCCCTGGTGTCTGACACAGTAACTGACACATAGTAGTCGCTTTGTTGCTTCACAAATATTTGTTAAAGAAATAAATGCCTTACTCTGCAATACCTATATGCTCTTCATAAATTTTTCTTCAAAATGCACCCAGAGGATAAAGTCGTGATCTTGATAAAATTTCAAAGACAACTGGAAAAGGCCAAAGACACGCATAACCCCAAACACAAAACAGAATGAAAAACATACAAATAAAAAGATGCAAAACTAAAGACTCACGCCTATAATCCCAACACTTTGGGAGGCCAAGGTGGGCAGATCACTTGAGATCAGGAGCTTGAGACCAGCCTGGCCAACATGGTGAAACCCTGTCTCCACAAAAAATACAAAAATTAGCGAGGCATGGTGGCAGGCAGCTACTTGGGAGGCTGAGGCAGGAGAATCACTTGAACCTGGGAGGTGGAGATTGCAGTGAGCTGAGATGGCACACCACCGCACTCCAGCCTGTGTGACAGAGTGAGACACTGTCTCAAAAAAAAAAAAAAAAAAAAACCTAAATGAAGATGCAAGTCACAGAGTCATGTAAATCACTAATAGAAGCAGAATATAAATTCTATATTTAAATGTGTTTCCCAAGTCATATTTCTAAGGACAGTAACACACCATGCCCCTGAGAATTACAGCATACCTTTTTTTTCCATTGTTCATACACTAATTCATACTTCTGAAACTCAGATATTCAGATAACAAATAACCAAGTGTTGGAAGGAAAGTTACAAATTATAGTCATATGTCACAGTCCAAGCAAATGGCAGCCAAATTTCCCTGTATAAATTGCAGAATTCTCTTATGATTTCACAAGATGTATTGAAAAGAAAAACACTAAAAATTCATTTTTTACTCAGCTAATATAGTATATGGGTAAAGGGTTCATGTTTAAACTGTTACAGATGAGTGAGTTTTTCCAGAAATGCAATTTTAACAAAGCATAATGCCACTGAGATATTAAAACTAAATTTAAATTTCTTAATATTAGGTTAACACCCTCAGAGCAAATCATGCTAACATCAGATGGTTTAAATAATGTCACTTAGCTAGCAACAAGAAAACACATTTCAAAAGAAGACAATGGAAGAATAGAGCTAGTCAAAGGAATCTTTAGAAACAAAAATGACTTTTAATTAGTAGACCTATAAACTAATACTAAAGAAGTTTTCATGTGGGTGTTTTAGATGATTTTGTTGTGATGGCTATTACTGTTAATTATCAGTGAATTTGAAGTTATCACTTCGAGAGTGAGACACCACAGCGAGCCCATGCTTTTCAGGTCAGACTGTTAGATTTTATTGCTGAGAATGCATACAATACTCAAGGTCAAAACTGTGTTTGTTTTAAAAGTGACAATTAATTATTGCTAATCTTCATCAGCCTTAGAACATTTTTACTTAAGAGAACACTCAGAGTGAAATGCTGACGGGAACCAGCTCAAAGACAAGGTAGAGCTAAAAATCTGCAGCCTGGGGTTTCCCTAAAAGAGAAGCAGGTAAACAAGCCAGTTTTGCCTTCAGCCAGTTCAAGGATAATGATTTGTAGGTAGGTGAAGTTTCAGACTTTCTTTTCACCCCCACCCTCTATCCTGACCCTCCTCCCTGACACAACAAAATCCCAAGTACCTAATTTTTCAGCCTCTTAAAGAACTCCAGTAGCTCCTACCTAAATGCTACGTGTATTCTGATCATTCAAGGATGTGGGTTTTGTCATTTGCATATGGTTTTGCCCTGATCTCAAGTTCAAAAAAATAAAGCGTATTTTGCCGCAGCCTGATGTAGAAACTCTAAACGTTCCCAGAATAAAAATAAACTTGTTCTGGCAAGGCCATTTGGGGATTATTAGTTGGCATCTTTTGACTGTAGTCAGAAATAAGCAAGCATCCATTTGTAGCAATCCTTATAACATTATCTCTGTTTGGATTGTTATTATGCTTATAAGTGCTTTTGGAATCCATGCTAGTTTTTTTTTTTTTTTTAAGAGATCTAGGGTCTCTTTTTACTTACTTTTTTTTATCAAGGAAATCAAAATTTCAAAAGCAATATATTTCCATAGACTACATGAGAGACATGAAAAAAATTCAAGTATAAGTCCTGTGAAATATATTTGTGATCAGTGGAATTAGACCTCTTCCTAGTGTTCTAGTGACTATCAAAACAGATGTGTGATATCTGTGTCTGTCAGGTACCTTTTTAAAACCTTACATGGTTGGCTTGTCCTTGCTCAGCTCAGAGTCATTTAAAAAATACTTTGAGAGCTAGCCATGAGAATTACAAATCATTTTTCAAAGGTATGTACAGCTCTGCAAATTACAATGAGTTTACAGGTGCAGTCTTATTCTGTGTAACCTAGAGATGAAAGAGTTATCAAGGACACTGATGCTCATTGCTGCATCGATGAAATCTTCATGAATTCAAAAATTGTAGCAATAATCTCTTTTATGGAAATAGATCTATGAGGTTGTCAAGCAGATGGTATCTGATTTCCTTCTAAGTGAGGAGGGCCCTGTAAAGTAGTATAAAGGTTCCAAAAGCAGTGATCAGTAGGAGCAGAAAACAGGCAAAGATCTTCACCCGCTTGGTGACCTGCTGGAACTCAGAGTAATAAAATGTGTCAGACACTCTGCTAGTCACTTTCTCATACATTGGCTCACTGAAAGCACACAGCCACCTAATAAGACACCATTTTTTCCCCTCTAATTTAAAGCTAAGGATGCTTCAATACAGAAAGATTAAGGGACTTGACCAAGATCACCAAGCTCACAAAGGTCATAACAAAAAGGAACTAAGAAGGAAAAGCTGCTTACCACGAATGTCTCTCTCTCTCTCTCTCTCTCTCACACACACACACACACACACACACACACACACACACACACACACACACATCATATACAATTAGCATGTTAGCAGGGCTCAAAGTCTGATTATCAGCCCATTCTTTCCATCTGCATGCACTTTTCAGCCCGTGTGCTGTCCTATTTTGATAAATGCCATTCTTCCTTTAACTGGCTGAGGCTTTCCTAAACGTCCATGTGAACCTGATTTTCCCATTAAACAATTGCCCTGGATTACTTAGTGGTTTTCTAAAGCTGACCCTGGTAGTGGGCAGTAGGCTTGTGTGTGTTTCTCATGCTCTTTAACTCCCTCTTCCTTTGGCTTCCCCCTTCCCTTGCAAGCATCGTTGTCCATACTTCTTCTGCCCCATGCTGATGCAGCTAAGCACTATTAATGAAAATCCAGGAACCCAGCTGACCTGGTCTAATAAATTCTATATTGTCACACTGCCCTGCTTACTGAAAAGCAACATAACTACTCCTTCCTGACCACAGATGCTCTCAGATCAATATCTCAGTTCTTGACCCCTCATCCTCTTTCTAATGACATATTTCGTGCTGTCTACAAAATAACTCTCCTTGGTGATCTGCCAAGATCTAAAACTAATTATGACAACACTGAGCCCAGTGTCCTCTCCCTCAAACCCTTGCCCCATTTCAACTTGTCTACTCTGGTCAGGGGCACTGCTAGCCATCTGAGCACCCAGCAATAAAACTGTGGGGTCATCTGCAGTCCCTCCTCCTCACCCATCCCCAAGGTCCAACACTAGTTCTACCAGCTCATCTTTCCTAATTTGGGGTCCATGTGTCCTCTTTGTTCCTACAATTAACCACACTGGCCAGCATTAATAGTGGAAGCATGCAAATAAACGTCTCTCTTTCCAGATTCTGCTGATGTCACAGGAACAACTGCTATGTCCTCATTCACAAAATCTTCAGCATGATCAAGAGACCCTTCCTTGTCTGGCCTCACCTACTTCTCCAGACTCAACTCATGCCACTCACCCTCTAATTCACTATCTTTTTTTTTTTTCCTTTCATATTTGCTTACTTGACATGCTCTTTCTACCTCATAGCCTTTGAATATTTAGTCACTTTTCCTGGAATGTTCTCTACCCCACACTGGGTAATACCTACTCAGCAGCTCCCTCCAGCCTTCATTCTAGTAAGATTCCCTTATTGCACCCTGCACTTTTCCTTCATCATGCTTATAATGGTCCATAAGAATATATTTATTTTCAAATAAATGGATACTACCAATTGTTCCTCCAAGTAAAGGGAAGAGTATTTGCAATAGATCAAAGATGAGAAAAATGATGACTCATTTGTGACAATAGTAGTTAAGACAGAGAGAGCGAGAAGTTTCATGGCACTAGATGAGGGTGAAGGGGTAGGTGAGACCATAGTGTAGAGCTCTTGTAAGCCATGGGTATTAAAAATTGGGATATTGAAAATTTGGATATTAACCTACTAACAATGAAAATACATTGAAGAGTTTTAAGCAGAGGAATACAATAATCAGACTTGGATTTGTCAAAAATCATTCTATGTAAAGTGTAAAAAATGAACTGGAAAGGACAAAAGTGATTACAGAAGAAGAATTTGGGTGTTCTTGCAGGTGGCTTGAGTAGGAACATGGCTGTGAGGGTGAAGGGCAGATAGTTAACAGAAGTATTTCTGCAGTAAAATCAATAGGTCTCACCTACTGATGCGAAGTAGGAGTGAGGGTGTAGGGTTATTAAAAATGATTCATAAATTCCTTCCTTGAGCAAACAGATGGATGTAATGCCCCTCACTGAGAGAAGCAGAGTGAAAGAGAGGAGCAGAGGGGAGTATATTAATGAATTCTGTGTTAAATAGGTTGAGTTGAGGAATCTTCTGGAGAAGTCAAGCCAGTAGGGAATTGGATGTACTAGACTGTATATGCAAATATGGGAATATTTAACACAAGAAATATTTGAAGTCTTAATGTAGCCTAGGGATATAGAAAGAGTATAACATGAGAGCATATTGCCTAAGGCATTCTCCCTATCTGTGTTTCCCAAAAAACAATCTTGCTGCTGAGACCTATACCTTCAAAACATTCAAAACCTTATTCAAAACTCACATTTTCCATGAAAGCTTCCTAGACTTACATGGCCTTTGTCTTATTGTAATAACACTTATCACCTTTGAAAAAGTCATCATACATGTTTATAGGACCCTCCTCACATCAACGTTATTTTGCAAGACCCCATGTTTCTTCTTTCATTAAATACAGGCACTGTACACTCAATTGATATTCTTGACAAGCCAACTGTATACCCACTAGTAGTATACACCTAGTTGGGTTTTGTAAATGTTGAGTTTCCTATTTTCACAGAGCAATTTTAGTTATTTATGTAAATATTTTTGTTTTGGCCAAGTTATATATGTAACTAAAGACAATATAATCATATGATTCAGTGAAAGTAGAGGGTTAGAATTACAGCTAGCCAACACACTGTCCAAAGAAGAACATTAAGGCAAAAATGCTATCAGAACATAAAGCCAGCCAAGGTTTTCAAGTATCATTTCCAATTCCATTTCATTGACATGTTTAGGTGCCTTGAAGTGCCATTTACAACCCTGCCTCTGACATATAAGTTGGCCTACACAGAAAGTTCTCCAGCTATTTAAACTTCCCTGACAATTGACAACTGTCAGAAAGTATTATCCACAAAACAATCTTGAGCACCCTCATTAGCAGGGAACCATCACTGGGACAATGCCCACTGGTGGCTTGGCAAAGAGAGGGCACTGAGCTGCTGATAGCCATCTACCAGGGCGGCTTTCCGTGGAAGCCACTGGCTTCCAGTTCATTTTCTCAGACTTCCCATGAATGGGTAGATACAAAAGTTCTTAATCAGAGTTCCACATCGCCCAATCTCCAAGTCAATTAATGAACCTTTCTATCTGACAGGCACATAGAGGTTGTCAAAAAATATTTGTTGGCAAAGAATGATATTAATATGAATTAACTATGTGTTTGGGCCTTTTAAAAAACTACACCAGGATTTTTTTTCTTCAGTATGCTAAAGATGAAATTCAAATTCAAAGAAAGTCAAAGAAGTTGGTTAACCTGCTCAAGTCATATAGCTAGTAAGTAACAAAGTGAGAATTTGAACACAGATCAAAAATTTAACTCCAAGCAAGATTTTCAATATTGGCAAAGTGAGCTTCTTATCCCAACACTTTAGGGAAATATACTGAATAAGAGAACGTCAAAGTTTAGAAAGATAGAAGGCTCTCATACTCCCGGTTTTGAGCTACTCAGTATCCATCAATGTAGCCACAGATAATGTCAGAGTCTTCATGCAGCCTACGTTACACCATAGACATAATTCCTCTAAGCCCCTTCCCTCCACAGAAGTTGTTCTATACAAGTATCCACGAAGCTAATCAGTTAAATAAAACTGTAAAGTCAGCCCAGATCAGTGAATCAGATTTCAATTTTCCATCTGTTTCAAGTGAGTCACATCCTACAGATTCAGGGTCAATCTTATGTGAGTGCACAGTAAGCAATTTCCTATCCTAGATTGGCTTTAATTAAAAAGGAACATCCTAAAAATATCTTCCCCCATCAGTTCTACTATGAGTTCTCCATGCCCAGGTAGTCTTTCAAGGCAAAACATCTTCTTAGAGGAACTATTACATTAAGTTTATAATCAATTAAAGTACATAAGTTTTATCACATTACTTTCCAATGAGTTAAAGGAGGGACATAGCAGCATCCACCATGTGGATTATGGTGTCTTGGTTCACATAAGTGTGTCCTGGTTAAGAAAGCAGACTTGCTAGACAGGCCATTCAATTGCCACTCTACTGCCTACTAGTGCTGGGAACTCTGTCAGTTACTCTCTGTGAGCTTCAATTTTCTCACTTGTATAATTAGCAAAATACTAACCTTATATTTCTGTTTGAAATGGTGATAATTATTAACATTTCATTATAACTTATGGTGAAATCTATTTATACTTCCTCATATGCACAGTGAAAAGTGGAATCCATTTCATAATGATATTTGATGCATTTATTTTTAAGAAAGAAAATATCTACAAAAGTAGAAATCACTGATATAAAAAGACAGAAAAAAACGTAAACAGCTTTCTCTCAGCAAATAAGTGGTAATTTTTATGTGTGTCAATGATGAGTACAACAAGATAGGGATCTATATTCTGAATTAGTAATGTCAGGATTTTATACATATAACAATTCTGTTTTTAATGATATAAGCCCTCTTATAGGTTGCCGAAAAATTCACTACCAAAATACTAGTCTTCCAGAATGTAGCAACTTTTAAAGAAGCCTTTAATACCAGAATCTTTACCTCATATTAATTTCCGAGGGCTGCCATAATGAAATACCACAAACCATGTGGCTTAAAATAACAGAAATGTATTCTCTTGCAGGTCCAGAGGCCAGCAGTGCAAGGACCAGGTGCCAGCAGAGCCACACTCCTGCTGCAGCCTCTAGTGGAGAATCCTCCCTTGCTTCCACCTTCTAGTGGCTGCTGCCACTCCTTGTGGCTGCATCGCCCCAATCTCTGCTTCCATTTCCACATGGCCTTTTCCTCTGTCTGTCAGTCTTTTCTTCTGTCTCAAAAATTTGTCATTGGACTTAGGGCCCATCTGGACAATCCAAAAAGATCTCATTTCAAGTGTCCTAATTGCATCTCCAAAGACCCTTATTTCAAATAGTGAAATTCATAAGTTCTGAGAGTTAGGCCATGGACATATCTCTTCATAGACCACCATGCAACTCACTATAACCATTAACAAATTATACTATGATAGTTTAACTTTAATAATAAAAAATCATTAAAAAGTAACAGCTCTTTTCTTTTAAGTCTATATTCATTCTTCCAACTATTTAGTACTGCCCAAATGCCCTCTTCATGCAGAAAATGTTACGCAATGGACAACCCATGGTGAATCAAGCAGCCATGGTTCTCCCTTCGTGAAAGACTTTGTACACACACAAAAAAAATGCTTTTGTCTTATTTTTAATAAGAACTGAATTTCAAAATTCAGAAGCAAAAACTGTACAGCTTCTATTCCTTAGCAAATTAAGCCATTTAATATGTTAGCTCCAGTTATAGCATGCATTTATATTTTTATTAAAAATTTTAATGAGTATAAATACTTCTCTCCTAGAGAGTTTTAAAAATTAATGTTTATATTATGCTTCGGAATCATTGGATAAAAGGTGCTTCATAAATGCAATGCATTATTATTAAGTGTTATTAAAGTAAATTGAAGGCAAAGCATGTAATAAAAATTTCCCTGCGACAAAAGTCTGAGGTCTATATGTGGTTCCACAGTGCTTAGACCATATTTAACTGTGAAAGTACCAATATTAACATGAAAATGTTTTTGCTGCTGCTGCAATCTGGAATCAACAATGAGTATGTGCTGTTTGGCATTCCGTTTTTAATTACATATCATATTTCATACTAGATGTTGAAATTATATGCCACAAAATTTTATATCACTTAATAGGTGCCAAAATTACAAAAGTTAAAATATTTTCATTTCATAGAACTCATGTAGCTAAAGTTTCATTTCCTAACAGTAATATTAAGGACATATTGATGGAAATGAAATTTTTAAATGCCAAACAACCATCGAGACTTCCAGGTCTACATTCATATTTTCAATCAGTTCCTAGTTATTTACATCAGAAGTAAGTGATAGAAAGCATCTGTCAGTCTGATTCTCAGGTATTTTGAATTACAATAATCAAGAGATTAAGTCAGAAGAAAAAGGAGGGTATCCCTAGAGATTATATCTCTCTAAATAATAGAGAGGATTGAGAGGGAAGAGGAAAAAAGATAGCCAAAGTGAAAGTGGGGAGGGAGTTTATAATTTATGATGTAAAATATTCAATAACAACTTTAGGATAGCAGAAGAACTGGAGAGTTTAGGAGGGACTTTTGAAAAACCCAAGCCAGAAACTCCCTTTAACACTCTATGAAGGAGGTAGGTACACGTTAGAATTCACTTTTAATTGTATTTGTTGGCCAAACACTTTTTTCTTTTTTGAATATAATTCTCTCTGGAAATTGTGCTACCTGCGGCTCTAAGATTCATTTGGGTTACAAAGGAATGTAATTAACTAAAAACACAAATGAATTATAAGCTTTTCACTTTGTCAACTGTGTAAGCTAGAGGTCCTTTCCTTTTTGCTATACAAGTCAAAGGAAAATAGCCTCCTGTTTTGAAAGCTTAAATCTAACATTAGCGTACAAAACCATATTTGCCAAATTGAATTAATTGTTAGAATTAATCAACACTGGGGAAAACATAGATGCCGTTAGGCAGTCATTTTTCAAATCATGTGAATTATCCTTTAAGTTGTAAAAAAAATTTCAATAATGCATTTTTTGGTGTTTTTTAATTACCTTAAAGTTAATATTTTTAAAAAATTAGTAAAACAATATAATTATATATACACTAGAAGTCAATTTCAAAAAGCAGCAAATTAAGTGTCTTAAAATGTGATGACGTTAAGACAGGGATTCTAAATTTTATTATGTATTGGAATCATCTGGACCCCTTATTTCAAATGTAGATTCCAGGATTCAGTACAACCATGAAAAGTCTAATTCAGAAGGTGTGACATGGAACCCAGTCATCTGGCAAAGTGATTCAAAAGCAGAAGATTCATAAACCACAGCTTGAGAAAAACTGAATTAAAGTTTGATTCCAAATAACTGGAGAAAGTTTGGGGTGCACAAAGCTCTATATGATATTTATCAGCAATTTCTTACATATATTATATCCTAGAAGATCAGTCATTGCAAGCCTGTCCCTAAATCCACATACACAAATTCAGAACCACACAAAATTTCCATGCAAACTTTGGCCAGCCCATTCTTCAACTTGCCTCTGCATTTTTTAACTGCAGAAGCCAATGTCCCTGTGAACTGCTTTTATAGCACATTTTCATTATGGTAAATTATTGGCATAGCATTGAATAATAAAACTGGGTTTATGAGACCAAAAAAAAAAGGAGCTATTTACATTAGAAAAGTTGAAACTCATTTTCCTCTGCCTCTTTAATATTTTCTCACTGGTTTGTATGAATTAAACACAATGGAAACTTATGTAATTATTCTGCAAATCTGAGTAATGGACCCTTGAGTCTGAGTAAGAAAACCTCAGATTTACCTTAACAAAATCTTTTCCCTCTAAATTGTCTGGCTAATTTTCTTGATTCTCCAGTTTATGTGACCTAAGTGCAAACAACCATTATGCTGCTTATCACTGACTAAACCTGTGT
Organism: Homo sapiens; assembly: GCF_000001405.40. NCBI lineage: Eukaryota > Metazoa > Chordata > Mammalia > Primates > Hominidae > Homo > Homo sapiens. Next base: position 107,272,254 of record NC_000005.10, read on the forward strand.
GTCAGATAAAAATAAGACCAGAATCAAAGTTCTGTTAAAAAAAAAAAAAAATGACCACAAATTATCTACATCTGCATTAATGTGGTTTCGCTGCAATTCAAAAATTTAAATCTCAAAGCACTTAATAAGCATTTTTATAGAAAAAGACTACATAGGTTGCTCTTTTATTAATTGGTTCAAATGTTTGGTCCTATCTCAATTGGAAAACCAAGCTCTGAGCACCACTTACACTGGAATCTGGTGCTATATATTGCTGAATCCCAGTGCCTAGAATAATCCCGACAAGTAGTAGGATTTCAACATGTATTTGTAGAAGAAAGCGCTATTTTGGTAAATTCTTGTAGATCAAGGTCAAAGATCATGTACTGTTTGGTCAAAGATCATGTACTGTTTGGGAAAGTCAAGTGGATTTGTTCATCTATGTACAAAGGTATGCCAATCAGTGATTCATGAACAGGTGATGGCAAATAATAATTTCCAGAGATTATGTAATATTTGCCAGTCACCAAAGTAGTTCAGAATATGGTCACCTGTCTTTTGGCTTTCATTGCATAGGTGACCTGAAGCAGGTTAATAATAATTTGAAGCCTTCATCAAAGCACAACAGTAGACTATATGACTGTCAAATCTATGAACAAACGCCCCTTTGTGGGTTATTCATAAGGAATGTGAGAGTTTCATGTCTTGTTGGCTTAGTGTACATATAACCTCCACAAGATTTTAGGATTTTAGAACACTTTTCTCTCTTTCCTCCCTGGTTTAGACATTGGATAAAGCCACGGAAGCCAAAACACATCATTACTTTCCAATATCTTCCCTTAAGGAAGGTGTGAGTCAGACCATGGATGAGTTTAGCAAGAGATAAGGTGAGCTCCAGATGCTGCGAATCAGTCAGAACCAATCAAGCATCTCTCTTGAGCGTGGAATCAGTAACAGGAAAGACTTTGGCAAGTGATAAAACAGGATGAGAAGTTGGGAAGTTTCCAAATCAGATATTCAGAATGTGGTTGGTTGTTTTTTTTAAATCATTTGAATGGAAATGGTATAAACTCCCCAACATATCAAACACCTGGATTAAATAGATTACAGAAATGTAGCGCAAAACAAAACACAAATGATTTGCAATTTACTATCCTTGTCAATGTTCCCCTCGATTGGCATAAATAATTCAGACTTTTAAAAATGATTTGTACTCCAGTTGTTCAGACTGGAAAATAATCGACTACATTATGTGGCTATGCTTGAATTTTTTCTTTTTGTTGTACTATGCATTTAATAAACTGAATATATATCTGCAAGAACATTGTTGGATTGGAGTTAGTCTCTTGTGTTTATTAGTAAACGTATTAGTTTGCTAGGATGTCAAAATACGCTTCTAACCATAGACTTGATCAAAATACACTTTTAACCACAGACTTGATCACATTTGTACATCCTGTAAAAGTTTAGTATCAGCAAAAATTTTGCTGTTTTTCTCTTTAAGAAATAATCTTGGTAAATTCACTAAAATGGCACTGTTAAGTCATACTTGGACAACCCTCTACTAATTCAAACACACAAAAATGATAGATAAAAATATAAGGAGAGAAAGTTTAAAAATTTAGGTTCAGCTCATAGCAAGGTAATCATCTCTCTGGACTAGAAGCACAAACAATTCTGTGGGGCAGAGGCAGCAGTCTTGCTGCGTTCTGTGTCTAGAAATAGGCAGAGGCAACCAGGAGTTTGATACCCACACAATAATGGGAACTAAATCTATATGTGTATGGGCTACAGTTGGCTCACTGCTTGAAAACAGGGTCAGGATAGAGTTCCTTACCCAAGAAAAATAGCTGAAAGGAGCTGCAACTTAACATTTTCTAAGTTTACAGCTTACATGAAACTTCATGCCTGTGGTGGGCTGAATGCATCCCCATTAAATTCATATGTTGAAGTCCTACCTCCTGGTACCTCAGAATGTGTTTGGAGATCAGGTCTTTAAGAGGTAGTGAAGGTTAAAATGAGGACATCTGGGTGGTCCTAACCCAATATAACTGGTGTCCCTACAAGAAGAGGAGATTAGGACACAGACACACGCTCACAGAAGGAAGACCATGTAAAAACACTTGGAGAAGACGGCCATTTACAAGCCAAGGAGAGAGATCTTTAGAAGACCTCCAACCCTGCCAATACCTTGATCTTGAACTCCCAGCATCCACAACTGTAAGGAAATAAATCTCTGTTGTTTAAGCCACCCAGTCTGTGGTACTTTGTCACGACAGCCTTAGCAAATGAATACAATGCCTACAGAGGCAGAAGGATGCAAACATAGCCTCACTGTCAGGCCCTGGGTCAAACTGCCCATTAGTTCGTCACTTAAACATGTACTAGTCCTAACATTGCCATGGAACCAGAGCCCCAAGGTGAAAATCTAAGATGGGGTTCTTAGCTGGGGTAAAGGTTTTCCTAGGAAGCTGGTTGGATACAACCAGAAAATTACAAAACAGGAATAGGAATGTCCAGGGAGAAAAGGGAGAAGGGGGGAATTCCACTCCAGATGAGTCTGCATACCAAAATTGCAAAACACATAACAAAAACTAATGCCAGAAAAGGAAGCTAATCAAATCACCAAATGGATGAGGAATTCACTCAATATCAAACTAAAATAATAGGGCAATCTGAAAAAAATTTTAAAAATATTTTAGAAACCTCAGAGATGATCCTTTTATTATTCCTCACAATAAAAGAATAAGAAATTATGAAAAAGGACAAATGAATATTGAAAAAACAAAAGTTCCTGGAAATGAAAATTTATATTTATAAGAAATTCGATAGACTAGGTATATTCTAGAAAGGATAGTGCCAAAAACCAAGTGAATTCCAAAAGAGTGCTGAGGAATTCACCCAGAATGTAGCAAAACAAGAAAAAGAGCAGTTAAGAGCTATGGAGAAAAAGTCGAGAATCTAAAAATCATCTGATGCAAGTTCCATAGGATAAGAAGAGAGAGCATGATGAAAAAGCAGCATTCAAAAATAGAATAACTAAAAATTTTCCTTATTTAAATCAATCTGGAGCCCATTAAAAGCATCAGTTTTTAAAATATGAATTATGAAAATTTCTTTCCAAGGACAAAAAGAACTGCATGCTTTTTCACTGTGAATCTTAATAAAGAAGTTACACTCTATAGAAAGCACAGACTTTAGAAAACACACTAACATCAAACAATCATACCTCAGTTGATGAGAGATTCTCCTTAAGCAAATGGATACACCTACCCTGGCAACCATCCTAAGATAATAATTAATCCTAGGGCAGAATATAGGGCAGGCCACGAGGCTGCAGGAAAAAGAGACTTCTTCCTGTCTTGGGATCTAGATGCCAAGGAATACAAGTCTAACAGTACTAGTGACAGCAGTAGCAAAGAGCCATTTTGTGAATTAAGCCTCCAAATAAGTTAAAATCCTATTGGTATCCTGAACATAAGTGGGTCTGTCTTCCCACCCTAAGAACCAAGGGCATGTCAGGAGCAGACACAACTGATATCTAGTGCTAAAAGCTCTCCTAAGTACCTTGCATAATGTATCTACCTGGATGAAGTGAAATGGCTGGCAGTAAACCCGTAACACTCAGGGCCTAGTGTTTTCTACCCAAGGACAACATAGTACACCTCTTTATTCCTGAAGATGCCACCAAAACCTTGGTGAATTATCCCACATTGACATCCAAGCTAATGGAGGCATAAAGATGCCAAGAGTATTCATTTGGTAGGACTGTCATAACAAAGTACCATAGACCGGAGGGTTAAACACTACAAATGTATTCCCTTACAACTCTCAGGGATAGAAGTCAAAGATCCAGTCTCAGTAGGGTTGGTTTCATTCTGAGGTCTCTCTTCTCAGCTTGCAGATGGCTGTCTTCTCCCTTTGTTTTCACATGATCTTCCTTTGTGTAAGTCTGTGTCCTAATCCTCTCTTCTCATAGGAACACGAGTCATTTGGGATTAGGGCCTACCCATGTGATCTCCTCTTACTTTATTTACCTCTTTAAAGGCCCTATCTCCAAATATAGTCACATTCTCAGGGTTAGAAGAGTAATGGGAGTTACAGCTTCAACATATGAATTTGGGGAAACACAATTCAGCCCATAATACCAGGTTTACCTTTCAATGTCAGATCCATCCAACCAAGTCCTAGCAATGACAACAGGACTCTCTTGTAGTGACAGCAGCAAGGAGGTTCTGGAGGAGACAAGCAAGAGTGGAGAACGGGCTGTCCCACATTCGGCAGGTGCAGAAATCTCACCCTACTCATGGAGCCCTTACTCATGGACTTATTTAAGCTGCTCCTGAGAAAAATTTTGGAAGAGGATTACAAGAGAAAGTTTGGATTTCCTGCTAACTAGAACAAATGGAAGCTCAAAGTGAATACCAAAGAAAATGACACTTTTTACCCCAAGAGGGGAAAGTGAGGCATGCCAATCATCATCTCAGAAGTGAGTGAAGCTTCTATTGCTAGAGGAGAAAAAAAGTGAGCATGAGAGGTGGAGAATCTGAGAGGGCAAGAAGAATGGGGTATAAGCAATGTGGGTCTGCTGCTTGCTGGACACTGCTTAGCAACTTTGTGCTGCAGATTCTACATACATTTGAAGGTAACCTACTAAATTCAGTATGCGAGAGGAATGTTAAAAACACGTATTTGTTTTAATGCAGTACCCATATTATGGTTTTTAAATTCCATATAATATTTAAGAATTTAAAAATAAATCTAAGCAAAAGGAGCATGGAAAAGTTCTACTTATGACCTTACCTCTGAGATAAATTTAACCACAGGGAGACTGCCATCACGAACAGAGCGGCTCCCCTGATAACTAATCAGTACTCTAAGTCAAGTGTTCAAATGCAGCCAGTGAAGAAGTTTCAAACATTTATTTTTCGTTCATTCAGCAAATACCAACAAAAATAATAGGAAATGACAGAGATGAGGTCCCTACTCTCATACTATTTCCATTTATACCAAATAAGAATAATCTAAAGGATTACTTACAAAATCACAGTCAAAATGAAAATAAGCTACAACATACAGTGCAACACAGGGACTGTTTCCATCATAAGCCTGAAGGAGGAAGAAAAGGGGCAGTTACTGGAACCAGGAAGGAGAGTCATGTGGAGAGGGCCATCTTAACAGAAGCTGCAACTTAGTCAAGAACAGGTAGCCAAAGTAGACTGTCAGGAAGAAAACTAGAAGAATTCAAACCCCAATTCTCTCACCTCCCTCCCTGTGTCTCCTGCTAGGGTATACCATGGACCAAATTCAACCTGAGGCCAGAAGACGAGGGAGCCCTCGACTGTAGCCCATGCAGGTCAGCTGCCAGGGCTGAGAGCAGGGTGACCAAGAGTGACAGCCTGTTCCAGATGGGAGAAAGGAAGACGCCTGGCCTGCATTCCTATCACTCTATTCCATCTCCCTGAGTCCAGTGCACAGAGGAGCTTGCTCTCTTTCACAAACATCATGTTGGACCCGCCTCAATAAATGGCCTTTCCAAATATTTGATGTTTTATAGTAATGGCAAAGAACTTCACCCTCAAAGAATTTGGAATCTCATAAATGAGATCAACACTTACAAATTTCAAAGCATTTGCTTAAAACATTCCCAAAGGGTTGGTGATGGAGCATGAAAAGCTGGGAGTTCTTTCTGGCAAGGGTTGGTGATAATAGCAGCTTAGTCAGGGGTGGCTCCCACAGCCTGTGCCTGGGTAAGAAGATTTCAAAAACCTATATTCTGAGTTGAAATGTGGCTCCTAATAGAAGAGAGGGCCCTTTAAAATTATCAGGGGCCGTAAAATGAACTAATGTAAACTGGTTTTGTGTTGTTTCTCCAAGCATCTATAGAAAACATGTCAACATCATCATCCCCCTGACCACCACCTCCTTTCTTCTTGATTGTCTCAATTTTGTCTCTCCTTGTTTTGAGCCAATTACTGAAATGTTTTAAAGAATATCCATCCTTTCCCTTCCTGTACTTTAAATGTTTTGAATACTCTTTTATCCATAGGTCTCAAATCATTTTATAAATATTAATTTTTCCCAATACATATCTGAGGTCAAAACATAAATATCCTTCTTCCCATTTGTTTAAATACAAGAAACAGGGAAATGATAAGAAACCATATCCATGGTCTCAGAACAAGTCCATTGAAGACTAGAATTCAACTCTCTAGTTCCTAGCAATCTTCTCAGCCCTTATGTCACTAGAAAAAAAATACTTCAGTCTTTTATATGTTATTATCCTATTCCAATAATTGAGGAGCCTCCTAAGGAAATTAATGATTGTTGAGCATCTAATATGTGTCAGACACTGTGCTTTTTTGTCTAACTTTTATTTTAGGCTCGGGGGTACATGTGAAGGTTGGTTACATGGGTACATTGTGTGTCGTGGGGAATTGGTGTACAGATTATTTTGTCACCCAGGTCATTAGTATAGTACCCAATAGGTAATCTTTTGATCCTCATCTTCCTCCCACCCTCCACCCTCAAGTAGTCCCCACTCTCTATTGTTCCTTTTTTCATGTTCATGGGTAGACAATGTTTAGCTCCCACTTATAAATGAAAATATGCGATATTTGGTTTTCTGTTCCTGCATTAATTCGCTTAGGATAATGGCCTTCAGCTCCATTCACGTTGCTGCAAAGGACATGACCTCATTCTTTTTATGGCTGTGTAGTATTGCATGGTGTATGTGTACCACATTTTCTATATCTAGTCCACCATCAATGGGCATTTAATTCCATGTCTTTGCTATTGTGAATAGTACTGTAATGAACATACGGGTGCATGTGTCTTTATGGTGGAATGATTTATATTCCTTTGGGAATATACCCAGTAATGAGATTGCTAGGCCAAATGGTAATTCAAAGCTCTTTGAGAAATCTCCAAACTGTTTTCCACAGTTGCTGAAATAATTTACATTCCCACCAGCACCGTACAAGCAATCCCTTTTCTCTACAATCTCTCCAGCATGTTATTTTTTGATTTTGTAAGGATAGCCATTCTGGCTGTTGTGAGATGGTATCTTATAGTGGTTTTGATTTGCCTTTCTCTAATTATTAGTAATGTTGAGCATTTTTTCACATGCTTGTTAGCTGCGTGTATGTCTTCTTTTGAGAGGTGTCTGTTCAGGTCCTTTGCCCATTTTTTAATGGGGTTGGTTCATTTTGCTTGTTTTTTTGTTGAAGTTCCTTATAGATTCTGGATATTAGACTTTTGTTGGTTCAATGCATAGTTTGCAAATATTTTATCCCATTCTGTAGGTTGTCTATTTACTCTGTTGATAGTTTCTTTGGCTGAGACACTACGCTTTAAATGAGTGATTCTCAAATTTCACAGCACATTCAAAGTATCTAGAAAACTTTAAAAAAATCATCATACCCAGGATGCACCCTATACCAATTAAATCAGGAGCCTGGATATGGGAGACAGGAATCAGTACTTTTTTAAAACTCCCCAGGTAATTTCAATGTGTGCTCAAATTTTAGAACCAGTGTTTGAAATTCTTGCCATTCAAGTGTGATATACAGAGCAATAGGATCAACATCATCTGGGATTTTCTGGAACATGCAGAATTTCATACACCACACCAGACCCACTGAGACAATGTTCATTTTAACAACCTCCCAAGTGATTAATATGAACATTGAAGTTTGAGAATCTGCTTTAAATAATCCAATGAGGCCAGTGGCACTATCCCCACTTTAAAAGTAAAGAAACATGTTCAGAAAAGTAATACTCAGAGATTCTAACATAGGGCTGATTGACTTAAAAGTTCGTGCTCTTTTGACCACATCAGTTATAAAATTGAAGGAAGAGATTCACAGATTCTTTTGGGAAGCTGAAGAAGCCTTTAACATCTCTTTCAAGAATTAGTGCAAATATGCCCCAAATTTTGAATGTACTTTGAAGGATTTATTATCTCAGAAGCCCTCCACACAAACTTCCAGGTCCAAGGACCTCAGGTTGTAGATACTCCAACCCCCTTTTTCTCCTAACTACTCCACAACCTATATATGAAAATTTAATTTTTTTATTATAAAATGAGATATATTAAGAAAATAAACAGGCTGGGCATGGTGGCTCATGCCTGTAATCTCAACACTTCGGGAGGCTGAGGAGAGCAAATCACATAAGGCCAGGAGTTTCAGACCAGCCTGGTCAACATGGTGAAACACTGTCTCTACTAAAAATACAAAAATTAGCCAGGCATGGTGGCGTGTGCCTGTAATCCCAGCTACTCAGGTAGCTGAGGCACAAGAATCACTTGAATCCGGAAGGCAGAGGTTGCAGTGAGCCAAGATGGTGCCACTGCACTTCAGCCTGGGCAACAGAGTGAGACCCTGTCTCAAAAACACAAACAAGAAAATAAACCTTACCAAAGATGGATATATTTTGTGTGGATGGATGTATGTATAGGTATAGGGGTACACACTTACACACACACACACACAGAGCATTTCCTCCAAATACTACAAATGCCTTGGGAATTTTACAACCAAAAGTCCTTTCAGAAGGCGCATTGACAAAAGGTAATATTGTACATGGGCTCTTCTCCACACCTGTTAGCAATTTAACCTAATTGTTCAGCAGCTGGGACTGATTTGGGATTCTTTCACTATACCTCATTATTCCTTTTTCATGATTTTTTTCTGGTTTGGAGCTGCTGCTGCTGCTTCTGCACGATGTATGTATTTTTAAAACTGAAAAGACATACTTTGAAATGTCTCTGGAGAGATACATGAAAGTAATTTTTTTATATACCATTTTGCAGTTGAATTTATTTAAACTGATGGTGGTGATTATTAGGTGTGGAAAATCTAAGGGTAAGAAGAGCTTTAACTAGTTGGCCATCCTTCATTGCCTTAGATCTCTTTCTGGACTTTAGGTAGTTTGGCTAAACTCATAAAGGATTGTGATTTGCACATATTTGAGAACTGGAATGCCAAGGAATATTGTCATTTATGGGTAGAGAAAGAAAGTTGGAAACCATCTGGAGCAGAAGAACATAGCATTAGCTGAATTACATCATGGAAACAAGGTACCCTTGATGGAACATTGGATGGAATAAACAATCTTCAGAAGAAACATGAGCAAGATAGTAAAGGCAAGGATTTAATATGTATAGAAAAATAAAGTAATAGTTGCACACATATACATACATATACACATATACACACACAAAAATACAAAAACATGTATAAGACGATCATATATCAAGTGAATATTTAAGAGTGTTTATTTGCAAATCCAGTGTGTCCTTCCCTGAATGTGCTTATCCAGCATCCAGGACAATGGCTACCTAGATAATACAGTATTTCCCCTCTTTTTATTCTGATTTGGAAAAAAATATTAATTCTTTGAGGTCAGATAGTGCAATAGAATGTGTATTTGAAATCAACACCTCAGGCCAGGATGCTCACACCTTTAATCCCAGGAGTTTGGGAGGCTGAGGTGGGTGGATTGCTTGAGCCCAGGAGTTCAAGACAACCTGGGCAACATAATGAGACCCTGTCTCTACAAAAATTTTTTAAAAAAATTATCTGGGCCTGGTGGCATGTACCTGTGGTCCCAGCTACTCAAAAGCCTGAGGCAGGAGGATTGATTTAGCCTGGGATGTCAAGACTGCAGTAAGCCATGATCATGCCACAACCCTCTAGCCTGGGAGGCAGAATGAAACCTTGTCTCTAAAAAAAAAAAAAAAGTATAAAAATAAATAAAGACCTCAAAGCCTGACTGTGGCATTGAAATTAACTAAAAATCAGACTTGCATTCATCTCCATCTAAATTAATTTTGATATTTAAGGACCACAGAGACCTAATAATGAGGCAATCTTATTTATCAAGCAGGATCTCCAAGGAGAGCTATAAAGTAAAGGAGTTAGTGGGAAAAAAAAATACTTTGTAATGATTTAGATTCCTTAAATCATTGAATGGCAAAGTTCACTAAGATCACATACTTTTATTGCATTGACTCACATTCACTTCCACCTACATAGAAATCCTTCTCCCTTCAGACCCATACAGAATGTTAACTAATTATGCTGCCACGATACATTTTTCCAGTTTCTCCATGCCTGAACTGTTCTCCAGTATTAAGTTTCAATCTCCTTCACTCTTCAGCAAATTACTGGTGTTCCTCGGAACCCAGCAGATGGTCTTACAAGTACTACTCAGGCTGATGAAGAAAACTATGGGTCAATGGCATTGAAAGTTGTTGGAAAATATTTAAACCCTCTGTCCTAAAATCTCTAGTTGGTAGTATACATTTCTTCTTCAACAATGAGAGCAGATGTGTTGCTAGAGTTTATATGTTTAACTGAAATCAGACTACTCACCCTGTTGATAGTTTGCTTTCTGTCATGATGTCAACATATACATCATGTTCTTTTGTATTTAGAACATGCAAAGTCTGTATTCATTATAATAGACAATTTGCATGAATATTTACAACCCTGAGTTGAATAGTTAGAATTACACTAATTTGCATCACTATTGATGGAGTTAGGTTTGCATTTACCTATTAGTGTTCTTATAAATCTCATTAATAGATGTAATAGAGGTCCTCTTACCAATGTGCCCTCAGTAATTCTGCAACCATAGCAATAGAAACCATTAAAGTGTTTTGAGACAATTTTCTTTAAAATAGTGTCTCTGTGGCTTGCCAGATATTTATTGCAACACAGTGTTTTATGTCTTTATCTTTCTTAATGCAGAATTAGCATTGATATTGGCTTGAGAAGGGAGTTATTGTACAGAAAGAACGCGTAAATGATGAAGAAAGAACATATTTACTCACTCGTATTAAGGTAAGTAGTACATTTGTAATGACTTCACAGAATAAATACATGCTGACTTAAAGATTATCATCTTCAGTAGAATTAGGTGAACACTAACAAGAAGTTTACAAAATTGTATTTTTGGTGGACTCTTAAGCTGTTGCTAGTTTGGAGGAGCATATATTTTCAAAGATTGGATGAAAAGAAAAGATCAGTGGCATGAACTATAAATTCAAATTCATACTTCCTTAATTCATTAGTTACAGCACTTTCTACTCTCAGATCAAATATTTGAATGATGTTGAACTTGATCCCAACAACGAGTTAATAAAGTGTAGTGGAAACAGTTTGGCTGGGCATGGTGGGTCACACCTGTAATCCCAGCACATTGGGAGGATGAGGTTGGCAGATCACCTAAGGTCAGGAATTTGAGACCAGCCTGGTCAACATGGTGAAACCCTGTCTCTACTAAAAATACAAAAATTAGCCAGGCATGGTAGCTCGTGCCTGTAATCCCAGCTACTCAGGAGGCTGATGCAGGAGAATCACTTGAACTCAGGAGGCGGAGGTTGCAGTGAGCCAAGATTGTGCCATTGCATTCCAGCCTGGGTGACAAAAGCGAAACTCCATCACACACACACACACACACACACACACACACACACACACACACAGAGAGAGAGAGAGAGAGAGAGAGAGACAAAGAAAAGAAACAGCTTGAGTCAGACTAGATTTGGGGGTTCTGGTCGTGCCTCTTTCACAATCTCGTTGTATAACCTTGGACAAGAACCTTAGCATTTGGGAAATTCTGTTTCCTTAGAGGAAATAAGGCTTGCAGGACAAGATCATCTCTTCAGTCCCTTCTATCTCTATCAGTCAAGACATTAGCAGCTTTGGAAAGTCTTAAGATAAAAGAACCAGGCAATAGCCATTCTGCACCGCTTCTCACCTCGTGGGTTATTGTATAGTTCGTATGAGGCAAGATATGTCAAAATTCTTGGAAATGAAAGAGCATGAAGCAAAACAATGGGAGATGAAGGCAGAGGTGGCATTCCATAGCTAATGATCTCTAACCTATCACATTTAAGTCTTTGTGCCCTGCTCCTTTTAATTTGCTTTTTTTTCTATATCTTACTTATCTTTGCTGCATTGACCTACACTCAGAGAGGCTCAACCTCAACCCAAAGGTTTTAACTTCTAATTTTATAAAAGTTAAATCCTTTTTAAATTTATAAAATTTCAAGGGATAGCACATTATATTTGTAATCTCTCAATCTGTTGGTTGAGAATACATACTTAATCAGCATTTAACAAACCTTCTTCTAGTACCCAGGGGCTTAATGGAATAAAAACAGATTCATAGAACCTATACTCTAGTGTGGAAAAATATGTAATAAAATAATTACACAGTCAAAGTAAAATGTGAAATGGTAAAGAGACACAATGAATTTAGTAACTTTAATTAGATTTGTATTTTAGTAATCACAGCAGATCCTATATGCATTAAAACTAATAGCATATCCTTTGTTTGGATTAGGCTTGATGTATTATTGTAGGCCCTTTACAATAAAACTCCCATACCATAAATCCACACCCAACATGTTAGGAATTTCTACATTGTGTGACCATTATGCCCTTAGCTAGAATTTATGTTAATTGAAGGCAAAGATCTTGCTTATTAATTAAACAGTCATTAAATAAATATATTAACATAAATAACTGCTAGCTTCTGCCTCAGACAAACCCAAATTTGTTTCTCACTTCTGTTACTTTCACAATGCTGAATGCTGATGAAAGGCAGGGTAAAGAAGGAATGAAAATGTGTTCCACAGAAGTCAAACTAACATAATCTCTGCCATCTTACTGTTGCACTTTCTAGAACACATACCTTCTGAGGCTGCCAGATAAGTAGAGCACAGATATGAAGGAAGTATTCCAGCTTTAACTGCTTCAACCCAGAGCTTTACCACCACAATGTGATGTAATTACTCCATGGCACAGTCTTCCCAAACACTTAGGCCTGTATCACTAATGCCTTTGATGGTGCCCACTCAATGAGAGCTTATTGCACGAAATAATGGAATGTAAAATAAAATCTTCTCTACAATCAAGCATTGCAAAAGGATTTTTTCTTTTACTCCTTTCTATCATGACACAACAGAACCTACAGCCCTGGCACAAAAGAAAAAGAAACATTTGGTATCAGCCATCACCTGGAAACATTGCAAACATGACTCAGAACCTCACATCGGTTGTCTGTGAAGTGTTCCCATGACTCTGCGGGAATGAGAGATCACTGGGAGTGATCCAGTGGCTGCTGCCTCATCATGTCCATCACAGTGAGCCTCTCTAATAAAATTCAGTCCTGTTCTTGCTTCTTTGAAGGGATAAGAGAGGCTAGCTACTTCCCACCAGCACTGAGCCTATCTCCTGCCAGTTTCAAAGCAAGGGGAACAGAAGTGCTTTCCACAGAGTAAAATATGCACACAGACTCCCAACACCCACCAAAGAAGGAAACACTAATTTCTGCAAGGTAAATACTTCTGTTACTGGTCAATTTTCTAGGTTTTTTTAAAAACAAAAACTGCCTTATATTCCCAGAGGTCTTTGAGTTCTGAAAGCAGCTTTGCATTAGCAATCCCATTTGATCCTCAAAATAATGTCATGCCATAGGTAAGGCAGGAGCTTTTATCACTATTTTAAAGGTGAGGAAAAATTATCCATAGGATTAGGTGGCCTGCCAGGAGGTCATACGAGGGAAGAAAAGCTGGCACTAGGCACAGAACCAGGCCCTCTGACTCCTGACATGGCACTCTTTGAACGTCATATCATGCCTCTTACCCCCAAATGGATGACGATCCTTTTGACCGTGGGTTGTGGTTTTGGCAGTTGCGCCCACCTTTGCTGTCTCAGATGCTTGCTATTCAAAATGACCACAGAAGGCTAAATCCAAAGGTGGCGATTGATAAAGAAACTGCTGAGACATCTCTCTCCTTCTAGGTTACCTCCAGTGAAGTCAAAAGTAATGTCAGACAGTGCTCAGATATCCAGTCCTTTCAAGATGTAATAATAAGCCACCTGTAAAACAAACAACTTGATGACAGTTTTCAGAGACAACAATTTCATTCTACATTACATCCTTTTTTTTTTTTTTTTTTGAGACAGAGTCTCACTCTGTTGCCCAGGCTGGAGTGCAGTGGTGCCTTCTAGGCTCACTGCAACCTCTGCCTGCTGGGTTCAAGGGATTCTCCTGCCTCAGCCTCCCCAGTAGCTGAGATTACAGGCACCTGCCACCATGCCTGGCTAATTTTTGTATTTTTAGTAAAGACAGGGTTTCACCATGTTGGCCAGGGTGGTCTCAAACTCCTGATCTCAAGAGATCTGCCCTCCTCAGGCTCCCACAGTACTGGGATTACAGGCGTGAGCCACCACTCCCGGCCTCTACATTACATTTTCTAAACTTTTTATCCACCACGTAGCTATTCTGAAGATGGTCTTAATTTCCAATGTTTATTTTACGAAAACTTAAGCTTGCTTACCCCATCTCTTTTCATACCAAAACATTTCTATAAAACTCAAGAAATCCATAACTCAGCATAATTAGTACATGGCATTCTCCCTGTTCTTTCTAAAATAACTGTCTGTACATGATAGAAGCATAAAATATTTTGGTTGTATTTTTTCAGTTCCTAGGAAAAGAATTTACAATTATAAATGGTTAACAGAAATTAATTGTATTTGGCTTGTATTTAAATCAAGCTGTTTATGCATACTCGTTATGCACCAGCACAGCTCCTTGCTTATATAGGCGTTCAATAAATATTTGTTAAATGATTGATGGAATGAATGATGCAATGCCCTGTGAGAACACAATGTCTTTGTCCTGCTGTATGAGTTTCGGTAGAAAATTAAAGTAGAGAATTACAAAGAATGGAAAGCTAGGCCTTTGAAGACAAAGATTCTAGTCATTAATACTAAATAACTAAATGACTTAGGACAAACTACTTGATTCACCAGGCCTTTAGGTTTCTTAACAACAGAATAAGAATATGGATAAGAATTGAGATGGTCTCTAAAGTGACCTTCAGCCACAAGTATTTTGTAATTCTAGATTGAAAAATATCAGCCAGAGAAAAATACCACTCTCACCAGAAAATAAGTATGAATGAAGGGTGATCCCAGACCAAGGTCTAGCTTTTTAAGTTTAAATGTGCCTGGGGGGTTTTAAGAATCTTAAAGAGTCTAACTGAAGACAATGAGACTTCCCAGAGTCTAACAGAGATTGCTTTTAGCACATTATCGTCTATTACAAGCCCTATAAAGGGACTGTAGTAGAAGGAGTTCAAAGTAGGCTCTGAGGAAAAAGGAACGGCACTGAGGAAAGCTAAAGTTTCTTCTCCTATTATTTTTTCTTTAACAAAGCAGATGAGGGAAAGAAAATACCTGTCATGAACTGTTCCGAAGTCCCCAAATTTGAAGAATGACTATTAAAAGTCTCTTGGAGCACAAAAGGAAAGAAACCTAGAGGAAATAGAATTTATGGAAAGAGAACCCGGAACAAAACTCCTAATTTCTGAAGAAATTGGCAGCTCAGACAAGAGTTTCAACCAGACACCAAAAAGGGGTCGATCTGGGATCCAAACAGGAAAGGACCGTGCTCTGCCAATGGCTACAAAGTAGCTGAAGAAAGTACCTCAGCCTCTGAGGAGAGAATAGGAACCACGTGAACAGATTGCTGAAAGGTTAGGAAGGGCTCAGAAGAGTAAGCAGTGACCACCTCAGAGCAACGAAACCTACAGTCAGCACCAGGTGAGGCTTCATCTGCCTCAGTCGATGATCCTGACACTCCAGAAGTTTCTCCTACTATCACACTTGAAATAACTAGGCAACTGTGTGTGTGTGAGAATTCTGTCGGCAGTGCTGCAGCAGGAGAATACGAAGCAGGGAAGACTGTGACTCCGAACTAAGACCTTCAAAGGAGAAATTATCTTTCTTCCCCTTCCTCCCACCACAACCCTTCTCCTTCCTTTGTTTCCTCGGGGATAGCAGAGCAAATTCCACCTAATATAACCTAACGTTTAGGCTAAAGACCTCTCAGGCCTGCCAGCAAATCCCTCAGCTCTGCCTCTGGATGGGGGTATCACATCGACCAATAAAGTTGCCCATAAAGAAAAGCATAGACCCAACCAGAACACTGACTATGCACCCATTATATGTAAAGCCAGGTTTTTTAGAAAATAAAAAGGTAGGCAAGGCATTGTAGCTGCTATAAGAGGTTTCAAATCCAGTGGAGGAGATAAAATATTGAATAAGCAAGACGAAGTAAACAATGTGCCAAATGTGAAGCTGAAACAAAAACCTAGTGCAGGAAGAGTCAAGATCCCTTCCTGTGTGGCTGATAGGGTTGGTTCACAAGAAAAAGCATCAGAGACAAACATGGAAGGACCATCTGTTTCTCTCCATCCTCTTCTACCACCCTCTTCTATGCTATACTCTTCTCTTCTCTTCTCTTCTCTTTTTCTCTTCTCTTGCCTAGAATACTAAAAATGCCCCACATTTATTTCTACCTCCTCTTACCAATTCTCTAATCAGAGGCAGAGTGACTTTTAAAAAGCAAACCTCATGCCACTCCACTGTTTTCAAATCCTTTCATTGTACTTAGAATACAATTTAAGGTTAAAGGTTTCACCTAATTTGGCCTCTCTCTACATCTGTAGCCTCATCTTAAGCCTCCCTTTCCCACTGTAGTCTCTCTCAACCTTGGTGGTCTTCATTCATTTCTTTCCATATACTTGTTTGAGGCATTTACATTGGCTATTTCCTCTGCCCTGAATGCTTCTCTCTCCCCTCCCCTTTGCTTAATTAATTCTTGCACTATCCCTCATCCAAACCCATATCCCTGTCCCGACATGCTGACATATCCCTCTCCCCTGTTCCCACTAGGTTAGTATATCTGTTGTCTGTTCCTGTGGCCCCCTGTGCTTCTCTTTCATAGCACTTATAATGGTTGATAAGTGTGTTACTTGTGGAATTCTTCAATGACAGTTGACACTCCCATATATAAGCTCCAGGCAGAGACCGTGTCTATATTCTCACCTTTGCACAACATCTAGCTCAGAGCCACAAAAAGTAGGCACTCATTAGCTACTTCTTCAATGAATAATGAATATTACAGATCAATCATCAGCTCTGTTTCAAAAGAGGGAACTGAGGCTCAGAAAGGCAAACAGACTTACTCAAAACCCCAGGTTGCTGAACCAGAAAAAATAGTCTTGTCTCCAGACTTTTAATCCCATAGTTCTCATCCAGTTCTACCACATGGCCCGAAAGCTTGTTCATGGGCCAAGTCACAGGTTCTAACTCTATTGCTGGGACAAAAGATAATTGAGAGGAGAGACAAAAGGAATTATTCATTGGGTCATATGAGCAGTTGAACATAAGTGAGAAATTGAGAAATGAAAGACTGAAACTCAAACGAAAAGTTGATGAGTGGGTGGTGTGGTTAAGGTATTGACACACAGTTGAGAGATTGATCTGGTTGACTGATCTGAGATGTACACACATACAGCACAGGAGATGAGACTCCACAAAGACAGCACATATACCTCGCCAGAACCTAATTAAGAGAAAAGAATTCAGTGGAACAAGTGAGTGTTCTGGAAAGTACAACAGGATCAAGTTTTGTTCAACTGATTTTGGATTATAAATTCCTCCTGGGGGTTGGAGGGTTGGGGGTGGGGGTAAAGGCAGAAAATAGGCAATCTATTGATGTTTTAATATTTGAGGAATTGTACTTATTAAGCAATATGTATACTATTGAGTCTAAAAATGCCAAGTTCAAAAAAAATAATAATGGAAGTATTGGAAGCCAAAGAAATGGTCTGATGAAGTGATGGGGGTTAGACATGAGAGTGGGGCTCCATGCTGGAACCACACCCTTCTGTTCAGCCAGATCACATCTTGGCCATGATCCTCCCTTTCAACCAGTGCCAGTCACAAGGAGGAGGTGTGAATCCAGGCCCAAGGCTGAAGCACAAGGTTGATGAGCCGCAAAGGGGAGGGCCGCCTCAGCCTAAGCAGGGAAGGCAAGGGCTCTTTTATATTTCCTCTGAAAGCAGCATAATGTTTTAACTCAAATGTGGAGGGCTATTAGTTTCCCAATCACCCCCCCGCAAAAAAAGGTCTCAAGTGTGGGATTCCACAAAACAGAGCTGCTTTTGAACTCCCCCGCCCTCAACATCTGCAGCCATTTTCGTCCTCCGAGCATTGCCAATTTCTGCTTTCAGGACTGATATCTCCACACACACACATGGGTTCTGGCAGCCTCTGTTCAATAGGCTGCAGGAAGCCGAGTCAGCAAGGAAAAGGGCAAGGGATTCTCTGCACATGGCTCTAACTTTAGTTTGTCACTAAATCTCTGCCTATAGAAAAACTTTAGAATATACAAAGTGCATTGAGGCGGTTGTGTGAAAATGCCTCCAGGCTTATATAAGGGTAATTAAATATATATACATACACTCTCAGAGTAGTCCGGGTAATATTACTTTCAGATTTTAGAAGAGTGATAACACATTTTTAAATTAATTTTTACACAGAGAAGACTCCTCAGTGTGGCACAGTGGAAAGAGTGCAGGCTTTGGGCTCACACCAGGCTTTGAATCCTGACTGGGTAAGCATGAAAAAGTTGCTAACCCACTCTGTGGCTCAGTTTTCCTGCTTTTCCTACTATAAAAGAATTGTAGCAACCACTTTGGAGATGTGGAGAATTGGAGATAATATCTGAAAGCACATATGCAAAGCTTAGAATGTAACAGGCACTCATTAAATGGCAGCTACATTCACACATAATGATGAAAGAAAACAAGGCAGTATTTTTCTTTGTCTGTGTTATTAACAATCATTAATGAGATTGTAAAACTTGAGTTGGTAAAAGTCAACTCAGCCCCAGTATACTGAGTGAGTCACTGACAAGCCATTCTTCATCAGGTTCCTGATTCTAATTATTAAGTATTTCCTCAATATGCTTTCATTCACACGGGGGGGCGGGGGGCAGTGAGGAGGGGCTTCCTATCCTTAAAAAAAAAATTGTAGGAGGTTGTCTATGGTATGATCTCAGTCACAGCACAGGTAAGCACTCCTTAAAGTTCTTGCATCATCACCTGACTTCCTCAGCCTACCTGCTTGCATTTACAGTTGCTTAAAAATCTAGTTCAGAAGAGGAAAGTATTAATAGTTTAAGCCTTCCGATCCAGTTTAGTTACCGACAGTTGCATAACATTAGCTATCGCTTCTCTGAAAAGGAGTCCCCAAATTGCGTCTCCCTTCAAAGTGGTGCCACATAGCTTCAGCTTCCCAAGAGACAACCCTTTCAGCCCACCTTGTAGGCTTTTAGCCTTACGCAACTAATGGAAACTTACAAAGTACTTAGAAACTATACAATTCCATGAACAGTCTACAGTACCTGGGGTATCCAATCTTTTGGCTTCCCTGAGCCACATTGCAAGAGGAAGAATTGTCTTGGGCCACACATAAAATACACTAATACTAACGATAGCTGATGAGCTAAAAAGATAAAAATAAATTGCAAAAAACAACTCATAATGTATTTAGACAGTTTACAAATAGAAAATCTCAGAATGTTTTAAGAAAGTTTACAAATTTGTGTTGGGCTGCATTCAAAGCCATCCTGGGCCGCATGCAGCCCATGGGCTGCAGGTTGGACAAGCTTGAGCTATACATTGCAGTGATTTTATTAAAGAGTTGCCAGTCCCCCACTTCAGTCACAGATTTACTCATTTTTTGTGAACACACGGTGATCATCCCTCCTCGCAACTCTCCCCATGGTCTTCCAATTTGAATGCCTTTTCTTATCCTTTCTCCACATCAATCCCTAAACCCGAACTGACTCCCAAGAGTCCACTCCATTAACAACGGCCTCCAAGACTTTGCTGCCACTCCAAGCCTCCTGTGAACTCATTCAAAAGTATTTCTTGAATACCTCCAACATGCCAGGCCAGGCCCACAGCATTCACTGGCTGCCACTCTTGTTTGACATTTAATTATCTACCGCTTTGGAACACTTCTTCTGTCATTATTTAACTCCAGTTATCTAAAGGGTCACTGTGTCTCTTGTCAATTTGTTAAATTTTAAATATACTTCCATTTCCCATAATCCCAGAATAGTTCAATATCAAAAAGAAGATCCTTATTAAGATTTTGAATTAAAAAAATGAACTTACCAGCAGATACTACTGCAGTAAGCCATTATTTATTCTTTTGCACAAATAAATTTTGCATGCTTTATTCATTATGGTTTTCACCAAGCAGGGTAAAAGATTCAGAACTAGCATGGTTGTGATGGATTGGATAATAAAAATGTGGTACATACACACCATAGAATACTACTCAGCCATGAAAAAGAACAAGATCGTATCTTTTGCAGCAACATGGACGCAACTGGAGGCTATAATCCTAAGCAAATTAATGCAAAAACAGAAAACCAAGTACCACATGTTCTCACTTATAAGTGGGAGCTAAACATTGGGTACTTATAGACATAAAGATGAGAACAATAGACCCTGTGGACTACTAGACAGGTCAGTGAGGGCAGGGTGTGGGTTTAAAAACCACCAAAATTACCTGTTGGGTACTATGCTCACTATCTAGGTGGTGGGATCCATACCCCAAACCTCAGCATCACACAATATAGCCATGTAACAAACCTGCACATGTGCCCTCTGTATCTAAAAGTTGAAATTGTCCTAAAAAGTGAAAAATTTAAATTGTGTGTTTTTTTGAGACGGAGTCTCGCTCTGTCGCCCAGGCTAGAGTGCAGTGGTGCAATCTCGGCTCACTGCAACCTACGCCTCCCTGGTTCAAGCGATTCTCCTGCCTCAGCCTCCCGAGTAGCTGGGACTACAGGCGCCAGCCACCACACCTGGCTAATATTTTGTATTTTTAGTAGAGATGGGGTGTCACCGTGTTAGCCAGGATGGTCTCAATCTCCTGACCTTGCGATCCACCCGCCTCGGCCTCCCAAAGTGCTGGGATTACAGGCGAGAGCCACCGCGCCAGGCCTTAAAAAATTTTTAAAAGAAAAAAGAACAAGAGTGGTTTGAAGCTGAATACTTTTTTTGCCTAGCCTCACTCTGACTCCTGCCGATGCTGGCTCCACATCTTCTCATCCCCTCAGCCAGGTGAGCCTCACATTTGTCATGTATGTCAAGTTCCTTTCACTTGAGAAATTTCTACAATCTGTTCTCCACTCTTGCAAATGTTTAAAGTAAAGCATTTTAAAGTATTTATGCTTTCCGTTTATTCTGGCTTAACAGAGGTTTTGTATTAAAATTAGAGATATGATTTGAGACTCTATATAAATAAAATTGGAATCTTTCCACGTAGACAAAGGGGAAACTAAGAATGTCTATGGAGTGAACAACATAAATCCATGAGCAAGGAGGTTGGGGTCTCACAAACAGGAACAGAACTGTGAAGGAGCTTCATATAAACATCTTCACATACTTACGAAGGTGAACCAAGAGGCAACTTGGCTTCTCTTCTTTTCAAAAAAAAAAAAAAAGTTTCTAAAAAATGGAGTTGTTTATAGTCATTCAAAACTCCATATCCATAAAACAGGATAAGGAATGTCTCAACACTGTAGATAAAAGTCATTTGGAGAGAGAACACTCCCTTTAATCCAAGGAATGCGTGCTGATTAGATGACGAGGGTGAACGAAGGCAGTACAACACCTATTATTAATAATAATAAAATGACTTTGAACTTCTCCAGTCCCTTTCATCTAGGAATTTCAATTTGTTATTAAACCTCACTTTTACTTTATCACCCCTTGTAAGGCAATAAAACTGTAATACTTAGAATTTCTACATTCTCTTGTAGTTTTAAATACTTTATCATCATTCATTTGTTGTTCAAGGCTATAACTTACTGAGTAAGCTAGGGTAATTACCCCATTTTATACAGATAGGGAAACTGAGATATAACAACTTCTTGCCGAGACCACACAGTGAGGCTGCTGCAGAGCCAGAATCAAGGCTAATACTTGAATTCGTGCAGGGCTTCTCGGTGGGAAAACTAAATCAGTTCCCACGCTTCCTCCTGAACAGCTATCTTAAGACACAGGTAGCCTTAAAATAAGGAACTTCAGAATTTTAAAAATTAACTTAGAAGAAGTAGAATAATGTTAAATATTCTGCACACTTCAAACTTAGAAGGACTAAAGAAAGGCTAACTGACAACTCATAATAGAACAGGAAGAGAAAAAGAGGAAGTGGGTGATAAACATTCACTGCTTTTCCAAAGATTCACCCCTAACTTTCACAATGGGTAATTGAAGATGCTAAATAACAACATATAACTTGTACTTTATGTATACATTGATATTATCTGATTGCAGCTCAAATTGCCTTTTAAACCCATTCTTCTCTCCCCACCCACCAGGCACTGGGAAGAGGCTGGCAATATCTTGAACATACTACCTTTCAAATCCTTCCTTAAGTGACAATGACAGCAACATTAGTGACAACTCTTGGATGGTACGGAGCATTTTTAGCCCTTAGAACCTACTCATTTGAAGTTAGTGAACTTCTGAAGAATAATTGCCTTAAATATCATATTTTAAAATTCAAATGTTATACTGAAAAAAAGCAAATACTTTATCAGGCATTTGTGGTCACTTGACCTTTTCCAAACCTAGAATGTTAGCCTTATTAAAATCCACAGCTTTTCTGCCTCTTTCCATTGCGAAAGGGAGGAGGGAAAGACCTAACCCTTAGACAAGTATTTTATTTAACTTCAGAGGCCACTGAAGTATTTTATTTCCTTTGTGAACTTTCCAAGTGCCTTCTGCCCTAGGCAACAAGCAAAGGGTGAATGTAAGGAGTGGTGAAACCAAAAGTGGCTTGGCTGCTCCAGTCAAAAAATAAAAATCAACAACATGTCCAACAGTTGAGATAAATACCCTCCAAACTTGCATCTTGTACATGAAACTGGGTCAGATCAGGCCAGGCCAGGTCATTGTCCCCAGCGGTAGTTATCGATGGAAAACAATGCCACAGGCAAAGAACCCTGGACCAGGGAGATCCCCCTACCTCCCATATCCCCATACCCTAAAGACAGATCATGCATGTACTTTGGCCATGTATAGAAAAACAAAAATAAATAAACCACCCCTTGATTACTAATCTCAAACTTCAGGCAATGTGTGAATGAGATGACTGAGAATACGTGCCGAACTCTGCATTCCTCAACAGAAACCTAGCACCATGTGTATTTCTATCAATTTAATACATTAGATTACACTTAATACAGAAGGCAGACTCTGTTTTTCTGTAAAGTAGAATTGCTACATTTCTACTCTTCCGTTAGCCCACCCTGCAAAACAGCAACAACAATTTAAAAAAAAAAATGCTCCTCTAGACCTTTCATTTTGTTTTCCAGAAATATTGCCAATTTTGCCAAGTTAAAGCCAAGATTCACCACTGCCGATTCCACCCCCAACCCTGCCAAAATCTGAGAAAAACAATAGTTTCAGACATGACAAACACATTGCAAAAAGAGTCAGAACAACAAGTTATGGAAACAGGAAATTATTTAAAACCTTGAATAAAATATCCTTGAAGCACTTAAAACACACACACACACACATTTCCAAGTCAAAGGATACATTGGAAGTCCTCTTAAGGAAATGTAATTTGGCAAGTGACTGCCTAGTAGAAATTTATACCATTGGTAAAAGTTGTTCACTAGATGCAGAAGAGCTAAACTGCAAGTTCATGGAAGAAACCACCTCTTCAAATCTCAATAAAAGATTAGCAGGCAGTTGCTTGTAGGCTTGGCTTTAAATCTGCCAAGCTGGCTTGGAGGCAGCTCATTTTTTTTTTTATACAAGTCTTCATTCAAAATCAAAATTAGACCCAACTGTCCCTTGCAATTACATTTTAGTGGCTTGAGCTGGGTGTTTGTGTTTTTTCTAGGTGATTAATAGCGCTCACATTTAAATGGTCTCAGTCAGCCTCTGCAGTCATTAACACCCTATTAAGATGGATGAGAAGAACTTCGCACCTTTTGTTTCAGTTTGCAGGGCCCTGGACTTCACAAAACAGCAAGGCACTGATTTAGGAAGGGAAGATTATCTGCACAACCAGACAAGCTAAAACTTCCTTTAAAAACAAACAAATTTTCAAAATCCCTTATAAAACCTTATTTTTGGAAACACTCTTCAAATATCATCTTAAGAACATTAAGCCCGAAGTTTCCCCGTACCTGAATTTATGCATATATTTGGCATGGTTCTTCAGTAATGTTTACAGAGCTCCGGGTTTCTTCACTACTGTTGCCTTTGCTCAAAGCCTGTAATTATGATCGGGAGACTTCTGTTTCTAAGGAAAAGCAATAGTAACATGAATATCTAGTTGCCTTTGAGGAAAAATACATTAGTGAAAGTCTATGTGTGACAATCAAAACGCTGGCTCCATTCCTCCAAAATGGTAGTGAAACCTCATGTATTTGGAAAATTCAAGTAAGAGTTAATTGGTTCTATTTAAAGGAAAAAAAAAAATGAAGAAGCTAAAAGTCTACAGCAGTATGCTGCCCGAGATTTTGTTTAACCACCAGAGTGGTCATTGACACTGGTATTTTTAAATTTTCCTCAAAAAGCATTCCCTCAAGCACATCCTGTGTGGTGATGGTGGTGAATTTGTAGCAAAACCACTTGTTCACAAACTTGCAAAACAGAGTACTTCACCTTTTTGTGTTGAAGTTCTCACAGAGCAGGACACACCCTCCTTTTAGAACAAAAACCTGCATTTAATTGATAGGTTTGTTCTGTGTACAGGTGGTCCGTGAATCAACAAGGCATTGCCATTGTTATCATTTTGACTTACCAATTAAGAAAGTGAATTTATTGGATGTAAATTATTTATGCTATTGCCTCTTAATTATTATCTTCCATTGAAGCAGATATCTTTCAAATCATACGGGAAAGTATAGCATTTTTAAAGCAATGACAATATGCATATCTTAGCCCAGTCACATAAAAGTTCAGAATCCATGTGCATCTCACATCCTTTACCTGAGTACCCATACACACACATGCCTGATATTCCTTATTATACTTTTATATATTATAGGAAAAGCTTTTCCCAAGGAGCAAATGTAGCAATGTACCTTCAACATTCTAACAAGTTATTTACACCCAATTTCTACAGAAGGCAAACGTTCTTCCTTCTAGCTATTTGACAATCCCAACAGTTTTAAAAATTATTAAATTCCTATTCATTCCAACTCTAAAATTATAAAGTTAACCATTTTCTCTCTTCTCTCCTATTATATTTGAAGGACTGTCCTACTCCTATCAAGAACCAATCCCCCTACTAGTGTTATAAAATTCATCCTCCTCATCCTCTCTAGGATTTCATACCCTCCTTACTACATCATCAATTTCCCTCTCTCTATTGGATCTTTCCCATCAGTACACAAGCATGCTGTAGTAAGAATGGCCTCACCAGACACCCGATCTGCTGACACCTTGATCTTGGACTTCCCAGCCTCCAAAACTGTAAGAAATAAATGTGTGTTGCTTAAACCAGTTTATGGTATTCTGTTCTGGCAGTCTGAACTAAGACAGATCCTATATCCCCTTCCAGCTGTTACTACATTTCTCTGCCCCAATTCACAATAAAAATTTTCTAAAGAAATTCTCTCACTCTTATCTCCCATTTTCATTTCTACCCCCTCCAGCCCCATTTGTTTTCTGTCCCCACCACTGCACTGATATTTGTTCTCTGATTTCTTCCGTGACCTCATCCTAATTGGGTAGTGTTTAATATGTTGTCTAATTTTCCTGTTCCTGGAACACACTCCCGACTCTCCACCCTGTGGTGATTTTCCTTCTACCTCCCTGGCCCGTACTTCTCAGACTCCTTTATTGGTTCTTCAGCATCCAGCTAACATTTGATTTTACAAAGCTCCAAGTCTTGGTTCTGTATCTTTTACCATCTTTTAGGTGGAATGATAGGTAATAATATTTGAGGTGAACCTGGAAAGTCATCCCCGAGAAAGAAACCATTCTGCTCACTCTCCATCTTCTTTACCTGGAGAACCAACCATGGAGGCCAAGGTGCCTTAATGTGGCAGGAAGAAAATCTGTAGGGTACGGTATTTAGAAAGAGGACATGACCAGCTGTGCTAAATGCAACCAGAAATGAAGTAAAAGGAGGATTGAGGTGTGTCCACTGGAATTCTTTCGGAGATTATTAATGACCTTAGAAAGAACAATTCTTTGGGGCAATGGGGACAGAAGGCAGCTGAGAGTGGATATAGCTGCAAGTGAGAACGGAGCAGAAATAAGGATAAGTGACAATTGTTCAACGACTAAGTAGTCCCATGCTTTAAAATTCTTCAGAATAAGCAGTATGATTCATAGGTGTATGTAAGTTAACTTTAATCAGACCTCAGTAGGAGGTTAGTTAGCTCTTAGATGAATGTCATTAGGAATCTAGACTTACAGAGGCACTAAGACAAGTGCTTCAAATACTATCTCAATCTACCCCAGATAGTTAATTACCTTACTGGATGTTGGAAATAAATTTTCTTTTGTGAAATGAGTAGGGTTCATGATATTTGGAGAAGAAAAGAGATTGTGTGGGTTCTATCTTCTCCATCTGAAAGAAATTAAAGAATCTAGCAAACCTAATAGCCTAACACCTTCTAACTAGAGCCTAGGTTTCCAACTCCTGTGTCCTCCACACATACAGGGCTCTGATGCCCGATCCAATCAGAAGTCCCACAGAATATCAGGTGTCACTTTAGAGGAATTCTTTCATGCAAATGCCAAAAGACAGCAATGGTCTCAGTTGATTTTATAGGAACTGGTTTTATACATTTTGTGCCTATTTTATAATAAATATTGGTATAAATAGCAGATTTCAAACTAAGACTTGCATCCATTATAACACACTACCTGGAAGTAAGTGACAACGAGGAGCCATAAATCCTTCTCTACCTCTAATGATCAGAACCTACTGATGTTTACCAAAATACTCTGACTATTTTTGAACTGCAAATTTAGCTTGAGGTCACTTGGTAGCAACTCTTTAAAGAAGTGTAGCTGTGAAAGGAAGAAGAAAGGTAGGCAGTAGATGAATGGAAGGAGAGCTAACTAGAATCAAGAAAGTGGTTTTGGAGGGCACAGTAGCTCACGCCTGTAATCTCAGCAATTTGGTAGGCCGAGGTGGGAGGATCACTTGAGCCCAGGAGTTTGAGAGTTTGAGGCCAGCCTGGGCAACAAAGTGAGACCCCTTCTCTGCAAAAAAAAAAAAAAAAAAGAAGAAGAAGAAGAGAAAGAAAAGAAAAATTAGCCAGCTGTGGTTCCAGGACACGCCCATGGTCCCAGCTACTCAGAAGGTGGGAGGCTCCCTTGTGCCCAGAAGTTCAAGGCTGCAGTGAGCCACTACACTCCAGCCTGTGCAATAGGGCAAGACTCTGTCTCAAAAAAAAAAAAAAAAAAGAAGAAGAAGATAAAATGAAGTTTTTATATTTGTTTTTGTTTATTTATTGTGTTTCTAAATGGAAGAAAAAGAAAGGAAGATCAGAGACTTAAGACACAGAAATAAAATCTGAAAGAATAGTGGGTGATAGCCAGGAAGCAGAGGAAGAAGGGACTTAAACATGGGGAATGATAGGCCTTAGAAATATCAGGCTCCCTCCCGTAATAAACAGAGGGAAGAAAATGAGGACGAGGTAGTGGTGGGTAGCTTTGCAGATTTTATAGCAGAGATTTCAAGATCTTACCTATTTCTCCCTGAGGTGAAATACAGGTGAAATCATTCTTTGAGGATAAGTGGAGTGGTAGATAATTCACAGATTTTAAATTCTCCAAATATAGAATTGATCAATGGAACTCAAGTTTAATATCTAGAGTTTATGATGTTGGTTATTCTGAAGCTATCAAGATTGTGCTTGTATAAAAATATAAAGGCCAAAAAAATCTGTGAATTCACAGTGAAAATTTATTTTGCTTTTTTCCTACAGTTTCCTTATTTCCAAAGCTCAAAATGGAGAAAGTGATTTAATCAGTTCGTTTGAGAACTGGATCACTGCCTAGTAAACAGGGGTATGATGTCCATTACCACATAAATGCCTCAGTAAAAGGGTGTAGTCACTCCTGCAGCCACATCCATATTTCAAGGGAGTTGGAGGAAAGAAGGTTGATATAAAGAGTATTAAATTAAATTTCTTTCTTTTTGCTTTGTTTTCCTTATTTTATTTCTTAAGTAAAGTAATTTAGGAACAGGGACCTGCTTTCATTTACCTGGTTTTGAATTTGTTTCAAACCAGCTTTGGGGTTATTGTTTGTTTTGCAGCTGTCATTCTAGCTTCTATTATATTCCATTTCAAAACCAACATTTTAAGTCATTATCTTTTAGATGCCTGTCATATGGGAAAGTACCTGCTATAAATTGCCAGAGAGCAAAATTTTAGTTTTCTATACTTACTACTATTCTTTATATTAAATGGAAATAGTGGTTAGGGTACCAAAAAAAATTCTTTTTCTGTTTTCTTCTTAACTTTTTGTTCTATATGAAGCTCCAGAAAACCAGTGTTTGACAGAGGGATTATACACAAAATGCAAAGGTTAGAAAGTATGTGAATTATCCATACATATGGTCTGGGGTTTGGGTATTAATGAGACTTAGAAATCTGGAGTATTTCGCCTTGATCCTAAAGCCCCATGGAATGCTTCGGGTGTCTCGCCACATGGTGAAGGAGATGGGAGAAAACTGGCAGAGGCTCTCCCTTCCCACCCAGTTTAACTGATTGAGACAGGGCAATTTTGCTGGAAGAGTCTGTTGGCAATCTGTAGGTCTCAGCTTGCTCCTCTATGCCTTGCTGTGAGAAAGAGCTGTTGGAAGAGAATCAAGGCAAGAAACTTTTGCTGCTCTGGTTTAAAGCTTATGAAAGCAAATGATCTCCAGGGCACTAATCCTTTCACCTTAGTAAACATGCAACAGATCTACACGAAAGAAAATCTGAAAGACATCCCATTTCTCCTCCTGCAGCAACTCAGGCTCCACACTGACTAATAGGTGTCTCATGAGTCTCCACAGGAGAAACGTAAGAAAACAAAAAAGACAGAAGTTGGAGGGTAAAAAAAAAAAAAAAATCATGAATTCCCATAAAGCCCAAAGTTGCTCTGACTAGAAGCCATGTGTTATTCCTCCTTGTCCTTACTGCACAGATAAAGATAGTTTGACAGAAATCAACATGGGTTGCTAATAGTCATTTTGCTTTATTTTTAAACTCACAACAGGATGTCAGGTTTTGTGTTGTTTTACTTTTTAATCAACCCCATTCTTTCCTATTTACTGGCACAAACTCCCTCGGCAACTTGCTGTGTCAGGGAATGACTTTGAGAGGCAATCTATTAAACTCAAAACTGAAGGATTTTTCCCCCTGTAGATCTGTTTCTCAATTTTAATTATTGATTGAAAATTGTTTGCAATGAATAAAAATACACACTGAAGGTAGGGGATGAAAACAAAAACACACCCAAACCCAAAGATATTTTTCCCCTTAGTCACATATTTCTTTTAAAATATTGGTATGGATTGTCAGTGTATTTGAGGACATTTGGCAATCCATACCAGGGCTTTCATCTCCGGAAATTGAATATCAGGTCAAACTAGTGGTTTTATCGGGCCCTTATCAGCAAACAAGAGCATGAAAAATAGTATTTGATATATAGTCCCTAGAGAAAGTGGCGAGGCAACCTGGCACCAAATTACAGGAATTATGGATGTTATACCAATATTTTAATCAATAAAGCTGTGACTTTTCTCCACTAGGGACACATTACTTGGTGAAATACCTGAGCTTGCTTTAAAAACCCGGTCTCTGGGCAGTGTGGGAGGAGAGGGGAGGAATGAAGGGGATCACACTACATCTAATCCAAACACCTTTAAAGAGAAGAGAAATCCACATTGGAACAAAGCTAGGCAACCATCAAATGAAGATGTCCTTCCTGAATAATAGAAAGGGAAGTCCCCCCACGCCAGCATGGGGATTTTCCCAAAGAGCAAAGCACGGATTTATGTTCCCCTTTCAGTCTCTTCCCTCCAGTGTAATGATGGGAAATTCTCTGAAAACTTCAGCTATCACCCATTATAAACCATTAACAGAGGTCTCACAATGACTTTGCATTTTCTGCCTCTACAAATGCGACAAATGCAGCTGGAGGACTGAAATTTTCCCCTGGCTGCCCCAGAGATAGACTGGGATACTGAAGGTCCCAGATTGAAAACATCAGGAAGTCTTTAGAGGTCATCATTTCAAAGTCATAGGAATGGGTCTTTATATTACAGAAGGAATGGGAGGGAGGATAGGGAGAAAGATGGAATCTTAGATCAGACCAAACTTTATAGCTACAGGCTGGGATTCCCTGAAGCTGATGGGGTGACCCAGGGTGGATGTATAACGCACCTGACTTCACCAAAAGACCGGAAGAGAGGTGAGATTACAAACTGAGTGCATCAGTATGACTATCTCCATGAGGGACCATGGGAAATATTAAACATTAGCTGCAAATTTTCCCCTACTATGTCATCACTGCCGTAAGTTAACCCAGTCCATCTTACTATCAGTCATATCTACTGCTTGAGTGGCAGTGGTGAAAGAACAAATGGACAGGGTAGTTAAGGGACCTGTAGCCTTCCCAAAGCCAGGCTCTGTTGGCAAAGAGTAGGATGCACAATCATCTTCCATTAGCCACAGTTTCACTTTCATGGTTTCAGTTACCTGTAATCAACCATGCTCCAAATATAGTAAATGGAAAATCAGACGATCCTCGCTTCAGAAGGTCTATTGACCTAACGCTCTGTCACAAGGCCTACATCATTCATCTCATCACACAGGCATTTTATCATCTCACGTCTTCACAAGAAGGGTGCATACAGTACAATAAAATATTTTAAGAAATAGACCACACTCACATAACTTTTATGACAATATATTGTTATAGTTATTCTAATATCTGCTTTTGTTGCTAATTGTTTACTTGCCTCATTTATAAAGAAGACTTTATCATACTATGTAAGTATGTGAAAACCAGTATATACAGGGTTTAGGGCTACTTAAGATTTCAGGCCTTCACTATGGTTCTTAGAATGTGTCTTCCATTCATGTCACCATTGGGCCTAGTTGCAGAAGTTCAAGAGGATGACTGTAGCAAAGAAGGGGTTGGCCCACAGGAAAGAGGAGTGACAAAAAGTTGCCTATGGCACTGAGGAGGAGAACAGAGAGCTATAAGGCAAACCACTCTTTTCCCATGATACGTAAATATGTGATTCATAAAAGGGAGTGTGGGGAGGCAGGTGCTTGGGTGGCCTGCACTATATTTCTTCTTGTCTGGTTACCTAAACATCAGAGATGTCTTCACTACAGACTTTTGATAGAATCTTCCAAGTTATTCAGTTTCTAACCAAAATGTTCAGCCCTGGAGTTTTTCTAAAATAGTGATTATCAGCTAGTGGTATAAGTGCCACCAGTGGAAACCCCCAAAAAAGCCTAGAGTTGAAAATTACTTCCCTTACCAAAACCTGGCCATTCTCTCCCATTCTTTCTCACTACTCATCCATTTAACAAATATTTATAACAAGACTGGAATGTAGCAAGATCATTATTTCAAATATTTGTGTTTTCCTTTCTGAACTTCCTGTGACATCCCCTCTAGTCAGCCAGAGGCAAGCACATAGCCTTGAGGAGAAGTCAATTTGAGATATTTGTTTTTAATTTCTAAAATAGTCTCTAGAGAATCAAAAGAGAAGGCCTGAGGGGAGCAAATGATCAAGTTCAGGTCATGAAAATAGAGCAGGTAAAAAAATAGAGGAACAGAGAAATGTGCAGGGAAAGGCTGAGGGGTGGTCGGGGCTGAGAGCCTCAGAAAGGAGAGGTCACAGTGGACGGTGGAGAGTGGGACCTCAGGGCAAAGCTGGAGACCACCTCTCAGGATTCCAGGAGTACAGCCCAGAGTGGGGAAGAAAAGACTCGGCAAACATTTTCTGTGATGCTGAGAGTGAAGCCTTCTATTCCAGAGGTCTATGCATAGCCCTGAATCTTTTGCAGAAAGACTTCCCATCCCCAGCACAGGCCCCGGAACTTTCTAAGCTCATCTGAGATTATTTGAATGAATTACTTTCCTCCCTCTTTATCAAAACCCCTAATAAACATAAGCCCTCAGAACAGAAAGCAGGGCGTCAACACACAGGCAGCACTGGTGGCTTCAAAGTCCTGTCGTGAGGACAACCGCAGAGGGATACAGAGATGGAGGCACTACAACTTCACAAAGCCTATGGGCCAGGCCCTTTGCTACCTAGGACTCAAATAACAGGATAGAGTCACAGCTCTCGGGCAGAATGCAAGAGGTTTGAAAGAGGAGGAGAGAGAAGGGAGAGGAGAGAGGGAGAGAGAAAACAGATATCCATAGTAAAATAGAAGGAATATTGAGTTCACCGTAGGAACATAGAAGAGAATATCTTAAACCAGAATCGTTGCTTCAGCTGAGTATTAAATGATTAATAGCATTTAGCCGCAGGGAAGGTGTATTAGTTTCCTATTGCTGCTGTATAAAATTACCAAAAATTTAGTGGCTTAAAACAGGAGACATTCATTATTTTACAGTTCTGGAGGTTAGGTTAGAAATCTGAAATGGGTTTTACCAGGCTAAAATCAAGGTGACAGCTGAGCTGCATTCCTTCTGGAAGTGCTAAGGGAGAAGCTATAGCATTCCTTGGTTTATGGCCCACTTCTAGCAATGACATCACTCTGACCATCACTTCTAGCAATGTCATCACATCACCTTCTCTGACTCTGACCCTTCCTCCTATAAGGACCCTGTGGTTACATTGGGCCCATCTAGATAAGCCAGGTAAATCTCTCCATCTCAAGACCCTTAGCTTAATCACATCTGTACATCTGTAAAGTCACTTTTGCCATTTAAGGTAACATATGCACATGTTTCAGGAATTAGCACACAGATATCTTGGGAGAAGGAAAGGGCATTGTCCTGCCTACCACAAGGAAGTTTCAAGCAAAGGCAACAACCACTGTATAGTCCAGAAGGCAGAGAGAGAGTAGTACATGTGAATGAAACCCCAGGTCAATAAGGCTTAAAAAAAGGGAAGTCAAGGTCCAGGCAGGAGTGATAAGAGAGTGTTCAGTGGGACAGGCAACGACTGGGTCAGGAAGAGCTCTGTATTCCAGTTTAAGGGACTGGATTTTATGAGAAGAGCAATAAATAGCCATTTGTAAATTCTAAACAGGGGCCTAATGTCTAGATTTACATTCTAGAAAAATCATTCTGGCTCAAGTTTAGTAGTGTACAAAAGCCGAAGGAAGCTGTGAGTTGGAAGGGAGGCAAACAAAGGGGGAGGCTGTTTTTATGATCCAGGTAAAAAGTGAGTAGATCCTGAACTAAGGCAACAGATATGAAGAGGATTGCAGAATTCACGAAAAAGCACAGAGTGCCCATCTGCAGGATGAGATGATGGACTCTAATATGAAAACAAGAAGAGTCATGAATGATAACCAGGCTTTTGTGTCAGGTGACTGCATACATGGTGATGCCTCTTCTTAGTACCTGTCACTGAGTTCACAAATAAGGGGCCACGGATCAGCTTTCAGACAGATATGGATGTGATAATAAATTTCATTTCAGTCCCAACACTCTGCTCCTTCATTCCTGCATTCAAATCTCAACAACTACCCGTAAGATGCCCAATTATTGGAATTATCAGAATGCTCAATAATCCCCCAAATTCAAAATGCTACTTGTTTGTATATTATGTAGGCTTCAACCAGTCCAGTTTTGTGTGTGTGTGTGTGTGTGTGTGTGTCTTACTTTTTCAGGTGGTGAATTTTCCTGGGAAAATTTACATGATTTGGAGTTGGTGTAATGGATCTTCTGTGTGCTACCAGGACCCTGCACTCAAGATTTAGGCACTAGCTCCCCCAGCTACCTGGGGGATTGCTTAGTGAACTCACAGCTTAGCTCCACGTCAGGAATTGCCCTGAGCATGAGGAAACTGCCTCACCCAAGGTTACCTCCAGTCCCCAGAGGCATCCCACACCCAGTGACTGGACTGGTCCAGTCAGGAATACAGAGGCCCAGCCCTCTGACTTCATTTTGAGACATTGCTAAAGATCCATACTAGCTGCATAGTTCCCTATGGGGTGTGCTGAAGGCTCTGTTACAACTAAATCACATTTCAAGTACTCCCTCTACCTAACCCTGCTTTCCGCACCTCCTTAGAGATCATCTACTACTGTCGCACCAGTCCTATGGCTGCATGGAGGATGGAGTGTACCCTTATGACCCACTGATGAAGGAGAAAATCATGAATGGTTTAGACTGATACGAAAATGCAAAACAAAAATGAGCTACTGCCACACTCTAAGGGTAGCTCTGAGAAACATCAGTGAGGAAATCCTCCCAAAGGAGCTTCAGGTGGTGCTCCCAGTCATCCACTCGATGTAGAAAAATAATTGGTCTGAGCCCTATTATAGGCAGTAAAAAATGGCTTGGTTTATTGGTCAGGAGCTCGGAAGGAGAAAGATTGAAAGATCAGGGATAATAAGGCAAAGAGTTGTGTGAATATGGGACTGGGCACAAACTCTGAAGATCTTTGTATCATCTATTAATGGCCACTAGAGATCATCCACCACCCAAGAATAGGTACTAATTAACAAAGTAGACCAGATGACTTGGACAGAGGACATTACACAGCCTAAATCATCAGCCACCCCAATGCTGGAATAATATGTGCATGAAAAGAGTAGCCACGTTGGCAGAGATGGAGGGAGGATATTTTGGGTGAAACAGGACAGTTCTCCACTCAATAAAGCTTAGATAGCTATTCTGCTCATTAATGAATAATCTGGTAGCAACAATGACCAAAACCAAGTCCCCTGTGGCGTATCTCTTATGCAGATAAAACATCACAAGGTGACATGTCAATTCCTCTGGACCCCTTCCATAGTGGAAGAGGTAATATAATAGAGTCGACTCCAGGATATTAGAAGTCCAGTGTAATAGACTTGCCAGTAAAGAATATTTGGTCTTCTCAAGGGATGGTGCCATACCAGGAACTCAGCGTTGGTCTCTGTTGCTGGTAGCAATTCATCTTGCCTGCAACTAACTGAAGTAGAATGTGTCCATGAATGGAGATAGAAAGAGTCAAACTACTGCATAATCACTTTGGGCTCCTTGAGCCAAGTGACCAGCTTGTAAGGAAAAGCATAATTTTCCTTAAGTAGACCTTCATTTGAAAATAAATGGACAAGTGTACCAGCTATGATCTGAGAAGAGCACAGCTTAGGGGTAAGCTGTGAGTGATCCTACCATGTAAGCCTCCTAGACCAACAGAGGTGCCAATTGAGGCTAAGGGGAATCTAGAAGGGATAGTAGAGGAGGGAAATAATGAGTTCTCAGTCACAGTGCTGAGACCGAGACCCATGATGCAGGCTGCAGTTCCTTCTACAAACCTTGCTGTAGTAGTTGGAATCCTGAAGGAGTCATCTTCAGATCAAATGAAGCTATTATACAAGGCAGTGGATCTGAGCAACACCCCCTCTCAGGACTAAGGCACTCACTTACCAGCTGGTGGGCGTGTTTTCTGATGACAGCCTAAGGATAGCCCTCAGCTGCAAGAAGCTGTTTTGCCCAAAATTACACCCACATTAAATCACTAGTCAGAGAGGGCTTACAAAATCCCAGACCCCTTGCCTCAATTCAAGACATCTCAAAAAGACCATCCCAGTTTGAGAGCTCCACAGGGGATTGGCTGAGGGCCCTGTTGCAACTACATTGGAGCTTAACATTTGCTCTATAAAATCTGGCTTCCTTCCCTCTTCCCATTAAAAGTGTCATTCTCTAAGTCCACTCCTAATAAACCACCTGAACACAAATCTCAACAGCAAACTCTGCTTTCCATGGAACCCAAATGATTACAACTGGCTTCTTTTGTAGTTTTGCACACTTGAATCTATTATACAGCTTGCTTTATCTTGTTTCTATCACTACTGAGATGTCTGTTTAAATGTGTCATAGGATTTTCGCAAAGCTATCATAGTGAAAATAGAAGTCTTGACTTCTCTTCCCCTCTGCCAACAAAGTGATTCTTCCCCAATCTCAAAAAGTAGCATCACCATTCGCCTTGTTGATGAAGTCAAAACTCTGTTCGATAATTTCTCTTTTCCCCACTCCAAAAACAACCCATCAGCAAGTTCTGGCACCTTTTTCTCCAAATAAAAGTGCATAAATAAAAGCCTCCTTTGCATAATTTGAATACTTCATACTTTTGGTATTGTTAACAAGATTGGATTACTGATCCTTGTTGTTATTATTTCTAAGGAAGTCTAAATCTACTTACATACAAACAAATATAATACACTTGCATGAGCTCAAAAGAATATGGTATATTCTTCTGCCTGATATGTTTTAGAAATAACTTATGTGCATCATATACTCTTGCAAATATTCGCCAAGGTAGACTCTATTTAGATTTTTGTCCATCATTCTTTAGCAATCTTGGATTCAGTGCTTGGAATACCCTTTGGTCTGCAGACAGCACAGTAGCTCAATTGCTATTATTACAGAAAGAAATCTTTTTCTTTAGATGTTCCTACTGGTATGTTATAAACATTTCTTAAAATCTATCTTTAAAATGTGTCTTACTATATAATGCTCTATCAATCAATGGAGAATGATATTCCTGAATGAACTATTATTAAAGATAAGAATTGAAAGACCAGATATGGTAGTTTTCCAGAATCCACTTGCTAGATAATTCTGAGTCTCAATAACCTGTTTCTTCATTTTAAATATGTCATATTCTCAAAAGTGACCTAAAACTAACCTTTTCATGTTATCAGCTTGCCTTATCTTGTTTCTATCGCTACTGAGATCTCTGTTTAAATGTGTCATAGGATTTTCTCAAAGCTATCGCAGTGAAAACAGAAGTCTTGACTTCTCTTCCCCTCTGCCAACAAAGTGATTCTTCCCCAATTTCAGAAAGTAGCATCACCATTCGCCTTGATGAAGTCAAAACTCTATTTGATAATTTCTCTTTTCCCCACACCAAAAACAATCCATCAGCAAGTTCTGGCACCTCTTTCTCCAAAACATAACCTGAATCTCCCCACTGCCCATCATCACTGCTCTCACCGTGGCAAGCGACCCTTGGCAAATCCTTCTATCCTGCAATAACCTCCCAACTGGTCTTCCATTAGGAAGACCTCCATTCCTGCCGCCTTCAGGACACACACGTAACAATCAGAAAAAAAATTATTTAATGTAAAGCAAAATGCGTTATGATCCTGCTTAGTCTCGAATGCTTCCCATTGATCACAGGATAAAATAAAAACTCCTTACCATAGCCTAGAAGGCCCTTACAATCTCTACCCTTCCTACTCTACTGAGCTTATGGCATATCAGCTCTTCTTCACTCTCTACCTCCAGACACTTTGGCTTTAGTTGTTATTGTAGTTATTGTGCAAATATGTCAATTTTGTTTCCACTTAGGGACTCCTGCTCTGTTTGTTCCCTCTTTTTGTTTATTTACTTATTTATTTTGAGACTGAATCTCACTGTCACCCAGGCTGGGGTGCAGTACTGCAATCATAGCTCATTGCAGCCTTGACCTCCTGGCCTCAGGCAATCCTCCATCAGCCTCCTGAGAAGCTGGGACTATAGGCATGCATGCACTACCACACCTGGAATTTTTTTTTTCTTTTTTGTAGGGACAGGGTCTCACTATGTTGCTCATGCTGATTTCAAATTCTTGGGCTCAAGTGATACTCCTGCCTTAGCCTCCCGAAATGCTGAGATTACAGGCATGATCCATAATGCCCTGCCTCTCTGTTCCCCTTTCCTGGAACATTCTGCCCCATGGTTTCATGTTGCTTGTTGCATCTCATCACCAGGGTCTTAGCTCAACTGTAGCCTTCTCAAAAGTTTCCCTGACCAACTCTAAGATAGACTACTCATCTTCGGAGGCCTTCATGAACAGATTGCCCTGTTCTATTTTTGTGACTTTTATCACTATCATTTATTTTAATTTTATATTTCCTGTTTCTCCCTTACTGGTACATGAAAACGAGGACCTTATCTGACTTCTCACTGTTGAATATTTTTACCACACCTAGACAGTACTTGTGCTCAGGAGATACTTGTTGAATGAATATATAAATGATAAAATAAATAAATAATATAAATATATATCTTATGTAGTAAATATATAAATATATTTGTAAAAATACATTATAATATATAAAAATAATATAAGTATAAAATGAATAATATTTTAGTACATAAAGCAATTTAGTCTCATACAGATCTAATAAAATATGTATTAAATTGAAGGTAAAAATATGCTTAATGTCACCAATCACCAAGGAAATGCAAATCAAAATCACATTCTAAGCTCACACCTGTCAGAAT
The DNA here is from genome assembly GCF_000001405.40 of Homo sapiens. NCBI lineage: Eukaryota > Metazoa > Chordata > Mammalia > Primates > Hominidae > Homo > Homo sapiens. The sequence continues at coordinate 107,310,565 of NC_000005.10, forward strand.
AACTATTATCAAAAAGACAAAAGATAACAAGTGTTGGTGAGGATGTAAATGGGACAGCCATTATGGAAAACTGTATGAAGCTTCCTCAAAAAATTAAAAATAAAACTACTATGTCATCCAGCAAACTCACTTCTGGGTTTATATCCAGGGAAAATGAGATCAGTATTCCCAAGAGACATCTGTACTCCCATACTCATTACAACATTGTTCACAATAGCTGAGATATGAAATCCACCTAAGTGTTTGTTGACACATAAACAAGGTGTGGTATACACACACACACTCACACGTGGACATGCATGCACAATGGAATATTATTCAGCCTTAAAAAAAAGGAAGTCCTATCATTTGCCACAGCATGGATGAACCTGGGGGACATTATGCTAAGTGAAAAAAGCCAGGCTCTAAAATACAAATACTGCGTGATTTCACTTGCATGTGAAATATAAAAAATCCACACTCAGATAAGCAACACCCGGTCATGGTTGCCAGAGTCGGGGACCTGGGGGAAATAGAAAGATAAGGTCAAAGGGTACTATGTTTCAGTTACACAGGATAAATACTGGAGACGTAATGTACAGCATGCTGACTATAGTTAGTAATACTGTATCATATATTTGAAATTTGCTGAGAGTAGATCTTAATATTCTCACCTTATAAAAATAAGTGTGGAAATGGATATGTTAAACAGCTTGATTTAATCATTTTACAACACGTACATATATCAAAACATCACTTTGAATATCTTAAATATGTACAATTTTCACTTGTCAATTATGTCTCAATAAAGCTTAAAAAGATGTCAGCACCAAAGGCACAAAATAATGTTTCTGTGTTGTTTACTTATAGTGGTAAGGTATTATACTACAAACCATATTTTCCAAATTCTAAGACAAACACATATTTTTTCACATATTTTCAGGTTTTTATACATATTATAATCCATAGGTTTTTAAATTCATAATGCTTATTCTATTCCTAATATTAAAGTGATGGTGTCTCCTATCATCAATGATGTCTTAGAGTCAAGAACTAATAGTAATAGAAGTTTAATAAATACTATTGAATAGAATGCAAGACTCAATCCCCTACCTTATAAACAAGTGAACATGAGTATGGACAGAAAACTAGAGTCACAGTAGAGTCAGGTATTGCAGAAAAGTCTTCTCTGCATTTATCTGACTGTGACAGAAAGACAAGGGACTGAACCCCTAACTACAATCTCATTAATGCCAAGTTCCAAACAACCAATTTCAATGATACCTGGATCAAAAACAGAAAAATAAAGGTGACTGCAACTTCAACATTAAAAATGAAAAATCTCACTAAAGAGCTTTAAGATTTTCAAATAATTATAGCTTTCTCCTGTGAATGTTTTTGATAATCTTATCAGTGTCTCTGAAATTTGCCATATATACATAATTTATTTTTTTCTATTTTTTAAAAAAATAAGTGAAACCACTAGTGCTTAATTTTCATATTTACGTAACGTTAACACCTAAGGAGTTTAAAGTGAATGCAAGTTCACACTTCTGCTGCTATTAGTCAGGTGAAGAATATTTAATTAAAGCAGTAAGACTTAATAATTTCTCATAGTCCTCTTATCTGTGCTCCGAACAAACTTTAACCCCCTGAAAGATAAAACTAAGACCCATGGTATCAGAAGAAATCAGAAAAACATTTCTTGTTTCCCCTATCCTCCTCACTTCTGAGTGGCCAGTGGCCAGTGGAAAGTAGGAACAGATAAGTCTCCAGATGAACACAGAAGAGAAATAAATTTCATACATTCATCCGAGAACCAATACTTGCTCTGGATCTTAGAAGTGACGGGTTTTTCCTTGAATGCATACCCTGATTGGTGTTATCACCCTGCAACACTGGTTGAGAAGGATTTCTAAGATCCAGCCAGGTTTAGGAAGAAAGAACATTATCATCAATCAACAAATAGAACCAATTTACTTAGACTACAGTGATCAGAATTGGAAAATTCCAGGCATAATTAAACTCAATATTTAACCATGATGTTATGTGCTTAGTGATGTGAGGGGAAATAATAAAGTAGAAAAGTTGACTCTCTAATTTCTGTCTTTCATATAATTTTTTTAAAGAACCTCACTTTTAACATTTTAATCAACATTAGTTTTTGAGTTCCAAAAATGAGCCCAGTACACTTCCAGGTACTAAGGACTGGTCGGTAAACAAAGCAGTGAAATGCTGCCCTCTTGGAGCTTATATTCTAATGAAAAAATAGAAAATCAAAATACCAAATATTTATATAGTGCTTCTCACGTGCCAGCCTATTCTATGTGAATTTTATACGTGTTAGCTCATTTACTATTCACAAGACCCCCTGTGACATGGACGTTGTGGTTTCCCCAGGTCATGCAGGTAGCAGGACTGAGAACCCAGGTTGTTGAGCTCTGGAGGCTGCTACTCTCCAGTGCCTGTGCTACAATGTGCTGCTTCTCCTTCTTTTAAGCACTGAGCTACAACAGTAATAAGCCAGAAAATGTTCCTGTGCTCACCTAACTCATATTTTGGAGGAAAGAGATTGACTATAAACAAATAATAAAATAATTTGGGGTAGTGACTAGCACTACGGATCACCCAGAGTGCCTGCAGGGAGGGCACTATTATATAGAACAATCAGGAAACATCTCTCTAAGGCAATAAGAACTGAATAACAGAAGGAACCAGGGGGAAGTCATTTGGAACAGTCGGAACAGCAAGTGCAAAAGGCCTGGAGGTAAGGAATCAGCTCAGACTATCTGTGGAAGCCCTGTGTGCTGGAAGCAGAGAGAATGGGAAAGGACAGCATGAGATCAGATCAGAAAGGACACTGGCCTGTTTTCTGATGTGACCCATGGCCAGATCATGGAGAACACTGCAGATCCTAACAAGAGATGCGGATTTCATTCTCAGAGCAATAAGAAGGCACTAGAAGATTTTCTATCACTAGAGACACAACTTTTTCCAAAGATTCTAGGTGAAAGAAAAAAAAAAGGAAATTCCTAACCCAGGATATTTAGCATTTTCCTTAATTTGCTCATTAATTAATTTTAATTTTCTCATGTTTACATCTTCTAAAATAAGCTTAAAAGTGGGTGGGTTGTTATCATTGTACCCACACATTTCCTGAATATGCTCATTAGCAGAAATGCTCCATCATGGAACTTTAGAGCAATTGCTATAAATTCTATGAAGGAATATAAACAGAACCAGTTCCAAAAGTGGAGGACGGAAGAAATGAGGAAGGATAAACTGCATCACGTTCAACACTGAAACTGTTCTTAAAGAAGCATGGGGATCCGAAGCCCACTTGGTTTCATGCGGGGAGGTGGGGGGTCCCTTTTATCTGTTTTGACTGCTGTCATTGTCCTGAGGATTTTGGGTTTTGGTCTTCAACTAATGTGCTGAAATGACACTTCACTAGCTCTTTGTCAGGGTGATATTCAAAAAACTCCAGAACCAGAAGCATACAGCCACCGGCCAATCAGAACAGATGCTATCTATGGTCCAGGAGCAAAGACTTGCGTCTCTGCCAGGAATTACCCCTTGAGTTGCTGACCTTAGAGAGGGTTAGAGGTCAGGGAAGGAGCCACGATGGCCAGGGGCTGTTGGTGGGGAAGCCTACTCAGGACTCTGGCTATTTATCAACAGGTACAGAAGTAACTCTATAATTTAACAACACTTACAGCCATACTGATATTCCTGTCTGCATTGTCCTTTCTCCCAAACCCTCTATAATTTAGCCAAGAGCATTCTGAACTGGGTGAGTCCAGCAGAAACAGGGAGGAGCTGGTTTCATATAAAGTTATGTCAGTTCTCCCCTTCTAATACTTGGGCTGTTTACACAAAAAACAATAAACTGTATTGGCTAGAAAATTCCCCTCACTGTGAGAGAACAGACTGATTCCCATAATACAATTTTGTTGGAGTAGCCGGCTGCGCCAAACCAGCTCTGTTAGGAAAACACCACCCACCTCAGTCTGGTCTGGTCTGGTCAGCCCTGAACCAGACTGTTGTCCTCATGCAGACACCAGGTTACAGTACAATAGAGGGTAGTTTGCCAGTGAATATTAGTTTGTTGGCCAACAATTTAGTAATAGGGGCATTGTATTAGGCATACTCATGATTATTATTCTTGAACGTTGAGCAGCATAGCATCCACCTTGCATAGCACATAAAAAAAACATTCTCTCAAGGAGTTTTTATAAACATTCACACCCCCATTGAAAATAATCAGTAACAAAATTTTTGATAAAAGTCAAAGAGATCTCTTGATTTGTGAAATCCTTAAACCTTATAACTTTACAACTGGCCTTAAGTGGTTATCTTATAACTCATATAAACAAACATATAAAAATACAGGGAAACATTCAGATCCATTGGAACAGAAAGTAAATTGTTGTATTATTAACTCATTCTCATGGTGTATTTGAACATATTTGCTGGAAGTGCTCCATACATCAATGCAATATTTAGCTCTGTGGTTTCTTCAAATAATTTTTTTTTTGCTCCCAAATATTGTTGTGTTTGTTTTTCCTTGCAAAGGAAGAACTGGGAAAAGCCATTTACATTAGCCTAATTTTAAGAATTTTTAAGACAGTTTATCTGATATCTAATACTTTTACATTAAGGATATTTTTATCTCTACGGAAAAGGAATATAGTAAAACCCAAATTGTTTTTCAATAGTGTAGAAAATTTGGCATCGTATATTTTTTTTTGCATTCATTATATTTTATGTAATGTAAGTGTACTTACTTTTAAAATTATAATTTAAAAAGTCTATAGTCACTGAAGTCAGTTTCCATAAGGATTGCAGCCATAAAAATATATGTCTACAGTTTTTGTTTTTATTTAAATCATAATTATTCCTTTTTCAGCAGTCAAGCCCAGTTTTTAGTTCAATTTAAATATCTGCCTCTTATTACTTTAACACTATAGCACAACTGTTAAAATAAAAACATGGTAAAAGATCAAAGCCAATTTTAATGTCTAAATGACTTGAAAAATGATTTTAAACATTTCAATATATTTAAATGAAAATTACAATTAGCAAACCAGTTGCTTTTTAGACAAGAAGCATTCATAGAAGCTCATCTAAATTAGCCTTTCAATTTCGTGACTAGCTTGAATCGAAATTTTGAAACGAAAAAGAATAAAGCTGGCCATAACATAATCGTTGCCTCCTCCAAGCAAACATAAAGCCATCTATCTCAAGCTTAAACACCTGAAAATTAAGAAAGAGTATAGTTGTCTTAAGTCAAGGCATATCATCTCCTAGCACCTGCCAAGAATAAAATCTATCCTTCCATTCCATACAACTTCCTCGTAATTAGGTCAACATAGAATCACGGCAAAGGTATTTTAGGCAGTTGTACAAGATGCATTAACTTTGCATGGGTTTTTGGTATTTGTCTTGCCAACATCCAGCCTTCCGTCTTCAAGCAACCATCCTCAAATTTCATTTGGACTTGTACTCCTCCCTCAATCTCTAAACCACTTTAAGCCTATCAGCCCATTATCCTTCCCTGGCCACAAGTATTGGTTCCAGGGTGGAATGTGAGCAAAAGTGCTAAATCAGTGAATTTTAGATGTGTTGTGGGGGGTACTTGAAAGAGCTCACTATTTCTTATTGCCTTTATCCTCAGAGGCTTGAGACCCTGGAGTTAGTACAGTCTCTTGCCACCACCAGGACTGAAAAAGGAAGCAGCATTGAAGAGGCAGAGCTGGGAGACGGAGAGAAACTGCTGGCATGATTTGAGCTCAGGTTAGTCATTTGTCCCTTCTTAAGCTGGCTTCAGTTGGTTCTGTCCCACTTGCAATAGAAAGTGTCCTACTGATGCAGTCTGTTTAAATCACTCTATATTTCTGGCTAATCAGAAACTAATAAGATTCACAAATTAAGTGTGAATGTTCAAAAAATGCTTCTTAAAACCGTAAAATTGTCTTTAAAGCTGAAGGCTTTGGGATCACAATCACCATGTGACCAGCTGGTTATTCCTTCTCCCACTGTACTCTCCAGTTAACCTAAGCCTCAATTTCCTAATTTGTAAAAATGCCAAGAGTAGTGCTTGAAGCCAATTAGTGGGTTTCAGCACAAAATGACTGGTTCTATCATAAACTAGGGGCTTTCCATCTCAGCCCACAATATTCCTGTAATTTTTAAAGCAATCATTTATTTGTGCTTTAACCCCTTAATCCCTTACCACAGTGATTATATTAAACATTTCTGGGCTTTTCTCAGGCTCCTACTCATCACTATCATGCTCATCCTGATCCAACGCTATATGAACCTCTTCGAATTCCTTCTTCCATGCCCCTTACCTACAAATCTACAAACTTGTACATCTACCTATATGTACTCTGTGTGTGTGTGTGTGTGTGTGTGTGTAACCATAGTTCTGCTGCATATATAAATTCACATCCTGTATGTCTGGAACTAATTTCATCCTTTTCTAAATATTACATATTTCAAGCATTCATTGGGTTGACCTAGATGGCAGACTTTATGGTAATCATCATAACAACCTCAGTTTACATTTATTGAGTGTTTACTATGTGCCAGGGACTATCCCAACTGCTTCATGTTTATTAACTCGTATAATTCTCTTAACAGCATAGGAAGTAAATACTATTATCCTTACTTTATGGGGAAGGAAACAGAGGCATGCAGAGGTCAAGGTCACATCTTAGTAGGTGGTAGAGCTGCGATTTCAGCTGAGATTCAAGAATCAGTCTGACTCAGAATCCATGCCAATAACTGCTATGCTGTAGTGTCTCTTAAAGGCTCCAGGAGGATATTGTCCAGAAATAAATTATTACATTTGTGTATATAACATCACGGTATACAGATGGCTTTCATATTAAAATGCCCTATTAAATTAATGGTTAAGTTACTCTTATTCGTATTTTACAAATGCAGAAAAATTCAAGATTAATGGGCTTATTTATCCAAGGTCATTAAACTAATGAATGGTGAATCCACATCTCCTTCCACGCAAAGGAAATTTAGATCAGAAAATTGCTTTCCCATGGGCTATTTCTATAGAGACAAATGTTTGAATCTTTGGTAAAAATAGTTGGTTAAACTCATTCTCTGTAACTTCATAGCACTAAATGGCAGCCTCTGGGCTATCTGGGGGACATCAGCATTAATGATCAATTAATATTATAATTTATTTTATTTTCACTCCTTAAATTGATACCATTGCCTCTACGGAAATTGTTTCCTTCTTCTTTAAATGTACTTTGACTTTCAGTATTATTGCTCCTGAGTCTGACTCTACAATCAGACAGGTGAGAATAAGAGAAGGTTACAGTGCAATGAAAAGGTCAAGATGGAAAGTCCATCCCACAATTCCTCAACTAACTTCTACATTTCCTTTTCAAATGACAAGTAATGGAGAACTAAAGCTAGTCTTGACTGTTTTTATCTGGGAAAACAAAAGTCTGGCTTTACTTGACTCTTGATTCTATAAAGATTGATATCCTCTCCCAAAATAAGCAAATAAACCAAAATACCTCCCTGTTATGGGTTTAATTGTGTCTCCCCAAAAGATGTAGGGAAGTCCTAATCCCCAGTATTTCAGAATGTGACTGTATCTGGAAAATAGAGCAGTTGTAGGTGCAATTAGTTAGATTAAGATGAGGTCAGACTGGAGTAGCATGGGCCCTAATCTAATCTAACTCCTGTCCTGATAAAGAGGAGGAGAGACACAAAGAAGGAAGATGACCACGTGAAGGCTGAGGCAGAGACTGGATTATGCTGCCACAAACCCAGGAACACCTGGGGCTTACAAGAAGCTAGAAGAGGCAAGGAAGGATCTACCCCTAAAAGCTTCAAAGTGAGCATGGTGCCGAGTGTAGTGGCTCACACCTCACATCTGTAATCCTAGCACTTTGGGAGGCCAAAGTGGGAGGATTGCTTGAGCCCAGGAATTTGAGACCAGCCTGAGCAACATAGTGAGACCCCATCCCTACAGAAAATTAAAAATAATAATAATAATTACCCAGGTGTGGTGGTATGTCTATGGTCTTAGCTACTCAGGAGGCTGAGGTGGGAGGATCGCTTGAGCCCAGGAAGTGAAGGCTACAGTGAACTGTGATGGCACCACTGCACTCCAGCCTGAGTGACAGAGTGAGACCCTGTCAGAAAGAAAGAGAGAAAAGAAAAGGAAGGCAGAAAGAGAAAGCAAGAAAAAAAGAAAGAAAGAAAAAGAAAGAAAGAAAGAAAGAAAAGAAAGAGAGAGAGAGAAAGAAAGAAAGAAAGAAAGAAAGAAAGAAAGAAAGAAAGAAAAGAAAAGAAAAGAAGGAGGAGGAGGAAGGAGGGGAGAAAGGAAGGGAGGGGAGGAAGGGAGGAAGGAGGATGGCTCTGCCATTACCTTGATTTCGAACTTCCAGCCTCCAGAACTGTGAAAAAATAAATTTCTACTGTTTAAAGCCATCCACCTTGAAGTACTGTGTTATGGCAGCTCTAAGAAATTAACACGTTCCTCTTTTCTTCTCTTTCCTTCTCTCATTTCCACATTCAAAATTTTTTCGGTATGCAGCATATAAATATATAAAATAAATATAAATGTTTATATAATATATAAATTTCATGTTTTATAAAAACATATATAATAAGATTTCAATGAGAAGCTTTGAAATCAGGCACAGAGAAAACAATAAAGATAGGGAGACATGGTTATTTATAACTTGACTTTTGACAGAATTAATAGACGTATAAATCTTTATTTAAATTCACACAACTATCTCTATATTTTGTATAATTGATGGACCTCCCCAAACGGAAGCCAATGACAGTATCCAAGACAAAGGACTTGATAAATTCCTAAAGGACTCCACTTCTGTCCCCAAACTATTCTCAGTTTTTTTGTTTTTGTTGTTGTTGTTGTTGAGACAGAGTTTTGCTCTGTCACCCAGGCTGGAGTGAAATTGCATGATCTCGGCTCACTGCAACCTCCACCTCCCAAGTTCAAGCGATTCTCCTGCCTCAGCCTCCTAAGTTGCTGGACACATGCCACCACACACGGCTAATTTTTGTATTTTTAGTAGAGATGGGGTTTTGCCATGTTGGCCAGGCTGGTTTCAAACTCCTGACCTCAGTTGATCCACCTGCCTCAGCCTTCCAAAGTGCTGGGATTACAGGCATGAGCCCGCCCTCTCAGCCTCCCAGCTTATTCTTACTCTGTTCTTATCCTGTCAAATTGAAAGTCAAAGTCCTTCAGAATTGCCAACTTTTACAAATGGATGCTCCTTATATTCTGAATTTCAACTTCTTGACTTCTTAGACATGCTTTATAAACTCTAAGCTGCAAGTTGATTTCCAGCACTATTATTCAGTTTTCAACTTGCAATATCTTAACCCAGCCTCCCTGTTGATCACCCATCCCCCTTCAAATAGTAGAACACATATCAAACCAGCCCACAACTACAACATATGGTACAGCTATTCAAGAAACAAGCTGTATTCCCTCTTGCTATAGCAAACAGAATGCCAAATATCCTTCTTTACAGTGGCCAAACTGTTGAATATTCTCTGACAATAAAACAAATAAAAGTCTTAAGCATTGGACTCATCAGTTCATAAATTCAAAGAGGTCACTTGATCTCATTTCCATCAAAATTGGTAACATCTGGTAGTCTTACGCTAACATTTAAATGGACATTTTAAAATAACACTATTCAACAGATTTAGGTATGGTATGTGTATTTTGCAGCTAACACTTCCTGGCAGGGCTATCAAGATGCATTTTTACTTTCCACAGGTAGCATAAACATTTCTCTGGCTAATTCAAAACCAGCATGCTCTATGGTTACAATAGCTAGGCAATAGGAAGATATGGAGAACAGATTGGTCCTCTCTCCAAGTATTGTAGCTGCCCGTGACTGTGCTAAAAGGTAATACTTTCTGGATGATGAAAATACAAGTTGAGCTTTCATAATAGAGCAGTTGTGCTTCATTCCCATCTATCTGTTTCTAGTTCAGAAGAGTATCCCGAAGTTGACAATAATCCAGGCCTGCTTAAAGCATATGGAATTTGAGAGAGACTGTCCAGGGATATTGAAAGCACTTCCTTCTTCTGGATTCTCCCAGTTCTATCCCTGTATTAAGCCATATCTTCAACAAGTGGAATACTTACACTTTATTATCCAAGCACCCCTAGGGTTGCCTTCACTGAGTTATGGTTTAATATCATATCCTCAACCTTCAAAGAGGACTGATTCAAAAAGGGTCCATTTGAACAATCTTTCTATAAGACAAAGCTGGCATTGAAGATGCTGTCTACTTTATTATTAAAAGTCCCTTTTTCAAGAATCCACACAAAAAAATTTCTCTTTGAATTTATATCCTGATATAAGTTTTTCTCCGCTAACCATATAATTGCTTTCAGGTTAGACAATGAAGATTGTGTAACCAACGTATTTCCCATTTGCTGTACATGCCAAAAATGTCAAGTCAATCCAGTTCAGTGGCCAACTAAATAATTTGCTTATCTACCATACCCAGTGACATAATGTCTTTGTTCCTTTTGATATGTGTTTTATACAGCTGTTTATGTTTGCCTTATCACATGTTATGATTCCATTTCACTCATATTATGGGTCCATTTTAGGGACTTCAAACATTTTGAATATGGAATAGTAATTACTCCTAAAAACTAAAATGCTTCTATATGATTTTATTTTTTTCCTTAAGAAGGAGTTCAAAAAAACCCTTCAAGGGACACAAGTAATCGTCTTTCTTTGAAGTACAATGACAACGGAAGAACAAAAATTATAACACTACTGTATTATACTAGCAAAGTAACAATGATCAGACCTAGTATTCCACCTTTTTTAAAACATTTACTTTTTTGGTTTTTTTGATTCCCAGAAGTAAACAAAATTCAACATAAAAACTGAAGATAAATGCATGCTTTTGCTCTCTTCCACAGAGTATTAATAGCTTTTAGAATTGAAATTGTTTTATTAATTTGATTGGGCTGAAGGAAAAAATCTAAGACTCTTATGAATAATTCAGGTTTCTGTCAGATCCTGGAAAGCCTTATGGAAAGTACTGTTATACCTCAAAATGCCCTCACAGTAGACCAGACATTTAATTTCCAATAACATTGATTTATAGTTTTATAACGAAAAATAATAAATATAATGAATTACCACCATATTTCCTGATCTCAGTCACTATAAAATAACTGCTGTAGTTTTACATTTCCAGTGTGAAATATTAAATGCATAAATCAAAACAAAATTATTTTTCATCTAGAGAAAGAGAGAGACAGGTTCCCGAGACTGACAAATTCACTTTATTTTAAAATTAATGTTTTAAGAAAAAAAAATTCATTGAATCCCTATCAGCTTTAAAAAGAAAAAAAAAGAGCTTGCATTTTAGGATTTTGCCTGTAATGTCTACTAAACAGGTTCTGTGTGAAAAATTATTAAATAGGTCCCTACAACTCCAAACTTGTTGGGAGCCAAATTATAATTCCTGACATGAATCATTTTCCTTTCACACTTCCTTTCTCATGGCATTTCCTTTTTCCATAATTGTTTTACCTTAAGTTGCCACCCAGAGATAAGCTTCGCCCACAGTATATTTCTCTAATGCCACCAGACTGGCATTTTTGTAATTCAAATATTCTCTTACAGCTACAACTAAGTAATCATGTAATGAGAACATTATCAAAAAAGAACAATTCAAGAGAGATACAGATTTTCAAATAGGCAGAAACAGATGCATTTACTTTTTTATATTTTCACAACTTCATCTCCTAAATTTCATTGAGAACAAGAAACAGTATTTTGCATCCTTGATTAAAAAGAGTAAATCTAATTATAAGAATTCATTTTCACATTTAAATACCTCTCAGCTTTTGTGAGTGTTCAACATTCAACCACAAGAATCTTTCCGAAGGAGTGATGAAGGCTGAATACTAAAAAGTGTCAAACCCTTGAACAAATGGGTAACTCTGAGTTAATAGACCAAGAAAAAAAATTAAATCACCTAACAACCATGATATTGGAAACCTGGAAACCACCATGAGTTCAATATTGTCTCTAAGACTCAGTTACATGCTAAAAACAGATGAATTTAAAGTAGCTTTTTTTTAAGGGCTTACATGATTCCTAAAAGTATCATATGCATTTTTGTTGATTACAAATACATTAATTCATAAATTATTATGAATCATTAATTATAAAATCAAAGAAGCTTATAGGCAAATCTTTTAATAAAAAAATTCTGTTTGTCACGTGGCTAAATACAAACTAACTTCTATTAGAAAAGATTTAATGTGAATAAGACAAGGAATCAATACCTTGATTTTAATATTTACAATAACTCAGTATAGTTTTAAGGTGGTGTGTTTTCTGGAGGAGTTTCATAAAGAAAAGGAAGAATCTCTGGAGCCCTGAAATAACCGTCTGGTGAAGATCTGCACAGGCCTCTCTAAAAATAACAATGGACTGTAGACTTCATAAACATTTTTAGAAATTAAATAGCTGCTAACTTGTTCCATATGGAAGCAAATTCACAGAGTCCAACATGTTGTTCATTGAGATCATCATAACACATACACCAAAGAAAGAGGCAAAGTCATCCACAAAGTCATTCACGAGAAGCCAGAGGAAACAGATGATCTTGAAACCTCCTGAAAAAATAAAACACGAAAAGCAAAGAGCTCCGAAACCCACATAATACTCTTGCTCTAAGATTCCCTGGGGCTCCTTAGGTCAAGCAACGTTTGAAGATCCCTAAATAGTAATAATTACTTATTAAATAAGGGCAATAACAAAATTGCTAAAAATTTTGGACAATTGTTATAAAGGCCAAATTATAAATAAATTTAAATTTTTTATTTTGTCCAAAATGACAGTATTTCATAAATCTACTTCCATAATACACTTAAAACATGAAGAAGCATAAAGATTTTTAAATTTTAGAAATGCTGACTTATTGATTGTATGCTTACAGAGACATAGTCAGTTATTCAAAATGGCCCAGGTGTCCTTTTACTCAGAATTCTAAGTAGTCCCAAGTAATCTTCCCAACCTCTGTTTTTTTTATTTTTTGTTTTTGTATTCTCCTCATATAATAAAAGAGAACGAGAAGGCAGACAACTCACAGCACACTCTCCCATCTGCTAGTCTGTTTACAAACGTTTCAGTGTCAGCTCATTCACTCCGCGGGTTTATGCAGCCCAACTTTATGTTAGTAAATTGGGGAAATTGGTTTCCTCTGGTAAAAAACACTTCCACTTCAAAGTATTTTCCCTATATTCATACTTCTGATTTTCCCTTTTTGATCTTTACATCTGCTGTTGAATAGATTCAAAAGCCCCGAGATTCGTACCTCCCCTCTGACAATCCCAAACACATGGTTACTATTTGACATCCAGAACTTCACTTTTATTTTTTAATACTTATAATTTTGAATGAGACTGTCACAAGAAATGAACTTTGAAGAAAAGATAATATCAAATACATCTCTAAGACTAAATGTATTCAGGGTTTTATAATTCAAATCAAATTGATTTTTCTAAATAAAAGGGGTGGGGGTTAACTTTTGGGGGCTGTTGCCATAGAGAAAAGTAAAAGGAAAACCTATAGGAAAGAAGCTGAGCAAGTCTGGTGCAGCTGCTTGCATTCACACTGGTGAAACACAGCAGGGCTGTGGTATTATTACCTATGTAATCACTATTGCATGTTTGTTCTTGCATACCAGCAAAAGGATAGGAAATTTGAGAAGGGATAAGACATGTAAACCTTTGTTACAAAGATTTAAATTTCTCTGAATTAAAATCTGCTATGAGTTAATAGTTGGATGTTTCTCTCAGCAACTAAGAGTTTTACAATAACCTATTTCGTCTGATAGTATGGCTATCAAATGATTGGTCTTTGGCTGGGGAGTGCAGAATTGCGACGGTTTCTCAATGCTTATTTCTAAATTTCAGGACCATTTTATAAATAGTTGTTGAAATAGATGGCCATTTATAGTTTGTCATTTGAAGAAAATATTCTCTGTCTTAAAATTTTATTTCCCCATCAGCTGTTGGTGCTTGAAATTCAATCATTAAAGATTACACTTACATAAAAGCCTAGTAAAAGTCGTTACACGGAGGAGGTAAAGGAGGTGATACAGAATGTAAACAAATTCTCCTCAGTGTGTATTATTTTTATTTGAACCATGTGACTGTATTACCCTGTATTGCTTATTAAAAATAAAAGTTTTGAGGCTAAAAAAAGATTTTCTTGAAATTTTAGAGGTCCTCTGGAAGTTCCCATTGAAATGCAAATGAAATATAAATGCTTCTGGAAAAAGAAGCATATTTTTGCAAGAATTAGCTGTTAGCCAGCTGGGAATGAGAGCAACCCTTGACCCAGAATGATCTTTCCCTATTTGTGAATTCTGCCCTTTTTGCAGAGCTTGCCTAGCCAGCCTAATTCATCAAAGCAACCCTGGCTATCCTTAGAATTATGGATGTCACAAATAGCTCAACTTTGAATGTGAAACAAGAAAGGATCAGTAGCAACAGAAAGGAAGGAGAAGAAGGGGTCACTGCAAGGAGAGCTGTACAGTAGGAGGCTGCCTGCTCTACTGCACCATGTAGGGCTGGCACCACCTGTGTCCTCCTCATGTATACAGATACTGTGGGTACACCTACATGCACACACACACTCAAATAGCTTACATAGTCCTGTAGAATCCAGTTGAGATTCTATAGTACTATAGATTCACTTCTAGGCAGAGACGTATGGCCTCTTTTCAGCACTCTCTGGTTCCGTTCAGAAGCAATGCCACCCCCTTGCTAATGCTTACTGATGCCCATCATGATCTAGCTCCACCCATCAAAAGATGGTCTAAGAAGACCATTGATATAATAGAAGAATGAATATATTAATACATATGTTTCTATGCATCTTCATGAGTTATGCTAGCTCCTATAACAAACAATTCCAAAATCTCAGCAGCTTAAAAAATTAAAGGTTTATTTGCTGCTCACACCACAGTCCAAAAAGGTTGGGGATCTTCCCTTGGCAGGTCTCCTCCAAGTAGTGGCTTAGGCATAATAGTTCCTTGCATCTTTGCTATGCCACCCTATTCCACAGATGGCATCCATTTTCATGAAGGTAAGGGAAGAGAAGACATGGATGTTAATACAGGAGATTCTATGGCCAGGGTTAGGAATTACAGATATCATTTGTGCCCACATTCGATGGCCCCTTAATAACTGCAAGGAAGGTTTCAAATGTACTTTTCTTTTAAGCACAGGAGAATGAAACAGGATGAATGACCATACAACCAGTCTTTTATACAATTCCCCCTTCTGGTCATCAATTATTCATTTTAATGTTCCCGCCACAGTCTCTTCTGGTCACTGCATCAAGTTCAAAATCCTGTATTTCTGGGAAAAGCACAGTACTATCCCCCCACGCTGAATATGACTAACCTAGTTCCTCCCACATGTATACTGAAAAGACAAGTTTTCTGTCCCCACATGCATATTCCCTATACAATGGTGTAATCGAGGCATAATAACTGCAATAAACACTCCCATTTGGAAAGAGGAAGAATATGGGTCACACAATAGGCAATGGTCTGTTTCAATTCTGAAGTTCTGCTAGACACATGGAGGCAATTCTTTACCTGGCTTTTATTCTACCCTCCGGGAGAAACTCCCTGTCACTTGTTCTTCATGGCCCCTGGCTGTACTTCTGTATGGCCTTTTTGCCCATTATCCTCATGAGTCACTTCTGATGGAGGTGTTTCAGAGCATGGCCTCCTTGGAGGGTGCAGAGCATTTGAAGTCCTACCTGCTGTTCATGGAAAGTAGTGACCTGTCTTGGTATGTGTTCCCTAAAAATCAGACTCTTGTAGAAAGACTCAGGTGCAAGAACTTTATCTGGATAGTGATCTCAAGAAGCACTATGAACAGTGGAGAAGTAATACACGTGAAGAAGGAAAGCCAGTAAGGGGAGCCTTCATGAATAGGTTATCACTTAGATAAGCTGGAGCTCAAAACCTCTGGAGATACTCCAAGAGACTATATGAAGAATGATTTCCCTGAGAGATGCAGAAGCTAAGGTATTAATATATCCCAAATCTCCTATCCCTTGCTGGTTTAAAGTTACTCCTGGGACACTAACTCCAAGTAGTTCTGTAGCCAGCAAAGTCTACCAGAGCAGAGACATAGACACATGTCTGTTGTATCCTAGAATAAGCAGCAGGATATAAATTGTGCAGTGACAACATCTGCTACAGGGCCCAAGAGTTACTTAAGACAAAAAGTCAAAGACTGCTTTTAGTCTGGATTTACTGTTTCTTTGGCAATACAATTCCCTCAATGACTTAACAGACTTCCAATATATTTGCTATGAGCTGGTAAATGTTTCCAATTTTCTTTCTGAGATATATTTCTCAAATCAGCTTTATTACTTTGCTTTCTCACCCCATACCTCTCTGGCAATTTAACACAGAGAATGGGATAATCTTCCATGTCAATAAACAATCAGCATAAATTAGGTAATTGTCAGCTAAGGAAAGTTGACACTTAATCTAATCTTTTCCCTAAGCTACTGTACTTTACTCAACTAACAATTTTTTGAACCCAACTTTTCCTGTTTAGGATTATAAAACAGCTTACCAAATAAACATGTCTGTACTCCATCAATTCCTTTTCCTTTATGCTTATAAATCAGCCAGTTCTTTCCTGAGCCCTCCTCTTTTGGTAGTACCTTGAAAAATACAGCCTGTAATAGCAAGCCAACACTAATGCTCTGATTCATTTCAACCATCTCTTCTTGGAGCTGCAGGCTGAGAAGGGACCAGTTCTGACTTCCAATTTATTGCATATGAAAGCTTTACTCAATATTTTGCCACTGCATTACATGGATAGCCATCTTTGAAGACTCTAATATCATTCTTCTCACTACTTACCTTTCAACAGTTAAGTCAACACCACCCAATTTAGATTTTTAATAGCAGTGCTCTCCTTCGGATATAAATGTCTGCATTATGACAGATAACCTTAGCTACTCAAACAACTGCAAAATCCCAAATGTTTAACACTAAAAAGATATATTTGTCATTTATACATAGTCTATTGTGAATGGGCAGCTCTCCTTGGAGGCTCTACTTTCAGTGAGGACTCAAGGATTCAGATCCCTTCCTTTGTGTAATGGTGCCGTCTCTAATATAACTTTTTCAATCACTAAGGTAAAAAAACAGAGCTTGGAAGACCAAGCAGGAGATTTTAAGTCCAGGCCTGGAAGTGGTAGGCATCCTTCCACTGACATTTCCTTAGCCTCACTCTAATGCAACAGAGGTTGCTAATGTAATTTGACACATACCCAGAAAGAAGAAACAAGGGTTCATCCAGTTTGACTCCAGCATTATGGCTGTTGATTCTCATTTGTTACCACTCCCAAGGAGGACCAACTTTGAAACAAAGAAATTAATGTCTTAGAATAAAATTCCATATTGAATGAGACTAGATATGGAGGGCAAGGGGTTCCTGATATTGTCTGAATCACACTACCCTCACCTGGCTTCTCATTCAATATTTAAGACTGTTCCTATATTAACTATATTCTCCCTGGGAAGTAAACAACCAAGAAGAATGGAGCAGAGATGCTCACTCATTTTGGTGATCTGTCTTGAAGTGATGGCACACATTGCTTTGTTTCCCTAATCTCCTAACATGGAAATCTTGCCAATCTCCTTAGTAATAAACACGTACACAAGAATGTCTTTTTTACTTTCCTATAGGCACCTTTGTTACAACTGATACTCAACTGTATATAATATTGAAAACCTTGGAGAACAAAGCATCCACCTCTGACATCACCTTTTACCAAATACCTTTCTCCTGAAAAAAAATGTTAGTCTTTATGTGTCAATATGCATGAGAAAGTATGTGGGCTAAGGAAAAAAAGTAGAACATGCACCCCAGAGAATAAGAGTTAGCCCAGGACCCAACCAGGATTTTAAGAAACACATAATGGATGCATTTAACTTAAGTGAATTTAACTATTCGTGTTCAAGATTCAGTTTAGAATATTACAAAATGCTGTAAAATTATATTTTGCATATGTACTATTTTAATAAGCTCTTTAATGTTTTCTTATATGGTACTGTATATACAAAACCATCTATATTATACTTCATGTGGAATAAAAATTGTTTAAGCATAATTTTGACGATGCAATTTTTGCCAGCGCTGTCTTGTGAATTGAATGCCCTAGGAAGATATTAATAAAACCTTGTAGTAATCTCATTTCTGCACATGACCCACCATCTGACTCAGCCTCCCTGCATTCTGAGCACGTTTCCTCTTTGCTGGTTCAACTTCTGTCATGATACTTGTGCCTCTTGGTAACAAGCATCACTTTTTGGATAATCCTTTTGTTTGTTAGTCTGATTTTGACTTTCTGTAAAACAATATACTAGCAGACACTTGAACTCTGCCAAATGTTTTCTAAGACAGCCATTTCCTATGAAATAAGAGCTCATTTAAGCAGAGATCTTGATTTGCACATCAGACACAGTTCCAGAATTCACAAGCAATCATGACAATCAGCTCAGGTGAGTACTGACAGAAGAGCAACCAGTCCTTTGCCACTGCTGTGTAGTTCTCCTCAGCCACTCAGCTGTCGTCCATTTTGGTCTCTACCACAATTTTTTATGTCCCTGATATATCTTACCACAAACTTCTTTTGCTAGAAGCAGCCTGTGTTCTCAGCAAGAATGCATTTGATCAAAGAGTTTCAGCTCCAGTTACAGCTTCACCGGGGAGTATGGAGGGCTTGTCCCTTTTGAATCAAGAAAAACTTACAATCATGATAACAACAATAGCCACCACTTATTGAGTGTTTACTATGTGCCAGACACTATGCTGAGCTTCTTGTATATTAACTCACTTAATCATCACAACAATCCCATGAGGTAAGTATTATTATTATCTCTATTTTATGAATGCTGGTATCAAAGAAGTTCAATAATTTGCCCAAGGACATGCTCCCTATAGTAGTGAAGATGGGATTTGAACCCAGACATTCTGGCTCCAGAGCCTATTGTGTTCTTACACATTTCCTCCCTTATAGAAGATTCTAGTTTTATCTGTCAATAAACAATGTCTTGTTTGTAGTAGCCATAGGATTGCTGTCAGCAATGACAAAAATAGAAGGAAATTAGCATTTTACCTGAAAAAAAAAACCTTTCTTTCAAGATTGATACTTTCTGGATTTTTAGACCTGAATAAGTCCTAGGATGTTTTCACATTGATTAACTGAGGATCATCACTTAGTCCAACATTATTATTTCAAAAATTACTTACAGCTATTTACTCTGGCAGAAAATCAGTAGGAGTTGTCATTACTTAAATCTTGTGGCTGGAGCACTACACTCATGGAGCTATTTCCTGAGTGGGTGCTCAATGAGAGAAGACAGCTATTCAATCACCTGGACCCCAGAAAACAGAAGTGAAAAATGCAAAGTTGTATAAGACTAGGTCACAATAGATATGCAATTAACTCTGGACATCTATCCTTTGAATTGGGTTGTGTCTATACAATGCCAGAAAAAAAACTTAATTTTCTCATTCAAATCAGTCAAAAACTCAAAGTATAAATTTACTGACAAGTGGTTTATTTAGTAGCATATAAATATGTCTATATATATTGTGTATACATAAGTGTATATATATATACATACTCAACATATGTACACGTATGTATACATATATACATACTCAACAAAATGTTTATTAAGAAGACTTCGCAACAATTTATTGAGATGTTTGATGAATTAAAGAAATCTAGCATAAATTGCAATAGGCAGCTCCATGTGTCATTGTTACAAGTATGGGTCCCTTCATTCACATCATTTGTTGGTAGAGGCAAACACCTCACAAATCAGAAGTTTTATAAAAAGAAGTGTCCAATTATGGAGAAAGTAAAGTAAAAACAGCAAAGGACTGTGACCTGACTTTAAGCCCTTACTATTTAGGAGGCAATTATGAGGGTATACTGTATTTAGGCTTCTGGTCTCCTCTTCCTGAAACCTGCCCTTGGGACAGTACTAGAACTCCCACCAGCAGGGTTCAAAGACAGGGAACAGTAGGCGGTTTTCTGTGTAATAGAACCTGAAGGATATGACAGGTGTGTTTGCCCCAAGATATCTGCCCTACTTTTCACCCTTACCCTCCTCATCATGTAATTTCCACTTCTTGCCTTCTTTTTTCCTTTTTTTAGTCAAAGTCATGCCTGAAGACGGACTCTATTAAAATAAATGTGTTACTTGTAAGACATTACATTTTAACTCAGTAATGGTCACTTACGCAGTGACCCACCATTTACTTAGCAGACCAGCTAACATGTTTCCTGGCATAGCTCAGGGTTCTGAGGGAATGCAACACTAGGCAGGTCTATTTTACTAGGGAGAGGAGGGGAGAAAGAACAGAGGAAGTCATAGGAATCATCCCGAATGTGCAGTGCTGAGCACGCGCATTGCTGCGGAAAGAAGGCAGTCAGGATCTAGAAGACAGCTCCAAACAGAGCCACTGGAAGTGACTCAGCTAATTCGGAACGGGTGAGCGAGGATCCTGCTCCTTTCTGCCAGATCACAGAGGAAGAAAGAAGAAAACATGAACCAATATATAATTTGCTAAACTAATTAAAAAGGTTTATTGGGAAAGAGATCAGAATACAAAAACCAAAAACGGTCAAAATTCATTATCTTCAGATCATCTATTATTTTCATCTTCATGAATGTATTCGTTTCCTAGGGCTGCCATTAAAAAATTACCACAATTTGAGTGCCTTAAAACAACAGAAATTTATTCTCACAGTCCTGGAGGACAGAAATCCAAAATTAAGATGTCAGGAGAGTTATATCCTCTTAGGCTCTGGGGAACAATCTGTTCCATGCCTCTCTCTTATCTTTTGGTGTTGCAATCCTTGGCATTCCTTGACTTGCAGACAAATTATGTACTCCAATCTCCATATCCATCATCACATGACATTCTTCTTGAGTGTTCCTCTCTCTTTCTCTTCTCTTCTTATGAAGACACTTGTCATTAGAGTAGGGCCCACCCTAATCCAGTATGACAGCATCTTAACTTGATTACATCTTCACAGATGCCATTTTTATATAAGGTCACAGGTACTGAGGGTTAGGACATCAACACATCTTTTTGGAAGACACAGCTCAACCCACAACAATAGTCCCTTTCCAAAGAGAAACAAGACTTCAAGCTTCGTGCTCATTCTTCCCAGGGCCTTCCCACAATTCAGACGGGATCATTCACTGAAGGAATGGTGACCACTCAACTGAAGGAGGCAGTTGAGGAAAACTCTATCACTGTGATTAGGAGACTGAACAGCTCCTAGAAATTAAGATCATATTCTTACTGTGTTCTTCCACTTGGAGCTTTACCAGCATCAGCATTTCCATAAAGTTTTCAGAGTTTCATCCTTGGCAATAATCCAACACATGAGCACAACACTAAGGAATTGGCAATAGGGCATAAAGGACTATTGTTATAATGAGGAGTGGCAGCTCAGGAATAAGGAGGAAAGAGAGGCGCTAATCTCAGGGGCAAAGTAAATTGCACGCTAAATCAGTGATATCCATAATACTAAACAGAGGGAGGCTTAAAAGACAGGTTATTGACTTTTGTTTTTCTTTAAAAAAAGACAGGTTCTGAACAGGATCACAACCTGGGTGAGCAACTAGATATAATTAACGTGTAAACTATAGTTTTGATTCTATAATTTTTTCTGTCTCCAGCCTTTACTATACACACACCCAAATTCCAAGCAAGGCAAGGAAACTAATTAACAGATCCATCACTGAATAAATGAAACTCAAGTTATCCATGGCATCCATTGAAAATGGGCCAGCATGTATACACCTACATATCCGTGCCAACCACCATGAGATGAAATGAATCAGAGTCTACCATCCCTAACATTTAGGATGTCAGCCATTAATAATGGCAGTTTCAGGATAATGCTCTTAAATGAAATTGGGACACTATTAAAATCAAGATGGGCTGTTAACAATGCAGTTTCATCACATGCAAATTAGAATACTTGAAAAACTTCAGAGGTCTTAGGAGTAAGAATAGTCTCTCAACTCTTTAAAATTGAATAGAAAATGACTTGGGGCTTTCATATCTGAAACTATATTAAATGATAATACTGCATAAATTTGGACTGGCCCCTCACTTTCAATAAAGCTGACCTTGAAACTTTTTATTTACAAACTCATCTAAGCTAAGACCATGGCAATTAAGTCTTGAACTGCTTTTTATGGTTGCATTCTCAAAAAGACAGCAAAAATGTATTGAATACCTACTACAGGCCACACAGTGTTCTAGAAGCTGGTGATTCAAAAGTAAATAAGGCAATGTCCTTACTC
This sequence comes from Homo sapiens, assembly GCF_000001405.40. NCBI lineage: Eukaryota > Metazoa > Chordata > Mammalia > Primates > Hominidae > Homo > Homo sapiens. The sequence continues at coordinate 107,332,996 of NC_000005.10, forward strand.
CTTGGAGATTACAATGTAGCAGGGTGAGACAGATGAGTGTGCCTCAGTTCAGAAACAGGTGTCCTACTGGGTATAAAGAGATTTTTGGGTTTTGGCTTTTTTCCTACTACATAAGTATTTTAATGTAACAGCTACTTTTAGTAACTAGACTTTTTTCTGGATTTAAACATCCTTTTTAAAATTATTTTTTATTATCCTTTAAGTTCTGGGATACATGTGCAGAACTTGCAGGTTTGTTACATAGGTATACACGTGCCATGGTGGTTTGCTGCACCCATCAAACCATCAACTACATTAGGTATTTCTCCTAATGCTATCTCTCCTCTAGCTCCCCACCCCCTGACAGGACCGAGTATGTGATGTTCTCCTCCCTATGTCCATGTGTTCTCATTGTTCAACTCCCACTTATGAGTGAGAACATGCAGTGTTTGGTTTTCTGTTCCTGTGTTAGTTTGCTGAGAATGATGGGAATGCTTTTGCGCTGTTGGTGGGAATATAAATTAGTTCAACCATTGTGGAAGACAGTGTGGCGATTCCTCAAGGATCTAGAACCAGAAATAGCATTTGACCCAGCAATCCCATTAGTGGGTATATACCCAAAGGATTAAAAATCATTCTACTATAAAGACACATGCACACATATGTTTATTGTGGCACTATTCACAATAGCAAAGACTTGGAACCAACACAAATACCCATCAATGACAGACTGGATAAAGAAAATGTGGCACATATACACAATGGAATACTATGCAGCCATAAAACAAGGATGAGTTCATGTCGTTTTCAGGGACATGGATGAAGCTGGAAACATCCTTTTATAGATACCATAGAAATAAGTATAAAGAGGTTACAGTGTATTTTATGAACCATACTGGAAGGCCTGAAAACTTCTTTGTTATAAGGTAAAAAATTTTGAAATGTATTTTCCAAAATTTATTATTTACTTTATTTGATAATAAGAAAAAAATTAGCAGTGTGCAAAATGAGGACAGTCATAAGCTACAAGAAAAGCAGACCTGTGGACTAGTCCTTCCCAAGTTCCGCCACTTGGCTTTATTTTCATAATCTGTGATATTGGGGGTTAATTTTTTCTATCATTTTTAATGTATTATTCAGATATTACTGAATTATTCTGAGTAGCTTTGTATCTTCCAAAAGTTTAGTGGAAATTTTAATTTTTCAAATAATTTTAGAACTATTTTAAAAATACAGTAAAGCAAAAGGCACAGTCAAATGATATAGTCCATTGGAAACTACTAACAGAAAATTTATGCATGTAGGTTAACATATATTTGCACAGGCCTCTTAGTGATCTCTGGGCACATATTTGAGCTTCTCGAAACTGGACTATTGATAAGGAAGCTTGTAGCTCTGATCTGTCCTTTCAATAAATTTGTTCCTGCCTATATGCACTTTGTGAAGAATGATTTGAAGAAGTTCAATTACTTCAACTATGCAGTTTCAGCAACTACTTTAACACAAACCTGCTGGGCTCTATTAATGGCAGCTTAGACTCAACCAGATCCATTTGGTGTAGATTCTATTCAGAATCAGTATAACAGTCACCTGTGCGGTAACAAGTAAGCCTAGCACGTATCTTATAATACCATAATGTAAATAGTTTTAACATTTTCTCTAACTTTTGTAAGTTTATTGGCTTCCTTTTATGTCCATGATGAAGAATGCAGATATATTAGATATTGATAAGATTCCAATTTATAAAGAAAATTAACCATTGTTCTACTTTCAAGTTCTAGGTCAGTTTATTCGAAGAAAATCCTGAGGTTTCAAGATGAGCTGTTCAAATCGTTTACCATTTGCACCTATTTATTAGTGTGAATTAGAATTTTTTTCAATATCATGCAAGCAATGCAAAACACAAAAGTAAAATTGAAGATTGAGACTGCATTTATATCATCTATAAACCAGAGTTCACATTTTTGTACTCATTCAAACAGTGTCATTTTTCTCATTAATTCAGCTTTATAGAAAGTAAATGTTACAAATATGAACTTCTAAAATGTTACAAATATGAACTTCTAAAACAGTTACACTGTTCTCATCTCTTTTATACATAGAGTTTTTACATGATAATGATTTAGAAAGAAGTTGGTCCTTTTATGAAAATGTTTTACAATTCTTCTTGTCAGGGGTTGTTTCTTTTCGAGAAACAGAAACCTACTCAAGCTAGCTCAAAGTAAATTTTCACAATTTTCAGACTAATATTATTGGAAAACAAAAGCGATTCAATTCATTTGCTCAAAATGTCCTTAGCATGACCTTCAAGGCCCTAGGTAATATCTCCACTACATCTCTCTCTGATCTGAAGTTCCACTAACCTCCTCCTGGCCACTTGTGCACTAGCCCCAGTGATATCACATGCAACCAACATAGCCTTCTAGGCCCACCACTTCAGCAGGTGCTGTCAAAGATATTGACAACAACTCAAAAGGAGTGGAGGAGGCTTCTGCTAGACCCAAACAGTGTCTCCTTCGAAAACCAAAACAAAACAAAACACTGAGTAAGGTAAAAAATGATTTCAGATAGTCCCATCTCACTTTAGTATCTTAATATCATGATAGAGAAGTTAAATATACTTTAACAAGTTTATCACATTGTTTCCTTTTTACTTTTTATTCTTAGGATTCTTTGAATTGCAAGTCACTGAAACCCCAATCCAAATTTGCTTTAAGAAAAAATCTACCGACTCAAACAAGACAGAGATATTTTAGATTCAAGCAAGGATTGATCCAGAGCTTGAATGACTTTTACCCAAGAGTTTCTGGTTTTGTTTTTGTCCTTACCATTTCTCAACTTGACGTCCTCAGTGTTTTCATGGTTTCAGACTGCCTGCCAGAATCCAAGTAGTCCTCAAAAGTGCTAATGGATTGACTTGGCTCACACTGAATTAACTACAAGTGTTAAAGGAATGCGATATGTTGATTGGTGTAGGCTTTGGTCACATGTTCTACCCCTAGAATTAGGAATACAATCAACTGTATGAGGTCCACATGAGCTTAGACCAGGGGAGAGGAGATTCCACCACCAGAAAACCTGGATGCTAAACACCACGACCAATTCCTACCATCCTTGATGTGGCACTCAACTTAGTGAGACTGGAAATAATTTCATACAAGGTGAAAGCTTCTAATCTATAATTTTAATTTAATTTCAATTTTTGCTCTGCTATCTTTACTTAAATATTGACTATTAAAACCAAACCATTTTTTTTCAATAGTCTGTAGATAAAACATCATTACACTTCATATTTATGCTATATTCTTTACTTTTGGTTGAACGACCAATTCTACCAATCTACCCTCAGTGAAGTGCCCACAAGACCCTATTCTCTAGACACGTACATCAGGAGGGGAAGTGAACATTTAATCAATTAATATTTGCTGGCTAATGCTTTGACATTTACAAAGTCTGGGACACATCTGCATGAAACTCTAAAATAAAATTGGGCAAGTGATTAAGAATAAGATAATGAAAAGAAGCCAACTGGATTTAAGAAATAGATGCATTTCTTAGTCATTATGAGATTTGAAATGATGCTCATTGTCTCCTCAGTTTGTGAAAACTTTTTGTCAGATCATTCTACACACCATTAACAAAACAGAGAGCTGCACTTCATGGATTCAAGATCAAGTGACTGGTGAAATAGTTCAGCATTCAATAGATTGTCTAGGCATTTTGTGCAACTATGCCTTAACAAATAGAAAATTCAAATCCCAACTTATTTTGTGTTATGACGATTTTTAAAATTAAATTACTCTTTGCCAAGAGCAGTCAGCAATTGTTATGTAGCAGAGAAATATGCCATAAAAGTTGAAAAATTGGGCTCTGGTGTCAGACTGCCTGGGTTCAAGTCTTAAATCTGTACTTATTATTATCCCTTAATTTCTTTATCAGAAAAAAAAATCAAAATAGTACTATTATCTAATAAGAGTTTTCATAAGGATTAATGAGTCAATCCATAGGAAGCTCTTAGAAGTTTCTGGAAAGCAGAGTGCAAGGAGTGTTAGTTACAATTACTATTCTCCACTTTTTCTCTCTCTCTCTTCTTCTCTCTCCCTTCACACTTTTATTTCTTCATTACATTAAAAAATGCTATTAAATTGTTTTATGGATGCCTCATTTTTCTATAATGCAGATCACAAACTGGCCCAGTCATGATTGAGATATAATCACCAAAGAAATGCCTTCGACAGAGATGGAGTAGCTGACAAGTTGCTAAACACAATGTTAAACTGTTTGTTATTGTTGAGGAGTGGGAAGCTTCTCTTTTAAAAGACTCCCAAGTTTAAAGCCAACATGATTAATATTCAGAGCAGACAGACTAGTTTATATAGCCAGAGACACTGAGGTCAGCCTGGATAATGGAAGAGCATGCTCATTCCTGAGCCTGTAGTGACACATACTTACATCCCTACCGAGTCCAGGCACCTCAGGCTTGTCAAAAAGAGGTGTGTCCATAAGGTTGTAAAGATTTGAACCTTACAAATGAGCATCATGTAGTCATAAGCATTTGGATGAGTCACAGCTTATTTTATGGGTGTAGCTCATCTTCAAAGGAAGATTGAACTGGCCATAAACATCAGATCATGGAACATAAGCTTTTCCAAAGACTCCTCATAAAAAAATACAATAAAAATAAATACAGCTATTGCCTAAAATTCAAAGTCTCACAGAGATTTATTGTGAATCGAATGCATCATTGCTCATCTTTTTTTTTTTTTTTTTGGATGATATCTATAGCACTGAACTGAGTTTCTTTCTAAAATGTTGATAAAGCTATTTTTGTTAATGTACATGATCGGTTATAGAAGACAACCTCAATACAGCATGGAATAGGAGAACATTTTAAAACATCTGCATTTTTACTGTTTTCCAATTCTCATCAGGAATCTTGTTGGCCCCTCAACATGTAATCTGACATGACCTAAATAATACCCACATTTGGAGTGGCCAAAATGTCAAAAGATTTCAAGATATTACAAAAACAAAAATATCCAAAGTTCAAACATATTTTTACATGTGTGGTCCACCACCCTAAATTTTCTGAAACTAAACATGAAGATCATTTTCGTGAAAATAATAAATTATGTTTTTGCTAGCTTCCATTTATATGAAATCATTTAACACATATTATTTTAGCATACCTATTACTTTTCCAGCACAATCTAGGTTCTTCAGGAAATTTAGAACAAACACAAGAGCCAGTCTCTGAACTCTAGGAGCTTTTATTTCAGCAGGAAGATTATATTGTGTGCACACAACATCAAACATCATAAGGCAGGCAACAATTTAATGGTGTCTTTTGGTAGAAATCAACCATTGTTGAAGGTTAGAGAAGAGGAAGAGCAAGGGCATAAATCAGGCAAAATTGCATGAAAAAAATGTCTTGAACTGAACCTGAATGTATTAATAAAACCCAGAGGAAAAGCGAACAATGAATTAAGTCAAATAACAATAACATCATCAAAAGATGAGTAAAGAATAACAAGTCAGTTTTTAGACAAAATCCAGGTTTCGTCAGTAAAACAGATATATGAGTCACAGGTAGCTCCAGCATTTCAAACTTGGGTAACCTAGAGAAGATCTTTATCAAATACAGGAAAGTTAAAAAACAGAGCTCAAAGACAAGAGAAATTTTATTTAAGAGATATTACAGTTGAGGTGACAGTACAATTTCTCATTATTGATGTCTGGTACACAAGGGGAGGTGATAATGGAGAGTAGAGTTTTGGAGAGAGATCTGGGGTTATAGGGTGAAAATTATAATATCACGTAAATTCTCCCTAGGCAGTTTATTCAATAGTGTCTATTGTCTTGTTCCCCCAGCACAAAATTAGAGTGCCCCTTTATTATGAGATTCATCCTACCCTGGAAACATTACCCTATTGTCTACATCAAAAATTACTCAACTCTTATGGGTCATGGCCACTTGAGCCATATTTTCTCAATGTTCCTTCATCCCAGTACCCATGGAGTTAACCAGTGTCATGCAGATATGCCAGATTTTATTTTTTTCAGTGATGACGGGCATACTGCTAGGTCAGGCTGACCTAGTGTGAGTTTAAAAGCATTAATATTTTACATACACTATTATTCCATGTAAATGCATTAAAGCATAAGAAAATCCCAATGTTTGTAGATTTTTTTTTTGCTTTATCTGAGTCTTAGTAGTTATGCTATGCTGTTTTATAACAATCCTGTTATGAAAGTCTTGAATGTATTTTGTATCTTCCAATGCTGACCAAATTATTTGATCTTTCATTAGCTGTCCACAAGAATAAGAGATTGATGCTCTAGGTGAATAAAAGTAAGAGTTGGAGATTTAATGGATGAGCAGCAAGGAATGAGAGGAAGAATGTTATATATGTGAACTGTAAGTTAAGCATTTCGGCGAATAGCAGCTCCCCACATGCTTTATGGTGGAATCTCAGGCCACTGGGTTGAAAGGTACCTTAGAGCTCCTCTAGGCTCACATTTCTTAGGAAAGATTAGGGCTGGGGCAGATGCAGAAGGATTTTGAGTGGTCTCTCTTTCTTGTGCTGTTCTGCTCCCACTTGGGGCAGAAATTTGTATTTGAGTATTTGTAAAAGATAACATTTAAAAATGACCACAAGACCCTGGTTACTAAGCTTGATCCCTCTTTTCCCTAAAGAAACTCTGAAGGATTTTTTTTTTTAATCACAAAAATAACAACAGAATCCTAAGATCATTTTTACCTTTTATACTAATGCTCCTAGATGGTCTTTGAAGGTCTAGTTACAAATGGATAAATGGAGGCCAGCTCCATCTCTAACGACCTACCAGCTTAACCTCACTAGGCCCGCCTCCCTTTCTGTTGAGTTAGATGCCCTTAAATTCATTTCCAGCCCTATCATTCTATAATTCCACACATATTCTGAGATAGTCTCATGAAGCCTATCCAAAGGCTCCATGATGGCAGATTCCTAATTCAACTTAAAACCAATATTACAATTTGGTAATTTTACTGGAATGTGAGTTGTTGTTAATGGCTTGATGATAATTCTCCTTAAACTTAGAGAAGCTGCTATGCAAAGTGTTTATTTAACATTCGGTTAATTCCTGAATGTTATTCCGGAATCCATGAAGACAACAATCCATGAAGACAATGTGAACACTAATTTTTCAGAGTGAAAAAATAAAGATAGGAAAGAGTTAAGTGTACTTATTAACCTACAGATGGCAATTTTGATCAATAGTGTAGACCTAGAAGAAACTTTTTTTTAATATATTTTAATTTAACCCTAGATGAAGCAATTTGGTTCAACATCCATGACCAGGTTACTTACTACAGCTTCCAGGTTTCCAGGCTATTTGTTTGCATTTACGAAAGAAACAAAACTGGGAATATATGCAATATACAATTTCTAAGATTTTTTTTCAGAGCTAAAATCATGTTGTAATACTTAAATAAATCCCTTTCTCCCTTGATCTATACAATATTTATATATTGTTGGAAAATTATAGACATGATTTTTAATCTGTCTTTAGACACATTAATATGTCTTTAGACGTATTAAACAATCTTTGGAGTTTTTGCTTACTTTATTTCTTAGGAAACCAGATTGCCAAGTTAGAGCATGGAAATGTATTCTTACCTGTGTCAGAACAAATCAAACATTGAAAATGAGACTGTATTTCCCTCTCATTGATGGTCCCTAATGGCAAAGATCCCATCTCCAGCTTTTGATCATTTTTCATTTCAACGGAGCATGCTGGGCCGCAGCTAAGCATGTGGAAATGGCTGTGAGTCAGGTGAGTAAAGGAAGCCCTGTGTCAGCACATGCTGAAAGCAGCAGCTGAAGTCCTGTCCACACTGGTAAAAAGACTGTACTGGAAACGTGTTTTGCCACATCCTGACAGTTGCCCTGCTTCTACCTGATATGGTCAGTTTCTGCCTGTTTATTCTCTAACCCACAAGGCATGCTGCATCCAAGTTGCTGTTTCCTTCTTGATGAATCTCCCTTGGATTCTGAAGGAATCCTTGGATTTTGCAGTACATCTTCACCAGGATAGTAAAAAAAAAACCACAAGTACCATCCTTCCAAATCAGATTTTAGTTAAGTTCATGGAGTCACTTTCCACATTTTTAGGACTGGTTTCTTTTCACTTAATGAGGTTTTTCAATTATTAAGATTCTTTAGCCACATCCAAGTCATGGCAGGATGGGTTTAAATGATGAGCATTTCCCCAACAAAATCATCATTTAATGTTGAGCAAAAACTTAAATAGTAGACGGCACATTCAGGGTCGGAACCAATGTCTGACAAGGACAAGCTTGCTCCAGCTCGGCCCGAATGATGATAAACTTGGGCTTCAACATTTCGACTCTTGAATCTGGGAAACAACTCAGTGGAAATTTATATACAGTGCGTAATGTGAGGCTTGGCTAAAAGCAAAGCTGCCCTTGGAAAAAGATAGATGGTTTTAAACAAGGCTAATTTAAAAACCTGAATCAAAGATAAATCAGCTTTCTGAACTTAGAGGGGCAGCCTCCACAGCAGAGGTCCCACACAGCCCACCCAGCGGAGGAGTCTCCCTCCTGCCCTGCCAAGAACAGAGGCCTAGGGCTGCTGGAAGAATCCCTCTGTGAGCCCTCTCTGGATGGGGAAAGGCAGGTTGGGGCCTTTGAGAAAGGCATTAATCACATTTGGTTCCTTGTACCTGAGAAAAAATAGCTATCTATGGGATCTGAATTTTTGTGTTTCAAACTGGAGAAAGCTTTTATGATGTCTCTTGATGAAATATAACCACCCTCTCATTCTAAGCAGCCTTTAAATTCTCAAATGTGTGTAAATGGAAAACACGCTGTGGGTCTTTATTCTACTGAGCAGCAAGAAATAAATCAGAACTCTCCCTCCGCACCCCCCATTCTGTCTCTCCCCTGATACCTCACAGATGTGCAGCGTTAGAGGGAAGAGCAGAAATGCTTTATAAAATTAATATGTGGAAGCTGCTTTATTTACCATAAATGCCTAGCCCAGGGCTTTCTCTACAGTGCCCCGTCAAGATATTAAGCTGAGTTCTTGCCTTCTGCCTACCAAAAAGTCCTCTTTCATATCTGTCGGATGGGAGGGTCTCCATTTTCTGCATAGGAGAGGCAGTTGGTGGTGGCGTGGTATTTACCGTCAAAAGTGAGATGACTGCAGGTTAGTGGTAAACAAAACATTTCATCCATAATGTATAAAATGTGTAAATCACTTTAGGATCCTGCTGGGTTCAAAGTCCTATATTAATATCCTTGATTAGTATAATTGATATTAAACTGGATGCTAGAGACCCCAATAGATGAATACAAATGCTAGAACTCGCCTCCGTAGCTCATTCATATCTGAAAATATGTGGAAGATATACCACAGAGCTCATGAAAGACTTTTAACTGATTTTAATAGCAGTCATTACATTAGAAAATGAGACTTCCGCTTGTAACAGAGATGAACTGGGAAGAAACAAAGGAGGAGAGGTAACTAGTGCAGCGCCCCAGTGCCCTGCCAGAATTACTGCTCATCATTCTTGCTTTCAGCAGTTAGCCGGCTCCTTTTGTCAAAGACTACCACCGTCTAATGAAACAATTAGGGCTTGACAGTTTAAATATGCTATTTTGTTCTTTTCAAATGTAAGTGCCAGCCACTAAGACAAACTATACCCACTACCTTCCTATCAGCAGAGCCATTGTTATCCCAGATAGAATGCCCTAAAAATAAAATCCATTTTGTATGTGAAGCTTCATCAAGTCAGGTCATGTCTGCTCCTCAGGGCAGACTGCAGTGTACTAATTTCATTATGCTATTTTTAAATGTAGCCTCCTTGGATCTTTTAGTATGTCCTACATAGCTCAACAAGGCCCTGAGTTAGTGTTCAGGGTTCTCTTACTAATCACCTCTGTCCACCCTGGCCTCCACCCTAACCTCCACAACCTCTCCAGACCTGGATGGTTAACAGGAAATAGGCACACTAATGATGGATGTGTTCACACAAAAATGAACATCACCTACTAGGCACTGGCCAACACATGACTATAAGAAGACCAAACTGGCATCAGTTTCTTGAATTCACTATTGAAGTTACTCCAGTTTTAAAAATAAAAATCCCCAAAAAGAGAGAATGGCTTTTTAAGATATCATCTTGAGTTATTTTTGAGCCTTTGTACCTATTTCTGTTTTGTCTCTTGTAGAAAGTGTTTTTTTTTTTTTAGTTGTATAATGAACACAGACTCAGGTAAATGAAAAGTGTAGAAGAAAATATCATTATTCATTACTCTTTTACTTGTGACTAATGGAAACCCAACTGAAACTTGATATGCAAAAAAGGACATATTGTTCATTTAATCAGAATTGGAGTGGCATTGGTCACAGAGAGATTCATGGGCTCAAATAATGCCATGAGGACAAGGTTTCTGTCTCTTGGTCTCTCAGTTCTATTTTTTCCTGTGTTAGCCTACATTTCAGGGGGATTGCTCCTCCTAGTAGTCCATGACACCCTCAGCATTACAACTTACCAGCTGAGTAACCCTGATGAATGTCGTCTCCTGGGGGTAGGGAGAATGAGATGATGGCCAATGGGCAGGAAATATCAGAGAGGAGAAATAATTTTTTTTTATTTTGGAGATCTATTATACACTGTGGTGACTATAGTTAATAATAGTGTGTTGTACAATTCAAAAATGCTAAAAGAGTAAATTTCACATATTCTTAACACAAAAAGAGTATTTGAGGTTATGGATAGATTAATTAGCTTGATTTAATTATTTCATATTGTATTTATAAATCATAACATCACTTTGTACCCCATAAACACATATAACTATAAATTTTCCATTTACAATATTTTTTCTTAAAAAAAGAAATGTTTCCTTCTTCAAAATTATTCTAACCACACTCCCCAAATTGAGTCTCATCAGTATGGCATGGGTTATGTGTTCACCCCTGAACCTATAAGTATGGACAGAGTAATGAGAATCTCTGATTGAGTCCATTTCTGTCATATGCTCACATAGAGCCAGAAGTTTAGATCAGTTGCAGATAAGCCACATGGACTGAGAAGAAAGAAGACGTGGTTCCCCAAAATGTCACCAAGGTATACCATCTGAAGAAAAAGGAAGAGATGCAGAGAAAGCAAAAAAGAGCAGATGTCCAACAGAGCAATTTATTCCCTCAAACTAAAAACAAGATAATATTCTTTGAAAACTTTTATCTTATTTATTCAGACAACAATCAAAGATACATACTTAATCCTAGAGGAGGTGGAAGGTCCAAAACTATTTTTGAAAACTTTGATGAATCTGTTCTAATTGGAAGAGTGAAATATTTTCCTCTCCAAGATTTAGAAACTGTCAGGAGATACCAGTGTGGGGAATAATGAAGAAATTACACAGAATAAAGAGAGAAAAAAAATAAATGGCATAAATTAATTGGGGAATCATGTCCCCAAAGTCCAGTCCCCAGTTGCACACTCACATTTTGAATATATTGTCCTGCTGCCTTCTTACCTCCATTATTTCTGATGAGAAGTTAATTGTTTATCTTACTGGGGTTCCCTTGTGCATGACGAATCTTTTTTTGTTACTGCTTTCAAGCTTTCCTATTTATTTTTGGCTTTCAACATTTTGATAGTGACATGTCTGTAGATTTGTGTGTGTTTGTCCTGCTTGGAGTTGGTTGAGCTTCCTGGGTGTATAGATTAATGGCTATCATTAAATTCGGAAGTTTTCAGCCATTCTTTCTTTCTTTTTTTTTTCTTTTCTTTTTTCGAGACAGAGTCTTGTTCTTTCACCAGGCTGGAGCACAGTGGTGCCATCTCGGCTCACTGCAACCTCCACCTCACAGGTTCAAGTGATTCTCCTGCTTCAGCCTCCTGAGTAACTGAGACTACAGGTGCCCACCACCACACCTGGCTAATTTTTGTATTTTTAGTATTTTTAGTAGAGACAGGGTTTCACCATGTTTGCCAGGCTGTTCTCAAACTCCTGACCTCAAGTGATCCTCGGCCTCCCAAAGTGCTGGGATTATAGGCATGAGCCACCGCACCCAGCCAATTTCCTCAAATGCTTTTCTTGCTTCTTTTTATCTCTATTCTCTTTTGTGTACTCCCACTATACACATGTTCCTTGGTTAATGGTGTACCATGTTTCTCTGAAATACTGGTGTTTGGTTGTTTCTTTTTTTTCATTCTTTTTTCTCTCTGTTCTTAATTCTAGAGGAGGTGGAAGGTCCTCTCTATTGAACTAATTTTAAGTTTGCTGATTCTTCTCCCAGCTCATTTTGAGCACCTCTAGTGAATTTTTCATTTTAGTTATAGTACTTTTCAACTTCAGAATTTCCATTTGGTTATTTTTTTTAAGCCTTTCTATCTCTTCATTGATAGTCTCTATTTGATAAAACATTGTCATCAGGTTTCCTTTGATCCTTCAGCTATGATTTTCTTTAGTTCTTTGAACATATTTTTAATAAATGCTTTGAAGTCTCTGTCTACTAAATCCAACATCTTGGTCCCTTAAAGGCAGTTTCTATTGCCTAGTATGTTTCCTGTGTATCTGTCACTCTTTTCTGCTTCTGTGCATGTCTCATAATTTTTTGTTGAAAACTGGACATTTTGGATAATATATTGAAGCAAACTTGGATATGAATATCCCCTGGGTGTTGATGTTGTTTGATTGATCATTTGTTTGTTTGGTGATTTGGCTGAACTAATTCTGTGAGGCCTATTTTTCCTGTAGTGTGTAGCCTCTCAAGTTTCAGCTCAGATTATTTTCCCCTTGTTTTTTACCTTTTAGCCTGGTTTCCTAGGGGTTGCCCCAGAGTCAGCATAAGCTACTTATTGGTCAAAAGAAGATACTAATTAGTCAAAATTAAGCTCTGTTAGATTTTTACCCTTTAGCACTGGATGTACATGTGTGTAGCTTGGGGGCTGCTATTAGAACTCAAGAGGGTGGTAGTTTTGCCCACAATCAGCCCAGGGACTAGTAGCTTTGAAGTTCTTGTCTCTGATTCCCTCTGAGAGGGCACCACCTTGGGTATGCACACTATCTTCCAAACTGCCAGGGATGCATGTGCTTTCAATTCTAACCCTAAATTCCTAGGAATTATTTTTGGGCCAGGGTAGCTTATCGTTCAGCCAGTGTTCAGGAAGAGGTGTGCTTAAAACCCTTGTGCCAGTGAATCTTCTGCTCGATGTTGATGATAGATATGTGTGCAGTTTGGGGAGTGATTTCAAATCTGTCCAAGTCCTCTTCTGATTGCTCCTGTATCAGGGGAGCCAGCCCCCAATATTTCAATGTAGGTTCTTTTCTATTTTCCCTAAGTGTTGGCCAGTCTGAGAAATAAAGGGAAAGAGTACAAAAGAGAGAAATTTTAAAGCTGGGTATCTGGGGGAGACATCACATATCAGCAGGTTCCGTGATGCCCCCTGAGCCGCAAAACCAGCAAGTTTTTATTATGGATTTTCAAAGGGGAGGGAGTGTACAAATAGGGTGTGGGTCACAGAGATCACATGCTTCAAAGGCAATAAAGTATCACAAGGCAGAAGGTCAGAGTGAGATCACAAGGTCAGGGTGAAACTAGAATTGCTAATGAAGGTCCATGTCCTGCTGGGCACACATTGTCATTGATAAACATCTTAGCAGGAAACAGGGTTCAAGAGCAGAGAACCATCTGACTAGAATTTGCCAGGCTGGAATTTCCTAATCCTAGCAAGCCTGGGGGCGCTGCAGGAGACTAGGGCATGTTTCATTCCTTATCTTCAACTGCATAAGGCACACACTCCTAGAGCGGCCATTTTAGAGGCCTTCTCCTGGGAATGCATTCTTTTCCCAGGGCTGTTAATTATTAATATTCCTTACTGGGGAAATAATTCAGTGATATTTCTCTTACCCATTTTCGGCAATAAGAGAAATATGGCTCTGTCCTGCCTGGCTTCCAGGCAGTCAGACCCAATGGTTATCTCCCTTGTTCCCTGAACGTCGCTGTTATCCTTTTTCAAGGTGCCCAGATGTCATATTGTTCAAACACAGATGCTTTACGAAAAATTTGTGCAGTTAACGAAATCATCACAGGGTCCTGAGGTGACATACGTCCTCAGCTTATGAAGATGATGGGATTAAGAGATTAAAGTAAAGACAGGCATAGTAAATTATAAGGGTATTGATTGAGGAAGTGATAAATGTCCATGAAATCTTCACAATTTATGTTTACAGATTGCAGTAAAGACAGGCATGAGAAATTATAAAAGTATTAATTTGGGGAACTAATAAATGTCCATGAAATTGTCACAATTTATGTTCTTCTGCTGTGGCTTCATCCAGTCCTTCCGTTCAGGGTCCCTGACTTCCTGCAACACTCCTGAGTAGATCCCTAACACATATGCACGGCCCTTTCTGATCCACAGAGTTGACTGTGAATCCAGAGGAATATTCTTAGCTGTTTCTTTCTATGGTTCTGTCTACTAGACTTCTGGCTGTTTTGCTTTTTGACTTGTTGCTACCAGTATCATGGAGCTACCAACAGCCTCATAATTGCTCTCCACCAAGATTTCCATTGTTTTTCACTCCCTGCGACCTGGAATTTCCATATTCTGTTTCAAATAAACTCAGTTCTCTCCAGCTGAGCTGTTCACAGCCTGCCTCTCCCACTGAGTACAATCTCCCAGCATAGGAGCTGGGAGAAGGGATGGTGGCTCACCTCTCCTGGATTGACAACCTTGCTCTACTGGTGGGTGCTGGAATAGGAGGTGGTAGCCCCTGATCTCAGCTTACCCATCTAAGCACAAAACTTCCACATTGCTAGGGCATGAGCGATAGGGGCACATATATTCTCAGCCTGCCACACCTGGGTTGGAGGTTCTGCTCTGGGAGTAGGGGCTGGTGGTGGATGGGAGTCTTAGTTCTTTCAGCCACTCCTGCCCTGAATAGAGCTTTTGCAACAAAGGGCCTGGAGGGTGGGCAGGGTGAAAAGATACCCCTGGACTGGGAGCCTAGGGATGAGGGAGCCCTTCTCCTCTCTACTCTCTCTTCTCCTTCATCTTCTTGGCTGCACCTGCATAGAGTAGGACACCCAGAAAAGAGTTTCCTAAACACAGAGCTGAGCTAGAGGCAAAGGTTATGACTCAAATGTCACAGACTCTTGCTGTTCTTACTGCTCAATAGATTTTCTTGAATGAATATTTCTCCATTTGCTGTGTGACCTTATGACAATTTCCAGAGATTTTTAAATGGCTTTTCATAATTTTTATCAGTTAAATAGTTGTTTTACTGAGAAGAGAGTCCTCTGGCTCCTCACTCACCATTCTGGAAGTCCCTCTACACTCACATTTAACTTTCATTCTGTAAGTTACAAATCCATCAGTCATAAGCCATTCAAGAGCTTAAAGAGTTATCTAGTCTATTCCGTCTGCCTTTGGATAGGATAATACCTTAGCCAGCCCAGATAGATGAAAATCTATACTGGTTTTGAAAACCTTCAGAGAAAAAAATTTCACAGCCTTTCTTAATAACCTAAATCAATGCTTAACAACTCTCACTGCCAGGAATTCTTCTTTGCTCATAACCTAAAACCCACATGCTACAGTTTAAAAGCCTTTCCTCTTCATCTGTCCTGGAGAAGATAAAGAACAGCTGGTCACCATACAACATACTTCCTCTCTGTGAGGAACCATCTCTAACATCCTTTAAAAAAAATCCTCTTTTGACCCTGTCATTAGAATAAATAATCTTAATATTTCCTCATTCTAGTTTTAATTTTAATTTTTCTGGATACATAATAGTGTCTATATGGGATACATGACATATTTTGATACAGGCATACAAGGTGTAACAATCACATCAGAGTAAATGGAGTATCCATCACCACGAGCATTTATCCTTTCTTTGTGTTACAAACAATCCAATTATATTCTTCTAGTTATTTTAAAAGGTGCAGTAAATTATTGTTGGCTGTAGAAACCCTGTTGTGCTATCAAATACTAGATCTTATTCATTCTGTCTATATTTTTGTACTCATTAACCAGTCCCACTTCCCCCTAACCCCACTACCTTTCTCAGGTAACTATCATTCTACTCTCTATCTCCACAAGTTCGAATGTTTTAACTTTTTTAGCTCTGACAAATGAGTGAAAAGAGATGAAGTTTGTCTCTATGTGCCTAGTTTATTTCACTTAACATAATCACCTCCAGTTCTAGCCATGTTGCTGTAAATGACAGTATCTCATTCATTTCGATGGCTGAATAGTACTCCATTGTATATATGTATCATATTTTTTATATCCATTCATTTGTTGATGGACACTTAGGCTGTTTCCAAATCTTGGCTATTGTGAATAGTGCTGGAATAAACATGAAAGTGCAGCTATCTCTTCAACATACTGAGATTTCCTTGCTTTGGGGCTATATACTTAGCCATGGAATTGCTGGATCACCTGATCATTCTTTTTCTCTCTGTGTGTGTGTGTGTGTGTGTGTGTGTGTGTGTGTGTGTGTAACCTCCAAA
Source organism: Homo sapiens (assembly GCF_000001405.40). Lineage (NCBI taxonomy): Eukaryota > Metazoa > Chordata > Mammalia > Primates > Hominidae > Homo > Homo sapiens. Next base: position 107,349,516 of record NC_000005.10, read on the forward strand.
CTGTTTTCCATGGTGGTTGTACTAATTTACATTCCTACCAGCAGTGTATGAGGGTTCCCTTTTCTCCACATACTCACCAGCATTTGTTGTTGCCTTTCTTTTGGATACAAGCCATTTTAAATGGGGTAAGAAGATAGCTCATTGGAGTTTTAATTTGCATTTCTCTGATTATCAGTGATGTTGAGCACCTTTTCATATACCTGTTTGCCATTTGCATGTCTTCTTTTAAGAAATGTATATTCAGATCTTTTGCCCATTTTTAAATCAGATTAGTAAATTTTTTTCCTATTAAATTGTTTGAGCATGTTTAATATTCAGGTTATGAATTGCTTGGCAAATGGAGAGTGTGCAAATATTTTCTCCCATTCTGTGTGTTGTCTTTTCACTTTGTTGATTGTTTCTATTGCTGCGCAAAAGCTTTTTAACTTTATGCAATCCTATTTTTCTATTTTTGCTTTGGTTACCTGTGCTTTATTACTCAAGAAATCTTTGCCCAGTCCAATGTCCAAGAAAGTTTCCCCAGTGTTTTCTCTTAGTTTCATAGTTTGAAGTCTTAGGATTAAGCCTTTTTATTTGATTTTTGTATCTAGTGAGAGATAGAGATCTAGTTTCATTCTTCTGCATATGAATATCCAGTTTCCCAGTACAATTTATTAAAGACACTATTATTTCCCAACTATATGTTCTTGGATCTTGGTCAAAAATGAGTTCACTGGATGTATGGATCTATTTCTGGGTCATCTATTCTGTTTCATTGGTCTATGTCTCTGTTTTTATGGCAGTACATATTGTTTTGGTTACTATTTCTCCGTGGTATAATTTGAATTCCAATAATGTGATTCCTCCAGTTTTGTTCTTTTTGTTCAGGATAGCTTTGGCTATTCTAGGTTTTTTGTGATTCCATATAAGTTTTTGGATTTTTTTCTTCTATTTCTGTGAAGAATGTCATTGATATTTTGAGGGAGATTGCATTGAATCTGTAGGTTGCTTTAGGTAGTATGCACATTTTACCAATATTGATTCTTCCAATCCATGAACATGGAATATCTTTCCATTTGTTTTGTGTCCTCTTCAATTTCTTGTATCAAAGATTTATAGTTCTCATTGTAGAGGTCTTTCACTTCTTCGGTTAAGATTATTCCTAGGTATTTTATTTTCTTTGTAGCTATTGTAAATAGGGTTTCTTTCTGAATTTCATTTTAAGGCAATTTTGCAGATGTTGTAAGCGTGTTTCACTCTTTTCTATTCTTTTTTCTTTTGTTTCCTCTGACTGTGTATTTTCAAATGCCTGTCTTTGAGTTCACTAATTCTTTCTTCTGCTTCATCCATTCTGCTCTTAGGAGATTCTGATGCATTCTTCAGTATGTCAACTGCATTTTTCAGCTCCAAAATTTCTGCTTGATTCTTTTAAATTATTTCTATTTCTTTGTTAAGTGTATCTGATAAGATTCTGAATTCCTTCTCCACAGTACCTTGAATTTCACTGAGCTTCCTCAAAACAACTATTTAGAATTCTCTGTCTGAAAAGTCACATATCTCTGTTTCTCCAGGATTGGTTACTGGTACCTTATTTAGTTTCTTTGGTGAGGTCATGTTTTCCTGGATGGTCTTGATGCTTGTGGATGTTCATCAGTTTCTGGGTATTGAAGAGTTAGATATTTATTATAGACTTTGCAGTCTAAGCTTGTTTGTACCCAACCTTCTTAGGAGGGCTTTCCAGGTATTCCTGGAATTCTAAGTTTTTGGTCTCTATAGCCCTATCTGCTTTAGAGTGTACCACACGCCCAGTAATGCTTTGGCTCTTGGAGATTCATAGAGGTGCCACCTTGGTGATCTTAGGCAAGATCCAGGAGAATTCTCTGGATTACCAGGCAGAGACTCTTGTTCTCTTCCCTTACATTCCCCCAAACAAATAGAGTCTCTCTCTATGTGTTGAGCTGCCTGGAGCTAGGGGAGGGGTGATAGAAGCACCACTGTCACCACTACCACTGGGACTGTGCTGGGTCAGACCTGAAGCCAGCATAGCACTGGGTCTTGCCCAAGGCCCATAGTGACCACTGCCTGGCCCCCACCTATGTTCACGAAAGGCCCAAGGGCTTGTGTCTTTCCCTTAGGGGTGGCAAGTTACACTCAACCCCAGGTGGGTTTGTAGATCCTGTCCAGGAGCTAAGGCCTGGAGTTGAAATCCTTTTGAATCTACCAGGTACTCTATCCTACTGTGGCTGAGCTGGCATCCAAGCAGCAAGACAAAGTCCTTTGTACACTTCTCACCCATTTCCTCAAGCAGAGTCTCTCCCCATGTCACCACCATCCTAGGCCAGTGGCAGGTTCTGCCTGGCTACTGCCAGTGTTCACTCAAGGCCCAAGGGCTCTTCAGACAGCTTACGATGAATGCTGCCAGTCCTGAGTCTCTCCCTTCAAGGCAATGAGATCTGCTCCGGCCCAGTTCAGGTCCAGAAATACTATCTAGGAGCCAAGACCTAGATCTGGGAACCCCTGCAACCTGCTTGGTGCTCTACCCTATTGTGGCTGAGCTGGTACCTAAGCTTCAAGACAGTTTCTTTATTCTTCCCTCTGCTTTTCTCAAGCAAATGGATTCTCTCCTCATAGCCACTACATAGCTGGCAACGTACTGGGTCACACCTGAAGACAGCACAGCTCTGAATCTCAACCAAGGCCGTGGTGAGTATTGCCTGGCTACCACTACTGATTATTCAGGGCTTAAGGGCTCTTTAGTCAGCAGGTGATAAATCTTGCCAGGAATGGGTCCTTTCCTTCAAGGTAGCAGATTCCCTCCTGGTCCAGGCTTGTGTTTAGAAATGGTGTCTGGGAGCTAGGGCCTGGAATGGGGGGCCTCAGAATTCTGCCTGGTGCCCTGTTCTACTGTGGCTAAGTTGGTATTCGAGTTGCAACACAAATTCCTCTTTACTCTCCCCTCTCCTCTCCTCTCCTCTCCTCTCCTCTCCTCTCCTCTCCTCAAGCAGAGGGAAGGAGTCTCTTCCAGAGCTGTGAGCTATGCTGCCTGCGGTTGGGAGAGGGGTGACACAGGAACTTCCTTGGCTGTCCCACCTGGTATTTCACAGGTTGTGTGCATTCCAAATCCACTGGCTTGAAGCCCAGCACAGCACCAAGATTTACTCAGGAATTGCTGTCTTTGTGGCCTAGACTGCCTTTCAAGGTTATTTAGGACCCCAGGACTGTTTAGGCCAAGGTGGCAGGGCTTGCCAGGGTGGGTGATTCCTCTCTGACTATGGCTGGTCTAAGTGCTCCCTCTGTGGGTGCCAGCTGAGTTCTGCCCCATATTGCTTTCTGCTGTGACAGGGTAGCACTGAGTTCCAATGCAAAGTCCACACTCACTGTCCTCTCCCTTCCCCAAACACATAGATTCTCTCTCCATGCCATGCGGCCACTGCCAGGGATGGGGAAGGAGTGGTGCAGGCGATTTGAGACTGTCTTTCTTACCTGCTTCAGCACCTCTTTCCTCAATATGATGTTATAACTAGGTACTGTGATCGCTCACCTGATTTTTGGTTATTTTGAAGGTGCTTTTGTTGTGTATAGTTGTTCAGTTTGGTGCTCCTGTGCTGGGGAGACACTAAATGGAGGCTTCTATTCAACCACTTGTTCAGCTTCCCTCCCTTCATACTATTTTTCAATCCATGAGCAACCTTTGTGCTCTCTTCCAAAATCATTTCACTGTTGTCATTAACCTCTTAAGATCTGAAATACTTCTCAAAGCAAGGTCCAAGAACTTTATACATGATTCTCTTAAAGTGCTTGTTAAATACACAGATTTGTGTGACCCTCTCTGGACTTAGTGACTCATAACCCTGGTTATGAATCTGGGAATCAGCATGCCTAACAAATTCACCAGGTGCTTCTGATGCACTGATGTATAAGATCCTATAGGCTAGACTGTGGTCTATTTTCACTGGGTTATAGATTGCAACACCTTGCCTGCATAATAGAATCACATGGGAACTTTTATAAATTCTGAAGTCCAGGCTGCACCCCAGTCTAATTAAATCAGAGTCTCTGGGGGTGACATTAGGGTCAGCAGAATTTTTAAAGCTCCCCAGGTGAATTATAAGTAAATCCAATGGAGACAGCCAGTTCTCCAAGGCAAGAAGATATTAGCATTTTTATCTCAGCACCTATCAGCACAAAGCCTAATACAGAGAATGTTAGTGCCTAGTTAGGTGACTGAGTAAACTAGACATAAGTTTTATTTCTAGGTCCATGTTTATTGAATGTCCCATTTTCTTCTATCTATCTATATCATGGGATATTTTGTATAATAGTAAGGGTGAACTGTCCTTTCTCATAGTAAAGATAAGTCTTTTTGTTACTATTTGTTGTTTTAGAGGAGAGCTGACTTTGAGGGACAAGAGACAAATATTTCAGTTCAGAAATGTGTAAGATTGGAGATGCTGAGTGATGCCTGTGTAAAGATTCCTCATAGGCATTGTGAAGACTGGAAATATGGATGACGAGTGTTGAAACCTTCACATTGAATGATGTCAAGACTCCTTTCATGTACCACCTCAGACACACTTCACCCACTCTGACTCGTGTTCTGTCATCCCACTGGGGTATTACCTGCAAGTTCTATGGGCACCACCCGACACTGTTATCACTTTATGCCTACTCCATATCCCCTTTTCTTCCCCCTGAGGCTTCCCTGACACAAAGAAAAGGAATAAGGCAGACTCCCAAGGTGCTCACAAATGAGCAACCCCAAAGTGTGAGGAAGTTAATACTCCAAGGAGCACACCCTCAGCCAATGGAAGATAACAGTTGGGAGATAAATTTGTTGCCCTTTCTCTATAACTTTTCAACCTCCACCATGTGATGCCCTGAAACACAGACTATAAAGTTTCTAGGGGACAGTTCTTTTTTTTTTTTTTTTTTGAGGTGATGTCTCGCCCTGTCACCTGGGCTGGAGTGCAATGGTGCAGTCTCTGCTCACTGCAACCTCCACCTCCCGAGTTCAAACGATTCTCCTGCCTCAGCCTCCCAAGTAGCTGTGATTACAGGCACCCATCACCCATCACCCATCACCATGCCCAGCTAATTTTTGTATTTTTAGTAGAGACAGGGTTTCACCGTGTTGGCCAGGCTGGTCTCAAACTCCCGACCTCGTGATCTGCCAGCCTCAGCCTCCCAAAGTGCCGGGATTACAGGCGTGAGCCACCGTGCCCAGCCTTCTAGGGGATGGTTCTAAGGAATCTAGCAGTCAGTTGCACTTGGTGTTGGCCAACTGAATAAGACTTCCTTGGCTTCCTCTCCCTCCTTCCCCAGTTCACTGCCCTATGGTCTTCATTTCTAATCCCAGGGATCACAAATAAGAATGGCATATAAGACACATAAGTCCTTTGCCTCAGACATTGATTTCTGGGAGAATCCAAATTAAGCAGATGGTGTTAGGGACATATCACTCATCTTCTTATCCTTACCTATCAATCACAGTGCCTGGCACAAATGAGGTGCCCAGTAAACATATACTGACCTGAAACAGAGAAGAAAGTTGAATAGAGGAAGGAGCGTCTCAATACACCACACAATACATGATGAGAGAATGTTTTGGTGAGAGAATAGCCAAAAGATTGTGACTTAGTCCCATCTATTAGTCATGAGACAATGAGCAAACCAGCAATCTCTTGAATATTCAATTTCTTTACCTTATAAAATGAGATTCCAAATTATATCTGAATCTCTTGAGACTCAAATGAGACTATACATATGGCACTGTTCTAAAAATTATAAACCAAAGTGTTGGGTTATTGCTTTGGTATCATAGACTTATATGACAGCTTTTTTTCTTCCATTCAGACTATGAGGGTAGTTCCATATATTAGCAGTTAACACATTTCAGAAAGAATTTCTAATAGCTATGTGAGAATAGGATAACCATAATTAAGAATTGTGAGTGATCATCTGAGATAAACATTTTTATTTATGTTATATATATTATATAAATTATGATATATTACATAATATATAATACATTAATGTTATATATTACATAATATATAATACATTAATGTTATATATTACATAATATATAATACATTAATGTTATATATTACATAATATATAATACATTAATGTTATATATTACATAATATATAAAATATAAATATATATTTTATTTATGTGTTTATATTTATACATATAAATATATATTATTTTATATATATATATTTTAGAAAGAAGAAATGCCTAACAAAACAATTTCAGGATATGCAAATTTGTTTCTCTTTTTTCTTCTTCTTCTGAAAATTATAATCTTAAAATGTTAGGTAAGAAGGAGTCCTCCACTAGATTAGGCCCTTAAATGACTAGGACTGAATCTCTGCAATCGTATCAGCTAGCAAGGTGCTTCCCTTTGTTCATACTTCCTATATGTCTGCCGAGCAAGTAAATAAATAGGTTGAGTAATTATTTTTTGATTCTTCACTTTCAAGGCCATTCCGTTAAGTACCCATGGTAAAAGGTGGAAAGAGTTTGAGTCAGAAGTGTGCAGAAAAGCAGCCAGTGATGGTACCAACCTCGATTTACTGTTTCCAAGAGTTTGGGACCCATGTTCCTACTACCATTAGAGAGGATTCTAAGTGCTAGAGAGCCCTGACATTAAATAACTTTGAATTCCATATGAAGAATGTATTTCCTCTCAAAGGTCTTTCAGGCTTTAGAAAATCTCAGGTGGTGCTTAAATGTCCTCACCAAACTCCTCTCTCCGTCTCTCTCTTTCTCTTTTTACCAAAGAGAAAGGCTAGGGGTCAGAGCATCTGAAAAGCAAAACTGCCTAGCTAGAATTTACTAAGATTGGTTTATTTTCATTATGTTTATTTTTATAGTTATCTCAGGGCAAGTGCAGTGACCTGTCCCTTTATAATAGTAACACATTTTCTTTATTAAAAATATTACGTTTAAGTTATTTTTTGAAAACATGAGCCATTTCAAAAAGGAAAAATATAAGCAAATCATACAGGGATTATACAAATTTTTAAAATAAAACTGTGAAATTCTAGGACTGAAGTTTGAGAATTATTATCTAGGCTTCTGCAAAAGCACATGAGATCTCTTATTCTCTGGCCTAGAAGATTAGTGAATGTAGTCTTTCTTGTTTTGTATGGGTACTTAAAATTTTAATACTGTATAACAGTAATAGAAGAAAAGCCTAGTTTTTAAGCATTCACTCATAAAGTTATATTTTCTCCTCAAATCAGTCCTACAGGGCTTTCAGCTAGAGCTGCCTCTTCATGGGGTATTACTATTAAAAAGAAAAACTACTGATCAATGCTCATTAGAAAAAATTCAGAATAGAAATTCAGCTAGCATTCTAGGCTTAATTGAAGGAGAACCTCAGTGATATCTTTTACACATAATATTGTATTTATAATACATGCACCTAAATTCATATGCTTTGTTCTTTCTGCACAGTATGTTTAGTTGCACTCGAAGGGTTTATATATGGAGGCCTGGAGAGGCTAATACGAAGTAATCTTCAAGAGAAAGTTTTGCAAACTGCAAAGCTGATTACAGAAAAATGTGTCAGAGATAGGAGCTTAATTCAAATATATTTTCCAGACCACTAGTGAAATAGCTATGTGCAAGACTCACATATAAAATAAAAATTTATGTTCTAAACCATGTATACTTTTGTATCACCTTATCTCCTTTTTTTTTTCCTCTGTGGCTTGAAATCTATATTAACTACTTATTTGTCATGTGCTTCTATCTGCTCATTTAAATTTGCCAGATGCCTTTAAATAAACCAGAATACATGGAAATAAAGGTTTCACATAGCAAATAATTGTACAAGCAGATTCTTAAAAAGTGCAGAATTTCTCTGGACCAATTTTTTATCGATAAATCCTTTAGACAAATCTATGAATGAAGCAGTTTGGTCCATGTTAACTAACCTCACTCAGAGAGGGCAAGATTGAAGGATAGGCTGATTATTTGGAAAACCAAAGTGTACCATTGAAGTACTTATCTAAGAGTTGAGACAAAATAAAATAACAGAAAAACTGCTGTTACTTAGAACCAGGTGGAGGTGGTATGGGAATGAGATTCGGGTCCAATTATTGTGATCAATTGTTCATATTGATCCACCACTTTTCAGGTACAGATATAATCACAAGCTATCAAAGAAACTGTGAGTAAGAAAGGAGATAGAAATGTACATTGAAACAAGATTGACTTGGATAATATTACAAATGGTTTCCACAATTCCCTTTACTATAAATATTGTGAGATTACCATTCTGTGTTAAATGATTCTACTTGATACCCCATAAGGCCTTTATTTGAAATTACGGAATTGTGCTATGGAGGGAACCTAGAAAGTAGTTCTTTTGTTAAGCTAAATCACATTTATACCAACCTGTAGAGTCAGAATAAGGACTAAGGACTGCCATGAGCCCATGGATCACCCTTGTGCAAAGTGGAAAAGACACTTCGTCTTTTGGGCTTATGCAGCTCCTGGTTGGCAAGTGAAGTGCAGGCTGAACTTCAGTTCCCATTTTGTCCTTCCCTTAGCCAGTAACCCGCACTGCTGTACAGAGCAGCTCTGAACAGGATCAAGGATTCCTGAAGCACCACCAAGAATATGTCTTTGTATCTTTGTATAGTTTTTCTTAATAACCCATGTTTAACAACCAATAATGTCAGAAAGTCTTTTTAATAGTTAACCAACTACCTTGAAAAACTAAGTCACTTACCCCTATGTACTAATAACCCTTCTAATACTTTTACAAGTTAACTACTGTTGGTCTCATTTGTGAAGAAGAGATGCCCTGTTATAACAATGATCACTAAAATTTTCCTCAAGGAAAGCATTGATTCAGGACTTGCAATGATTTCATCATTGACCCAGTGGCCCTGAGAGCACAAAGTCTCAGATAAGAGTAGAGCTTATGTGGCAATTCAATTTCTATTAGGTGGAATTATGCTATAAATCCAAAAGACAATAATGGTTAGATCCGTTGAATTAACATCTGTGACAATAAATACAATAAAAATACCTTTTAATGCAATTTGCTCCACCAGCTCAGAATCCAAATGTGATTGATTTCAAACTTGAAATCTGATTTTAAAAATGTTTTGGGGATTAAATCCCATAGTTCCTTGAAAACAAAATGGGGAAAGTTACATTTAAAATACTTTAAGCTGGTTTAGATGTCATCAGATATATAATGGGTATAATTTTCTTTGCTCCAAGTCATTAGGAGTCTCAAAAACTTTTTTCCTTAAACAAGGGGAAAAAGCCAGAATCAGGAAAGGAGGTGACCTTTAATTTAAGAAGGCTAGAATTATCATATCATGTGGTATATTAAACTTGCAAAAAATGCAATGTCTTCATCTGGCTTGCTTTGGGGAACCTAGTAATCTATAAATACGACATTATTTGTATAAAATATATTAAAACAAAAAATGTAAGCTGAATTGTTATTAAATTTGTGCAAATGCAGTCACTAAATTATAACAGTAAAGCATTATTATGCAAATTGGAGCTAATTTTACAATATCCCTATCTAATTGTTTACAGTACAGTAGAATTATGGCACTGTTAAGCAGGACAGGATGTTGTGTGAAAGAAAATGTTTTTAATTTGAACAGTTTTTACTTCCTGTGATTTTTTTAGTTATAGTAAGCATGGAAAAGGGATTTAGCATCGAGAAAACGAGGGCAGATGTCTCCTGCATTGTGTACTCAAGGACTCAGCTAATTAATAGCTTCCATGTGCTTCAGACACAGAGATGAAGATGGGCACTCTTTGGAGATACACAAAGCTTCCTCTTTTCGGTCTTTATGAGATGTCACAAATAGAAAGATGCGCTCTTTCTACAAAGATGCGCTCCAAGGAATATTTTTAAGAGATTTGTTTTGAGATGAAGGGCTGCTTGAGTGTGAGGCTTCCTAAGCGGTCCTGAGCCTGCAGCTGTGTTCTTTAGCAGAGGGGTTAGGGAAGGCAGCTCACAACAGGACTGTACAGAATTATGTTTGAAATGGTACTTACAGAAAGGTTTGGGGAAGAAGACAAGACCACTCTCCATCCAGTGGAGAAGTCACATTGAATAAACAGTTTTAGCAAGAGGTCAATGAAGGCTGCTTCAAAAGAAAGGCCCTTCATCTTCTTAGATAAGCAAAATCAGTCTCTGGGATTCATTTAAGGAGGGCATTGCACTTCCTGTTCCCCTTACAATCCTTATTTGATCCTTCCTATTACTCAGCAATTTCATATAAGCTAAACTGTCAGCATATGAGAAACCTCCCTGCCAGTGAGATGACTTCTTTTTTTCTAGAAAGCCTTGCCAAGTTTATGAGCCAAGAAATAGCTGAGTTATAATGGCTGAAACCTCAAAGAGAAAGAAGAGTGAAAGGTATTAAAATATTTTTGGAAAAATCCCTGACTCTTAAAACCAGCAGGGGCTGATCAATGTAAGAATAACATAGTAAAATTTAAGGATGTGACAGGGAGGGGCTGAATATCTGGTGATAAGAAGGTGCCCCCACGTGGAGCCTTCTTGCCTAGTCATTCTCCATTGCTGGGGGGAAAATATGACTATAAAATTCAAGGAAGACACATGTCAGATGAACAGGACCTCATTGCTTTCCTCTTGGCTTAGCACAGGTTGCCCCTACCAAGGTGAAACACTTTTTTTTTTTTCCAGTCGCTTTGGAATCTTCTGAAAATCTCAGTGTAAAGTCTCTTTATCACTCCACCATATATATTAAAATAAGCTGATATTTAATTATCTTTTTAGTTGTTTATGGGATGCGCCCTCCATGCCCGCTCTGAAACCCTTTCTTCACTCTGAAGTCTTCTACTTTTGCACTTTTTTTTGCAAAACCTGCTCTGCAGAAATGACCTTAAACTCGATATGTTATTTCTCCCAGGGGATTCTGCACTTCGTCGAAGATCAAAGCTTAAGACCAACAGGACCCATTGCTTTTTAAATATAGACAGCGGTGAGTATTTTACTCCAGGTATCCATTAGGAATTTGTGTTTGTTAGTAACAGAGACTTGACATAAGAATGACTTAAATAAGTGGGTTTCTCGCACATTAACGGAAATCTAGTGATAAGCAATCCAGGGTTTTAGGATCTCTATGGTCATCAGGGATACAAGCTCCTTCCATTTTTCTGCCTCTTTATCCTTAAAGCACAACTTTCATCCTCAAGTTTGCGCCCTGGTCTAACATGAGTGCTGTCATCATGTCCACATCCAGGTAGGAAAGAAAGTGCGTGTGAAAAGGTCCTAGCTGACTGTTACCCTTTTATGGTATTTCCTCAGCTCTCTAAACAATTTTTGCTTACATCTTATTGACCATAACTTCTGGCTTAGGAATTATCTCTGCCCTAGATAAATTCAAGGATTTTGATTTTTTTATTTTTCTTTTGAGACGGATTCTGGTTCTGTCACCCAGCCTGGAGTGCAGTGACATGATCTCAGCTCACTACAACCTCCGCCTCCTGGGCTCAAGCGATTCTCCTGCCTCAGCCTCCCGAGTAGCTGGGATTACAGACGTGAACCACCACGCCTGGCTAATTTTTGTATTTTTAGTAGAGACAGGGTTTCACCATGTTGGCCATGGTGAAACCATGGTCTCAAACTCCTGACCTCAGGTGATCCGCCCACCTTGGCCTCCCAAAGTGTTGTTATTAAAGGCGTGAGCCACCGTCCCCAGCCAGGGATTTTGATATTATTTTAAAAAGTTGAGAATGTTTATCGTCTAGGTAACTAAGCATTGTGTTTATTTTTCCCTCATAAACTCAACCAAGTGTTGATGACTAGGGGTTCCTGCTTCACCTCCTAAAATGCAATCTTCCTCACAGTTACCTACTTACGTTGGTTATGTCCAAGCCCTGTCCTCTTTGTTAGCCTATTTTATCACTTTTTAAGAAGATAAATATATGGTCATTTCAAAGGCCTGAATTGTAAATAATATATGGAAAGAAACACATGGTCCTATAATCAATAATGTCATTCATTCTTTATTCTCAGCTATACTGAGAATGACCAATTAATCATGTGTATTATTACTCATTAGTCTTTTGTGATGAGGCAACCCTTAATTTTTCATTGTAATGGGATACTAGATTATTAGGAATGACAACAAACAGAGGAAGCTGGTGAGATGCTCAAATTAAACACCAATTTTCAGAGTTTTAAAAAATCCCCACTTAAATTGTCAGTTGAGTTTTTCACATGTGAAAGTAAATGAAGAAAACAAGTACTTTTCCAAACCATCTCAAATTCTTTGCTTGTAGACAAACTCACCCACAGAAGAACATTATAGTTCACATAAGTGAAAAACACAGAAGGAATTCTTCTCATTGTTTAAAGGAAGTTGTCAAGAAAAACATTGTAATATTTGAGTGTGTTAGCATGAATTATATAGCATTTGGGGATAAACAATTGAGGTAATATCTTTTTAAGTTTGTTATTTTGCCTTTCCCTGCTTACCCTAATAGAGTGGGTTAATGATGTCAACTCTGAAGAAAGCCAGAGTTAAGGCTGCCTGAAAGCACATGGCTAATGCAACCTGTAAGAGCGAGGGGGAGGGGATTTTGAGTCCACAAAATGCATCACTAACAATCACGAAACTTGCCAATTGGTTACATAATACTGAAACTTCTTCCTCTTGTTCTGTAACCTTTCCAGAGTTCAGCTCACGACTGTTGCTCAACCCAGTTTGAGTTACCAGGGCCTTTTGGTAAAGTCTGGATTTGTATCCACACCCAGCTGACTTCAAGTCCTTGCCCTATTGCTTAGGTGGCAGGAGGCTTTAGGCGAAGGATCCACACTTTCTGCAGCTCAGTTTCTTCACCTTTAAAGTGTTGTTACAAAGACGTGCGACATCTTATATGTTTCACATAAGGAACACACCTACCACATCATAGTGGCTCAGAAATTGGTTAAGTGATGGGAGAGAAGGGGAGAACTATATGCCAACTGGAGACTTTGAGACAATGTTCTTGGTCCTTTATTGTTGCCTGGTGGGATGGGATGGTTCACCAAACATGTGCCATGATAGTAATTTGCTGGACATACTGTGCATGAATCTTCAACATGAATTAGCAATTTTGAAAGAATATAATTATAATAAAATATATTCAACACCACAACTGTAAAGAACATCATTTTGGCCAGGTGTGGTGGCTCACGCCTGTAATCCCAACCCTTTGAAAGGCAGAAGCGAGCAGATCACTTCAGGTCAGCAGTTTGAGACCAGCCTGGCATATGGAGAAATTGGCTTACTAAAAATACAAAAATTAGCTGGGTGTGGTGGTGAGTGCCTGTAATCACAGCTACATGGGAGGCTGAGACAGGGGAATTGCTTGAACTTGGGAGGCAGTGGTTGCAGTGACCTGAGATGGCACCACTGTACTTCAGTCTGGATGACAGAGCAAGACTCCATCTCAAAAAAAAAAAAAAAAAAAAGGCACTTTTTTTTTCTTTTGTTCGTTCATAAAGTATTTTACTATCTTGTACAACCTTGTGGTCAATGTAATTGTAGGAGGTTTTCATTGCACTACCAAAAAATTTAGTTTAACAGAGGGTTCTGTTAATAGGATACCCAGAACAGAAGTTTGCTGTATTCAACACCGTCTACCTTCACACGCCTTGCAAGTATTGTTAACCAGCTTTATGACCAAGAGGTTTCCATAAGGCCATAATTACTTTGTCACACAACATATAAAATGCACATCTCGAGCTGATGAAAATAAGAAGTTTGATCCACTCCATAGCAAGCATTTCTAATTGCTAAATTTTTCACACATTTTTTATTACTTGGTGTATTACAGATGTGAGAAATGTCACCATCTCTGGTTCTATTAGGAGTGACATAAAGTGATGAATGCTGACTCTGTGTGTGTACATTTTAACCAGACACAAAGGGATTTAAACAGTCAAAATAGATGTCCTTCAAAGGAGTAATTTTAGAAACCAGTATCGATTCTAGAAATACTGAATTTATTTCAAATATCACTGGACTTCCCCTCTGAAACGTTTAAAACCCATGCAAGGAAATCGTATTGATCTTTTACAAATTACATCTCATTTTTGCATAAAAACAGTGCTACCCAAATAGCTCACACTTTATACTGATCAGTTTTGCTTTCATGGACTTTTGGCTACTTCTCAAAATTAAATGCACCTTCACAGCACAAAAATTTATCATCATTGGACATTGAAAAGATTCTGAAAGCAGTTACAAAAGGGGAATGTTTTTAAAAAGTTGTAAACAAAGGTAACAACATTGAGAATATGTGTATGGCCTCCCAGAGGACTGTTCTAAAGCAGTACTCTCGTTTGGGGGATACGTCGGATGGATTTCTTTTTATGAAGAGGTCATCTCAAGTATACCATCTGTTGAGCCTTCCTTATTTGTTAGACAAAAACATTTTCATCATTTCATCATTTCCTCCATTTTAGGAAGTATGACAAGCATTAGAGACTAGGATAGAGTCTTGAGAACTTGAGAAAGCTACACATTTGTATCTCAAGTTAAGAAAAAATAAAGATAAGAAACAGAAAACAGGAAAAGACAAGCACCAAAAGCAAAGTAGGCCAAAGGACTTCCTATGTTCAAATATTTCCTAGGTATTGTTTCAAATGTTCTTGTTGGTGACAATTATTATTGGGCATTTACCCTGAGCCAATCACTGTGCTTGTTACTTGATATGGTCTATCTCATATAATCCTTCTAATGAGAGCATCTAAGGCAAACGTTCTTACCAGTCCTTTATGGATGAAGAGGTGGAGGAATTTTTATGTAAATAGATGGCCTAGACAGGATTTAAACTCAATGTTTCTCTGATTCCAAAGCCAGTGCTCTCTCAAACCATACCAAGAAGCTAACAGAAACCAGCACTTCATGTAATTTTTAAGAAGACAGCAAGTTCAGATACAACTCAGACACTTCCACAGGGGATTTGGACAATCTGTTTGTCACTCTGAGCCTGTGTTATATGATTTCTGCTGATTCCATCAGGTGCCTTTTTTTCTTTTTTTTTCTTTTTTTTTTTTTTTTTTTTTTTTTTTTGGTAAGCCTTGGCCCATCTCTTAAGAGCTCAAAGAATATGCCTGGGAGCAAAGGAACCACCAGCTCAGTTAGGTTGAAACCAGTTAGCCATTGTAGTACTACTTAGTGCTGTCTTGGTTAATTGATTAACTTCCCCTTTAAAATGTGTGTGTATTTTCTACATAGGTTTTTGGTTCACATTTGTTTTTCCCAGGACCTTAATACTTTCTATGCTATGATGGTCACCATTAGAAAGTAATTGCATGCCTGATGATGGAAATAATCAACAAAGATGACCACTGATGTGTCTCTACATGTCATGATTGCCTTAGGGTTTCAATTCCTGTATTTTTTTCCCCTCTCATCCCATGCATCCCTTCCCATGCTTCCTTTGTGAATTAAGATAAAAGGAACAAGAAACCAGGAAGTCTTCCTTCCACCTGACTTCTGACTACACATAACCACACAAACAGCCTATTTTGATCAGTTTCCTCCAGTCTCCATCATAGGTGTTTGATCTATAGTTTAGATACCAAGTCCTCGATAGTAGAACTCATGTATAGCTAAGCGCTACACATAGCTCTTGATGCAATGCAAGGACTTCCAACTGACCAAGTGTAACCATGACACACTGGTCAGAAGCAAGTCAGACTCAGGTTCCAGCTCCTAGTCCTAACATTGTGATGATGTGGCTATTACTGGACATGTGCATAAACATATTGTTGGAGGTGCTGGGAATATTGGAATTAGAATGTACCTACATGACCTCAGCTTTGGGTGGTATTAAAGCTTTTTGCTTTTTGTGATAAACAATAGGAGGCTGCTTATTTCCTCTAAGAGACTTTTTTGAGGTTTTTCTGACAGTAAGGTGGCACGGGCAGGGAACTTCCTTCCAAAGCCACTTCTCAGCCTCTGTTCTATGAGTTTTCTTCCTCTTCATTCCTGTCTTCTGCCTCCGTTCCTTCTGGCTGTCCCTCCTCTAGCTCTGCTTCTAATTGCCTGAGGAGGCACTGCAGGGTCTATCCTGTGGGAATCCAGTTTGCAATGACTCTTTTGGTCTATGAAACACCTATTATCGGTTCCTCAGATTTGAATACCTAGACAGATGTATGTGCTCCCTTAAGGGACAAGTACTGTGGCATGCGGAGTGTGGTACACCAAGCCTAATCTTCTGTTCTGTGGATGTTGGTGCTCAGTTGCTAGTCTTGGTTGACTGGACAATTCCCACGTAGCTTTTGCTTAATGTCTGAATCATTGGAAGGAGAAGGACTTTGGTCTGTCTTTCTCCTTTTGTAACTTCCTCTTTTTGCACTTTATGTGAGATTACGAGTGAGTGTGATTTCAGATGAGAAACACTTAACAGTGAGTCAGGGAGATGAAATTTCACTGAGATGCGGAACACAGGAAGAGAAAATGTGTGAAAAATCACGTTGACGGGGTTGTCTTGGTAGCTAGTAAAGCAGAGAAAGGAAATTCCCGCACAGCAGGCTTTAATAAAATTGGCAGGCAGGAATGTCACACTGTGTGAGAATATTGGTGAGGAATCTAGGGATGGAGAGCAAGTAAAGGAATCATAAGGGCCTTCTTATATTGGACATTCTTTCTCTGCACCTAATTTACTCTAAACGAGTTTGCAGATGAGAATTGTTTTCCCATGAATTTGCATCAGTAGATTTAAGAGCATGGATGCGCACACCCCAACACAAGGTGTCAACCAAATATTAGGCAATGTTATGGCTTATTAACGATTTTCAATCCAAGGATAGTTAATGAAGAGTGGACATTTATGTCTGTGTATAAAAAGCAGTATATGGAAACTCAAATTCCCAGTGGAAATAAAACAAGACATCGTCATTATTTAACAAAAGAATTCACCGTGTAATTCTATATAAGACAAACGCACTCACACATTCTTTAAGGACTTTAAAAATATCCTTTGATTTCCATGCAACTTTTCTGGACTTTTTATATCTACCACATAAAGCAAGCCTGTTACCGAGATAAATGTGGAAGTTCTATGTCCTTATTGCCTGGGTCACTTTACCAATGATCCACCACTTACTTATTCGTTTTATTAAATATATTCTGTCTTAAATCTATTGATGCAAATTCATGGGAAAACACTTCTTATCTGGAAACTCATTTAGAGTAAATTCGGTGCAGAGAAAGCATGCCCAGCATCAGAAGGCCCTTATGATCCCTTTACTTACTCTCCATCGCTAGATTCCTCACCAATATTCTCACACAGTCCGATATCCCTGCCTGCCAATTTCATTAAAACCTGCTGTGCAGGAAACCTACCAGTGTGTAAGATTCTTGAGAATAGACCATTGTCTGTTTTGTTCATGTACGTATCACAAATGTTTAGAACACTTGTGGCACATAGTAGGTGCTTCATAAATATTTACTGAATAAATGAATGAATGATCTTGGGAGGTCAGGGAATGTTCGCCTCACTTGATGAGTAAACCACCCAAGCCAAAGGCGGCAGCTAACCCAGAACTCCTCCACTTAACCCCCTTTATGTCAATGGCTCTCTTTGGAGTCACTGCCAGGTTTTGTGTGTAAGGAGGCATAATGCTCCCAGGGCAGGCTGCTGGGGACCAAGCCCTGGGACACACAGAGCATCCTGAAATGCCAGAGACCGGCAGAGTCACACTGGGAATTACTTGTCTTCAATACATAAAATATTGGTGGGGATGGCAACTTTAACATTTGCCTTTTAGAAAATTCTGTTGAAGGCCCTCCCCAAGTTGAAGTTGGTGGCCTGGGAGATAGTCATCAGCTTCCAGAGAGAGGACCCAGCAACTTTTTCCTCCACCAAGTGTTTTTTAATTAGTAGTTGGCTCAGAAAAGGCAAAGCAGCTACTTCTGCTGGAGATCCAAGGCTGAAATAAATACTGCTGTTAGAAGTGGAAGGTCACTTTACAATGGTGTTGTCTATCACTCTGAGCTTCCTGCACCTCCAGGGGAGGCCATGAGCTTAGGCACAAAGTGTGGATAAACGCCTATTTTAGCTGATGATATAGATTAAGAGAGTGGAAGAAAAGAGCCTACACCCTGTGCCCCCTTTTGCACTTAGTTGTGGTGGAGAGGACGGGGAGGTGGTCAGCTCCTGCTGTTCTCAGTGGGCGCCCTCCGAGAGCAGTCCTTGTATTACCCACTTCACTGTTTTGTCCCCATCTCATTATCTGTTCTTGTTAAAATCTTTATTATTCATGGATGCAAAAAATCCCATCATTAAACCATCATAAATATTCATAACACTTTGCAATTGTGTGCATTTCATTTAGCCACTTGGCAAAACTTCTCTGAAGTACCAGAGTTTTAAGGAAATCTGGCTAATGAGACCAGAGCCCAGGAAATGCAGGATAGCCTTTCCACTTTATTTTACTTTAACCTGAAAACAAATGCAAAATATAAATAATAATTAAAAGAGAAAAACAGGGAAGGCATTTAGTGGCAAAGAAGAGCCACACATTCCTTGGCTTTGTCTTGATTGTGCTTTTGTGTCAAGCAGAAGATAAGGGTAAACACTGTGCTACAAGAGGGGGAGTCCTGAGGCTGCAATGCTAATGGATTTATCCAGGAGCCTACAAAGGCCAGATAAACCCCCTGCTTTGGTTAACAGGGTCCTCACTTCTTATGTTCTGTATAATTACTGGCATCAGGTTGGAGTTGAGATAAGCATGGCCCTTTTCTTGGACTTATTATAGCAGGCAGCCATGCCGTTTTTCGTGTCTAAGAAAGAATTATATCCATCTCTTTCTCTTCTTCTAATCCAGTTTATCTAAACTGTGCACTCTCCCATCAGTGCTGAGAGCTTTTTCTCGGAGTGAAAGAGAACCCAGCAAACTTCTGCGGCAACCAAGTGGAATTGGAATAATGTGCCTTCCCACTGCCACCCCCTCCCATCCAGGGTGCACAGATTTAAACCACCGAGACATCTTTTGTTTTGCACCACAAATTATTGCATTGAAACATTTTTTTCCTGCCTTAAAGATTATCCATATTGAAAAGGAATTTTTAAACGATATGAACTTGTGGAAGAAAATATTTATACCAATAGGAGTTGTTGCCCCTGGCCTGCACTCGTTTAGGACTCCTCCCCGCCATTACTGACAGCATTTATGCTTGATAATGAGTTGCCTTCCCTGCGTAACGGCTAACAGGTGCTGGAAAATACTGGTAACATTCAAGACTACTCAGCAAGTTCTGATTTCCCTGAGGGTTTATGCCAAGTAGAAACAAGTTACCACCAATCCAAGCATTAGACTGGCTGATGTGTACATCACTTCGTTAGGAAATGTCACATGTTAATGGGGAAGCGCGCTAGGTTCCCAAGCAGAGGACTAATTAAGGAAAGTTTTCCTTGGTCTGCTCCTGTGGACTTAGGACTTAGAAAGGTCCTTTTTTTTATTTTTCCACTATTGATCCTTGAGCTCATTTGTGGCAGTGTTTGGCATTCATCTTACCATTTGTTAGCCCTTCTCATTGATTCTCTAATCGGAATCTTACTTTTTTGTAACTCCTCCCTGTGCCAACTGAAATGAGGTATCAGTGGGGACATTTATTTTATTTTGTACCCGATCTCATCAAATTAAAAAAAGTCTGAATCTTCAAGAAAATCAAGGGAACCATTTTATATAATTATTTTGTCAATTTAGATGTGACCTTTGAAATATGGCAAAAGTCTTCAGTACGGTAATACATTGAAATTCAAAATCAGATTCTGAAATTCTAGTAGCATTAATTACTCCCTCTGTGCTTTCATCACACTTTCTTCCCAGCCCTCTTATCCTATATTTGTTTAATAGACTATTTTGCTTGCAAAGAACTGTGATTCACACAGGATGCCTCAAATAATGAGGGCTTATTTTAAGGACGCCTATGCTAATAATGGAGTCAGAATATTATGAAACTCTCAAAATAGAAGTCAAATAATGACCAGGCATTACAGTGACCAGAACTAGGAGGTTGTTCTGGGCTTAAGGAAGCAGCTCTATGGAACTGCACAATCAAAGTTAGGGCTTTGCTAGAAGAAATGACACTAGGTACATTCTGCATATCTGCTCTCTTTTGTTTATCTCCCTTTCTTCTGATTTATTCTATTTCTATTACCTTTCAAGCAGGATATACTAATTGTTCTGGGTAATTATTATATAACAAGTAATGGCAGAAATATTTCTTTCCTTGCCAGAATATATATAGGACATTGACTAGCCTGAGGATTGGCTGCTTCTGGGTCAGGTGCCCACTCCCTGTCCAATCAGTTATCAGTGTGATGACTTGGCATATTACATGGCAGCCCAGTAAATAAATGCCTTCTTTCTTTCCTCAGAAGGGACTATGGCCTCACAAGCTTCCTCACTGATGTGTGCAGCCCCATAATGACTGGGAGCTTTACCCGGGTGCAGCTAGTCTCCTTTTAAAAATATCCATAGTTCTGAGCACAAGTTCTGGCATATAGTAGATGCTCCATAAATTGTGACTAAATGAATAAGCAAATCTTTATATTCTTCTTTCCTGGGGCTAGTTTTGGGTGAAGTGAAGTAACTTGCAGTTTGCGTATGATTTGATATCACTTACTTGTCAACAGCAGGAAATTGCAGAAGGTTCTGGATTCTAAGACATGATGTATTTCACTTTTCCTCTGCCCTTTTCAGAAAAAAATTTTTCCTTGATCTATGAGAATCAAGCCATTGTAGTAAAGTCAGCAAGTCAATGTGATATGACATGAAGGCCAAACCTTATTTTAAGATGAGAAACTTGCTATAACTCCAGTCATTCTCTCTCATACCCTGGAGTCACTCTTCCTAAGAAACTAGAATAAAACTCTGCTAGCTACTACAGAAACAAGCAGTTCTGATGACTATAAATTTGTATTCTGGTTTCAAGAGGGGGAGTCAGAGTTTATTTCTTTAGAGAGAAGTCTGGAGAGCCTCCCTCCAAATGAGAACTTCCTCTAAACCGTGAACTCCTCAAGGTCATGGACAGACATCAGGGATGATGGGGTCTATGGGAAGTCATAGGTCAGCATTGCCTCCCCGCCCCCCCGCCACAGGAATTGCAGGCACACTGTGTCACTATGCTTCAGTTCCTTACATAAATTTCCCAGTGGGATTGTCCCCAAATGAAAACTGCACCGAGACTCTGTGACCACAGTGAGCAATGTAGACACGCAGCACCAAGAACAGATTTGTGCTGGACAAGGGCCTATCCCTCCCTGGACCGGCTCCCATTACACAGTCATCATTTTCACTTGTTCCTGCCTGTCCATCCACAAACTTGATCAGGGCAGAGGATGGGTTTAGAAGCAGGGGAAATATTGTAGTGATTACAAAATTAATCTTCCTTTTTGCAAATCTCCCACTAAAAAAAAAAAAAATCTCAATTCCTTTGGTGTAGGTTCTTTCCATATTTCTGGAAAGAAGAACTTTCTTGTGTTTGGGTGGCTGCTTCTGGAAGATTGTGTATACCTGTTGTATACAATAATGAGGGGTCCTGATGACAATTACGTTTGCTTCCTTCTATGTTATCTTTTTGGCTTCTCAGAGCATCCTGGAGAGTTTTGGTCAATATCTGTGGAACCCACTTTTTCTCTCTCCTCTCAATGGAGTTGTGAAAGTGTGGATCAGAGCACTAGGGTGTGTTTTTGTCTGCTGTGAACAGCTTAGCAAAGGAACTTGGCATCCTCAACAGACAGAGTAGGTAATAAGTCTTGTGGGCAGAATCAATGATAAAAGGAAGGGGGAAAAAGCAGGACTAAGAGATGAGGACAGCCAAACTGATTTCAGCTAAAACTGATTCAGCTTGCTAATGAATCCACCAGCTAGTACTGAATTCTTGATACTCTCCTCACTTCTCAAATCAAGTTAAAAAAATTGATTCCATGCCACTTACAAGAGGCAGAGCTGTCACTTACTAGGGAGATTAACTTGCTTTGTTGAATACTGACAGGGACCAGAGAAGGGCAGGACCCACAGAGAATGCAGGGCACTCTAATTTGTGATAACCTCAAAACCTGAACTAGTAGTAAATTGAGGGTTTGTAATTTGTGCTAACATCCAGTCCAGACTAAGGTAAGCCTAGAGAGTGAATTTAAGGAAGCCCTAAACCTACAGGATTTTGTGTCATCTTTGTGAATCCAAGTGCCCAGACTGGTCAGAGCTTTAAAGGTGCAGATCCTAGTCCTCTTTTTTTTTTTAAATTTTTTTCTTTTTACTGATACATACTAATAACAATAATTGTACATGTTTATGGGAGTAGATCCTAGTTTTCCTGCTCAGAGTCTGCACACTCTCACATTTAGCCAGCTACACCCATTAAGAAAGTTTGGGGGTCAAATATTGGAACAATGATGACTGCCCTGCCTCTGAATATTGGAGAACCCTGTAGGTGCGGAAGTCAGCTGAGTCAAGGAGAAAACACCAAGGATCCAAAATGCCAAGTGATGCTCCCTGCCAGAGTAGATGGTTTTCTGTTTCCTGCTGGGGCTCTGGGAAATTCTCAGTGTGGTCAGATATGTGAATACCATAGTACCTGGCTGGCCATCCCCCGTGTGATTTCTTTTAACCACCACACTTTTGCCCTATGGCTTCAGGTGTTAACAGACTGGTGTTTAAATGTGCCTAAAGTGACTCTCTAGTGTCCTTTCAAATACAACACTGCTTAGTACAGACAATGCCAAGAGAAAAAGGCTGTGGATTTATCAAATTAGAGAAAATGTTAAAAAGTATGTGACGTATGTATGTGAGGCAGGGGAAACTGCTTTTAAAAAGTAACAATATGGCTGGGCGCGGTGGCTCATGCCTGTAATCCCAGCACTTTGGGAGGCCGAGGTGGGTGGATCATCCGAGGTCAGGAGTTCGAGACCAGCCTGGCCAACATTGTGAAACCCCGACTCTACTAAAAATACAAAAAATTAGCTGAGTGTGGTGGCAGGTGCCTGTAATCCCAGCTACTGGGGAGGCTGAGGCAGAAGAATTGCTTGAACCCAGGAGATGGAGGTTTCAGTGAGCTGACGGTGCCACTGCACTCCAGCTTTGGCAACAGAGTGAGACTCCCTCTCAAAAAAAAAAGTAACAATACAAATTATTATTATTTTCAATTCTTCCTAATTTTTACAGATTAAGTTTGGCTATGCACAGGAGGAAGACACCTTAAGAAATTATGGAAGACCATTACACTTGAAAAGTTCACTTTTATGATAAAGCTGCAAGACTCACAAGAAACATTTGGAAGTTGCCTAGTGCCCCTCTCCCAATTACATTGCATTTGAGACTTCCTAAAGGGATAATACGTCATTTGTTTTTCCTTCAGCTGGAGCTCTTAAGTTCTTAGGAAGGAACAGTAACAAACCGGGGGCCTCTGTCCAAATCCTGGATCAACTTGACTCTCGTTCTTTCCCTGGCTACCTGAGTTAAGCAGCTTTCTTTTCCCTGTTTCTCCAGGAAAAAATGATGACAATCCTCCTTTCCAGTTAATTCTTCCCAAGATTGTTGGAAAGAGCCATTAGTTTATGTTTTATTCTTTATGCCTGTAAGATCTTGGGATGAAATACTCTTGATAAACCACAAAGCCTATTACTATTTTAAGTACCTGCATCTTCCAAGAGAAGGAACATGCTGGCTCCCTGCAGGAGAAACAAATGGAGTCAGCTTTCTGGCTGGCACACTGTCTTTAAGAAAAAAATAAAAAAGACACAGATCGTCTTGTTCCGTCTACTGAAGAAAATGTGTTCAGATTTAGTAAAGCCGAACACACATTTCAGAGGAGTTACTTGTTCCATACTCTCTGCTACACAAATCATGGTGGGGGGCGGGGGTTGTTTTGTTTCAGTTTGGTTATTTTTTGGTCCAAAAGAACAAGTTCTGAACACAAAATGGAGAGGATACCAGGGTGGTGATAAAATGTGCCTTTTAGGATGTATGTGGGAAGAAACATGTTCTTTCTCTTATTTTAGTATCTTGTTTCATGGTTGTGAAGGAAAGAAAATGACTTTGGCTACCTGCATTTCAAATCGTACGTGCGGTCTGAGGGAGCACCTGGCACTTGCAAGAAAACAGCATGCAAAAATATTTTGTTCTATTTTCCCATTGTAATCTCTCTTCCAGATTTTTTTTGTCCCTCCCTTTGTTTTCTTGTCAAGATTGACAAGCATCCATGTGTTACCAAGTGACATAAAGTTCTTGCTTGAATAATCATGACTAAAATCCAGGGTATTTTAAAGCGCATTATTGACTTGGAGAGCCACCCACTAGATTGAATTCTTCTGAATTAACAAAGACTGACAGCCTCAGCAAGGTACGTTTACCCTAAACGGTCAGGGCCTCCCAGGTTCCTACCGTAGCCCTGGTGCTGGCCTCTTCTTCCCAGGGCTGTTATGATGAGGGTTATGGAGCTAGAAAGGCTTTTCTCATTAACATTACAGAAAACTACATGTTTAGGAATTAAACTCTGGATCAAAAAAGCAGATGACAAGAAGAGGAACTGAAACTTCTTTTTATTTAAAGTGGGTAGCACTGCCTTGTTGACCTGCCATCAGCGTGAACACCAACTAATGCCGTTCTGGGATGAGATGGCAGAACTCATGGGATACTTAGAGAGAAAGAGGGGGGCATTTTTAATAAAAAGTAGTGAAATCATGTTTTACTCTCAGCATGTACTGAGGCTCTTGGGAAGGGAGTGTGACAATCTCTGAAGAAAATTGTTGAAAGGGTCATTATGTTGGAATATGCTGAACATGAGGCCTTTACTCCTTTTTCTTTCTCCAGTGCTAGGAGTGGCTACAGAAACTCTGTATAAAAGGGCTTAGAAACTGCATTCTGTTTGGAAAGGAGGAGGTGGGAAGGGAACTTACCTGGAAGCAGTATTTCTCAGCAAGCCCACTGTTTTTAATTAGGTACTATTTGTTTAAAGAGTGGCTTGGCTAATCACCTCCTCCCTCAAACCAAATGAACCCTTGGTGAAGCCCTTGACTAATTCCTTGGGCAATGCAATTTCCTTTAAAAAAAAAA
Source organism: Homo sapiens (assembly GCF_000001405.40). Lineage (NCBI taxonomy): Eukaryota > Metazoa > Chordata > Mammalia > Primates > Hominidae > Homo > Homo sapiens. The sequence continues at coordinate 107,374,576 of NC_000005.10, forward strand.
ATCTTATGCATTTATCATCTGTATAAAACAAAGACACGCAATTGATACAAATGTACTGCTCACAGGGTCCAGCAGTTACAACTCCATTTTAAAAATAGGCCTTCATATGTATTTAACCACTGAATGACTTGATTAATATAGCAGAATGTATCAAAATAAAAACTGATGGAGAATATTGGCCAGATTATTTCTAATGATTTTCAGAAATACTTGTTTTCCAAAGGGAATGTGCAAAAATTATAATGCTTTTCATAGCATTTTTTGCCAATGCTTTCCTGAAGGATAGTTATCAGCAGAATACAAAACTAATCTTTGCAAACAATCTCTAAGAAATTGTTTTGCAAACAATCTCTAAGAAATTGTTTTGCAAACAATTCTCAAGAAACTGTTAGAATGGTCAGTGAGCAATTCATCAGGATTATATTGAACTTTTAAAATGACACCTAGATTATAGACATTCCTATAAGACATTCAGGTACATACATGTGTGTTTTAGTCACCACATGCATGGACATCTAGATTCCAACATTTTCCCTGTGATTCTTTTTATACAACACCTTAGATTACTTGAGCATTCCAAATGCTTTGTTACCAGATTAGGTGTGTTGGTGCAGCACTGCTCATTGTCCCATCTCTGGTCCAGTCAGCTTTCCATTAGCGTGTGCAACAGTTTGCACGTTCTGGATTTTATACCATTTCCCTCATCTGTGTGTGGGTGTGTCCAGCCTTCCCACTCAATGAGGTTCTAGACATCTCACAATTAGGTGTAGATACAGTCTCAGTTTCAGGAGCAGCTACCTGACTATTCCATAAAGCAGAATCTGAAATTGTCATCTACTCCTCACTTCCCCTACTTCCTTAGGGGAAGAAATGCGTGATTTCTCTGGACCAGCACACCCATAATTTGCCTCAGTGACATTCAGATGGTGTTATGGGTTTTCACATTTTTACAGTAGCCTCTGTGGCTAATATGAAAATTTACACCATGCATTTCTCCACTCTCTTAAAGCCTACAATGCTTTTAACTCAAGTGTTCTATTTTCTAAGAAGTCCCTAACCCCATCTTGACTATTTTTAAAAGTAATTTCCTTTAACTCAATCTTACTAATCTATAACCCCAAACTTTTTCCCATTCACGTTTTAAAAAAGTATTTATCTCTCCTATTATTTATGTATAATATAAATGCTTGGATTTTATTTCTTCTCTATAAATCACTATTATGTCATGCTTACACGTAATGTCTGCCTTATGTTGTAAGCTTTGAAAGTACAGACTGTAAACATTAACTTTATTTTGCACAGCACTGAGCACAATGTCATGATCACTTAAATGCTGTTGATGATGATGGTGAAGATGACAATGATAACGTAATGCTGTTCTGGTTTGAAAATGTCATGTAAGGAGTCTAGTACATATTTTTTAATGTAAGTTGTTTCTCATCCTATAAAGCTGTCATTCTTCATTAACAAAAAAAGGTTACAGTAAGTTATAATTAGTGTTTAGTGCCCTGTCAAATAATTAAGTATAATAAAAAGCTTTCAATGAGCTTAATGTTAACATGGGGTAATTAAAGCCAAGTCTTGAAATGCATTAGGTGTCTATTATGTCAGATATTTGATGTTTTTTTCTTCTACAGATGAAATTGTCAAATTGTGCTTATAGCAATGTCATCATCAAAGACAAAAACACACTCACATCACATAGATGTAAAATGGGCTTTGACGTGCCCCAAAAGGGTAGAATTTAGAAAATGGAACAATCTCTCATACAGCCCTGTTATTTACAGATAAGGAAACTGAGTCCCAAAGATATCGTGTGACTTGCCTAAGGTCACACAGTAGTAAGTTAATTCTTCCTTGATTGTGAGAATTGAGGCTTTGGGCAGTACTGAAGAGATTATGATTATCATTACTGTTATTCTTTTCTTCTTCCAGTATATTTGCTGGGAAAATGCTTATTTGGTCTTTTTCTTGATGGGGTGAAAAAACTATGTCTAAAGTAAAAGAATACAATTTGTATTTGGCTCCTGTTGTATTTAACAGTCGTTTTAGGATGCAGGGCTTGTCATAGTGCCTATTTTAAGGCTCAAATACAGAGACTAGGCTGAAATCTCACTATTCTCTCATCAGAATAACTGGAATGCGCCCAGATACTTGGCCATTTCTAACTCTGCATTCTTTGAGCTTCCCAGGCCTTCTCTTGTGCATGTTGTATTATCTTTTCTGTCCACAAAGATTTTGAAAAATCAGCAGAGTACAAGTAGCCCCTGAAATAAAGGCATCATTCAAGGAACAAACAAGTAGAAGGAGGGATCCAATTAAAATGATGAAAATCTTTAATTTTTATTTAGTTATACTTGTACGGACACGTGTATATACAAATACAGATCGTATGGGTTTGTTTGTGTGTGGGTTTTTTTTTTTTACATTTTCTTTTACGTTTATATAATGTCAGCATTTCAAAACAGCACTCGATGAGTAAGTGCAAAGGAACTGCAAAGCAGGGCAGTACAAGCACAGGACCACACGGAGCTGGACTTCACACCCAGACGCACACACAATGAGTGGCTTCAATGGGGTGTCAAGAGTAAGCATGGAGAGCGGATTTTGACTCATGGGTAACCTCCGACATGCCAGCATCTATTAAACTGTACAGACAATGGGAGCAAGCCCATTGTAGGGAGATTTGTCTCACATCCTAGCAGCCCTGGGGCCAATGCATGGGAAAAACTCAGTGATGCCAAACCAGAGACAGACCTGCCCATTCACAGCTCTGAGGGGAAATAAAACGTGGGAGGAAGGCAAGAGACACACAAAAAATAAACATACTAAGTAAAAGGGGGGTGGTGTAGGCAAACGGGGGTGTTGGTGGAGGCGGTTTTCAAAAGAAAAGTCAGTGACCACAACTCTGAGAGCAATGAATGGAAAGGAGGAGTTGAAAACTGTTTTTCTAATTATTTGAAAATAATACAAATGGCTGCTGCCGTTGCTAAGGCACCGGAGAAAAACAGAGTCCCTGAAAATCCACAGGTACTGTGTGACTCTTCCTTTCACAACGACACAGAGAGGGAAACAGCCCCATTTAAGCTTCCTACACTGATTGGTTTGCAACCATTTCCATGAGTGAGCTGCACATGATATTGATAAAGACTCTTCCTGGGAAAAAATAAAACAGTCCATGAAAACAATCACAAACAGAAAACCAAACCAAACCAAAGTACAGAACTGTTTCTAAATTCCCTATCCTTTTCAAACCAACATGCTGGTGGAGAAGGGAGGGTGGGCCACAGGGCTCCAACATCAGACCTTGAAAACACCGAGGACAAAATATCGATCAAAAAAGTCATGTTGTTCCAGGTCCCAAGATGATGGAGTCATAAGATTGGGTGGGCAATGACCACACATGAGTCCTGTATGGAGCAGTGTCTCAGCCACTTGTGACTCTTTTTTTCAGCCATGGTACACATTGGATGTTTCAAAGCCTCAATGCATGTTTTGTATCCTGAAAGTCTATTGTTCTCACTTACAAAAGACATAAGAATCAAATTAATACTTTATTATCAAACACTATGTACAACAGAGGTTGCTAATAATACAGAATTTAAAGAACGCAGTTTTTTTTTTTTTTTTAATGTTTTACTTTTCTTTCCTCTGCCACCCAAGAAAGTACAGTACAAAACAATAGTCTAAACTAACACGAACTGTTACCTGGTCTATTAAAGGATACACGGTATCCACTAAACAGACAGATCCTTATTTCCCTGCTTGATGTTGCAAAGCCCTTGGCAACCAGGGGCAAAGGTCACTGGGGTTTGACTAACTGGGGCTGAGTGGCAGCTATGACTGTCCTTCAGATTTTTGAGTTGTTTTTGAAATTAAAAGCTTCTAAAAGTTGCATCAACATCCTCCTAAGCCCCCAGAGGATTGTAACACCACCACAAAAGGCCACCAACACTTTTTAAACAAAGTGAAAACTGTCTGACACCAATCATCTTGAAAACTCCATGGCAAGTGCATTAGCTATGATTTCATCACTTACAGGTAGAGAAGCTTACTGTCTACTGGTGTGGACACTCTTGCTATTTTCTTTATACTTAATTTGCAGTGGCAGAATGGTGAAGTAAAGGGGTCTAATTTCACTGTGAAAAAATGAAAGACAATGGCAGAGAGGGCCATGAGTAATTATTTCACCATTTGTTAGAGACAAATGCTAGGAAAACCACAGAAGTCACCATTTCTAAAATGCATTTAGCACTGCTAACATAGTTATGACTAACTGGAATCATGACAGGATCATTTGATTTCCTTGTGGTTATAGAACATGCTGTATTATTTTGGTTCTATTGATCCATTTTAGAAGGTATCTTTCTCCCCCTACCCAAATCCCACTGGACCAACAAGCCTGTAACTATTAATTAAAAAAAAAAAAGTATTTCTGCATATGACTGAGAGTACTGCATATATAAATAGCTAAAGGAAAAAGGAATTGAATGCCGTGAACTTTTGTTTTGGTGAAATGGTGGCTGCCTTCTGTGATAAGACTCTGCCACTCCAGAGGAGTTCCTTATGTCAGAGGGGAATAGGATTGATTGTATCTGTGAGGCTGGCAACCCCACACACATGGTTCCATGTGAGAACAGACTCGGCAGTGACATCCACTCCAAATGGATCAGGTAAGCCCAGATTACATTTCAACATGTGTACAACTCTCCAGGGCACAATACGTTTACAGCTGCCTTTCCTTCACATACTTTTCTAATTCAGAACTACTCACAATTCTAAGCAAATTCCCATTCACGAAGTCTGTCCATAATGCGACCTTCTCTTTTTTTAACATATACATCTTAAAAAACAAATATATAAAAAATTCTTATTTTGCTGGAATGCTTTCAATTTTTCACATTTTACATGATCATCACATTTATTTCTTATATTGAAAGGCATGGTTTCTGTTGACATGTCGTGCAAAGCCAAAAAAAAAAAAAAAAAAAGGGCTGGATTGCTTTTCAATTGGTCTAACACTTTTCCTTGTCTAGGCTTTGGATTTTAAAGTTCATGACAGCCCCACCACCAGTAGAAACCCCAAGGCTTGCATTTCCTGGTAATCGACTGGAAACGTCCCCTGTTGGCCATGCTAAGATTCCTTCAACAGGGTCATCCTGCATTTATTCTCCTTCTGCCCCACCCCCACAATGAAACAAGATAGCCCCCATATTTCTAAATGTATCAAGGGATACCACTTTTTCTCACAAGTTTAAATAGGACAAGCATATATACTCACTCTCAGCATAAAGTATATCTAAATAATGTATTTTCTATTCTAGTGGATTTTTAAAAAAATATTTTGTTAAAGTCTTTGGGACTCCATCTTGTTTATCTCCCACAGATAAACACATGTTCCCCCTACGCTTTAGGCTGTGTCAGAAAGGGAAAGAATATAAAATCAACACTTGAATTTTTTTACTCCAAACTTTGGAATTTTATTTCCAAATTTCCCTTTAGCCCTCCCAAGTAGTGCTGACTGACTCTCCTGGTGACAGGGGTTTGTGTCCGAGCCCCTGCGGTCAAGGAGTGTGGAGCAAAACGTGGGTACTAGGGTGGGAGGCGGGGAAAGGCCACAGCACACTGGCGCTCCAGCAAAGCCAAATCATGTCTCCTCTGGCCACTGCGGTCCTCTCCTTGGTACATGTCATCCCCCAGAGGAGTATCCAAAGCTATTCCACTATGCACTCATCAACCCTGGCTTGTCAGCCTTGGGGAAGGTCACTTTATTCATAAAAATGCCTCTTTGAGTTTCTTAAAAAAAAAAAAAAAAAAAAAAAAAAAAAAAAAAAAAGTTGTAGCACCATGGTGATCTGTATTCAAAGAAAAAATATCTGGTGTGCACTGCCCAGTCACCAAAAAAATTAGAGGCACTCACACATACACACCCCCAGCAAACCTGTAGTTTTCTCTGTTTTCACACCTGCTCTGTATTAGCATTCCACACCCAACCTGCCTCCTAGAAAAAAAAAAAAGGCTTCTTTTAGAGAGCACAAGTTTTGCTGTCAAGAATGCTTTAAGACAGTCATATTAAAAAAAAAAACCAGTGTCTCAACCTTTTAGAAGCCTGTTCATTTACATACTCCTATAGGAAATGGTGTAATATCGTATCTATTCTTAATACCTCCCCTCCGGACCTGACATGGTGACATGATGCCCTGCGCGATCATCTTACAGTTCTGAATGAGAAGGCATAAATATTGCATAGGAGAGCAAAACCCTCCCAGCCCTAGCCAGCGCTGGCTGCATCTGCCACTATTCTTCCTTGTCCATAGCCCGCTGACACAGTGCGCTAACGGAGGTGAGTTCTTAGAGGAGAATGCACAGGAGCTGACGAACCACTGGTGTCACTATGACAATTTGGCATTTTCATCTGGAGTCCATTTAATTTGGGAGGGGTGAGAGAAGCCAAGGGCCAGGGCTGGGGGTGGGGCGGGGTGGGGTGAGGGAGGCAGGAACAAGTTTAGGCCCCCAACCTGAAGTTGTTGCTTAGAATTCAGGCTGAAAGAAAGAAAACAAAAATCTGACATCTGCCAAAACCCAATAACAAGTCCCTTCTTAGGATGAGCAGTTAGGTGGATCTCTGGTGTTCCAAGACCCTGATGTTTTCTGTGACAAGTGATGGGAGGAGACTGTGCTATAATGTCAAAAGCATCGCCAGGAGGAACAGTAGGATTGCCAAAAGGCGGCTGGGTATCCTTGGTGTTTGTGCCGCGTTCTCGCCGCGGGATGGCTCGGCTGACTCATGTACGGTGTCATCTGTTCAAATAGAAAGCACACATTCCAATGAGATTTCACATCCTTAATAACTCTCTTGCAGCAGCCTGCTGTTAACAGACCTCGCCACCCTCTGCAAAGTAGGGTAATGAACCTTGTGCCACCATTGACTTTCATGTCTGCATAATCACTCATTATTTACAGCAAACAAAGAAGAGGCAAAGAAAATTGGACTTTCTCAGCAATATTAATACTTTCCTTAAAAATTGAGGGGAAAAATTATGCATACACCGTAACCTTTGGCCTGTGAGCTGCTTTGGTTAGCCAGCAGTCAGACACGCCTTGCACAAATTTCAGATATCTGAATGTACCTTTGAAACCTAAGATGTCACAGGCAAGCAAGTGACATGTTGGTGGGGGTGGGGGAAGGGGCAGTTATGTTGGCACAGTAGTGGTTAACCAGAATGCGCTGCCCATTTCCCTTCTTTTAGCTGTTTCATAGGATTAGTGTTGAATGCCTGGTTGTTGGATGCCTAGACGAATTTTCAAACATGAAAAACTAAATGCCAAAACAGCAGCATTTTGGATAAACTATACATCATGCCTAGTAAACTTCAATAAACGTATGCCCACTAGTTTGCCTGCAATTAGGTGTCAATTATGGTGCTATTTCTATTACAAACCCTGTATTTCTAAGATTAAATTACTTGAACTTGACTATTTTTATTTTTATCGGGCTGAAGCTTGGCACATAAATTATCAGCGTGGATGCAAATTTTCCTCTAAATAAAATAGATTAAGTGAGTTAAGCTTCTTTTATTTAGCTATAAAGTGTTCTATGAGGCTGCCTCTGACTTTGGATAGCCTTCCTGATCTGCATGATTAACAGGCTTAACTTCCAAATGGGAACTCTGAAGCAATTAGTACCAAAGAGAGGTTGGAGGCTTGCCTAGGAGCCAAGCTCTGCTCCAGGGCTGCCTGTCTTCTTCTTTCCACCTGACCTAACTTATGCTTTTATTTACTTTTAATTAAGTTAAATTAATTAATATTTTTTTAGAGGTAAGGTCTTGCTCTGTTGCTCAGGCTGGAGTACAGTGGCCCAATCATAGCTCACTATAGTCTTGACCTCCTGGGCTCAAGCAATCCTCCTGCCTCAACCTCCCGAGTAGCTGGGACTCCAGGTGTGAACCACGATGCCTGGCTAATTTTAAGAATTTTTAGAGAGACAGGGTTTTCCTTTGCTTCCCAGGCTAGTCTCAAACTCAGCCTCAACCAACTTCCTCCCTTGGCCTCCCAAAGGATTGGGATTATAGACATGAGCCACTATACCTGGCCACTTGTGCTTTTAGACTAAGGATCTCTGAATAACACATTTTGGGGGCCAATAGTGAGCCCCTGTGCAAATTTTATCTCAGCATCAGGGTAACTTCCTGCAGGTGTTCAGCAGTTGCCATCTGGGAATTGCTCAAGGGCCAGACAGAATGGTAACAAGGCTCTAGTGGTTGTTCTCAATTATACTGACCTCAAAGGATAATCCCTAAATACCCCTGGATGACCCACCTCAAACCCCTTAATGGGTTAACTAACCATTATTTTAAACTCATTTGTATTTTCCTACCACACGTGTCACAATAAGGGTGCTTTTCCTTCACTGGGTAGAATCACACTCGCTAATATTTGTCCTAAAGTAACCACTTTTCAGGTTCACAGGCTGACCCCTGCTTCAGATATGCTCGTTTGGGATGGTTTTGTCCATCACATCCATTCCCAATGAGAAAGGTCTTCTCAGTGTTGAGTCTCCTGACCTGGAGTGCTCTTACCATTTTAGCCTCCCCTCGAATAAAAGCTACTGCATCCCCTTGTCAAATGTGCTCCCCTTTCCTGGACCTTAGCGAATCTGCATGGAGTGATTTTAGCTTAGGAGACTAGAAAAGGTTAGGAAGCAAGATGGTAAGATAAATGGATGCAGAAAAAATATATATAAAGTCCTCCACAATGTGGCCAAGTACCTTCAGACCCTCTTCTATTCTCTGCTCTTTTTCAGCCTTGCAAGTGTATTAATTAAATCTGTAGTTAATAGGAAGTAGAAGTAAAGGCCCTTAATAGCCCTGAAATTAAAATCCAAATCACTTTCTTAAGAGCACCAATATGTTGTCAATCAAAACAATGGAGCACTTCAGGCTTAACTGTGAAATAACCACAAACCCTGAGGATTCCAGAGTTCATTTCACAATATCACATACTTAAACACCTGAAATTGCATCAGCTATTGGATTCCTCTCCATCTTATTTTTACTAGCATATTACCCAATCCTTCTCCTTGTATAGCTTGCAAGTGTACTGTTAAAGGTACCCAGCTAGCACTTAGATCTTCGGTGTGAACCCCTTCATCACCACCCTAGTCCCTTCTAGGTACTCAGTGAGGGCTATCCATTATTCCAGGTCCACTCAGCACAAGACACAAGGAATAGATCTTACAAGGTAATGGAGAGGAAGGCTTTTGTTTTTCATCTAAGTGAAGTATGAGGCTAAGTGTGACTTTCAGTCCTTTAACCATACACAATCTTTGGAATTAACCTTTTATAAGCACCCAACGAATATATATCTTCCTGCCCCCCAAAAGGAAATCAGTCCCATTAGGGCATCAGGATCCTTCTCTTCTTCCTGCAACATGCTGTTCCTCATTCAGGATTCCACAAAGCATCCTTTGATTAAAACAGGTTCTCAATGTTGGAAGATTCTACAGCCCCCAAATGTGAAATGAGAAACTGGCTGTCATTTGGGTAAATCTGAGCAATTTCAGAATTCTAAGGAGGAATTCATAGGTAAAATCTATCCCAATGGAAACTACACCTAAACATGAGAGAATTTCTAACGCTTGTAACACAGGCTTGGAAGAAGAAAGAAAACGTTCCTCTTCAGAAGTCAAATCAAGTTTTGCCTCCTGGCTACAGGATTCCACAACATGGGGGTTTCAATGGTTAACGGAGAGAACACTAGCGATATTTTGGAGCATGTTATGTGGCATATGTCTGCCCTGAGATCATCCTGCATCCCTGATGATAGGAAACTGGCAGGCAGAGTGTGCAAGCAAACAAAAAAGACAAATACATTCCAAAGACAGGTGAATTAGTACACATCGCTGAGATCATGCAGTGGAATCCTTTCAGACTTGCTGGGTTCATAAAGACTGGGTCTACACCCAGAGCTGGGGAAAGGTAAATACCCTTTCACTCAGTGGCTCGACACAGTGGTGAAGAACTGCAAATCCAACTAGACTTTCTCTCTCTTCTTAGAGACAGAATCTTGCTCTGTCACCCAGGATGGAGCACAGTGGCGTGATCATAGCTCACTGTAGCCTCGAACTCCTGGGCTTAAGCAATCCTCCCACTTCAGTCTCCCAAGTAACTGAGACTAAAGGCACACACACCACATTTTTTTTTTTTTTTTTTTTTTTTTGGTAAAGACAAGGTTTCACAGTGTTGTCCAGGTTGGTCTCAAACTCTTAGCCTCAAGCAATCCACCCATCTCAGCCTCTCAAATTGCTGGGATTATAGGTGTGAGGCACAGTGCCTCACACCTGTAAGAAACACATTTCTTATTGTTTTCTTATTGCCAGGAATTGTGGTTCAACCTTGTCTCACTTTGTTAGTGAAGATACTCACCAGCAAGCCCTTAAAATATAGCTCTGACTGACTCAAGGAGCTTTTCCTGCATGTACACCTACGCTCTACTCCCCAGCACACGTATGCACACACTGAACTACATTCTGCCAAACTTTTGCAAACTTCCAGCAGTTATATGTCCATCAATTTTGGGCCATTGTGCATTTTAAATGCTTAGTGAAAAAAAACCTTGTTTCCCCAAAGACAGTGGTATATGTTCATGTATGAAAGCATCTCAATATCTTGCATTGTATCGTTAGTGGAATTCAAAGGTAATTTTCCTAATGGCAGAATAGTCCTCCATGTGCCTCTTCATTACCAGAGAAAAATATGCAATCTGTTAGGTGTCTAAGCAGCCTCCTATGCTATAGACAGGCAGTGGAGATTCCCTGGAAAAAAAACCATGGGAAAGATATGCCTACATTCTGCACAATGTGTATCAAGAGATCATAATCCTGGGTAATTTTTGTTTAGAACATGCTGGTCATTCTTCTCGTGGCTTCTTAACAAAGACAAGAGACTTAAGTCCTCTTTATGAACATACCTCTAATAATGGTAAGAGACCACTACTTTGATACTAATGTTGGAATAGGAGTCAGAAGATCTGAGTATTAAACCTGGATCTACCTAATCAGCAATGTGGCATGGGTGAGTCTCCTCAGCCATAGAAGGAAGAGTGTAGAGTCTGGGGTTGTTAAGGGAGATACTGAGTAACTTGCAGATCCTCTGGTGGCCCAAGTCCCTGAGCTTGTGAGGACTCTGGTACCTTAAGAAGCCAAAGTCATGGCTCCAGATTTCCAGGACACAATTAAAATGCCTTCATGTCAGCATTCATTCCTTAAAACTTTCTAAAGCAGCTAACTGATCCCTGGGGAGCCACTAAGACCTCGGAGAGCTCATTGTACACACCTCTCATTTGCGCTCTGGGTGAGATGCCTGCCTTAGAAAACAAGAATGCTTCAGGGAAAAAACTCTAACTCTTCCTGTCAGTTTTAACAGGAAAGCTATTGTATGTCCTGAGGCACAGCATTTACTCAGGGTAAGTTTCCCTAAGGTTCATTGACTATGCAGTCCTGGTTACAATATTGGAGGAAAAAGTGGACCTTAATGTCCGTTAGTTTCTAGGACCATAAGGAAGAGAAATTCTACAAAAAAAAAAAAAAAAAAAAAAATTCTCCATTTACATAAGGGGGCTCAAATCTCTCCATGAAGAGGAAATAATTTTATTTCCCTTAAGCTTTGAGATGATCAAGGGAGATGGGTAAGGAAACCAGTGAAGATCTGGAGCAGGTCGGGGAGAAGAGGACACCACAGAGGAAGGAAACACACAGGGCCTCCAGGCACACCCCTCCATAAGCAGTTGGTAGAGGGCGACCACTCCTCTCAGTTAATCTAGTTTTATTAAATGGCCAGACTGAATTGATAACCGAATGGATATTTACAGGTTCTTATTATCCATAGTATGCGACAGACTAATGCCTCAACGAGTGCTTTGGTAGGTTTTATTTTTCTTTAGTTATGGGAAACATTAGGAGTGTGGAAGTCAATCGTAGAAAAGTTTTATTTATCCTTAAAACTTATTTTGCCTCGGTAATCAAGGATCACATTTGGCTCAACAGGCTACTGGTACATTTGTGGCACAAGAGATGTGCGAATTTGTGGTGGCAATGTGATTATACTTCTCCAGACCAATTACTATTGACAATAGCAAAAATATTTAAATAAAATAAAGTTCCTTAGGTCAGTTCAATGATGCATGTAAATTTCTAGAGAAAACTAAGTATGTTGAATTAGTTTCTATTTTGTGCAATAGTCTTATTACTTTTATCTACAGATTTGGACATAAAAAATAAAATTTTATGAACATATACATAGAAATGTTTTGTGTCTTACATGAAAACAGATCCTTTAATATTCACAGTGATTCACCAGCATGCTCTGAGGATATGGTAAAAGGCAGTGAGATTTTAGCATTCCGATGGGGCTTCTATATTAGGATACTGCATTAGCTCAAACCCATTCCAAAAAAGAAAATTTTATTTTACCTAACATGCATTGCACAAAGATACTGGAGGAATGAGGTAGAATATAAGTCATATTAGCATCGCTAGCAATGAGCAAAAGCAGAACAACAACTATAACATGCAAACATGCAGAGAAGAAGAAAGGAAAAAAATACGGAAGCACCAGAGAAATAGATGCATTTGTTAAAAGAGATTCTCTAAGCATACTAACCTGCTGGTTCTAATGAATTTTCTACTTTGTCGTTAACATCGAAAACACGATCATGAACACCTATAGTTTTCATACAGCTATCTATAACAAAAATAGAGATAACAGCCAAATATGTTAGTGAAGACACCCTTAAACTCCCATTTCTTTCTTTTTTCTTTCTCTCCTTTTTTTCTTTTTTTATGTAGATTGTCTTACAATCAATGGCATGTTCCAAATGCCAATATTGTTCCCATTTGCTCTGCATGTACAACAGTCTAAGAAACAACAAGTTAGCAACTGCTGTGTACTTAAGTAAAAGCATCATGAAGAATGAGAAAAAATATGATGAAAACTAAAATATGAATGTTGATATACAAAACAGATACCACACAAGATTTAACAGTAAAAAAAAGTTTTACCGCCGTGAACCAGACCACACAATAAAGCATGCGCGGTGAAGCCACCCTCTGAAGCTCATTCTAGTGAACTTACTTGTTGGTCTCACAAAGACTTTGAGCTTTAGACAGGACCTTCTTCCATTATCTGGGATTGCAGAGGCTGTGGGTAACACAGAGAGAGAGCAGGAAAGAAAGAAGAGAACAACAACATATTACTCTTCATTTTCACATACAAATGATGAACAATAAATTCTTTCCTGACTTGAACAACAGGAACTTTCTCTAATTCCTCCTCCAAATTAAAACAAACAGTACTTTTCAGGTCTCACTGCTATAGAAAGGCTACTTTCATATCCTGAGTTTCTCTTTTCAATACAATAAAAGAATCATGCAAGAATGTGAGTAATCTGTGAAGAAATACTTTGGATTTTTATTTCAAAGTCTCTTCCATTTAACTTGATCTGTTATCAATTTTCTCTAAATCGAGAGGATAATGTGTGAGCCCTCCAGCTTTCACAGAGCCGCTCCTCCTCTGCTGCAGGAAAAGGGGCCCAACAGAGGCCCAAGGTGAAAGTGCCGGCAAAAACCAATAACAGAGAGTTACAAGGCAGACTTAAACGTGACCTATTTCTGCTGGGGAAAGCAGAGCTTTGTCTGTACTGAAAGCTTGTCTGTCAGTGCTTTTGCAGGTAATTCAATTAGAGGTTTTACTCAGAACTTGGCTCTGCATTCTATATGACTAACCCAAGCCCGGTAACTTCCATCATGCTATTATAAGTACAATATGCTATTGAGAAAGTACTATGTTGCAACGGTACATGTATTTTTTTTTTCAATTTGCCACAGAGAAGGATGGAATTAATAAAGTGGGCTTACCAAAACATGACAGCATGTTTCAAGTTATAAATCACTTGAGGAAGAAACTTTCTTCTCCTTTTCAAGATAATAAGACTGTAAACTTTCCCTATGGTTGAAAGATTATCTCCCCTGTGTACACACAGCAAAATGTCAAAGGAATTTCCAAGGGCAGTAAGGCCCTTAACAACCACATGTATTTACTAATGCATCCTAGAAATGACAAAAATTACAGAAACGAGCGTCGCATACTTTCCTCCCTATGTGTTTGCTTCAAGTGGTTTCTTTGTTCAGAAAAAGCAGATGACATCAATCAAATCACACATGGCTTACAATTAGTTTGGCAATACCCAAAGTGACAAAGAGGGATCGGCATTTGGTGTGTCTTCTCTCTCCTTTATTTTTATTTTTAAATTATTCCTCATGGGGAGCTGAGAACACAAAAATGCTTCTTTTGCAGGTGAGAGGATTCAATATACAAACTTCCAAACAAATTTTACACAGTCTCCTTATGTAATTCTAGATCCAAGTAACCCTCCTGGAGGAGAACTTCTAAATTCACCAACTAAATAATGTCAAGTAGTATAGGGTCCCCAGTGTCCCTATTCAACACCTGTTGAAAACTACTTTAATTTTAAAACAAAAGTGTAGAGAAAAAGTGTTTTTGGTCCTCCCTATCTCCCCTGGTTGCTCTGACAAGCAGTTAAGAAGTGCTAACAGCTGGCTTTGCTGTAGGCTTTCATTAAATCATAGCCAGAAAAACTCCCTCTACTGACATTTACAGTAACTAGTGTGTTATTTAGGGCACAATATTTGCACTCTGCGGTTTGATCCAGGAAATGGTGTCCTTCCTGTGGACCTCAACTGCAAATGTGCATGTCACAAATACAGTACACATAGGTGACTCCAATTCATTAGGAAAACCACGGGTTCCTGAGGGAGTATATGTCTTATTCATGAGAGTTAGTGTGAAAAAAGTGACACATGGATGTTCACACTGCTGTTCAATGAATTTCTGAGCTGAGATGAACTCACTTCAAGCCTTGTGAACTTGATTTGCTACATGCACATAACTGACTTTACAGATGATACTGCTAGATAAACAGGCTGAAGACAGAATCAAATGCTTAATTGGTTTAGCGAGGAGCTTCTTGGATTTAGTACAGGTCTTTCAGATTTTTCTTTAGGAGAAATAAATCCAGGACATGAAAATTATTGTAGGGCACATGGCAATAACTAAACAGCAAACGATACGCCTCCAGGAAAAAACTGGAGAGTTCTCTCCATGAGCTCTCAAGGAGGGACACAGTCTTAGCTACTGGATGTGCTCCATACTTCTGTGAATTAAAAATATGAAATACATTTGTATTTAAATGACACATAAAATAAAAACCTCTCTTCCCTAACAACCTGCCCCACTACTTCCTCATTTTCTGTCACCAGGAAATGTGACTGATGCCTTGTGATACTGTGACTATTATACTCTAATCCTTAGAAAAATTTGTGAACAAAGAATATTAGCACACAATGTGATATGTGAGTACACAACACAGATTGCATGCCATGGATTCACTCGATCATCACTGCATCACTGGCCTGAGCTCAAGGAGTAAACTCCTAACCCTTACAGCCAACCTGAGAAGTGTGCCTTACTAGGTCAGTATAACTTGGGTTTCTTATTTAACACCTTGAAAAACAAACAAACAAAAAAATCCAAAAAGATGAAAACGTTTTCCATGTAGTAGCAAAACTCCATTTTTTAAATGTAACGTTTAATAAAGTTAAAGTGTGGCTTTCCTCTATGTTATGCTCAAGGTTCTGTCACCCCACACTTCTTGGCTGACAAATGTAGGATGCCTTTATACCAACTAAAAAATACAGATAATTAATTATTAGTACTATTTGAAGACATAAGGTAATATAAAAGTGCATTACTAATCACAAGTAAACAAAAGGCAGAGGACTGAGCACTAAAAACAAAACATAACAGAGGAATTGAAACATGTAACATTCCCACTAATAAACTTATAAAGAAAATCTCAGGATCAATTTATGAGCAATAGATAGAGCTGAGGATGGAAATGAGGGAGTAAAATCTTAAAACATGCCTCGTTTTTGTCAGGAGGTAGGTAGTATTAATCCTTATGGCTCTAGAGATACATCACTTTGTCATGGCCAACTTTATCTTAGTTAAAAGTAAATATGTAAGTATTTTATACATAAATTATATACATAAATATATATAAATTTATATACATAAATTATATTCACTATATATAACTTCTTGTGCTGCTTTCCTTAGAAAATGAATAGTCGATGTTGAAAGTTGATAACGAATAATTATAAAAATCCATTACATATTACTGCAGCTTCATCTATCATTTCAAATGCTTTTAAAATGCCTACTATGGGTTGGGTGCAGTGGCTCATGCCTGCAATCCCAACACTGTGGGAGGCCAAGCCGGATGGATCACTTAAGGCCAGGAGTTCGAGACCAGCCTGGCCAACTTGGCAAAACCCTGTCTCTACGAAAAATGCAAAAATTAGCTGGGCATGGTGGCACACACTTGTAATCCCAGCTACTCGGGAGGCTAATGCATGAGAATTGCTTGAGCCCAGGAGGCAGAGGTTGCAGTGAGCCGAGACTGAGCTACTGTACTCCAGCTTAGCAACAGAGCTAGACTCTGTATCAAAAATAAATAAATAAAATAAAATGCCTACTATGCATCAGCTTCTTTATTAGGTGCTGTGCATGCGAAGATATATAAGATTTCAAACTGTCCCTGCCCTTGTGTTGTGGTTCTTCAAGCTGGGACATAAATATGAACCACAGTTTAGCGTACCTGGAGGGATCCATGTGACAACTGAGGTTTACATGAAGAGCCAGCACAGCTCTGGGCAGGGAGCAAGAGTGTGTCCCAGACATGTTTATCAGAGGCTTCACAGGTCCTCCAGAAGCTAACCAGCAGCAACTGGGACAGAAGACATTTTATCCCTAAATTTCCAAACCAGAGCTTTGGCAACCAAAAAGAGGCAGTGACTTGCAAACAGGTGAAAAAAAAATCTAGATCTGAAATCTTCCTCTAAAGACACATGGATTTTCTAATAGAATTTTTCAACTAAAATGAGAAATGTCTTAAAACAGTTGTCACATCATCCAAATTCACACCCATTTACTCAGTTTACTGCTTAAAGTGTAAGTTGGAGTCAGGAAGTTGGGAGTAGGGATATGGGGACAATTAAAACAAGCACAATGTCCCATTCCATTATCTTAATAGCAACTTTATAAATCAATCCATAGAGTCCCTTCCCCTGAATGAGCTGCAACGTACCAATCAAAACCTTTTAACACATAATGAAATACAAGCTGGAGACTCTCTGGTTCTCTGTGTTTCGAGTACTCTGCTAATAAGGCCATGAGGGCCCCTTACTTTTACTCTGTTCCATGACCTCAGACAGGGGCTCTAACTTGAGCCTTCCCAAAAATCTTGGTCTCCTGGGGCTCAGGTGAGCATGACTCAGCACTTAGCCAACTTGGTATAGAAAATGACGATATTCAGTGCCCCCAAATCAGTACTTCTAAAAGTTATATTTAGCAATGCAAATATATGTAACATTCATACCACAATTCACCATAGATCTATCATTCAGACATAGTAGAGAACACATCCCTTCGGGTACTGCCATCATGCTTGTGGCGGGCAGCTTCTGACATGGGTCCCAGGTATCCCCACATTCCTGTAGGCAGTCCTTTGTATAATCCCCTCCCCTTGAGAGGCGACTGAACCTATTAACTTGCTTCTAAAGAGTAGAACATGGCAAAAGTGATGGGATGTCATTCTGATTGTTACAAAAGACTGTACCTTACTTCTAGTGAACACTCTCTCTTTTGCTCATGAAGCAAGGTACCATATTGTGAGATTTCCAATGGAGAGGACCATGTAGCAAGAAACTAACAGAGACTTCCAGCCAAGAGGTACAAGGAACTGATGTCATAGTTCAACAACCCACAAAGAACTGAATTGGCTAACAATCGGGTGAGTGAGCTGCAAAGTGAATCCTTCTCACTGAGCCTTGAGATGACCGTTGCCTTGGGAGAGACTCAAAGGATCCAGCTAAGCTGCACCTGGATTCCTGGTCCACGGAAACTGTGAAATAATAAACGTTGTTTTAGCCACAAAATTTGGGGGTAATTTCTTAAGAGCTGATACAATGCTGTACACTAACAAATCTGTGTAGTTAAAGGCTTAAAGCTGACTTCGGACTGAAGGACTAAGACACTCTGGCATGTTCTGCTAATGGCCAGCATGCCCTTGCTCCCACAGAGCTGTGCACTCCTGATTCTGCTGCCATGCCTCAACAACTGGATCCCTTACTAGTTTACATTTCAAGCTACTGTTACAAGTCCACTTAAAATATGCCTTGAAGAGAGGTAATTATAAGCTGCTGTTGAAGAAATACAACAAGACATATCAATTTAAATGTTCTCACTCCAGTATTAAAAAGTGTTTTTCATTTTCCTTCGCATACAACTTAGTTTGCTTTTGCTAATGCAGCCAACCTGTGCTGTTCTTTGCAATTAGCATGATGTCTCATTTTAACTACAAATTGCTGGGTAAACCAAAATGAGTTGATACAAAATGTGAACATAAATCTTAAGGAGAATGCCTTTCTTCAAATAGGAGAAATAGAATGGAAAGGTGGTCTTTAAAAATACCTGAAATGAAAGGATTTTAAAATAAGTTAAAACTTTTCTTACTACCAAAAAACTCCTATTAGTTATCTTCTACACAGGCCATCAAGTTAAATACAAAGATTATGAGACTTCAAACAACTCAAAAGTTCCCTAATCATCAAGGTAACAACCATTCTTCTTCATGAAGAACCAAAGTTTTAGCAGAAAAGGAAGGAAATATTGTTTTCTTTCACATTTTCAGGCCCAACACTGTACTCATTAGTCAAACTTAACATCTCTGCCTAACCTTATTCAGCTTCAAATCTTAATTCTGAAAGCCAAAATCCTCCTTTTCTGTGTCCCATGTCAATCTGGGTACTTTGGGAAGTTTTATTTTTAAGAATATTCAGCCGCTTTCTTCTTTTTAAAGAAATGAGTGTGTGGGGGAGCGTTAAAAATGCAGTTTTCCATTATGTTTGCCACAGGCAATATTTCTCAATTCGTGCAAGTCAAAAGAAAAGATAGGCTATTAGCTGTTAGCACGGCCCAGTTTTTTTCCCTGTAGGTTTTTCATGCAGTTCAACATACAACACAAATATATGCAAATTAGGCAGGTGAAGGTGGAATTAAGCATTAATATTCCTTTCACAATAAATGCTGAAAGAGTAAAGCCCATTTAAATCCATGGTACTACTGGAAATATCTCCTAGAATTTGATGAATCAATAAAATCCAGTTTGTGTACATGAGTGGAGTGGGGAAACAGAAGAAGTGGTGGGAACAGAATAGAGATTAATCAAAGCCATATGGACTTGGAAAATGGTTACCAGATCCACAGAAAACTTGTTAAAACAAAAGTTAGGCCTCTTCTTAGGGAAGAATACTAAAGCAACAATTTGCAACTGGCTATGTGCCCCTTTTTTAAAAGCATTTTCATACAAAGCATTTTCATATAAAGAACAAAATCATGTGTTATGATGAAATACATCTCACTCATTCTAACTTTTGGGATTTAAAAGTCATGTGCTTTAATGACTCGCTCATGGCCCCGGTTTACCAAGCTTGCATTCATGGTGCCACCCCAGGAGCTACTAAATTTGCCAACACATTTCTTCTCTTGCAGCCCACTGCGTCTCAAGACTTAAATCATGGGCAGGTTAAGGTCAGAGCCCAAGACGTAAAATTTGGAAAGGAGGTCACTAAGTAAAGATAGAGGCCTTGGAGAAATAAGAATATCATGTAAATATTAGAAACTTTGATATGACTCTGGGGATGTTTCTTTTAAAAACCAGAATAAGAAAAGGGATGTGTTTCCCACCACATAACAAGAGGGATAGAAAAACATATTCTGCAAGTTAAAACTTGGTTTTAACACCAGGGAACTGTAACAAGGAAAAAATAATTAGAGTAAACTTCAGGACAAGGGAGGTAAAATAAGTTCCAGCTGTGCAGCCACACACAAAAGAGAAATGGGAAGCACCACCCATCCTACCCACTGTTTGCCTTCCCTCCTATCTCTCTGCCCCCTTAAGGCAAAGTTCTCACTGCTAATAACTAACCTGAGTATTATTTAAATTCCAGCAGGTAAGTCTCAGTAGATCAATTACTTTTTCTTAGCCACCTCAAGTAAATGGCTGAGGACAAGTTTCCACTCATTTCTAGGAATACTCCAATAGCACACTAACATGCTTTTTGTATATATTTATCTGAAGTATGAGCAAACTTTTACTTGCGTTTAAAAGCTCAGTGACAACAAACTTTGTTTCTGCTGCTTATTGAAGAAGGGGATGATTTGTCTCATATAGTTTGATATCTATTTAGGTATGAGCCAAAAATAACGTGGATTTTGGAGAATGATTTTAAAATGTCCCCTTATAAGAAGGATTTCTAGTTCTTTTTTTTTTTTTTTTTTCCGCGAGACAGTGTCTCATTCTGTCGCCCAGGCTGGAGTGCAGTGGTGTAATCTCAGCTCACTGCAACTTCCACCTACCAGGTTCAAGCGATTCTCCTGTCTCAGCCTCCTGAGTAGCTGGGATTACAAGTGCATGCCAACATGCCTGGCTAATTTTTGTACTTTTAGTAGAAACGGGGTTTCACCATGTTGGCCAGGCTGGTCTCGAACTTCTGACCTCAAGTGATCCCCCTGCCTCAGCCTGCCAAAGTGCTGAGATTACAGGTGTGAGCCACCATGCCTGGCCCATTTCTAGTTCTGCCTAAGGAAAATTTAAGACAGCTTTAAATAAATCTCACATTCTGAATGTAAACTTCACCTCTGTCAGTCATGTGAGTGGGGAAATCTAGTCCTCACAGGCACAGAAAGCAAGATAATATTTAGATATCATTTTAATTGTCTAAGAAATTTCTTAACATGAAGAAATATAGTTCAGTTTCTTATATATTTTACTATTTTTAAAAATCAATGAACATCTTTGAACAGTTAAGAAAAAGTTTTCTATTATCAACTAGTGTTCTAACTATTCTCTGAGACCTCGCCTTGCCTAAGGCCACACAATATTTAAGTGACTTTCTCAGGCTTTAAGGTCAGCCAGTTCTTTCTTTCTTGTTTGTGGTTATTTTGGTGAACTTACTGTACTAGAGAGGTATTATCTGACAAAACAAAACAAGACAAAAACAGCAACAAACCAGATAGGCAGAATTATTCACTTAGAAAACCTCTTCTTCAGATGGAAGCCCCATAATAACCATAATAACAACAAAAACAAAAACTCCAACAAAAGGCAGAATTCCTAGAATCCCACAAGAGGAACTATTTATATTATTTCTTCTCCACAGGCTCCCTTTGCCCCTCTGTGTGATACCCTATGAGGGTGGCTGTTAACCGTTAGGCAAGGAAAGCAAAGCCACAAATCCCATTCCTCATTCGTAAGATATTAACAGAAACAATGTCATTATCAGACAGCACTAATGTAGCATGACAGTAAATTACTAATAAATCATCAAGTTAATACAATTCAAAGAAGCTCCTAGAAAAAAGTTAATATTTCTGTGAGCCTTTCAAAACCCCTTTCATTATTATTCTCCTTGGTGAGGGCTCTTTTAAGAAACATTACTTAGCGGTTTGAGTGTATGCATAATGATTCTCTTTCTCCCTGGTTCATTCTTTTTGACTTATTTTGTGGTTTTGAGCCAGCTGCTTAACGTGCCTACGCCTCAGTTTTCTCATTAGCTTCATCTTCTCTAAAACAAATTTTAAGTATGACCTGTTTTAGAGGGGCAGTACAATTTTATAATGCACTTAGAAACTCAGGTGATCCCTACAGATCTAGAATATTGTTTCACTATTCTACAGATTGATAGCATCAGCTCTGCGCTTACTGGGGCCTCTGCATGGGGATATCCCTAAGCAGGGGGCACCCAGCTGAGGGCTTCTGAGGTTGTGAGTTCTGAGTGCAAATATGGAGGAGGAAGGGCTCAGGTGTGGATAGTGGTGATTAAAAGTTACTTAGGAGTCATAAGAAAAACAAGGGTAATTAAGTGTGATCTTCTCTAGCATAAATTTTAAAAACTGGATTCTACCATAGTTTGACTTGTTATTTTGTGTGTGTTGGAGGGTGGGGGTGGTGATGAAGATATTTATGTGAGGATGTGCACTGAGGCTGAGAGAATTTAGAGAATTAGGGTGCTGGAAGATCCTGTTCCTTTTGAAAATATGTTAAGATCTCTGAGCTCTTTTTTCAATCCATGTTAAGAGTGTGAGCAGTGAGCATGCTATTAGGCTAGAGGGACCGTAGGACAAGGATGTAAATCCTGCAGAGAGGAAACTAGGCTGGGTGTTGAGACTGCTTTTGCAACTGTATACCCAGACATGACAGTGATGACACTAAAGGAAACCAGCCCAGAGGTGGCTATAGATCCCGCACCATGCCCATACCAGTCCATGGATATTGTGCTGCTATATATAAATGTTCTCACTCCACTCTTTAATTTTTTTTTTTGTATACTATTTGGGTTAGCCTGGTGCAATGCCTATAGTCCCAACTACTAGGGAGGCTGAGGTAGGAGGATCACCTGAGCCCAGGACTGAGGCTGCAGTGAGCTATGATTGTGCCAGTGCACTCCAGCCCTGTCGGCAGGGTGAGACCCTGTCTCTAATAAGAAAACAAAACAGGCTGGGCGTGGTGGCTCATGCCTGTAATCCCAACACTTTGGGAGGCCGAGGCAGGTGGATCACTAGGTCTGGAGTTCAACACCAGCCTTGCCAAGATGGTGAAATCCCACCTCTACTAAAAATACAAAAATTGGTGGGGCGTGGTGGCAGGCGCCTGTAATCCCAGCTACTCAGGAGGCTGAGGCAGAGAATTGTTTGAACCTGGGAGGCGAAGGTTGCAGTGAGCAAAGATCACGCCACTGCACTCTAGTCTGGGTGACAGAGTGAGACTCCATCTCAAAAAAAAAAAGGGTGGGGGTAATTATCTATTTTATTTACACAAATCAATGATTTCTTTGGTTGTATTTCTTAACCAGTAAGCCATGTTCTCCCCAATGCCTATCATTTCTGGTGATATTACAAGTATCTAGATAGAAATATCCATTCATTTAGGCTGGAGGCTCTCCAAATGGAATCCTAGAGGCCTGAACAAATTAACGTTCTCTCTGTAGAAGATGAAATTTTACCAAGGAGGGAGTCGTTAGATACCAGGATTGTACATTTTGTTTCACACTCAAAATGCTTTCCATGATAAGGCTTTTATGTTGATTGAGTGGAGAAAAGGACAGCCAATCTCAGGGACTAAATTCTAGTTTACTCTGATTGTCTCTGAGACGGATTATCTGCAGAAAAGTTAATGGCTGTGCATTCCCATTCGTCATACCACAGAACAGCAGCCAGGGTTTCCTTTTCCATAATCTGGTCCCAACCTTATTCTCCTTTGTTTTGTTTGTTTGTTTTTTGAGACACGGTCTCTCTCTGTGGCCCAGGCTGGAATGCAGGGGTGCAATCAGGGCTTACTGCAGCCTCAACTTCCCAGGCTCCCTCTTTATCCCTCCTACTCTTTTCCCTTCTTTGGCATACATTCATAGCTTGTACCAACAATATTCCCTCCTAGAATCTCCTGGAAAGTCCACCTTTTCTCATGTGACCTTTCCTTTGCCTCTCAAAATCCCTACTTCCTCTGGCCACTTGAGGTATGTCTCCATTTCTCCAACACAATAACCCTCTTCCAGGTTCCCACAGAGATCTGTTTCTGTCTCCTTACTAGCACTTAACCCATTCTGTTTTGTTTTAGAACTGGTTAATACATCTTATCTCTGCTACTAGAGTTGCAAATTCCCCCAAAGGCAGGAGCCATGCCAAGTTGTTGTGTTCTTGGGTTCTAGGTTCTGGGGAGTCTATTGCTTTGTTCCTAACAGGTGTTTAATAAAGATTTGAAGAATTATTGTAGGGATTTAAAAAAAATCTGTCGAGGCCAGGCACAGTGGCTCACATCTGTAATCCCAGCATTCGGGAAGGCTGAGACAGGAGGACTGCTTGAGCCCGAGAGTTTGAGAACAGCCTGGGCAACGTGGCAAGACCCTGTCTCTATATAAAAAAAAATTTTTTTTTTATTGGCCAGGTGTGGTGATGTGTACCTATGTTCCCAGCAACTTGGGAGGCTGAGGCAGGAGAATGGCTTGAGCCCAGGAGGTCAAAGCTGCAGTGAGCCGTGTCTGTACCACTGCACTCCAGCCTGGGTGACAGAATGAGACACTGCCTCAAAAAAAAAAAAAAAAAAAAAATCTTCTAGCTGCAACGTGATTTGTTGACCTAATATGAACCAAAATTTAGGATTAGGACACAAAAGTGAAGAGAGGGGTAGTGGTAAATGTCAAAGAAATTAAGAAAACAAAAAAGGTCCTTGTCCGAGAACTAGAAGTCTCCCCTGCCCACACTGCTGGCTCCTTCTTGTAGAATGATCTTGGGAACTGATGTAATAATCAGGCAAAGCCAGGGATATACAAAATTCAAGTAGGTAGCATTTCAATATCTGTAAGAGTGTGGGGTCCCAAGAAGTAAGAAATAAGTGAAAGGAGGCCAGGCGTGGTGGCTCACGCCTGTAATCCCAGCAGTTTAGGAGGCCAAGGCGGGCAGATCACCTGAGGGTCAGAAGTTTGAGACCAGCCTGGCCAACATGGCAAAACCCCATCTCTACTAAAGAAGGAAGGAAGGAAGGAAGGAAACGGAAAGGAAAGGAAAGGAAAGGAAAGGAAAGGAAAGGAAAGGAAAGGAAGGAGGGAGGAAGGAAGGAAGGAAAGAAGAGAGAGAGAAGGAAGGAAGGAGAGAGAGAGAGAGAAAGGAATGGGAACGTGGGCATCTTTAGATCCAAAGATATGTAGAATTTAATCAAATGATAGCTTGGGTACAGGTTGCAGGCCCCTCCCAGTGAACAGAGAATAAAAGCAAAGTGAGATTAGAATCCAAGTGACCATGGGCTTCTTTAAGTAATGATAAAAGGTGGCTCTGGACAATCATGATCACAGGTAAGGGTGACATTGTCCTTGCTGAATTCCTCTAATCATGAAGATCAGAGAAACCTCTCAGCAAGTTAAAGCACCTCAGATGTTACATGAGAACATAACCCCCCAAACTGTGCTGAGGGATACAACTATCTTTCAACCACAGCAGAGCTTAAAAGAGGCATTTTTTAAAGAATCAAAACCATAGAACGAGTATTTCTTGTGTATTAAAAAATGCCACCTGTGAATGTGGTACTTTAATACTTTTAAACTGTGGGATAACTTTGGCCAACTTGAGTAACCGGTCAGACAAGCAATTCTAATTTAAAATATATAATGGAAAAATCGACTTAGATTTGTGACTAAGTGAAATTTTAGCAGTGATGAAACCTATAATTTACGTGTACAGTTTTGGAACATTTAAGAGAACTAAAGGTTCATCATATTTTAAAATTTAATTTATTATAGTAAGAATTACTGAAATAAGTTTTTACAGTCAGACAACTAAAATATTTTTAAATGATAGAGAATAACTAAATCTAAGTTCAGCTTAAAATGTTTTAAAGTCTATTTAATTCACCAAGGTTTTAAATGAATCCAAATATTTACATTTGCTAGCCTTATATATAGAATAAAACATATAAGCTAATCTGAATAGGCTAAATTTGAAATTTTTAGAAAGATTTAAAAAAATGTATAACTTCAATAAGTCAAATATCAAATTTTAAGCGTAAAATTTAAATAAACATTTTACAGATAAAACCCACCCTTCTGTGTATCAAAAACTCATCCTGACACTTCCTTTCAGGTCCTGGATTACATGCTGCCTCCTCAGAGAAGCCTCCTATGACCACCTAATCGAAAGCTATCTCCATGTTTCTCTGGCACTGCATCCAGCTCCCTACTAGTATAACTGACAGTTATAGATTTGTTTGTTTCCTGGTTTATTGTCTACTTCCTGATGAAGCTGTAAGCTCCAGAAGCAGGAACCATTCTTTAATATATCACAGTGTTTCTAAAATCTAACATAGTGCTTGGCACAAAGGAGGTACCCAAGAAACACTTTGGTAGGAGTGAATAAGCGAATGAACAGAAAACTGAATTAGCCAGAAATATTCAAGGTTATATATTACAAAAAATAACCAAAGGCAGCAAGGTGTTCCAGAAACTTGAGATCTTCACAGATTGATTTGCTATGTTTTTCACTCTCTGTGAATATTACCTTTTATATTTCCTCTTGCTAATGCACAGAGCAATCTCATAGCTAGCTAGATGAAAACTTTGCCTACTTTATTACTGCTGCAAGCTTATTGAGAGATTTGTTTACTATTTGATTTTCCCAGAAACCTTAGTTTAGCAATCAGACAATGCACAGATGGATAACAAAAGATTGATAAATTACAATTATAACTTTAACATGTAGTATAGTAAATAAATCAATGATGCATTTTTAGGAGCTTCTAGCATATGAAAAGCCTGCAGAATGGAAAAAAGGATAACCATCCTTTAACATTTTGTTTCTATTTCTTAAGAAATTTCTGCAGCTAACATATAAAAACAAGTATTCTATCCATTAGCCATGATAGTAATACCGATGTGCTACTTAAGTTTTAAGGAATCATTTATATTTCTATGCTGACTCCACATGTCACACAAATAGGAAGATTTATTGTATTACTTGGCATTTTGAGGAAAAAATCAATCTATTTTGCCGCTGCTTAGTGGAAGAAAACTCTTGGGTCAACTTATCTTTTTAATCTAAGAGGTCTCAATTGAAATTGGCTTTGAAGTTTGCTAATTACAAAACTCAACAGGGGTTTTCCCTTATTTGGTGTAACTCATATTTCTATTCATTAACCCCAGTTTTAAAAAGATTAAAAAAGTCTGAATAGAAACAACTTAAAAGTTTGAAGAACAGCCTCTCCCCTGTGATACCTTTACAGATACTTCAAGTGCAAACTTCCCCCATACTATCAAATTCTATTTAATTACAAATCTTCTGTGGTTGCAGGAGGGGGAGGTAAAACACATACATTTTGAACTTTCCAACCACACAGGGCTGTAGGAAGATGAGAAATCAGTAAATTCTTTTCACTCTATATATTGGGGAAATTTATGTCAACCTGAGTTACAAGGAAATCAAGATTCTGAAGGGCAATCCTGCTAGCTGCTTTTGCAGGGCCAAGCCACTGGGTTCAGATGCTTTCATTCGGGTGAAAAGATCATTACCAGGCGGCTCCGGGGAAGTTGGCCCTCCTGTAAGTGTGCTCCTTTGTTATGAATATGGAACAGATGGAGCCAAATCTATCTGCTCTGTAGGAACAAAAACACTTACAACCCAGCTCTCTCTATTAAAGACTCTACTTAGCTCCTTTATACCATCGGCTTTCTGTGCACTGCTGTGAGGTTTTGACTTTATAGAAAAAGGCACTTCATAAAAGCAACAGTTCTTACTCTTAAACCAAAGTGGCCTAAGAACTAAAGAAGATGAATACATGGTTTCACCGACAGGACTCCTTGGAGATATGTAGATATTCAATTAGGGGTGTATGTGTGTGTAGGAGGAGGAGGAAGACTGTATTCAATTCTGGTAAATGTCTGCATTAAAACAACATGAAAATATAGAAAAGAGCGATGAAGATGTCATGTTTCTCATTACAAGGATGGCATCTAATTGCTCTAGCATAATAAAATGGCAAGATTTAATTGTGTATATATGTCTGTAAGGCTAGCGAGGGCTGTCTTGAACAAAAAATATGACTATGCACAACAAAATCATGCAGGTAAATATGATTAGTAATTAGGACCATACCACAAAACAAAGGCTATATGATGCTTCTTCACTATGAAAAATAATATTAATTACTTTCAGCATCATCATGCCAATTTGCTTTTACAGTCTGAAAGATGTAAACACTGCAGGTAAAACCAATGCATGCATTTATTTATCATGCCACAAGAAATCTACAGCCATCCCTACAACGTGCTGTTGCCAAGATATATGTGCTGACAGCAAGGTAAGTTTCACAGGCTTCCGGGTGTGGATACACTACTGTATACGCACCTTCCATTGATAGCAACAGGGGGAAAGGAGTGTCTGCCTTATTTCATTACATTTATTATACTGATACATTTAAAGTCTGGCTGCCTCTTCGGAGATAATTGAAAAAAGAAATTCTGTGGCAGGATGCTTTGATTCTGACTAAATCAAGTCTTCGGGCAAATTTCCTCCTGCCAGTGGAAGCACAGCTTGCCTGAAGTCGTAACCTTTGTGGGAGGAAAGGAACTGGCCTTGAAGCAGATCATGAAGCAAATGTTTTATGCCAAATCAGAGTCTGGGGATACGTAGGCTACTGCAAATAAAACTCTTCTTCTGTCTGTTCAATCATTTCAATTCCCTGCAGTGTGAAATATGAACTTGCCAACAAATGGCCAGCGTGCTGTGCCTCGCAGCAGGGGGGGAAGTGCCACAGCTGTGCCAGAGACTGGAAAACTCAAGATGCGCATGACATGTTCATTAGTTCCCCTGTATAGCCAGGGCCTGAACCACGCCAGTCTCCAGAACCATCCACAGGGAAGCAGAAGGAGTGTTTACTATACCCAAAAGAGTTAGACACGATTTCCACCAAAATGAGTTGCACAACTTGTGATCCCTTTGATGACCCGAGAAGGTTAGTCTTTAAAACAAGAACACATCTCTGGACAGGAATAGACAGAAAATATTATGTCTGCCAATGATTACAGTTTTTTTCTGACTTTATTAGCAGCCTGCTCTGTGAGCAATAAAAAATGAAATAATGAATAATACTTTCAGTATCCAAGCATCTATGAGAGATTGAAAGAATTTAGATGTCTCTTCTCTTTATCAGAAAGACAGATTTGTGGAAAATGCCTGGCTCACCCGTTGCAGGCAAACATAACACTAGTTCTTCCTAGTGTAGTAGCCTTCTACTGCATTCTACATTACAGTTTCACAATAATAAAATAGTTATTTGTCTAAATTAAAGTAACATTAGACTAACAAATTTCAATTTGATGTCCTTTGCCGCATATTGAACATACATATTCACACATAGCTTTATATCTGCAACCCTAGATATAAATATCCCATATTCAGTTCTATTGTGAGATTTTTCAAAGGTTATTCACATGCTTTCTAGTGCCACATTCTTTCAAATTTTAATCATGAGCTCCCTAAATAGAAGTCATTTGCATCTGTAAACATTCCCTTGCAGTAGTATTTAGCAGTGTATTCTCTTTGTGCAGAGCTATTTTAAAAGGAAAATAAACCTTAATATGGAACAACAATCAAGCATGAGCATAAAGAGGTAAATTAGAGGCTTGAGAAACCCTGTAAACCCTTTATGTAATTTCTGAAAAATGTCTGAAGTTTCTCAATCTTAAAATAGCCCAGAATCATATAGCTTATTTCAGATGGTGGATTATAGGGATACTATTCATATAATCCAACTTATGACCTAAATCATAAGAACATATTCAAGAAATGAAATGAGTTTGAGATAATTTACTATTCTGAAATGAGGCCAAATAAGTACACATGGTTCAAGCTCGAAATGATAGACCATTATCACAAGTGATGGCGAGTTCTCATTAGTCTGGCATTTCTAAATCAATGTTGTAGTCAATAAATCTGTTGCAGAATGGTTACACATGATCGTTTTTAGGAATTAATAACAAGACATATATTTTTGTTTTAGGATTCTTTTCACTCCAATTACTCTAGAATATTATTTCTTCATAATGTTTATTTTTCTCTATTTAACTTGACCAAATACAAATTAGAAACATTAAATTATTTCTTAATTGACATGGAGCTTGGTGGAAGCAAACATCATCTCAGGATGTACAATACTATTAATATTTTTATAACAGCTATCAATTATCTACTATTTCCATGCACCAGGAACTGTGCCAGGTTTATTAAGTTTAATCCTCAGCACATTTCTTCGAGGCAGGTATTATTATCCTCATTTTAGAGATGAGGAAACTGAGGCTTAGGGAGGATAAGCAGTTAGGCGATGTCATACATAGCTAGTGTAGGGTGGAACGGATATTCAATTCCAAGTCTTCCTGATGCCAGAACTATACAACCTCAGTTTACAGTATAAATCATACTTTTCTTCCTGACTACCCTACTTCAAATATTTGTTTCATAATTTCCCAGAAGCTCTTAAAGGCCCTTCCAGAAAAGTCTGGGGGAGGTTGAAACTTGGTAGAACTTGACTGTGTAATCTTAAGCATGTGCAACAGATTTCAATAAAAAAGCTGCATGGTGATTTTGCCCGCAGAGACATGCCCTATGCATATTTTCTAATCAGGTGCATGTCAAGAAAAAGCCTTTTAATATTATATTACTGTAACTGTCGTACTCCTTTTTTAAAATTTTAGTTTTTCAAGCTACAGTAGGACTTTATGATGTGCTCCTAAGTACCCACATGCACTATGGCAGGAGGAAACAGGAAACAAACACAGTAACCTAATGTTCCAAGAAGAAAACTGGAAGAACCGGCAGCGATACTCGCCATGAAAGAAGACATTTCCCAGCCTGGCCTTGCCATCTCTGACCTCACAGCATGTCCCTTGAGATTTGGGCAGCCCTTGCCTGCTCCCACTCCTGTGATGCCTCAGCCCTGGCCGGAAAGAGAAGCAAACTAGCTGATGATGCTGTGCCACGAGAACCAAAAGGAACATACAAATCAGAAACGTCTGTTATCCAAACCCAACTGAGAAGGCTCTGTCTCAGGAAGGGACCTCCCCATTTACATACAGACATTCCAGGGCCTTTCTGGATGTCTCTGAAAAGTAACAGATGCAGCAGATTCACTCATTTTTACCTTAAAGTCAATAAGGTACACCAAAGGTGACTTTGTATCTATTTTTTTCCTTCTGTAATGCAAGTATTTAATCAATGAATGTCCTATTTAATGGCATGTGTTAACATTTTTCTATACCATCTGTTTGCCAAAAATTACTTACTTTAACAGACCGAATTCACAGAATCTCAGTTAGCCCAAGAAGCAAAAAGGATTCTGCTATACTTGGGGCAAATGGGCAACAGTCCAGAGTGATCCTGGTGGAAACTAAGTCAGATCATGTTACTTCTGTGTTCTAAACTCTCCAATGGCTCCAATCTGACTCAGAGTGAAATCCCAGATCCTTACCATGGTCTATGATGAACCGCCCCCCATACTCCATAGCACCAATTAATATTTGTATACATATTCTATGTATTTATATACATAGAATGTATACAAATACATATATTTGTATACATATTCTATGTATTTATATACATAGAATGTATACAAATACATATATTTGTATACATATTCTATGTATTTATATACATAGAATGTATAAAAATACCTATATTTGTATACATATTCTATGTATTTATATACATAGAATGTATAAAAATACCTATATTTGTATACATATTCTATGTATTTATATACATAGAATGTATACAAATACCTATATTTGTATACATATTCTATGTATTTATATACATAGAATGTATACAAATACATGTATTTGTATACATATTCTATGTATTTATATACATAGAATGTATACAAATACATATATTTGTATATAATGTATACAAATATTAAATTAATAGAATGTATACAAATATTAATTGTGGTTTTTGCCATTACTTTTAAATGGCAAAAAACTGCAATTACATTTGCACCAACTTAATACACATTCTGCACATGTCTACGTTCCTTTCCCTTTGTTCAACCTATTTGAGCCATGCAGGCCTTCTTGGTGCTTCTCCAGGCCCACGATCTCTGCAGCCTCTGGATGTTTTTCTGTTCTCTCCACCTGGAAAACTCTCTTGCCAAATAGACACATGGATTGCTTCCTCATTTTCTTTAGGTCCCTCCTCCAATGTTAACTATTAGAAAGGCCTTTCCTGACTATTTCATACATACACACACACAGGTATACACATACAATAAGTATGTTTTATATATATATATCACAATTTCCCCAGCTTCACATTCTCTATTCTTCTTACTTTACTTTTCCATCATAGTACTTACCACCTACTTGACATATTTTATATTTATTTATTTGCTTATTTAATCCCCTCCCAGCCTCCTGTCCCCAGTAGAGTGTAGCTTCTATTAAAGCAGGGCCATTGCCTATTTTTTTCTCTGTTGTATTCACAAAGTCTAAAATACCTGTTGAATGAAGTAAGAAAGGAAGGAATCAGTGAATGAAAGACAACATCACCTCAAGAAAAACACTTGTTTTCTCACTGATCTGCTCTAACTGCCCGCAGAATCACAAGTTTAAATTAGAAAAAAGTGAAATAAAAAGTCTAATCACTGGCATATGATTAGGCATATGAGTTTCGTGCAATTTAAGTAGGTTCTTAAATCAGCTATCAAGATGAATAAGTAGCTTATTTTTCAACATATACTAGGTTTTTCTTCACATTTGTGCAAAGCAAAATTAGTTTAAACGTACCTTTGAAAAAACTTATACTAATAACTTGGTAGTTATTTTCAAAGCATTCCTGCAAAGGGTGAAGGCAGATGATGGCAAACTATCAACCAAACATTGAGTCTAATGCAGGCCCTAGGTTATTCTTGGTGACCTTTTTTGCAGTAATGCCGAGTAGGAGCAGCAGCAGCCCTGATTAGCCCGAAAACGTCTAAGGAGTGACATAGACCTGGAAGACATTCTCATTACCACCATCATCAATGACCACTTTCGCATCCTCAGACCAAGCGGAAAGCTAAAATCTCGGAATCACAAAACTCAAGTTTATGGGGGATCATTTAATTTATTCTCTTCGTTTTACAAATTTAGAAACTAAGCTTCAGCATTTCAGAGAGATCAAGTGGCTCACCAAAGTTCATCTTACTTGGGAGAAGAATATTGAACAAGATGACCTGGGCCAGGGACACTTATCAAAAGAAAAGAGAAGTGTTCACTCAAACTACCTAGGACAGAACTAGAATAAAGAAATTGTCCCCAAAGCTCCTCTTAAATACTAAGAACCCAATTTTTAGGAATTAAATGTTTAATGAATTTACATTATAGCTAGTTCTGCTAAAATTTATGAAACAGTTTAGTTGAACTTTTTATTTGCTGAACATATTCTTTAGAGTGCACGCAAAATCAATGTGTATAATACATTTATGTCCCCTTTAGAGAAAAGAGTATAATTTTACCATTTTAAATAACTATGAAAGGTTATGGCTACTGCATCTTTGCCTCTGACATAGGGTTGGTCATAGTTATGATTTATTTTTTCTCAAATATATGGTCAGAGACACAGTCTCAATTAAGATATTACTCCTGAAGGAAAACGGGAGGCATTTTACAACTCTCTGCTTTATGATTCTATTTCCAGAAAGCACAGGGGTGAAAAGTGGGAGCTGTCTGTGATACTAATTTGAAAAACTAATGAAGTAATGGAACTGTTATTTCTCCTAATGGCTACCAGGCCCTATTCTCTGCACAGTGTAATACTGTATCTACACATGTATGACTTAAGGCCACAGCTACTACCACAATGTGCCCTCAGCAAAACAACGCACACACACACACACACACCCATCACCATCACCATCACCATCACTGCTGCCACCACATCTTACTAAGGAAAAGGCTTATAAAATTTTTATCTCAATTCTCAGGGGCCAAGAATTTTATCTCAATCTCAAAGAAATGTTCTTTACACTCCCTCACAGCTATCTTTTCAAAATTTTCAACTACTTTTGCTCCTTACAACCAATTTGATCCTGAAAAGTATATGTAAACTGAATTTTTAGAACAGACCACTTTTTAAAATGCTCTAGGGCTATTGAAAAGAACTCCATTTTTGTAAATGGAATAATCACTCTGCAATTTATCTTTTGTAAAATCCTAATTTTCTTATGTCATGCTTGTTTAAAATGATATAGACCTGTTCAGAATTCCTCAAGGGGATAAAACCAACATTAATTATTTCTTTCTACTCCATTTCAGTTGAAAACTTTCTCTAGAATAAAAAACAGAATTTTACTAATACTTGGTAGCGTCTGCCTTGTCATTCTCTTTATATTGGCACAGATCCCTTCATTCTAGAAAGCAAGACTTCTCCTGGTAAGGCCTTGGTGAGCTCTGACCCTTATGCAAATGTTGAGTGAGACAGCCCTGGCCTCCCACACAGACAGACCAAACCATCTTTTATCGATTCCTCCTTCCCTTCCTTGTGCCCCTGTGTCTACAATAAGAAAGAAGATATGCAGTCCCTGCTCTCAGGGCCTTACACTTTAAAGAGTAAAATACAAAATTTGAAAATGTCATTGTTCTGAAGAAAGAAGCAAAAGGTTTGAAGGTTCTGTATGGGATGGAGTGGTAACACCAACTATTGAACCAAGGGGCCCAGTCCAAGGTGATAAACTCCACATCAAGCTTGAACACAAAGACATTAAAATCTTCCAAGGGGTCAGGTTCAATTAGAGCCCTTGGCAATCTGGATACACTTGCTAATCTGAAGGGAGTACCAGATGCAAGACAGTTCAAAAAGCATTGACTAAATACTTACACCACCCTAGGAAATGAACTCATAAAGACAGGAGTATGCCTCATCTTTCGTCTTTGGATCACCAGCGCTAGAAGCACCTACATTTCCACATCCAGAGTAGCTTCAGAAGACATCAAAATTTGGGGAACCTTTTGGATTCAGCAGTCAGAACCCAACCATTAAAAGCACCAAGGGCATCCCCAAACATTAAGCCTGTGAGAGATTGGAAGGGTGTATGGGATGCAGCAGGAACAATGCTCTCGTGTAACTATGTAGGTAGGATAATGCCTTCTGTCCCAAAGAGATACCAGACGAGAAACTACTGAGTATTGCTAGGGATTGCAAAACTGGCTAGTCATTCCTTGCAAAAATAGGATTCTCAATGTTCAGAACCAACTTGGAAGGCATATGTATTAGTGAGTGCCTGTCCTTCTATAGCCCCCAGCTTAGTCATAATTGAGGTATTACTTAATATTTTCATCAAAGAATGTAAGATGGACTTACGAATAGGTTTATAAGGAAAATTATTTGGGTGCAGTAACTAGTTATTGAAGCCAACTAGTTAAATTGTTCATTAAAGTGGAACAAAGTTCAATAAAGACAGTTAAGGCATGCTATGAGTCAGAAGCACAGAGCCTATCACATGAACAGAAAAGCCACTTACTAGGTACAAGTATGTCTCAGGAAAAATGAAGCCTACAGCAGACTGCAAATCGAATGTGAGTTATGCTGGTCTACTCATCAAATCTAATCAGAAGTTTTGTTCTCACATTTTGGATCTGCATTCAAAATGGGACTCCAGAAAGATGACAAAAGTTATATAAAAGACTTAAAACCGGTCTTGTAGGAACAGCCAGAGGAATTTAAGTGACATGATTCTTTTTTTTTTTTTTTTTTTTTTTTGAGACGAAGTCTCACTCTGTTGCCCAGGCTGGAGTGCAGCGGCGCGATCTCGGTTCATGCAAGCTCCGCTTCCCGGGTTCACACCATTCTCCTGCCTCAGCCTCCCAAGTAGCTGGGACTACAGGCACCCGCCACCACACCCGGCTAATTTCTTTTTGTATTTTTAGTAGAGACGGGGTTTCACCATGTTAGCCAGGATGGTCTCGATCTCCTGATCTTGTGATCTGCCTGCCTCAGCCTCCCAATAAGTGACATGAGTCTTTGAAGGAAGAGAACACTAGTCTGTATATGTTGCTCATCTGAAAAGAAGACTAGAGGCAAGGATGTGTTTTTAACTATACAGAAAGTCTGGTTGCACTGACCAGATAGAAAGGACTAGATGATGAATGGTATTAAAATGGATTTTTATGACCAGGAGAACTATATACTTAGTATACTTTAAATGTGAATGGGATTTTGTAAATAATCTAACCTAATCCATGGAAGTCAGTTCCCTCAAAATGCTCCATAAAAAAAGGGTTCCCAGGTCTAATAAATTTGGTGAGCACTGTATATTGCACCACTCGCTTTGAAGAATTAACAATACACAGTATCATATTTAAGGCATCAGAAAGTTTTTCAGGAAAAAAAATAACTTTAACAAAATTAACTTAAATTTAAACAGAAATTATAACATCTTAATAATTTTCTTGTTCCTTGTAACTGTCTTTGGATCCTCAATCTAGCCTAACTCCCTCTCTTACATTTGAGAAAACAGACTCACTTATATGACTGGCCCTAGATCTGATTAGAGTTGGGCAGTGGCAGAAATGAGACTTAACCCAGTCTATTGCATGTCTTATATTCTGTTGATGCCAATGAAATAAAGCTGGAAATTAAGAAACAGGATGTTTTCCATTCTTTGTCGTGGAGTCGTTGATTTTTCATATTATATCCATTAAAAGAAAGAAAAGTAATTAAATTTGAGATAAATCTTAACTGAAAAATATAAACCACATTCTTTAATTTGTTGACCACAGCTAAACCTGCAAAAGCACTAGAAAAATATAAGAGTACTAGATAAAGATAAAATAATACTGTACAACACACTAGAAATATAAGTGGTAAATTGACCTCTGCCCCTGTTGCACTTAAAGGATTAACTGCATAAATCTTCTCTTTGTTTTGAACTATTCCACATATTCTACAGTACTGTTCATCAGTGAAATACACCCTGGTTTTGGCCAGTGGTTGTTTCTGCCTATTTTGCATCACTACCTAACTTCCTTAGGCTAAAAAACAAACCAACAAAAAAAATACTCTGAAGAACTCCTCTTTCCTTATCTCATGCAGTCTTGGAGCTGTCGGTCAAAGTATTCTCTATTCTTTCCAAAGCACAGGCATATAAGCCAATCAAATTCCTTCTCCCAGGAACTTGCGTCCTGAGTAGGGTGACACAAGGAATTGAAAAATGTTAGAGCTAAGAAAATCGAATGGCTGAGTCTTGATGAAACTATCTACTTGTTTCTATATTTAAGATCCCCACCACTGTCTTGGTTCCTGTCCATCCTGAGGTCTTCAGTTAAAATAACCAAACTCTGGAAGGAAAAGTCTCTCTTTTTGTTTGTTGGTATTTGACACAGGGTCTCACTTGGTTGCCCAGGCTGGAGTGCAGTGGTGCAATCATGGCTCACACCAACTATAGGCATGGCCATCACGCCTGGCTATTTTTAAACTTTTTTCACAGATGGGGTCTTACATTGTTGCCCAGGCTGGGCTCGAGCGACTCTCCTGCCTTGGCTTCCTAAAGCACTGGAATTACAAGGTGTGAGCCAACATACTTGGCTCTTTTTGTTTAAGTTAGCTGAAGTTGATAAATGTTGTTTATAAATGGAGAACCTTAATGAATATAATACTCATCTGTGGTGTACTTTGCAAATGGATGGGGTATTATCAAATGTTCATAATTATTACAGGGATCATACATTTGGCAATGAATTATTCCAGAGTGTAGACACAGAAATGAAAAGTAATATTAATTTAAGTGTGATGGGTTAAAAAAAATAGCTCTTAAAGTCATCTACAAATAAGGCTTGCCAAAATTTTAAAAATATAGATTGGGTGATACTAACTTTGGGCGACTTATTGATTAACCTGTTTCTGATGGTAGAAAGAATTATTCTATCTTGTGTCTCCGTGGTGTAATTTTATTAGTGAAGTGACAAACCATGCTTCCCAGTGGTGCCTTGAACTGACTTGGAATGTACGGTAAAATACAGATTTCCTCAAATGAATTGCCAAAACCATTAATCTTTATCTAAGGACCCATAATAGTTTGTTCTCAGTAGCAGGTGGGGGAGAGAGAGAAAATGTCTTCCAGAAAGCACTTTGGCAGTCAATCTGGTTGATAATAAAACTTGATGAAACATCTGTGATTAATATTAATTCTGATTCTCTCTTTAATGGATAATTGTGAAAAAGATAATTTATCCCATTTCATTTAGACTACAGCTGAGTTTTTCAATTTAGAAAAAGAACATTTCTCCACGTTTCTCAGGTATGAGACTATAGGGAAAAAAAACCAGGTGCACAAAACCTGCCAACAGACAGGCAATTTTCTAGTTAGCCCTTGAAAATATTTTGTACACGTTCAACTGACCACTACAGATTTGGATGTCACCCCCAAATGGTTCTCTAAGTGAGTAGACTGATTATTTCTTCATCCTCACCACTGTAGAACACTCTAAATGAACCACAGTGAACTGAATTAATACTTTTTGAACTCAATTAATATATTTGGCCATATTTGATTCTGCAAAGATGGTAAGAAAAATGCCCTTGTGAGTAAATGACAGTGAGCTATTTCTGACCACCAGTGTATTTCAAACTAGTTGATGATAGAAACTATTTTTGACACATGCAAATGTATAATTAAAAGTACCCATAAAAATTTGTCATGGAAGCTACCATTAATTTTGACAGAAACTAGGAAAGTAACTAATTGCCTTTCAAATATCAATATTAAGAAAACCACTTATTAAACTAGCACTTCAACTCATTTACACATGGAAAACTTGAAGCATGGGTTGAAGTCTCCTGCCCAACTCTCCAAACCTAATGAATGGTGAAGCCAAAACCCAGGCCTCCTCATTCTCATCTCATCTATCTTTCAAAACTTAATAATACTTTTAAAAGGAACCTATGAAATAATAGACTTATTTTCTAAGAATCAGGGCATATTATATGGTTAAAAAAATGACTGTTGTCTAACCCAATACAGAAGTGGTAAATAGTGATTAAGTACAGATCACTGTTGACCTTTAATCATAACCAAATCATTGCTCCATTTAAATTGACTCCATTTTCATCAGACTCTAACTGACATCAGGGAGAGCAAAACAAACTGACAAGCACAAAAGGCACAGACAATGGGCACTGACTTCTTCAGTGTTCCTTCCAAAAACCTCATGTCATATAAATAGAATATTACAGGAACTATTCATTATTCATTTCTTTCTCTCCAGGTACACATTTTCCTTCGAAACTGTTGGTCCAAAATGAATATTTCTTATCACTTGATATCTTGCCTGTTTTCTATTTTTATGTGGCTTTCTGATTCTTATCCTAACACAGCTTGCCACTTTGAAAAAGAAATTTATTTTATGATAAAAAATTTTGTTCAATTGTACAAGAAATGCAAAAACCCTAAAGGGTTCTATGGTTTTTGTTTGCATCAGCAAGGTCAAATTATGTCTAATTTACAGGTAAAGCAATGAGACAATTTACTTGGTCAGGCAGAAGGAAGGATTTATTATGACCATTGTGAATTAGATGACTCCCAGAATCTTAGTCTATTTTAGTCTTTATCTTAGACTTAGTCTCTCCCTAACCAGAGCTCCCTGGATTATACCAACATTCACATCACAAAGACTGCCATTTCTCAAGACTGATGGTACTGTTGACATGACCCTTCCATTTAATCAAATCCTCTAGTACCCACTTCTTTCAAGTCTTGAATTCAGACCCATCCATTCCTACTTTAAGCCAATGTTCTCGAAGTGTGGTACAACTTGCAGGAAAAACAGCTGGAGGGCTTATTAAAAATAGATTCCTACATTGCAACCTCATAAAGTTGAACGAATCAAACTTTATGGAAGTGGGTTCCAAGAATTTGACTTTTTACCTATCATCTCCAGACAGATCACGAAATTTGGGATAGCGTCTTAAGCCCTGAGACTTAAATTCCACCTTGTCCCTCAAATCAATATGTTACTACATCTTTAACTGATCTCTTCCTCCTGAAATAGTCGTCTCTCTCTCTTTTATGGAAAGTGCTAATCTTATAATTCACTTTATTTCTCTTTTTGCTGTTATTTTCATGAATATATTTTTCCCACACTGGATTGTGAGCTCCTAGAGGACAAAAATCATATTGAATACTTTCTCCACACTGTCCCCTACATTGGCCCTCTAGGTAAACATAGCTCAGTAAGCACTGATGAACTGCTTGACTAATGAGAAAATAATATGTAATACTGAAGTGTGTCCTTCTATAGCCACTGTAGATTTTCTACAAATATAATGATGCACAAGTACCAACAGCCTCAAGTAGAGTTTAATAAAGGGGTTTTATAGCATTTGGAATACAAATATTTCACAAAATTGCCACAATAAATCTAAAATATACTTTAATAATAAACTAACACATTGTAGCTAAAGGTCAGAAATTCTGTTATTTGATTAAACTAATAATCTAGCAAATGTTATTGATTTAGCAATTCCACTTAATATAAATATCATAAAAACTCATGCAAAAATCTCTATACCTATTGCAAAGGAACTAAAGGCAATTAAAAAAAAAGAGAAACTCAAGTAAAGGATATTAATATCTCTGAGATTAGAATCATTTCTGCATAAGTACCAGTACTATTTATAGAATAAGCTTTTGAACACTGCTTTTCA
Organism: Homo sapiens; assembly: GCF_000001405.40. Lineage (NCBI taxonomy): Eukaryota > Metazoa > Chordata > Mammalia > Primates > Hominidae > Homo > Homo sapiens. The sequence continues at coordinate 107,414,988 of NC_000005.10, forward strand.
CACATGGATAAGAGCTAAGGGCATGAACTTTGAAGTCAGAATGCCTTTGCTCAAATCTGGACTCAACTGTACATGAACAGTGTGATTCTAAACAAATGATTTGACCTGTTTGCATTTCAGTTTTTCTCATTTGTAAAATCGGAACAATAACAGTGCCTAACACGTACCTGTGATAAAGTATGGATGAGATTATATATATATATATACATATGGAATGGATAAGTGCTTACTACATGCTAGCTATTAATATATACCCAGCAAGCACCTAGTCATAAAACAAATGATTTCAATGTATTTATATGATAAGCCTCAAATCAGTTTACTCTTTAAGAATATACTACTACTCCCTATTGCCTGTTACATATATTCAAAACTCTTCAGAACAGAATTAATGGTGCTTCATAATCTGACCCAATCTATCCAGTTTTTATTTTCCAAATACTCTCCACTCCATTCAGACCTTTTCATTGATCCCTGAGTTTATGCTGTTCTGATTCCTTATCAGGAGAGGCGAGGCCAGTAAGAGAAGAAATCCACGTGAGCGGTGTGAAGCTTGTTTTTTGGAGGGCTGCTGGGTGGGCTCCCTGACTCCGGTAATCACCCTCATGAACCAGTGCCAAGATCCCCTCTGTGTAAAATCTGGGTGCTGCACATGGCTGCTACAATTCCTTAACTTCATTCAAAAGGATTTCAAATGTTATAAATTCTCAGTGTCTTTCCCCTTATGGGAGCCCTACTCATCTTTCTTGTGCAAAGATGTATAGTAACTGCAAGTCTGTAAAACACTGGTGGATTTTAAATAACAATAGCAACAGCAAGTATAACTAATTACAATAAGTGAAACAATAATTTGCAGCTGCTGTGCTGCTTAAGGCTAGATAAGGTAAGGCAATCCCTGGCATGGAGCATCATGTTAACAAGCTGCAATGTTGAGACAGTTGTTCACTAGGCTTTGCAATATATCCACCAACGCCTACACTGTGCTATTGATTCTGTTAATGAAATTTAACCTCTGAAAAATGACTCAGGGCACTGAAGAGACATATACTTTCAATACTCTTGCTAATCATTAAATGCCTTCATCACAATTGAAACAGGAATGGTGAATGACACATTTCATTATGTCATCATGTCTGACCCCACAAACCATTCAATAGTACTCTGCTTTGTTCTATAAACCCATTTACTTCCTAGTATGTAAATTTCAGGAATAAGTTGACATGAAATTTCCCTATACATTTCCCATTAGCTGTCTTGAGAACAGGGTCTACCTAAGTTCCAAGGTGAAGGTAGAACTTAGATAACGACTTGCCAATGATGCTTGAAATCTGTCTACTTTTAACGTCTTTTAAAATATTTATTATGAAATAATTGAATAAAGACTCTAGGCTTGGGGTCAAACTACATGGGTTCAAATCCTGACCCCAGTACTAACTACATGATCTCAGGCAAGTCACTTAACCTCTCTGAGCCTCAGTTTCCTCATCTATATGATAGATAATGATAGTACCGGCCTCACAGATGAGGATTCAACAATTTAAAACAGATACAGTGCTAGGTACAGTGCCTGCCACTTAGTACATGCAATATATGCTAAATCACTCTAATTACAACCATCAGAACAAGTGTTACCGGAGGAGTTATTAGTTAAAGCATGAGTAAACCTTTAGCAAAAGGCTAAACTAAACTTCATTTAAATCATTGCAGTATTCATCATACTGCTTCAAAACTGACTGAACTGAACTGCCCCCACTGTATATAGTAAGACCTCTAAGCAATATACTAAAAGTAAAAAATTTGCCTGTTCACATTTTTAGCCTCCAATTTACTCTCCTTGCTTACTTAGATTTGCCCATTAAAAATTCCACCTAAAATGAAGCAAGTATGTCTGAAATCAAGGTTGAGGACCAACAGAAACTGTTAAAGCAAAACATGCAGTAAAACTTAATCAATTCAGATTTTAGTCAGAATTTGTAACAATTTACTGGAGGAGAAAATGAACTTTTAAAAATGTCTGTGAAAAAAAAAATCAGACAAAGCAAATTTACATTAGAAGCCTGATATTGGAGGTACTAAAAATTGGGCAAGTTAAAAACAATATACATTCTTCTTAAAAATGATTCAGAGCACATGTTATTTGTTTTTATGGGTTTACATGCAAAAGGGAATGTTAACCAAAAACTAAAACTTAGCTAACATTAATGTAGATAAAGCTAGTTGGAAATATTGTATATCTCTAAAAATAGTAAAATGAAAAGATATTATCATTCCAATTCCCAACAATAATAGACCTGGCTGGCTGTTCTCCAATTCATGATATTTTACTTTTGAGGCTCAGAATGAATTAATTTTTTTGTGAAGCTTTAAACTTTAAAACCAAACCCATACATAGCATACATATTAAAGTTCTGTTCCTAATGTGGATTTTATACAATCTGACTTAAAATATTCGATGGAAAAGAAGCCTGTTGCCAAAGTCCACATATTTCCCCTATTAAACAGAGGTAAGCCATATCCCCAGAAACCATATTTCAAGCCCAAAGGATACTCATGAACTAAAATAATGAATGATAATGCCTCGTTCTCTGCATTAATAATAAAGAAAGAGAAAACAGAAAACTTGATAGCCACTATCAGCTTTCTGGACCATAAATCTCAAGTTTTGAGAATTGCTTCCCAAAAGGGTAGGGAGCAAGGATGAGTTGTGAGAGCTTCGGAGCCTAGAGATATTTTTTTAGCAAGCCAGCAAAGCACTGACACAAATTTCTACATATCTCTGGCTGTGAAAAGTCTCATTTGTGGTGATTTATATTTCCCCATAAAGAACTCTGTAGATAATATAAGCCTGCTGTAAGGCTGTATGACAACTTTCAAACCAAGAGTTACATGACCATTTGGTGAAAATAGAGCAAGAATAGATGAGTGGGAAAGTCTGTAGAAATAGTATTTCTTCTGATGAAAGGCCCAAATGCTGTTCTTCCAGCATGCACGAGGTTCAGAGAGTAACCTTTCACTCTGTGTGTATGTATCTTGTGGATAATATTTTGGTCGTCTATTCTAGAAAGTATTATTTTTTTCCCAAAGATTGACTATGCATTTGGTGTGTGCATGCTTGTGTAATTTACAAGAAATGACACTCAGACATCATCACACTGAAATTCAGTTGCCTTAATAAGTTACTAAGAGAAACACAGAGAATAGCATGCTGACAACCCAAAGTCAATGAAGTATAAACACTGTTATTCCAAGTGTCACTGGTGTGTTATTTCCTTTTTTCCTGGCATCTGCTCTATGTAACACTGTACACACACGTGATACAGCAGCTCATTAAACTGTTTCAGTTAACTCTGAAACCAAATTAGTGCATTACATGTTTATAAGGCTGAGAATTACTGCTTCCCTGTGAAATTACACAATTAATCAGTTGCATTATTTCTTTAGGAGATGCAACCACGTTTGACATTTAAGGATAAAAAGAACAATCCTTTAATTTGTTTCCATTTCACCATTGAGTCTCAGTAGGGTAAAGGAAGCAAAAGGTGACATAATTCCTCCTTTTCCCTTAGGAGGTCAGAACTCTACATGCTTCCTCTGTCTCATAATAGCATTCTGAATTCTTAAAAGCAGTACAAATAAAAATTATTTTGGTTTTGAACTTCTCGTCTGAGTGTCACAGCCTTTGAAAAATTCAGACAATGGGAAGGGTACTTAGGAGTCTTCAGTTTCTTATGGCTTTATACCGTGAATTTCCATCAAGTCCTGATTATTGAGTAACTTTTAAGGCTCCTTTTGCAAACTTTCAAGATGGTCCCAATGTAAAAATCTATTAAGCGGTGATATCTGCTCTATTTTCCTTTTTCACAGACCTGGCATTAATTTCTCTGATTCTTTTAAACAGGAGTTAAACTAGACTCATCCTTTAGTCACTTAACAGGGCATGCATTTCCTTTTAAAATCCATGCTACTTGATCAAATAACTTGTCAACAAATTTAAAAATACTTTTCAATACCCTGTGTTCCTATGAATTGCCTCCTCCACCTTTGATTTCACTCAAACTATGTGAAGTGTGCTAGGCGAAGCCATTACCAGAAGGCAGAGGTACAGGTCTAGCTCCAACAGCACCTGAGCTGATGCTGCGTATGCATGCTCAGAAGGTTAAGAGGGCACCTGGCAGTAAATAACTGTTTTCATAAGAGGAAATTACAATTAACAGAATAATTTCCACAAGTCCCTAAATATCCTCTTTCATGTTCTTTATTTAACCTTCATTTAAGAGCCCTTGAAATTCATTCATGCTTTCCTAAAAAATGACTAGGGACAACTTGAAACAGACACAATTCCCTAAACTCATTCTTTAAATAAAAAGGTGCATTATTGCAGCTTCACTAAAGACCTGTGGGAGTATACAAAGCGAATAGAAGGACTATTTTCAAATAGAGACCCGATATAATTCTTAAAAAATATGCTGGCTTTCAAGGGGAGAAAATTGTTCCATTCTATTTTCAAAATAACACAAAACTTACAAAGAAAAACTAAATAGTTTTTGGTGACTAAGATGTACTTTGCATCTATATCTGGGTACTTACTATCTGATTTTTGTGCCATATGTATTCTCTTCCCTTTAGAAAACGTTAAAATTTGTCGGTTTCCCAACACTGCCCTTCCACTCTTCTGTATTAATACAAGTGTGTCTTAAAACACCATGTGCTAGTACACATACTTGAAAAACTAGAGGAGGTGCACCAGTATTTGACCACAGTCCTACAGAACATTTCAGTTATAAACCTCTTCAATCTTAGAGAAGTTGATGCTACAGTAAATAATGCTAAAATAAGACTTCAGTAATCAAAAACATTTTTCAATAACAAAAGTAAAATGCACACACACACACTGAAGCAAATATCGAGTGTTTCATTGTCAGAAAGTACATTGTACTTACAAGTCATTTCCCCTGCAAGAGTAAAAGACAATGAACAGTGAAAAAGACTACCTCCTGCTTTGATAATTGTGCCATTTTGACACTCTTCTATTTCAATAAGAAAAACTATGTAAAAAAGGTGATTGGTGTGAACTGTCCAGAGCAAAACAATTCTTAATGTAGATGACTAAAGTAAGGCACTGAAAAATCAGACATCAAGAGGAATGAAGAATTCCTTATGCATAGTAATCCTAGCATAATGCTCCTTAAGAATATAGGAAATGGTCTTAAAACTTAATCTTTATGCATTTATGAAATTTTTTACTGAACTAAAATATCAATCTGGGATATTCAAGTTGCCTTAACTTTTCAAAAAATGCAAAACTTTTTGGACTTGGATTACTGAAGTTGTTATTTTGGCAATCAACTGGTTCCTTAAACAATATTTCATCGAGACTCAAAAATCAGAAAAGAGTTGTGATTATTACACCCATTTTACAGATGAAGGAATTGAAGCTCAGTGAAGTTAAGCACATTGCCCAAGTTCCCACAGCTAGTAAGAGCACAGAAAGAGGATTCAGACCCAAAGCTACACTTAACCAGAGTCTGTGCTTTTAAAAAAAAAAAAAAAAAAGAAAAAAAAAAAAGAAAAAAAACACACGCAAACAACAACAACCATGTTCCACTCTCTGCTTTGATGTTATGTATTCCTAGCATATTATTTTTTTAAAGTACTAAAATACGAGGGAACTGCTGGAGAGGGTGCAGTAAAACTTGAGCCCTGTAATTTATCTGCTTTTCTAAAAAACAAAATTAGAAATTTAAAAAATTAATTGGTTTTTTGCCATATGTGGTTTATTATGGCATTTATCCATGCAATAAATATTTCCTGAGTAACTCTTCTAGATGCTGCTTTCTGCAATTTTTCTTTGAAATATATAGCTTTTCATCAATATTATGGCTAAGCAGATTATCCATATTATGGAAAACTTGCACTTCTACGAAAAACTATATTCTGAATTCTAAACAACTCACCTGCAAATAAGGTTTTGAAACACATCGATAGTTAAATGAGGACTTTCTTCAAATTAGTTCTGTTTTACTAGTTTTACTGAATATTCTTATACTTTTAAAAGGTTAGCCAATAACTGTATTGTACAATCAAATGATTTCTGAAGCTGATCTTGATCATTTTAATAAGATAGCCCTTAGGAACTTAGGTTACTTTGTTTTAAAAATTGTACAGTGAATATTAAAATTGCCTCATGGCTTAAGATAAAACTGTAAACTTTTAATCTAAATACCTAAAGCTGAGAATTAGCAGTTAACCACATACATTTAAGCATCTACAGACTATAGATTTAAAAATGATGTCCATAGTAACACAGAATGTCCTAGTAATAACTCAGATATAACAAATGCTGGAAAAATTCTCTTTTAGTATCATTTTCAGAAAATGACAATTGTCTTCTTTATTATAGATCTCTCATTAAAACATACTAATTCCTGAATCAAGTGTGCAATCGTAATTCAGTCTGGATGGTGAATATTCAGGACATTTAAGGAGAATTTCTTAGAAAATGCAACTTTTCTGGTTTCTGAAGTTATCTGAGTTAAAAAGGTCAACGCTTTGGGAAGATACAGTTGAAATATCTTCTGGAGATGGAAAAGTATCCTTTGGAGAGGAAAAAATGCAGAAATATGTTTAAAATTTATCTTTCTACCATCTGATTCGGGGTTCCTAGGAAGTGTTTATAAAGTAGAATTCTCTAAACAGTAGATGATGTCAGAGTGAGTGCTATTTGTTTCTAATCTGTTTTTAAAAAATATAAAGTGTATTTTTTCAAGTATAATAGACCCCAGGACTTTATCTCCTCATTTCTTTCTTTCTTTTTTTTTTTTTAGACAGAGTTTCGCTCTTGTTGCCCAGGCTGGAGTGCAATGGAGCGATCCCAGCTCACTGCAACCTCCGCCTCCCAGGTTCAAGCAATTCTCCTGCCTCAGCTTCCTGAGTAGCTGGGGTTACAGGCATGAGCTACCACGCCCGTCTAATTTTGCATTTTTAGTAGAGATGGGGTTTCTCCATGTTGGTCAGGCTGGTCTTGAACTCACAGCCTCAGGTGATCCACTTGCCTTGGCCTCCCAAAGTGCTGGGATTACAGGCATGAGCCACTGCGCCCGGCCCTCTTCTTTTAGTTGCTTACTCACTTAACTTCCTCCCAGATCAGCTAGTTCTCATCTGTGTGAACCTTTTTCAAGTTACCTAACTTTTCTGGGCCTCAGTTTCTTCACCTGTAAATAGGGAAAAAGAATAGTTCTTCGTAGTGCTGTTTTCAGATGGCGCCTGGAACACAGTACATGCTATATAAATTCTAGTTATCCTTACTTATTAAACATCTGCATGTGCCAAGCAATGTAATACAGGGCAGAAAGCAGGAACAGCTGTGAACAACCTACCATAAATATATAATGTCAGGGATGATAAGTGCCTGAGGAAAAATAAAGCACAGTAAAAGTATAGAGAATGCAGAGAACAAGGTGTTATTTTTATATAGAGAGGTCAGAGTCGCTGCCTCTTGGATAAAGACATTGTTTGAACACAGACCTAAAGAAAGTGAGAGCAAGGCACGTGAATGCCTGGGGCAATGGGAAGCCCAGGTAGAGGGACAATAAAGTCCCCAGGTCCCGATGTAGGAGTGTACTGGATAGGAGAGGGAGGAGGGCTGGCAGCTGAGTAGCCAGAATCAGGCAGACGGTGGTAGCAGAAGTCAGAGGCCGAGGGAATCAGGGAAAGGAGTTCAACCATGGAGGACCTTGCTGGCCAGGTTAGAGACTGTGGACTTTTGTCTGGGTGAGACAGGAAGTCACTGGAGGGCTGTGACAGAGCTCTGAGGCTGTGAGGCACTGCTCTGTCAGTGCCATGAGTGGGGAAAACAGGAGCTTGCTGCACTGGTAGAGACCACAGATAATGATGACTTGGACAGAGCAGCTGGGAGAGAACTAGTTCAATAACCCTAACACGCCTCTCCATTCTGCATTTTCCCTAAAAATGTACCTTTAACTAGGATTTATTGAACATCTACTAAGCAAGGTATTGACCTGGACCACTGTACGGATGTTATCTTTTACCCTAATGCTGCAGACCCTCAGATAAAATATAATAAAATTAGGATATTAAAGCTCCAAGAATTTCTGAAGTCAATTATAATTACATTATTTTACAGATGTAGAGTTCAAACTCCAGATGGATGAAATGATTCTCTCAAGATCATACAGCTAGTTAGGTCAAGAAAAGGACCTGGGACTCAGTTTTCCTTACTTTATAAAAGCATATATTCAAATCAGTGTTTTATGGAATTACAAAGATAACTTATTAAAAGGATTTCCCTTTACCCCTTCTGATGTAAAAATAACTGCAAAACTTCTATCAAACATATTCTCATTAGGTTAATATTTAAGAGTATCATTTCTAAATTGAGTATTTTTTAAGTTTCTAAAAGGAGTATTAAAAAAAAAAAAAAGACAGGGTTTTGCTATGTTGCCCAGGCTGGTCTTGATTTTTTTGGCTCAAACAATCCTCCTACCTCAGCCTCCCAAACAGCTGGGACTACAGGCATGTGCTACCATATCCAGCTAAAATGAGTATTTTTGAATTTTTTAAAATTACTGTTTCCTTTAGGAAGTCTATATAAACAACTATTGTCTTAATCAATTGACTGGCAGTTCTGCAAATCTATCATTGATATAAATACCGCCAACTTTCTGTAATTACTTTAGTATGCCAATCTCTTACCAAAATAACTCCTGTAGATTAAAAACAGTATTTGTCAGATTCAGAGATGGCCCCAGTCTACCTCAGCAATAATCAGCAATTATAACAACTTAATATACTGTCTGTTCCCAAGGAAAGGAGAATATAGCATAGTTATTCTTGGGAGTTAAAATAAAGGGACTAGAACTGCAAAGCATGTTTTATTTTTAAAGTAAATTGGAAACTTCATTTAGGATATTTTCAACTACCACATTTTCTTAATTTTATAAAACTCAAAGACATTAAGAAAAAAAGAAATCTGGTTGAGGATAAGGCAAATGTTGATAAGAATCTTCTGACTCATGTCCTCTCTAAGTAATGAGGTGAATAGCTTGTTATGAAATCCTTGTCTTCCCTTCCTCCAAATCTGTGTTTGTATCTGAATTTTGGCACTCCACAGTCTTCACTATACTTAAGCCTACTCCTAGCACCATAAAGCAGGATGGCCAAAAAGCTATAGCTTTCTTTTTTCTTTCTTTCATTTTTTTTTTTTTTTTTTTTTTTTTTGAGACGGAGTCTCACTCTGTCACCCAGGCTGGAGTGCAGTGGCTCAATCTCGGCTCACTGCAACCTCTGCCACCCTGGTTCAAGTGATTCTCCTGCCTCAGCCTCCCAAGTAGCTGAGATTACAGGCTCCTGCCACCATGCCCAGCTAATTTTTGTATTTTTTTTTTTTTTTTAGTAGCGATGGGGTTTCACTCTCTTGGCCAGGCTGGTCTTGAATTCCTGACCTCATGATCCACCCGCCTCGGCCTCCCAAAGTGCTAGGATTACAGATGTGAGCCACTGTGCACAGCCAGCTTTCTTTTTTCTAGGGAAAGTAAGAAGAGATTTTAAGGCTATGAGGAGCTAAGAGGTACTGCTGTCCTAGCAAGAACATTCTGTAAAATTGACTGGTGGGCAGTGAAGCTTGTTCCTGAGATCAGCAATAGAGCATCTTGTAACGTAGTAAGTGTGAAAATAGCTATTTCCCAATCATCTTGTTCATTCCACACACATTAGGGAAGAGGAAAATTCAACTGAGGGCCAATTCTCCCCTAAGAATCCTTTAGTTTAATTATGACCACAGTACATTAAACGTCTGTAAGACAACCATGTTAGCTCTGCTGCTCCTGACTGCAGTGGTGGAAGAGAAGAAACCCTTTCATTACTAAAAAGACAGGGAAGGATGCCTTTGCGGGTCGAAAACATGGTTGAAAATTCAATTTAACTGAACACCAAGCCACTGTGCTTCTTGTTAATGAACATCTTTTTGCTGCTAATTTTGTGCTATTTTACCTTTCATTAAAAAAAGTAATTCAAGTTAAACTCAGCTGAACAGCAAAAAGCTCTTCATATTTTGAAGCATTTTGGAACAATTACTTTGACGGAAGCCCTTGACAGTTAAATGACTCCGTTAAATGAATGTTATAGAAGTCACATAATGATTTTTAGTGAAATATTGAATTTAACCACAAATGAGGAAAAACCAGTCATAAGCGCTATGGGTATATTTGAATAATAACATCTTGCTTATGAAGCTGAATGAATTCTATAATTTCTAATAATCAGGCAATCAACTAGTTAGTTAGTGGGTATGTTCCTCATCTTGGTGCTCTCTATTCATTTTTGATTTTTGCTTTTGCTGTTGTTTTTTTAATCTGAGAAGCCAGTAAGAAAATTTCAAAACTAGCAAGAATTTTCTCTTACATTGGTATAGTATTTTACAGTGAGACAACTAATGAGTTGCTGTCCCACAAATGAAGTCCTCCTCTTTCCTTTTTCTCATATGCTGAATGAGATTCTTTCACAAAGTAAAAAAGCAATAAAAGTCAAGAACATGCTGCCTGAGAAGTGTGAATTCACTGTATGCCAGTGCTTCCTGCATCTGTGGGACTCAATATTCCTTTTCTTGTTTTATGGATCAAATGTGAGATAGTATCAAGGCTTTTGCATGTTTTCTCATGACTAATGACTGAAATATGTACTGAAATAATAAAACTGGTACTGTTCAATTTCCTTTTTAAATTCAATTCCAATATAAGTGACAGTTATCATTGTGATGGTGAAATCTGACTTATTATAAAATTCTGTTTTCTGGAGAAGGAGAGGAGCTAGAAATCCCTGTAGACTTAAACCGTGTAAGTTGTGAGTGGGTAGGGACATTTGGACTGAAGAAATGAGTCAGAAAAAAGAATGTTCTTGTTTGTCTGGCAAGCTGGGGTGAAAGTCGATGCTAAGCATACTGAGTGGTATAACTTGGATCTCTACCCACTGTGTGTGGTTGCATTTCCTGATTCTTCCAAGCAGGTGAGGCACAACTTTCTCCATGTTCTCACTACTCCCTGAATTTATCTTCATCATCAGCAATTGTCGACTTATACTTTAATTGCCTATTTACATGTCTGCTCCCCAGTGAAAGGTCACTCCCTAAGAACAGGGAATATCTTTTCATCTTGCATCCCCCAGCATTTCTCAGCTCAGATTAAGCTGTCCAATAAATGTATTTTTTAACAAGTAAACTTTTAACCTCTTCAGTTGACAGTGAGAATACATGGGAAAGGCCAGATAGTTTAAATATAAATACTAGTTAAAGTCCAGATACACAACAAGCTGCTTAAAGTAGCTACCACCTATAATCTTGCTACTCAAAGTGTGGTCCACAGTTCAGTAGCAGCAGCAGCATCTGGGAGCTTCATACATCCAGAATTTCAGGCCCTGCCTTAAGACCTCCTGAGTCAGAATGCATTACAAGATCCCCAGATAACACTATGCACGGTGAAGTTTGAGAAGCATTTACCTATAACATATGATAGTAGGAGGTATGAAGAAGTGATGGGTATATAATGGAGAAGAAACAAGGCCAGGCATTCTGATTAATACAGAAGTCTACTGAGAAAGTTTTAGAGCTCTCCCAGGACAGAGTCACTCAATGCTCACAGGTCGGAAACTCGCTCATACCAGTTACCTTGGAACCCCTTCTAGACACTTCTTCACAAGTCTTTCCTGTTTAAAGACAGAGCTACTCTTAATAATTATCTTTTCTCCTTGCTGCAAAGAGAGTATTTATCGTCAACATGCTGACATGTCCAGGAGTTTTGGCTTCCTCCACTGAAAATGTGGAAGATTGAAAGGATATTGCTGACACCTGAATAAGAAATCCAATGACTCCAAGCTATGTAAATTTAATTATTTCCTTTAATTTTTTTTTCAGGAGTCTTTTTTTCTTTTCCTGAGCTTTGGAGAAGTCCTGGCAATTTTCATTTAAAAAAAATACAAGTCAGCAGTGGTTCAGTGAACAGGCTGACACGTAATTTCATAGGGGGAGACGCGCTCTGTCTTTAATCTAATTTGTGCTCTCAATTCCCAGCTAATGTATCTAGGGATCCTGATGTACGCATTTACAAGGAGATATCTGTAATGCAGAGTCCAGCTCTCTGCAATTCTCTGAAACATGGGTAAAAAATTAGTCTGGGTTCTTGCAGCTGCCCTACAACACGATAAATCTCTATATACTCACAGATGTAGAAATATTCTCGGCCTGGCCTGAATTCAAATCCTAGAGAAAAGGGAGTGAAGAGCTGGAATTTTTCAGAGAACTTCAGCGGTCCATTTGGAGAGTGAGGCCGGTTACATTCCCATCTCTTGAACCCTTTGGAAGTGTGGTCGCAGGCACTGTAGCCATCAAAGTTCACCATGTAGAGGACATAGCGCTCAGTCTTATCTTCTGGGACGGAGTCCTCATAGTGAGGGCAGAAAACATCCAGGTAGTCATTGATACAGACATCAATATGGTAGTCACCCCTCTGGAATCTGTTAGAAAAAGAAAAAAAAATGTGATAATTCATAGAGAAAGGGCTTTCTGCTTGGAATCAGTGGTTAAGCCATTCAATAATTTTGGAGCTAAAGCATCTAGTATAGTAAGTTCTTACTGAATGCCATTATGATTTGGGGCATGGTTTGAAATGTTGCAGTTCCCAATCTAAGCCACAAAAAGCCATTTTACAGTGAGATTCCATTATATTTGTTTCAAAATATCCTACAAACTAAGTGCTTTGCTTTCATTTTAAATATTATATTAAATATCACTCTTTCAAACTGTGGAACTCTATAGAGGTACTAGTGTGCTGTTTTCCATGTTTCCTTTCATTCTTAAAAATCATATATTAAAACAAAGTTTTTATATTTTTATAATAGTGTTTCACTTGATAAATATTTTTGAATAAATGAATGAGGAAATTAAAGAACAAATAAATGACCGAATTGTTTTTTGTTATAGTTGAGGCCATTTTCCACTTTCTATGCAAATGAGAATTACAGCCATAAAATTGGGAGAATTAGAATCATAACATTTTACAGTTAGAAAGACAATTCCTAAAACACTTCCATTTTAGAGAAAAATAAAAAGACATAAAGATGAAGCAGTGAGTGATTGAGCCAAACCTAGTATGGAGACTTCGGATCCCAGTTCAGTGCTTTTCTTAGATCTGCTACGTCAGAAACTTATTTTAGTGCATCTCGATTTTGATGCAGCATCTTTTCCATACTGAGAAAACAACCCATCTAAATCAAATGGCTCTTCCCCTCATTTCTTTTAATCCCTCAACAGGTCATGTTCTAGAGCTGGGCTGGTGAGTAATGAAAGTAACAAGCCAAATGAAAATAGCCAAAACCACGGCTAATTCATCCTAGTTAAAAATGTACACACCTGAATACACACACCTCCCACCACAAACACCACACTGTCTGCTTCAATTCTCATCTCACAAAAGTTTTGCTTATCTGTTTTAACTAATGTGTCTTTCCCCATCAGTCGAACAGTATTTCCCAAGACACAACGATGTGTGAAACAGGAACTGTTATGCATACAACTTTCTCAGTCTAAAATCATGGTGGAAAAGCGTACAAAACTCCTTTGTTTTTAGCTGGTGAGGAAATTCTTCTCTGAGCCCTCAGAAATTTCATCATAAAATTGTGTTACTGCTGAAATACAATGCTCATAAAGTCATATAATCTCCAAGCTGGACAGTCTGAGTGTGAACACTTCCCAGTGGCAGTGAGATAGTTTATTCCATTTTTGGACATCTCTAGATGTTGGAAAGTTTCTTCTTATATTCAGCATATCCGCTTCTGTGTAATTTCTACCCAGTGATCCTACTTCTGCTGCCTGGAATTACAAAAAACAAATCAAATTCCTCTTCTGCAAGGGAGTCCATAAAACATTTCAAGATGTCAGCTATATCTCTCTATATCTTCCTTTCTGCAGACATTTGAAAATCTTGATTCCCTTGGTTCTTTCTAGTATAGTTCCCAGGCTCCTCATCATTCTAGATTCTTGACCCTTCTCATAGTCTCCAGTTTCCCAGTATATTCCCCATAAAATGCAGCACCCGAACATAAACATAATAACGACCTCTGACAGTTTGTGACCAATGTCCACCCCAGTAGAAATATACCACCTTCTAGCCGGGTACAGTGGCTCACGCCTGTAATCCCAGCACTTTGGGAGGCTGGGGCAGGCGGATCACTTGAGTCCAGGAGTTTGAGACCAATCTGGCCAACATGGCGAAACCTTGTCTCTACTAAAAATACAAAAAATATTACCCAGGCATGGTGGCATATGCCTGTAATCCCAGCTACTCGGAAGGCTGAGGCACAAGAATGGCACGAACCTGGAAGGCGGAGGTTGCAGTGAGCTGAGATCACGCCACTGCACTCCAGCCTGGGTGACAGAGTGAGACTCGGTCTCACAAAAGAAAAAAGAAAGAAATAGACCACCTTCACTCTGGATGCTAAATATTCATTGACAAGCCAAGATACTCTTCCGAGAGACAACATTGTGAAAAAGTAGAGACACCATTCATTTTGACTAAGTAGACCTAGATTTAAGAACTGGATCTGCTGTTGGTTGAGTGGGAGAGTCATAAATCATTCTGAGCCTCAGTTTCCTCATATGTAAGTTGGGCTAATCATGAGAACCTGCCTTGCTGGCCTCTGGTGGCTGCTTCAAGCCTTAGATAAGGAAATGTATGGAACAAACTGTGTAGATGTAAACCACTGTTACCATCATCAGGATATACCAAAGCATATTAAAATAAGTAAATAAAATATTAATTTTAAAATAATAGCAGTAAGAACATACAACAGAGATAAAAATAATATGTATATTTCCCCTTTTAAAAATCCAAAAGGAAAATCATATAGAAATGTTAAATTCTGTCCTTAAATGTCAAATGATCCATAGCAACTCCACTTGACCCTTGCTCTTGAAAAGCAGCATGCTGATTTACACAAGAGAAATAAGGACAAATTCTCAGAATATTCACTTTTCAGCTAGAGGATCCCAAACTACATAACCATTTTTTTAAAAACCGAAAACACTTGGAAGTATTTATATATTTGCAATGACCACGAGTTTACTTTTTCTTCATTACTAGCAGACAATGATTTGTCAAGATGCAAGGAAAGCCTGTGTTGCTTTTAAAAGATTTTTGAACATCAAGCTAACATCACTGCCAAAGTACAGAGAAAAGACACTGCAAAGTTCAGATAAAAGGGTGCTGGGATATGAAGCATCAGCACTCAGAGTAGCCTGACAGTTTTGGATAAGAGCCAGACAAGAACAGCAGAAGGCAATGCCCAGATGCACTTTATATTATTATATTATTATTATAGATTTTAAAGAGATTCAAGGGGGAAGTTTTTTCTTTCCCTAAGTGTCACTCATTTTAGCTTCCACTAGCATTTGGCACTGCTCAAAGTGAAAGTAAAAATTAAAACTGCCATTGTCTGGACCCATTCTGTTACTCCTTTATTCTGTAATTCCTTTATTCCACAACTGAAAAAAAAATGTCAGTTTCTTCATGCCTAGAAGTTTGCTCTCCTTTCCTAACTCTTACCCCTGTTAATGTTGCTAAATTTTTACTAAAGCAAACTGTGAGGCTGAAGACCCATTCTACTTTGTGTTGACCAGCTATCCCTTCTGATGACATTTTATTTTGCATGGAGTGTTAAGTGAATTACGGTGGTACCTATTTCAAACATGCGATTGCCCCAGCAATTATTATTTCTTTCTTTCTTTTTTTTTTTTTTTTTTTTTGAGATGGAGTTTCACTCTGTTACCAGGCTGGAGTGCAGTGGTGTGATCTCGGCTCACTGCAACCTCCGCCTCCTTAATTCAAGCAATTCCCCTGCCTCAGCCTCCCAAGTAGCAGGGATACAGGCATGCGCCACCACACCCAGTTGATTTTTGTATTTTTAGTAGAGACAGGGTTTCACCATGTTGGCCAGAATGGTCTCAATCTCCTGACCTCGTGATCTGCCCAGCTCGGCCTCCCGAAGTGCTGGGATTACAGGCGTGAGCCACCGCGCCCGGCCACAATTAGTATTTCTACCCTTTTAGCAGCCATACGACGAAGAAAAGATGATGATTCACTACAGAATCAATTTACACTTTTGTTTCAGATCTTAAATTCATATAGTTTAGTAATGTACATTTCAAAGGGTGGACAATATAAATATAAAAACAATGACAAACTGGAATTCATAAAAGGCAGCTATATAACGTACTCAAGTATAATCCAAAGAAAAGTTTAGGATCACATATGCTAATCCTATTAGGTTGGTGCAAAAGTAATTGCGGTTTTTGCCTTAATATATCAAATCATGTTCTCTGGGTATAAAGTAGAATGGAACCATTCTTTTCTGGCCATACTGTGAAGGAGCACATAAGTATGGCTAATATTAGAGTGCTTATTATGTTACATTCATTATCTCAACTTAATCTCTATTACGATGCCACGGAATAGCCACTATTATTACTACACCCATTTAAAGATGAGGAAATTGAGATTAAGAAGTCAAGCAACGTGCCCAATATTACACAACTAGTAAAGAAAAGGGGGAGGCAGAATTCAAACCCACTCTGACCTCAGAACCAAAGCTCTTCACTTTTCCATTTTGTGAGAGATTAAATTGCTAGAGCCAAGTCCTTAGGTCAGCACTATATTCCTCCAGAGGGACCCATTTTCATTCTTGATGAGGTTTCAGTTCTCTCCTTCATTCACGGATGCAACAAATATTTGCTGCATCCAGGATCTGCTATGGGCTTTACATATGTTATCATATGAAATCCTCGAAACAACCCTATTTTGTAGTTTTAATTAGTTTCACTTTACCAATGAGTCGAGGACATTCAGAGAGGGCATTGTCCAACTTTTTATAGCTAATAAATAGCAGAGTTAGGATCTGAACTCAAGTCTTACATGGTTCTGAAGCATATTCTTGTCCTCCTAACCACAATGGTTCCAAAGCTTCACCAGCTGTAGTAACGACCCTCTTAAGAGTTGGGTTACCTTTATATTTACACTGGTCTTCTAGCAGAGCATTGCAACAAGGTGTCCCAGCCCTACTGTCTCCTCCATGAGGTTTGTCCCAAACTCCTAAACTGGAAAGCTGAGGGGTGTGTCAACATTTAGAATAAGCCTCAGATTGCAGGGTTAGCTCCTGACTCATCCTTTCACAGAATAACATGTTGTTAGGCTCAGCAGCCATTCACATAAAGGAATCTTTTTTCCATCAGGAAGCAGCTTTCATGAGCTCTAGCTCATATTAAAAGAGGAAACTGACATCTAGGAAGACTGATTCTGCATGCCAATATTTACAAATGCCATGGGTAACACAGCCATTGCTTTAACATATTTGTAAATTTCTTGGAAAATTTCTTGTAAATGTCTTCTCTTTATGTCTTATCCTTAATTCCATCCATTGTATCAGCAGTTCTATACCTCTATCTGAGATCACCACATAATTTTAACTATAAGAATTTCTGGCTGTACACCAAGCCAGCAATAATTACAATACAATCTCTACTAAATTATCACAGTGCTTCACAATCTAAAAGCATGCTCAGTTACCATACTTAGAAAAGCAATTGTGTTTGAGTCAAACAATTACGGCCCTGCCTGTTTTCACAGTGTAAAAGTCTCAAGAGTCAAGAAACATCTCATATGCATAAAAAGATGGTCACTGCTCCCCAGAAGGCTGCATGGCCACTTAGGTCAATGTTCTGTGCAACATAAATAGTTGACCCTTGAGCAACACGGGTTTGAACTGCATGGATCCACTTACACGTGGACTTGCTTCTACCTGTGCCACCCCTGAGACAGCAAGACCAATCCCTCCTCATCCTCAGTCTACTCAATGTGAAGACAAGGATGAAGACCTTTAGGATTATCAACTTCCACTTAAAAAGAGTAAATATATTTTCTCTTCCTTATGATTTTATTAATAACATTTTCTTTTCTTGAGCTTACTTGATTATAAGAATATAGTATATATGTTTAACATAGAAAATATGCATTGACTGTTTATGTTAATGGCAAGGCTTCCAAGCAATTGTAGGCTATTAGTAGCTAAGGTTTTCAGGAGTCAAAAGTTATACCTGGATTTTCAACTACATGCAGGGCCAGTGACCTTAACCTCCCACATTGTTCAAGGATAAACTTCATATTATATGTACTCTATTATGGCAAGAATACATTGTACACATTTATGAAAATTTGGTGGTAGACTGGTTCAGAATCAATGTCATATATATTATAAAAGGGTAATTTTAGTTAATTTAGGAAAATAAAATTCAGCATGGCAACTAGTCCTTTGCAATCATCTCAAATACCAAAAATGAATTATGTACTTTATGGTAGTTCTTGATAAACCAGAGGCCACCTGGAGCATTGGATAAAAAGCACGTATCTAGGGCTATTGACAGCAAAAGTAACAACTGAAGCTGGGATTAGAGCTGAAAAAGTGTGCTTCTGGAAAGTGTGTTTGTTTCTCAGTGTTTACCTGATGACATTCCATTATATGCTGAATAAATTTTAATTTTCAATTTAAAGCCACTGTTAATATCTCTCCCTTGCTGAGCATGGTGGCTGATGCCTGTAATCCTAGGACTTTGGGAAGCTGAAGTGGGAGGATCACTTGAGCCCAGGAGTTTGAGCCAGCCTGGGCAATATAGTGAGACTCCATCTCTATAAAACATTTTTTTAAAAAAATTAGCCAGGCATAGTAGTGTGTGCCTGTAGTCCCAGCTACTCAGAAGGCTGAGGCAGGAGGATCACTTGAGCCTCAGAGGCAGAGGTTGTAGTGAACCGAGATTGTGCCACTGCACTCCAGCCTGGGCAACAGAGCAAGACCCTGTCTCAAAAAAAAAAAAAAAAATTGCTCCCTGTACTGAACCTATCTGCAAGAAGTAAGTCATGACTTGAGTCTCAGAATTCAGATGAAATAAAGACAAGAGAAGTGAGGTAACAGTTGACAACTAACTTTTCATTTAGATCTCACCAGTGTGCCCTCAACTTTCTACTGAGGAAGCAAAGCATTGTTTGATGACATTAGGTAGCCTAAGCTGTAAGAGCTTTGTCCTCCTAAGTATTTCATTTTCAAACTTGGGTGGCTGAAAAAGGTACATCTACTACTTGAATAGTCTAGGTCCTTTACTAGTCTCAAGTGTAAGTTCTCAACGTACTCTGACCCTGTCTCTTGGTTCCTCTTTACTAAGGTAAGTAGATACCACCTCGCTTTTCTTCCTTATGATTTTCATGGTGCCGACCTGACTTCCTCCTGGACCCCACACTCCTGTGTTGTGGATATTGACAGCTGGGGAGGCCACATTGAAAGGACACTCAGGCAGTGCCCTGGGCTTCAGGCTGCAGAGGAGCAGCACCATAATCCTCCTTCTCTGAGTTCATCTTTAGCCACTTTGCCCTGCAGTCTTCCTCCTTTCATTCCATCCTCATTTGCTAAAGCCAAAATGCATTTCATTTTAGTAGCTGGAAAAGGAAGGGTATGGTGCATATTTAAAATGTTCTAAATTGGCCTTTAGCATATGTTGCTGGCACAGCAGAGAACCTGCTTCCAGGGAAATATGTATGGAGGTATTTTATCAAGAAGCTCCTGAGTGAAGTTTCTTCACTCCATAAATATAGAAACAGCATTACTGAAAGGAGACAGTGTTATTAGAGGTTAGGAAGCTGTGAGATACTTTCATCCCCCTTCACATTATGTTTTAAAGAATTCAATAATGAAAATGTTATTTCTCATGAACTGGATAGTTGATTATTACATTTTAAATATATTTTAATCTGTCAAAGAGGTGATTGTTTTAATATTCCTACTTGAACAGAAATCCAATGTCACTTCTTTAATTACAAGGCAACCTAATGTATTACATTCTGAAATTGAAATGTAAAAGAAGGATATGATTTATGGTCAAAGATTAAGCAAATTTATCAGCTTAGGGTTCCTCCAAAATTTTAAACTAATTCTAGAGTGAATATATCTTGGGAGCACTGTCTTCAAATTCTACTATTACTGATTTAAAGGCTAATTTCAGAACAAGATGTCTGTTTTTAACTAGTATAATTTTTCATTTGTCCCAAAAGGGGCTAATGGGTCCTGCAACAGATATGGGTTTGGTTTATAAATATGTTTTTGTGAGGAGATGGGCAGGACAGCAGTCTCTGTTGTATAACATGCTGCTTCTTGCATCCTTCTGTTATTCCTTTCAGCACAGAATGCAAGCCTTATGGCTTTCCTATTCTAAATCTGAAGATGCTCTTTTTTTTTTTTTTTTTTTTTTGCTTTTCTGTGGAGGTTAAAGCATCGAATACAAACAGCACATCAAACAGGGTAGATAAATAATACTAGCATCACTAAGGGCTGAACAAATATTTGTTTTGTTAATTTTAAATTTCTCTTCTCTCTCATGGACTGAAACATGTCTATCTTTCAGATGTATTGGTAATCAACCTCAATGTTCAGCTCTGAGAGAAGAGGACTCATGGATAGTTTCACTGTTACCCCACCAGGTGTGAAGGCTGAATGAGACCTTATATGATGACCAAAACACATAATTTCAGACCAATCCAGCTCTTCCAGGCTTTAGAACATGCTAAAATCAATGAATATTCCTAGAGAAGTGAAGGTTCACAAGTTAAAAAAGTATTCAAGGATAAATTTCAAAGATTTTTCCTACTTATTTGGCAGCAGAAATGCAGTATGCTACAATATATACTGACAAAATGTTTGGAACCTGGAGTTGGTGCTGTGTTTATACATTAATGAAAGTTCCAACAGAGTTCTTGCACGTGCATGTTTTGATAATTAAAAATTCTGCAGCATAAGAGTTTTACCTTAAGTTCAGTAACTGTTGATGATGATAAGAAGACATCATTTTCTTGGCCAAATATTTAGAATTCATCAGCAGTTTATTATACTACCCTGTCACTTTTTTTCTTGTATGTATGTGTGTGCACTTTAAAAGCAAAACATTTAAAAATCCCACAATACTAATTACTCATATCAGATAGATAGATAAAATTCACATAGCTTTTGCCTGTTGCTTTTCTACTACAAGTCATGTCAGTCTGAATGACTTTTTAAAACTGCTATCTCCCAGAAATTGCACCTGTTTCATATAAAAGGCCCAGGCCCACATAATGTTCTCTCCTCCAGTGTTGTAACTCATTTGGAGTTTGTTTTATTAGCTTGATGGAGGAGTTTCAAAGGAAAGAAAGCATTAAATTGGCAGAGCCTAAACAAGACTTTCCCTCAGGAAGGGGCTGGAAGCTTTGGGTGACAGTCTAATTGCTTCTAAGCCCCCAAAGAGGCCTCGGGCATGGAGTAAGAGTGTGTCAACGTCAACAGGGCCAAGTCAGCCAAAGAATTAAGCAGGCAGAGTTCTAAAGACCTAACACATCACAGATCACTTCAAATGGCTTTCAAAAGGAGATTTTAAAGAAATAGTTAATGTCTGGCAATCAGTATAGTCCTAACAGACGTCACTCCCACAATGCAAAACACGCTTTTCCTCTACTCCTGCTGGCCAGGAGCTTCCTATCAAAGCTGTACTTCAGGTCTTAAGCCAGTAGAGTTTTACACCCCCCAGCCCCAACTTCAAGCACATGAAGCAGAGCACCTGCCACATACACACAGACCCAGCAAAAGGAGACACAGGCAACCATCAGATAGGCTATCTAGCCACTGTCCAAGGAGAACAGGATTAAACAAACTGACTCTGATCAGGGGATGTGGGCGTCAATCAAACAAATAAGCCACCTGTCAAACTGCTTACTTCCATGTAGCCCTTTTGTATCTTCTAGATACAAAAGAGAGGAGAGTTACCCAGCAGAATTTCAGGCTATTCACAGTTTCAAAAATAATAATAATAACTAAAGGGTTAATAAGTAAATCTCCTTTTTATTGACCAACTCAAGGAGAGATTTTTGGAAAAGAGTGATTTAATAGTTCTTAAGTACTTGGTGTGCAAAGAGTGAACTAAATGTTTGTATTATGGGTTGATGATAACTTACTGGAATCATTACAATCTAAATCTGAAATTTAGCCCACACTTTTAAAAAATTGAGATATCTGATAATTAATCTGTTAATTTATTAAACAAACAAGAAATAAATTGGAAGAAAGAAAATACATGGGTTTTATGGCTTTCTTTTATGTTTTATCTTCATCAGACAAGGGGAAGCATATATTTGGTAATGCTAGGGCATGATAATAATAATAATGTTTTCATACAAAACTGTAGACAATAAAGCAGAAATTGTGGCTGTTTCTATGGAAATTGGCACGTGCAAGGTAATTACTTCTATTTGGCCAGTTAGGACCTTGTGAGCAGTTGGATACAAATCTGGGACTGGGAATGAGGCTAATACAAAGAAAAGAGCTCTGCAGTCATTAGAAACGAGGTGGTGATCGTAGTCATAAAAAGTACTGAATTCATCCAAAGTCAATGTATAGATTTAGAAGAAAACTGGGACTTTGCTGAATGCAAATTGCTGTAATTATTACTATACTAGTTTTATATAGATTTATTTTTTACGTATAGATCTCCTTGAAAATAGTAATGGTGTTTACTTGTCTCTGTATCCCCAACACTTAGCACCATGTTTGCACATAGTAGCGACTACATAGATGTTCGATGAAGAGGAATGTAGCTGAAGGGTATGAGAAGTGATGCTTAAAAACAGAAGAACTGTGTAAAGCATCCAATAATCTCTTCCTGTGTTCTGGGTCCCAGTATAAAATTTTGAGAGAAGCTAAATATTATAAACAAAGGTCAAGATCAGGAAACAAAATAATGGCAGGCTGCAAAAAAGGAAAATGATAACCAGGACTGTTGTTCAAGCAATGCTAGAAAATTATGCCTAACCAAGTAGACAACTTAAGCACCTAAGGCAGAATGAAAGTTTCTCTCTTGTCATTAAGTCCTCTATTCAATTACCATTTATCGGGGTAATTAAACACTGGAAAGTGATGCCAGGCTAATTGTTAGATTATGATAATTACACGTCTTTGCTATGCTACAGCTGATCAAAATAAGATGTGGTCCCGTGCACTTAGCCAAAGCTGCTCTGTAATCGTCAGACTTTTGTACAGTGCTAGGACATTTATTACTAATTCATTACAAATCAGGCGGAGAAGCTTATTATTTGTAATGCTTCTACCCCCTACCCCCACACAGCCTCCTGAAACAAGACTCACAAAAGGTTAAGCACAAACTTCTGCCTCTCATTGGCCCATTGCCATCCCAATTACACAGCTGAACAGCATTAGGTGCCTCTATTTGAGAGGGTTCATCAGGCTGCTTCACAAACATCCTGCAATCGCCTATCACATTGGCAGAAACATCCAAGACCCCTTTTCAGCCCCTGCCAACCACTGTTTTGCTCTCAGTTGTGTCCCAGCAACCATGAGCTGGAAATCCAGAGACTCCTTTGGTTTTGGGGCTCCCTCCTGCTCAGGTCAGGCCTCAGCTAGACTGAGATATGTCCAGGGGTTTGCTCCAGTTAGCAGGAGTCATGGGGAATACAGACTGTTCTCCACCTACCTGACATCCAGTCTCTGTTCTTCAAGCTGGGATCAGGAGAGGAAACCAGCGTTCTCAGGCTCCCACCAGAGTCACCACAAAGCTACCAAATAGATTCGGATCTTTGGAGAGAAAGACTAGAACCAATGCATTGTCCTTGGGCTTTACAAGGCCAGAATCCCTGGCATATCTGGGGGTTAGAAATCTCTCCTTCCATCCCTGTACTAACTGCTCCAGGCCACTGTTGGAAGGTGGGAAGGCAAACAGGTATTTTATATTCTTCACTTGGCTTTATCCTGGAACTTTTGAGGTCCTCCCTGCAACCATCATCAGAATGTGTTAGCATGAGCCACTGTGAGGTGGAGGAAGCATAGAGCATCAGGTTAAAAGTTTAGTAACTGCTACATTTATGTCATGGTATGGCTCTCTATTTTAGGATTTTTTTTCTCTTATTATTTTAGCAGTGTTACAGACTGAATGTCTGTCTCTCCCACTCCAATTCATGTTTAAGCCCCAACCCACAATGTGATTGCATTTGGAGACAGGGTCTTTTTTGGAAGTAATTAAGGTTAAATGAAGTCACAAGGGTGGGGCCCTAATCCAACAGGATTAGTGTCCTTATATGAATAGCAGAGAGCTCATTCTCCTTCTGCCATGTGAGGACTCAGGGAGAAGATGGCTGCCCCAAGAGAGCCCCCCACCGGAAATCAACTTCTGCTAGACCTTGGTCTGGGACTTCTAGCCTCCAAAACTGTGAGAAAATAAATCTCTGTTGTTTAAGCCACAGGGTCTATGGTAGTTTGTTATGGAAGTCTGAGCAGACTAATATGAGCAGTTTAACATTAAATTAGGGATACAGTGGGGGATAGGGTGGTTTTGAATTACATTGCTCTCAGTGACTTCAGATGTATATAAACATCAATAAAGAACAGCTAAGTAAAAATGGCCAGAAAGGAAGGGAGCAAGGGGGAAGGAAGATGGCAGACTTATGCCACTACCAGCACTTCTCATGATACCCTGCACATGGGAGAGACTCAGCATCTACTTGCTGCTCTGAGCAAATGGCTGCTCTGAGGCGAGAAGGCACACTATTTTTCTAAGTAAGCATAGTTTCAACTCTGAAATTAACTCATGGCACTACAAAAACGACTGTATTATCACCTGGCAACTGTGTTATCTCGCTGTTTTAGCAAAGGCTTTTGCCCAGAGATAGAATGAAGGGTGTTACAGAAAAGTCACATATTCCATTTTACCTTTCCTTGACCCTGGAAATTAAAACAGAATATGCCACCACCCTTCAACAATTGTATTAAGTGCATTCTAGGGGCAAAAGAAACCACGAGGTACTTTGTTAACACCAGAATACATGAAACTGTCATTTCATGCACACATTTATTGGTGGCCTGTGGTTTAGACTGGGGAACAAAGGTACTTCAGTTCATCACATAAAAATGGTTTTGCACTACTTAGTATTATTATTTCCTCCCCACACTCATTAAAAGGATATCCATTCATACAGCTGGATCCTCTATTTACTTTTATAGCCTGGACCACAGAAAGATATATGCAAGAAAAATGCAATCATAAAAAATGAGAAACTAATTGCTCTATCCCAAGGAAACATAAGCGGGAGAAAGAAATAAACAATTCACCATTTATTTCTCAGAAATAAATCTAAGCACTTTAGAGGATTCTCAAGTACTACAATATTTCTACCTACTTAAATGCTTGTCTATCTCAATGACAGAGAATATAGTTGTTTTTCTTTTTCCACCTATCATCTTAATAAACTCTACTTTCAAAATGTCTACCTTGGAAAAGAACTATAGTTCAAAGGGAGTGCACATGATCTTCCTATTGAACTTTCAGAATTTTTGGTATTGCCAGAAGCTCTGAATGAGCCACTTGTGTGGACTGCAAGGTTTCTGAGGCAAGGTTAATGTCAAGACACAAAGACGATGAAATAAGCAGATGATAATGGGCACTCCATACCCATGAAAACTCAGCACTGTCAGCTTTGAGAAGACAGGGTCACAACTTACTTTCTTCAGTACTCAGTAGTGCAATCCCAGATCCCAAAGTTTCACGACGTACACATTAACATTTTATTGCTGCTCACACTGTTCAAGGCAGACAGAAAGAGAGAATGTGAGCTGTTTTTGGTCACAAACTCAGTGTTGATGAGCTGGGTCAAAAAACAACACAGGATTTACAAAACCTATGGGAGATATTAAATGAGCCTGGGACTAAGCACAGAATCTGTATGCTATGTGATGGTAAATGTTACTCTAATATAGCACGTCAATTGATTTATTTACAGAATAGGATAATTTTACTTGTTGATGTTTTAATTCAACATCTGGGTATCTACCTTGTACATGCCAAATATTTATCAAAATCATACCCCATTTTGCATGCTAAAAAAAAAACTTGGATTTTTTTTTTTTTTCAGTTCTACAAATATAAAGTATTCCTTTCAACCCTCTCTCTGAGAAGTAAAGGCATAGGGTAAACAGGGATTTCACCTTGGTATATCTCAGATTTCTGGCTCAGGACACTCTGTATCTGAGAAAGATTCACAACAGCCAAAACCAACTCAAGGATGTTTTTAAATCCAGTCATTAATTAAAAACCCTAAGTCATGGTCACTGAAAGTACTGGTTACTATGGTTCTATAAACGTGATTAGGGAAAATAACATGACATGTGCTGGCCAGGTGAGCAGATTAGAAGCACAATCTACCAGGCTAATATAAAGAGTATACCCACTCTTGGTGCTGTTAAACCTGCCCTGAAGCATGCACTAATATTCAGGGCTGGAGCAAGGAAGGATAGCGTCCTATCTGCAGAAACACCTTTTCCTTCCTTGTGTAGGCAGTGAAGCTGTGCTGGAATTGCATTTCCCACCATATAACTGGGACATGATCTGAAGCTTACATATACTTCAGTTTAGTTCTGAATCCTAAGAAGTTACAAATTATTCCAACTCACTAGAGGAAATGAAAATTAGGAGCTGTGGGAGGTGCCTATTGTTTTTCTGTTTTAGTTTAAATATGAATTTCTGGCATAAAAGCTGAAGAAATATACTTACATATGCATAGCACTTTCTGGTAGAACATTAAATTTAGTTTATTTTTTAAATAAGGGTGGTGCCTTCTGAATATAACTAATATCTCTAAAGATGTCAGAGATGTTTCCAAGTATATGGAAACAGGAAATACTGCATTTCTTTGACAATTAGGACATTTAAAAATTTGTATCACATGTGGAAAATTGTGTTGATTCTAATTATGAAAAAACTTACTGGACAACTCAAAATTAGACATATCACTCCTGATTTTCTTCGAATCTAAGAAATCCTCCTACATAAAACTTTTGATAAAGGTTTTGACTCAACAACAGCTACAACCATCTTACTAGAGTTGAGAGCAACAAAATCCTAACTCACCACTCCTTGAAAACACCAGGTTATTTGCCTTTGTATTCTAGACCAATAACCTGGCTTTGTATCCTAGACACTACTGATGTTCACTAGTCTTAACCTACAGTAATTATATAAATATACACAGCATGCATGACATCAGCTTGCAAAGAGATGGCCTTTTTTTTTCCCATTGATACTTAGTCTTAATAATTTCACAAGAACCCTACTTCGGAATCAAGACTATAGAGAGATATACTAGTAAAATAAAGTTTGAGCCATCATCTTATCCAGCTGTTTCCTTTTAGAACTCTTAACTACCTAGTTTCTTTTTTTGAAAATCTCCAGGGGAGAATTTCATTCTAAAATAGTAGTTCTTTCCCAGGACCTATAGATGTCATTCAAAATTCAGTACATAAAGAAATTCTCTTTTCAAGGGCATCCAGCTTTCCAGTGTAGTTCAAAGCAATCCCCTCAACCCTGCCCTGTAAGAAGATTTGAGAGAAATGTATAGAAAATGTAGCTTATGTTTTCCTAGGAAAGTTGAGCTGATTGTATTATCAACTGTCTATTGCATTAGCAATTTCCAGCTGAATTACAAACTGTTTCCCTGCATTATATTGCTATTGTTCAATATCATTTTATTGCCCTAATGAAACAAAGCTATATAATATAACCATAAAGTACTGATTACAGTTAACCATAATGGAAGCGAGCTAAGGAAAGCTCTATTTTTAAAATAAGCAAAGAAAAAGAAGAAATGCTGATACTCAGAAGACTTTTTTTTTTCTCTTTTTGGTTTTCTGGATTGGGATCAAAACAACGCTGACAAATTACTTCTTCTTTCTCTTCCAACAATACAGATGGTATTTCCCCCCAAGACAGAATTTCTAGAAAACTTCCCGAGGAGCGAAAGTTCCCCAGGTACTAAAAAAAAAAAAAAAAAAAAAAAACCCTGTGAATTATAAATATGTCTTAAAAAGTACCTACCTCAAACCAGAGTATTCTCTTCATATCATGGAAGAAGATATCCAAATTTTCCCTGGGGTACAGGTTTCTCCCTGTCTGTAGATGAGCTCTTGGAAAAGTACCATTATGAAACCATTAGGGGCATTGCTTATTGGCCTATATTAAATCGACCAGCAACACAAATGATTAGGATGCTGTGCTGGGCAGGAGGCTGCCCAAATAAGATGGCAAATCCATAGCTAAGGTTTCTGCCTTTTAGTAAAGGCAATGAAGATGACTTGGCAGTTCCTTATATACCCAGCTCCTTTTCCATAGATAGAACCAGTAAACAAAGAGTTGGAAAGAACAGGCAAAAGAGAAATTTCTTGGGTGTTGCTAATTAAATGATGACTATAAGCTGCAGTGCCAGGCACTTGCTGTCCTCTGACATGCATGCCAGACCCACTATACCCCCTCAAGAACAGCATAATTAGAGCAAGGGGGAACAGAGTATCATTCCCCAAGCATTTCTTGTGTTGAACTGGAGACAGTTAATGAAACTACTGTACAGTGCTGTAGTGGCAGATGATCTGTGACTGCCCTTTTTCTAGGCGCTTAAACTTTCAACATCTGAAAAATTCTTCTTGCCATTTCTGCAGTAGATATGGTGTAAATGCCACATGTTCTTACTCATAAGTGGGAATTGAACAATGAGAACACATGGACACAGGGAGGGGAACACTACACACTGGGGACTGTCGGGGGTTGGGTGAAAAGGGGAGGGAGAGCATTAGGAAAAGTACCTAATGCATGCAGTGCTTAAAACCTAGATATCAGGTTGATAGGTGCAGCAAACTACCATGGCACATGTATACGTATGTAACAAACCTGCACGTTCAGCACATGTATCCCAGAACTTAAAGTAAAATGTAATAAAATAAATTTCAAAAAGATATGGTGTAAATGTAAAGTACACTTGAAATGCCTGAATGTCAAGATCAGAGACTAGGTCCTCCAAGACAAACTCTGGTAATGGAACAATCCTTATTCTTCTAGAGATCTTTGGTGAGTATTCACATTATCTACGAGGAACGTGGATGATAACATCATCCATGTGGACACAGCATGCTGAGTGCTACATACTATATTTGATGCACTGATCTGATGTAAGTGGTTCAGAACAGTTTCCGCAATGCTCAATATACTTGCATTTTCTCATTTCTGCACCCCTGAAAAAAGCTAAAGATAAATCAGGGTGATATCTGTTAGACCTCTTTCAATAGTGTGTATTGCTTGAAAGATGAAAGAGAACATGCATTTATCTTTTCCTATTAGAGTGCTAATTTATGCAAGTTCATTTGCCTTTTGCATCTATTGATTGGATTCTTGTTGTCTCATCCCCTGTACTCCATTAGAATCCTCGCTGACTTAACAATAATGCAAAGGCAGACAAAATTTGTACAGATTTTTACATGCTCTTGCATCTATAGCCTATTTAAAAGTTTGCATAAGCAAGACAGTGTAAGTAGAAATTATGGGCAACATGAAAAAGTATTTCACATCATTGCATCAGAAAGAAAATCTCAGAGAAGATGAGAATACTTAATGGTTGAACTTCTCTTTTCAATTTTAAATAGTCATGGCTGAACATTTGAAAAGAATCTTGTGCTTCAGGCATGCCGAAATTAAAATAGAAGCGCAATTTGAGATTACAGTTTATAAAACCAGTAAGCACAGCTGCTACATGTAGGACAGGAATGGCCCTCCTTTTCCAAATCCATTTGTGTAAGTCAAACTTAGAAGTAAAATTTTCTTTACTATGAAAACTGGCAAAAGGACACAGCCCTAGGAGAATAATTTTCAGACATGGTTTCCTATGAATTTGCTCCCAGACTCAAAGAATGCTTGATTTCCTGCTTCATTGGGAATATATATACATATTAATTAGTTTAAATGCTTACCGTTTATGGGGTCAAAATCTGATTTTAGTTCCAGGAATAATGATAAAATAACTTATTTAATATTAAGTGACATAAAAGCTGATAATCATAGGACAAGAGTATAAAGATTGCCATTTAAAAA
The DNA here is from genome assembly GCF_000001405.40 of Homo sapiens. Lineage (NCBI taxonomy): Eukaryota > Metazoa > Chordata > Mammalia > Primates > Hominidae > Homo > Homo sapiens. The sequence goes on from NC_000005.10 coordinate 107,445,031, forward strand.
AAGTTTTTTGGAGATAGAGTCTCACTCTGTCAACCAGGCTGCAGTGCAGTGGTGTGATTTCGGCTCACTGCAACCTCCACCTCCTGAGTTCAAGTGATTTTTGTGCCTCAGCCTCCCGAGTAGCTTGGATTACAGGCATCCACCGTCACACTCGGCTAATTTTTATATTTTTAGTAGATACAGGGTTTTGCCATGTTGGTCAGGCTGGTCTTGAACTCCTGACCACAAGTGATCTGCCTGGCTGGGCCTCCCAAAGTGCTGGGATTACAGGTGTGAGCCACCACACCTGGCCTCAAAGATTGCCATTTGAGATATAACTTTAAACCCCAAAGAGTATTTTAATGCACTTTGTACAGAGCACATATGTGCTCTATTGAAGGGTTTATAACTATTCCTTCTGGTTTTCACTTCACTATGTCCAAAAAGGAAGAGGGAAAATGTAAAAGTCCAGTGAGAATCTGATCTGTTCTCATCCTCCAAGTGATTTATGGCCTCAGAGACTTGACAATGGAGAAATCGCAAGATGCTCACAAGTCACGAAAAGGGAGGCTTCTCAGCTTATTGAGGATGCTAGAGTTGTTCAGGCAGGGATGTTCGACAGAGGCAGAGGGACACCTAGCAGGTGTGGAGTTCAGCCACCCAGACCTCTCCAAGGATGGCTGCAAATAGCACAAGATGTCCACGAACACTAATAGGCGTCCTCTGAACCACTTGGGAGGTGTCACTAATAAAAAGTGGAAATCAAAATGGAAAGAAAATTTCACCTCTAATCCTTCTTGTGGCACCTGGCTTTTTCAGCACATATGGTACATAAAGTTTGTTAATGTCTGGTAGTTATCGAGTAAATCAGAGTTGATTAAAGATGTTTCAACTTTATCTTCATTTTTCAGACTTTATAGACATCCATCTGATAACTGAGAATAAACAACTATTTTATTGGTTGTGGCAGACAGTTCAGGAAAGAGGTTAAGAGAAAGGAATACACAGTTGTCTGCCTATCTTCGAATCTGGGCTCTGCTGCTACTAACTGTGTAATCTTGGCACATTCCATGACCTCTCCACATCTCAGGTTCCTCACCTGTAACATCAGAACATAACACCTCACTCCTAGGACATGTTAGGATTAAATGTATAAACTAAATGAACAAATAAATGATGACTAAAAGTACAGTGCTTTGTACAGTGCCTGACAAATGATTAAGTGCTCAGTATGTATTAAAACAAAGTAAGAGGAATATATTCAATTATACTATTTATGGAACTTTTAGGGTATTATTTTTACCACTAAAATGAATTTTAATTATTTGAAAAGCATCCTGAGAATCTCAAAGATCCTGCAAAATAAAAATTTCAACAGTCATTATTACATATCTTTAGTAGGTAGAGTGTAATTTTTGTTTATGAAGAAAGGAAATGTGATTTCTAAAACTTTAGAAAGGCAGGACCTGGTGGCTTACACCTGTAATCCCAGCACTTTGGGAGGCTGAGGCAGGCAGATCACGAGATCAGGAGATCGAGACCAGACCATCCTGGCTAACACGGTGAATCCCTGTCTCTACTAAAAATACAAAAAATTAGCTGGGCATGGTGGCGGGCGCCTGTAGTCCCAGCTACTCAGGAGGCTGAGGCAGGAGAATCGCTTGAACCCAGGAGGCAGAGGTTGCAGTGAGCCAAGATCACGCCACTGCACTCCAGCCTGGGTGACAAAAAACTTTAGAAATAAAAAACTTAAAAAAATAAAAATAAAAACTTCAGAAAATGGGGAAGAAGACACTGACTTTCTCAAGGGGACTGTCTATGCACTCACAAAGAAATCTCAGTCACCTTCTGGAAGCATGCAGGATATATAAATACACAAAGGAAGGGTGGGCAGTTGCCTCTGTGAGGTAATTCTGGGACACAAAGGCCATCTTTAAACAAAACTGCCTTCCCAAAAGTGAATGTCAATCCTTAAATATGTGTAAAATGTTACTTTGCTTGGGAGGAAAATCTTACTTGCCAGCTAACGCATTAACATATTTTCATCTCTCTGACCCATTAATACCTGTCACCCAGCAGAGTTAAGACCCCTGAGAGACTGGTGAACACAGTGGGTAAGTTTTTATGAGAAAGGGGCCTCAGGAAAGGGGAATCAGACTGAATGACAGAGGTACAGGGTGACAACAGAGGAACACTGAGACTTTGCAATTCTGCTGAGGTCAGCTCAAAAGACTAAGTGTCTTCACACTGCATTAGACTAAATGATGTTTCTCTACAGGAAGGCCTGTTTTAACTTAAACTTTAAAATTACGCATTTGAGCAATATGATATTCGACTGACCCTCCAACCTTTCCTAATTTGATTGACTTTTCACATATTTATGTCCTGGCTCCCTTGTTAATTAAGTAATTCATTCAAGACAAGTATATTGATAGCCTCCTGTGGCTCAGGCTTTGTACTTAAAGGTGGAGAAACAGAAATGAACCAAGACATAGTCCTGCCCTGGAGAAACTGACAGTCTAGTGGGGAAGGCAGTCATCCAAATACATCACTCCAATAAAGTGCTATAAATGTAAGAGAAACGTCTACCAAATGCTGTAGAAAATAGTAAACAGCAAAAGACTTCAAAAGAGTTCAGAAAGACCATACAGAAGAGCCAGCACTTGCAGGATGGACGAAGGGGAGGGGGGCTTCTCAGGCAAGGCAAAATGTACAGACCCAAAGAAATGTGAAAGCAAGGACAGTGTTGACAGCAAATGAGACCACCAAAGGAGGTTAGAACCTTATTTTGAAAAAGGAGTTTGACAGGCAATTAAGAACAAGGGATTTTTTTTTTTCTTTTTATTTCCCCCCTCTGAGATGGAGTCTGGTTCTGTTGCCCAGGCTGGAGTGCAGTGGCACAATCTCAGCTCACTGCAACTTCCGCCTCCCGGGTTCAAGCGATTCTCTGCCTCAGCCTCCCGAGTAGCTGGGATTACAGGTGCCTGCCACCACGCCGGGCTAATTTTTGACTCCTAACCTCATGATCCACCCACCTCAGCCTCCCAAAGTGCTGGGATTATAGGCATGAGCCACTGCGCCCAGCCAAGAACAAGGGAAAATTTTTAAGAAGGTGCAGAACATGATTGGATTTGTATGTTAAAGTGATCACTCTGTTAGTCCTGGAGAAGACAGACTGGATGGAGAGAAAGCTCGAAGTAGTAAGATCATTAAGGAGTCTACTGCATTAGACCAGGCAAACAAACACACAGACCTTGCCAGCTTCAGCTGAGAATTCCTTACTCCCTGGCACCTGCCAGTAAACTATTCACTTATTCTTCCATTAAACGACTATTTGTAGAGGCCCTATTGAATGCTAGATACTGGCACTGTGGAAAGCTACAAAATAATACACATAAAGGCTTCACTTCAGCTTCTTATGACTGCATAGACATGACAAGAGCCTAAAGTAGGTCATTTGTGGGCTTAAGGAAAAGGAGATGGACAAGAGAAAAGTTACACAGAGGGAGGAACATCGGAAGGTTAAAAATAATCCCCAGGGCTGGGCGCAGTGGCTCACACCCGTAATCCCAGCACTTTGGAAGGCTGAGGCGGGCGGATCACGAGATCAGGAGTTCGAGACCAGCCTGGCCAACATGATGAAACCCCATCTCTACTAAAAATACAAAAAATTAGCTGCATGTGGTGGTGTGCGCCTGTAATCCCAGCTACTTGAGAGGCTGAGGCAGGAGAATTGCTTGAACCCGGGAGATGGAGGTTGCAGTGAGACGAGATCATGCCACTGCACTCCAGCCTGGGTGACAGTGTGAAACTCTGTCTCACAATAAATAAATAAATAAATAAATAAATAAATAAATAAATAAAATAAAATAAAAACAAAAATAATCCCCAACATTTGTTCATTATTTTGCAGCTCTTACATATCACCATGAAGGGCAATGTGGGGTGGGTTGGAGTGGGGGTGAAGGTCTGAAAGAGTAGTGCATGTGAGGTTAAAGACCTGGGTTTAAATACTTCCCCTATACCTCAGTTTTTAAATAAATAAATGAAAAATAAGGTGTCCTAAAGGTTCTATAACACTTTCAGTTTCACACATGGAACATGCAGAAAATAGTCACCACATATTTGGTGACTGAATTATTTCAGAAGCCAAATGATACGATTTAGTGGAACACTGAGACTACGGCTAATTCTGCTCCTGGATTTCCATTCATCACATCAATTTCAACAAGTGAAGAGCAGCTATAACCAAATGGCTAAAGCTGGCAGAGTGTCCAACGCCTAGAGGCACAAGGAGGTCATAATGATTGTCTAGTGACTGGTATGGAAGGGTGGAAGCCAAAAATATGGCTAAAACCATAAAAAAAAAAAAATAAGGATTCTACTCTTCCCTGATGGTAAGTGGCAGAACTAGGGACACTTTAGGTGATGACAACTAATAGAAATGTCACCATCGATGAAAAGCTACAAGAGAAGATGTAGCTTATCACATCATCCCTCCCCGCCCCCCCAACTACACCTGCTCTGAACCCTTCCAACAGCCAAAGCAGCACAACAGGAAATGACAAGTATAATGATGAGAAAAACCAGTGAGGTCACCATTTAATAATTTTCCCCAAGTATTTTCTGCACTGTTTCATGGAGTATTGTCACATCCAAAGTCCTTAAGAAGCTCTCTAAGTTCCAACATTCCTGACAGAGGAATATAAATAAATAACGTACACTTAATCAAAATTGTTTTACACCTGCTCCTTCCTACTAAAAATGATAGAAAAGAAAACATCTGCATTACTGTCTCTGGAGAAGTAAACTTTTCCTCTTCCAAAGTCTTTTGAAGGGTAATGAGATGCCTTAAGTGCAGGGAAAATTTAAGATTTTGTCCAGGTCTGAAATTGTTGACAATATGTTAAGCAGACGGAGGTGATTTCTTTTGTTTCTCTAACTTTCCCTTTTGGTTCTGATGAAGGAGATGCTGACATAAATGTTTTTGTTGTTTTGCATGGCAGATAGACTTGCACATCTCAAAGGGGAAGCAAATCATCTCCTTGCAAACGATGGGTTATTTTTGCCAAAAAATTTGTATTAACGACGGCAGAAAGCCGTGAAATATTTATATGCCTCGACTTCCACATGAGAAGGAAGGAGGGGAGTTGTGAGAGAGGGAACGGGATATGCCACACAAAAATTTTTTGGTCATTTTGATTCACTGAAACAAAATGGCTTTTTAAGCACCCTGGGACCTCCACGTGTTTGTTTAGGATTCCAAAGGCAAAGTTTTTTTGCTCCTCTAGATGACAGCAAAATCTTCACTTCCTTGAAAACTGGTGCTATCAGCCTCATTGTGACAAGATTTAAGTAAAGCCACAGAACTGGAATTGTGAAATGCCTCCTGCCATGCTCCCTCTCTTCCCTTCTTTCTAAATTAGTTTTGTCGACTAATATTTTCTCCTCCTAGTGTCCTTAAGCATGTGCAAAGCACTAATTCACACATAACATTCAAGAGCGCCTAATGCCTCAAAGTATTGCTCAGTAACTCCAATGTTTTTTCTACTTTTGCTCCAAAAATTTTGTCTATAATTGATAAAAGCATGAAACACTGAGCAATTAGAGGGATAAGGGTGAAAGCCAGGGCACTGGATGTATGTGGTTCATCCACTAAATACGCCAACAAAGTATCCATTATTTCACATGAACCAGACTCTGTTTTGTAAGAGACGCTGGGGGTGTTTAGAATTCTAAAATTATATGGTATTGTTGAGGTCAGTCAGAAACCACTCAAACCAATGAGGATATGAGAGTTATGCTTATGTGTGGCAATTCAAATGTAATATTAAAAAGTCACAGTGCTTTATCATTTATCCCATTTCTTAAGAGAACAAAGGCAATGATTCTGGAGGCTTTTCATCGTCTTTAGACAACTGCAAGAAACTGAGAGCTACGTGGTCTTGGCATTTGATCCTGAAGGTTAATCCCTTGGGAAGTCAGACAGCTTTCTTTGCAATGTCTAGAGGACCACACTATTCTATAGCATAAAAGCTGGAGGTCTTACCAAGATGGAAAACGTTAAATATAGTTTATTAGACTATTAAAAGTTTATGACATCACTTCCCTATTCTCTGATATTCATCAATAAATCCCCTTTGATCTCCACAGGAATCTCAGCGTAGCTTCTTGTACAGTAATACCTATGTACTCAAGCTTCAAAGATCCATTTACTTCACATGTGTAATTTGCCCACTTATTCCTGCTGAGATAATACCCTTGGTTTAATTGCCCATAGAGCAACTGGATAAATCAACTACGTTGGTTTGTATTAGCTGTCTATGCATATGTGTAAAGCAAAAATAAATAAATAAAAAGCAAGACTGTTCAAGTCATTAACTGCAAAAATTAGAATAAAAAATTTTTTCCTAAGAGCCACAAATAGACTCAATCAGTATTTCTAAATTTTACAAAATGAAAAAAGTCCTTTAAAAATATACTTGGAGATATCAACTACTTCATTGTTTTGGAGGCAGAGAATAAATAATCTCAGTATACATTTAGATAGATAGACAGATAATCTATAAAGAGAAAACGATGGTGAATAGATGAATGAATGAATGAATGAATAAGTGAAAACCTAAATGAATGAGTGAACAAATGCATAGAAAAAAGCATATAAATTAAACAAGCCTGGACCCACTTAAGAAATGTCAGACTTATCAGGAAACAATAGGTACTGGAGAGGCTGTGGAGAAACAGGAAGGCTTTTCCACTGTTGGTAGGAGGGTAACTTAGTTCAACCATTGTGGAAGACAGTATGGCGATTCCTCAAGGACCTGGAACCAGAAATACCATTTGACCCAGCAATCCCATTACTGGGTATATACCCAAAGGGATATAAATCATTCTACTATAAAGACACATGTACACGTATGTTTATTGTAGTACTATTTACAATAGCAAAGACATGGAACCAACTCAAAGGTCCATCAATGATAGACAGGATAAAGAAAATGTGGTACGTATATACCAAGGAATACTATGCAGCCATAAAAAGGAATGAGATCGTGTCCTTGATAAAGCTGGAAGCCATTATCCTCAGCAAACTAACACAGGAACAGAAAACTAAACAGCACATATTCTCACTCATAAGTAGGAGCTGAACATTGAGAACACATGGACACAGGGAGGGGAACAACACACACCAGGGCCTTTTACCGGGGTTGGGGGTGAGGGGAGGGAACTTAGAGGACGGGTCAATAGGTGCAGCAAACCACCATGGCACACGTATACCTATGTGACAAACCTGTACGTTCCGCACAAGTATCCCGTTTTTTTTCTTTTAGAAAAAAAAAGTCAGACTTATACAGCTGACATTAATTTACAGAAATTCAAGCCTATTTTCACTTAATAGTCAGCACTATGATGAAAGAAAAATCTCTTTATAGGCTGGGCACAATGGCTCACGCCTGTAATCTCAGCACTTCGGGAGGCTGAGACTAGAGGATCACTTGAGCCCCGAAGTTTGAGACCAACCTGAGCAATACAGTGAAACCCCATCTCAAAAAAAAAAGTTAAAAAATTAGCCGGGGGTGGTGGTATGTATCTGTAGTCCCAGCTACTTGGAAGGGCTGAGGTGGGAGGACTGCTTGAGCCCAGGAGGTCAAGGCTGCAGTGAATCGTGATTGAGCCACTGTACTTACTCCAGCCTGGGCTCAGAATGAGACCCTGTCTCAGAAAAATTTTTGAAAACTCTTGTATACAACAAATTATTATATCTTATGTTTTAAACCTTTAAAGAGTCATTTTCTACTTGAGCTTCTGGTTATTACATTACATACCTAGGAAAACTCATATATGTACAGACATGCATACACAGAAAGGCTTAACTCCAAAACACAAAATATTTCAGTAAAACACCTTAATCCTTCAAATAAGTGAAAAGAAAAGCTTGCCTGGCCTGATTTCTTTCTTTCTTCTTTTTAAAAAAGCTTATATGAATGTTGTATCCATATAAGAATAATAAGCCCTGCATTGTTTTAAATAAATCTCTATTTGATCTTCTGGCTTCTTTCTAAAGACACTTTACTTCTCAATAACAATACACTATTTAACTGGATATTGAAATACATAAACATATATTTTATTACAAAACCCTAGAACATAGTCACATTCTAGATGGAGTTCTAAAACTGACAGAATGTTCAGATAGAAAGATGTGAAGGCTATTTAGACATATTAGATATTAAAAGAATTGATAAAAATCATTGCTTTTTTATTTAAAAACTTCCTATAGTTGGTAAAGTCAGACAATGACCACCAGAATAATATAATAAATAAATCTTATATTCAGAACAAAATTTATTTCATCTGAAAAATATAAAAATGTATTATTACCAACTGGGTCTTATGTATGTCATTCTGATTTAAGTATAGCTTAAAATATGCTGAGCCTATTATATATGGGACTCTTTCTTATGCACTCTATGTATATTCATTTTACATGGGAATTAAACTCTATAAATTGAGTTCTACAAGTGCATAAGTACAGAAACAAATAGAAACCTATTTATAGGTAATTGATTTCATGATTTTTGGAGTTGACTAGGTGATTTTTAAGTGGCACTAGCAATGAGGTCTGCCAAGTTTCTACTTTTGAACATTTCTATACCTTGTGGTCTCAATTTAAAATACATGAGAAATCACAAATTCAAGCAATGCCAGAGATGAAAGGAAGACCTTAGCAGCAGCAGGTGGAGCGGAGGAGGTATTATTGAAATACTTGTTGATATGATTCAAGAGTGCTCAAGGCCATCTGATGCTAAGGGCCACAAGCAAAATCAGCAGAGGCCTAACCTGACTAATTGTCTCCCCTGATTGTGACGGTTTTGATTAGAAGAATAATCAGCTCTCAGCAGCCTGTAGGCAAAAATGCAAACTGAAGGAGTGTGAGTGTGTGTGTGTGTGTGTGTATGTGTGTGTGTGACAGATGCATAGCAGAATGAATGCCAGATCAATATTAACCCACTCTTAAAACATTAAAGGGGTTCCAATATGAACAAAAGCCAATAATTCCCTTCATAGCTAACTAGCATGAACGTTTTTCCTTCTGTCACTTTATAATTGCTTTTATACAATCTAAAGGAAATGCTGATATTCAGGCTTTCCAAAAGTCCAAATGCATTCATATTTTGTCACTGAAAATTGAAGTCATACAATTCTACAAGTCATTTTTGAGTAGTTACTTTAAAATACTTTATATTAAACTCAACAAGACATCGTTTTAAGATAAATTAGTAACATTTTTTCTTAAAGCTTTTGCTACTATTTCATCAATATGTTAATGAAAATGTATAAAAATTATACCTTTGTTTTTAAAATTAAGATTAAGAATATATATTTAATCATCCAAAGGACTACATTAAAATCAGCTGTAATCATCATTTGAAGCTTTACTTTGTGATTGTCTGCTTCTTTTTTCAGATGACCAGTCTCTCAGTTTTGTGCAAAGTATCTTAAACTTAGACTAAATGGTAATTTACTTCAATTATTATTCCTACATTAGAAAATTTTAAATCTCAAGATTTAGAAATTTAAACTTCCTGAAGTTATTAAGCTCTTAAAGGTGAAAGTTTGGGGAAATTTTATAATATGCAAATACTAACATTTTTTAGTGCCCATAAAAAAGCTAAGGTCATTTGGTTCCTGTGAGAATGTAAAATGTATACTTTATTTGCTTACAAATGTATCACATTTAGTATATTTAGATATAGGCAGGGAGGGAATGAGGAAGAATACATTTCAGAAAAAAATGTATAAATCTTTTGTAAATTGTATTTTTACTTAAACTTTCTTTCCACTGTGGCTATGAGAGAATGAGAGGGAACAAGAGCAAGAGCAAGTAGAGAGGGAAGGAAGCTTTTAGGTCTGAAGAGTTGAAACTGGGTTATTTTAAGCTCCATTCCATGAACAGAGGTGGTTTTATCTTCAGCTAAGTGTTTAAAGGCATGTGATAACACTAAATGCAGATTTCCATCTACCTGCTGGACTCAACAAAATCTCAAACCCTCAACTGGTGCCTCCAAATGTAACTGTCAGTCAGCTGATGTCAAAACCTAACGTCTTTTCCATGGCCTTACACATCTGGTCCCTGTCAGTGTCAACGAGGTTTGTTGGATGTGGTGTCATGGCAGGCAAATGATTTATATACACAGACCCAAAGATCTCAGAGCTCCTTCAGAGGATGCATTTCATCTGGTGTACTTGCCATCAACAAATGATTGACTGAAATTAAACAAAACCTTACATCCTGAAACGTGAGCATTCTCTACTCCCCCTCTTCACTCGGATCATGAATATATTTAGTTAGCCAGGGAGTTCACAAAAGACCCATGTCAACAGTCTATTAGTGAGATAGAAAAAAATGCACATTAAACACCTCCATGCTTTAGCCTCTGACCTCCTTAAGCTGGCACATTTTTAAAATTCTTTGTGGGATAAGGAATTACTAACCAGCCACACTGGAAACTCAAGAGTAGCTGGTGATCAAGTCCACCCAGCATTTTCCTTTGCAAATCTTCAGTTGAGGGAAGAAGACCTTCAGAAGTGAGTGTTGCCTTTATCAAATAAATTACCTAAAATACTGCACCAGATTAGAACAACAGCAAAAAATTCCTCATTCTTGTCTTTAACCTCTCTTATTTCATCTCCTTAGGACAATGCACAGACATGAGGCACCCAGAATGTCTCTTTCTTTGCTCTTAAAGTTTATTGTTGCAACCTGGTTATGGATAATTCTTTCCACTTTACTCAGTGTGAATTATTCTTTTTCACAAGCCTCATAATGAACTATAAAACTAACACTTTGGTCCAGTTAGCATTAGCATATGTTGAGAACAACTTTAATGCACAGCTGCCCTGACTGGGTGCAGCCAAACTTCTGATTTTGAGTGCTTCCTGCAGGAAAATGCCATCCACTACCTAGAAATGCTTCATACTCTGCTGTTGTTTGATTAACAGTTTTAGCTTTGACAGACATTAATACAATGTTAAAGATATTAATTGTCTCTTAACTTAGAACTCTTAATTGAAAAAGAATTAGGAACCTGGTGAATGGTTACAGGTCCATATTCCACATGGAGAGGGCTAATTAAGAGCTCTGGGGTGATGGGGTGGTGGCTTAGCTCCTAAAAGGAGGTGTCCATATATATCAATCTAAAGTTAATTTAACCTAAGCTAACTAGGGTGTGATTTATATTTTTATCCCAGAGCTCTAGGCCATTTCCCACAGCTCTCTCTTTTAACATGCTGAAACTTGCTTAAGCACTGAAGGAAGAAAAAAAGTAAGTAATGATTGTTTAGGTAATGTTAGGGTGGTGCAGATCAGCTCTTGAAGAAGCCAGCTGTTCATGCACTGTCATCTATCCATGCAGGCTTGTTCAAACATGCAAAGCAAGTGGGCTACAGTGCTTTCCATCTATCTAGGTAAAGGTGTAAAAAGTGGCATGTGTAGAAGCCAGCAAACAGCAGCAAAATCTTTTCAGATCTTGCTAAGCCTCTAGAGAGCTGAAAAACATTCCCTTTTAAGAGAGATGTTTTGAAACCAAGTGCTGTTGCAACTGTGCCAGTGGTTGGGGCATGTCTCTACACTAGTTGAACAAACCACACTTGTCCCAGCAAATCATCTGGCTTTGCTGCTGCTTTAGATGGGGCTGATCTATACCCTTTTGCATCTCTAATGCTCACCTCCTGTCCAGATGAGCTCTCTGGTCTAGCTTGCCCCCTTGTTCAATATGGCCATAGAAGAAATTTGGGGAAGGAAATCTGATGTTTGGGGTCTGTAAGCCCATTTCCTTTATAAATGCTATGCTACTTATCTAGTCAAAATGCATCCCAAGAATCTGCACAACCCTGAATGTTCATTCTGACCCTTAGCACAGTTGTTCTGCTAGTGTACACTGCTTCCCTTCACGCTTACTGTTGTGTTCTTAGTGGGGAGGAGTCTCTTCTTGCAGGTCAAACTCTGTACCTCTTTCCTCTTTGCCCAAGATTAGCTGGGCCCACAGGGTCACAGGCCCTCCAGTCAACCTACCAATGAACAGCCTCAGTGGCCCACTTAACTCTAATTGAAAGGCCCCTTTTGTCATTTTTAACAGATGTAAAGTGTGTGAATTTAAAATTCCAAATGCTGTTAATATACAACTCGCACAATGTTTTTTGCTTTAACATTCATTGCTGACCTGTTATGATCTAAAGTTCTCCAAAAGAAAGTTCGTGTTAATACTGCACTCCATAGAGGTGGTAGGAATAGTCTCTAGCCTGATGAAGGCACTCTAGATCCTTGACTCAGCCTCTGAAGGTCTAGGACCTCCCACAGTACCAATATCCATGAATGCTTAAGTCCCTGATATAAAAAGGCATCGCATTTGCATATAACCTATGCACATTCTCCTGTATGCTTTAAATCATCTCTAGATTTCTTATGATACCTAATACAATGTAAAAATATGTAAATCATTGTTATACTGTATTGTTTAGAGAATAATGGCAAGAAAAAAGTCTGTACATGCTCAGTACAGACACTTTTTATTTCAAATATTTTCAATCCAAGGTTGGTTGAGTCCATGGATGTGGCACCCATGTATAAGGAGGGCCGACTGTATTTACTTTACCATGTTATTTGAATAAGTTACCTAGTTTAAAAAAATAGCTAATAATAAGGAAAAGTGTGAGCAGGAGAGAGAATATGGGAATGCTCTGTACTATCTGCTCAATTTCTATAAACACACAATTGTTCTACTAATTTAAAACAAAACAGCAACAACAAAAACATAGTGATCCTCTGAATTGCTTCACATAGGAGCAGCAACTATGTTCACTTCACATATGTTAATTCGTTTGCTCCTTAAAACAACTCTAAGAAGTGGGTGTTGTTATTTTCATTTTGCAGATGTAGTAACAGACAAAGAGAGATTTTAGAACGTGTTCAAGGTTTCTATAGTGGCACCAAGATTCAAGTCCCCTTATCTCCTCTTCCAAATCCCATGCTGTTCCCTCTAAACCACACTATTTTCTACTATACGTTGATCATATCATATTTATTGTTGGGCTTGGCTACCAGTCAGAGCTAAATGTAATGCTCAATGAGAGTAAGATACTACTTTTGATATATTTGTTTTCTCTGACCTCTTTACAGTTTTTACAGTTGTTATAATTATTTGAACAGTTTCATCTGATATGCCTTTAATCAGTCATTCAAACACCTTCCCTGAGCTTTAACTATGTGCTATGTATCACCTTGGACTGTGGGGTACAAGGATGAATAGAAAATAATTCCTTTCCTCAAAGATTTCGGCCTGGTCAGGGGGACAGACCCATAAACTTGTAATTACATTTTGAGATGTAAAGGTGGGATCCCAAATATAGCCTTGGAGATAAGAAAAGGCTTACCCGAGTCAAAGTTTGAGCAGGAGTTATCTACAATTGGCAGAGGCACTCTAGATAGGATGGGCAGCATGAGGAAACCAAAAGGTACAAAGGTGAGAAACAAGGTGCCTGGAACCTGGAGTGCTAAAGCCTTTTTGGAAGTCGTGAGACAATAAACTGCAGTTATAAACTAGTACATCATTATAAAAAAAAATTGTGATACAGAAAACAGAGTGCTGAAAACCTCCGTATGGGTATCCTCAATTATTTGCTTAAATCGTAAGGGAAACTATGCATTGAACCGCTGTCTATCTCACAACACCATTTAAAACAATTGTTACAGTAACCAAATCACTTCAGTGGTTTTTAAGAAGTATTTTCTTATTGTGTGCAAGAGAAACTTTAATCATCCATTGTACATCAGGGGAAGAGACAGAATAATTTTAGTCTTTTTTTATTGAAAACTTCAGGATATTGCTGATATTTTAATAAAAGCAGTCTAGATCTTTTTTGTTTGTTGATTCTCTATAAAGGATTTCTAGGCACAAATTTTGATTTTTGTACCTTGACACCAAAATATACTTTTCCATAAACGTATACCTGACAATTCTTTGTTCTTTAACTTAAGGAGCATTTCTTCCTTCAAATTTACGTTTAAATTAACTGTTTTATTTTAGGACCTCAAAATATCAATTGGAGGCTACTGGCTCACGCCTGTAATCCCAGCACTTTGAGAGGCTGAGGCAGGTGGATCACCTGAGGTCTGAAGTTTGAGACCAGCCTGGCCAACATGGCAAAACCCCATCTCTACCAAAAATACAAAAAATTAGGTGGAGGAATTGGGAATAGCTTGAACCTGGGAGGTGGAGGTTGCAGTGAGTTGAGATCACGTCACCACACTCCAGCCTGGGTGACAGAGCAAGACTCCATCTCAAAAAAAATCAATTGGAACACATGAAAAAAAAAAAAAAGAAATGTAGAACAACAAAGCAGAACAAAGGCTAGAACTACAGAAAAATAGATGGTTAAAGTGAAGTGGGCCTGAAGATCATTTATCCTATGTTCATGTTTTATAGTTGAGTAACTGACACCCAGAAAGGTGAAGTCACTTGGCTAACATTGCCAAGTTCATTAACGGCAAAGCTCAGAGTAGAGTGAATTCCTGAATTCCAGGACAGTGCTGCAAAAATTATCTCCTGGAGTTCTGTAAATGTAAAAAAAATTGAAGACCCTGTGAGAGTTGAGAGTTTCTTCCTCTGCTCCACAGGAGTGGAAGGAAAGTGGTCAGAATTGAGTTGTCACGCAATGGCACAGCAGAAGAAAATTCCTAGCTTCAAGCAATGATTGGTGAGTTCACACTGTCTCAGTGGGGCAGCACCACCTGGAATCTCATATGAGGAAACATCAGATGATAAGGGCAGCTTGACTGGAGTCAGCTTTAATAGCCTTAACTTTGTCTCCAGTTGCCAACAAACAGCAGGGTCAGCTAGACAGCAGCAGCTACAGGTGGCCATCACCACTTCATCTCTCTTCCACTCTGCACGCCTCAAACGCTTAGCCTTAGGAACTGTTTAACCACTGCAGAGGTAACATTTTTAGGGCAATTTTGGCTTTTCTGGTTTAAAATCAGGAAAGGCTACTGTGTTATACAGAAGATGACTGTAGCCAATAAGGAATTCCATGCAGGAATGGCCTACTCTGCTAATCAAGAGGTAGGGACCTTTTCTGTGCCCTCATTTAACAATCTGTATTGGAATAAAAGCAGAACATATGTAAAGGCTTGGAAAGTATCTCCTTTTTGATTTTGCTGATGCCATCCTCATATTGATGAGACGAGAATTTTTTTTTAAGACACTAAAAATGAATTTAAGACATGGATCTAGCACCATGGAGCAAAGGATTATCGGCCCTAACCATTTCTGCTCCATGTCTTCTATTATTGCCTGCTGACTATTTCTGCTCATAAGGGACCATGAACTATCCATGAGTGCAAAATGGATACAGCACAAATTGATTCAGTAACATCACACAGACACGTATGAATAATGAGGCTCAGTTGCAGTCTGTCACACAGCAAGCATATCAGTGTAGCTGATTTATCGAAAACTTGAGTGAGTAAAGCCTCTTTCTTAAGGAAGGTATCAGCTGTTTCTTCACTTTTTTGGTAAAAAATAAATTTGAGCAAACTAAGATCTTTTGTAATTTAAAATGTGAGAAAAAAAAACCCTGAAAGTAGCTTTCACTATAACTGACCTACTTCTGATATCTTAACCAAAAAACAGAAGAGAGGGAGAAGACAAATGGTACCAACGTTACCATAAACCTTAAAGGTTCATCAGAGATGCTAATCAATTTCAAATTCCCTAAGGAAAGCTGTGTCTTTGCATGGGCATCTATGACTGCTAGAGGAATATGCCTATGTCATTAAAACAAGGGAAAATAAGCTTGTTATTAGCACCCCTCCCCTTTAGAAGAATATCCTAGGATATTCAATGAGAAAAACAAAAGGACACGGTATTCATTCCACATCTATCATGCAAATACGGTGGGTGTAGCTATCAAAACCAAAGAGAACAATCACAGCCTCAGGCACAACAGTCCAGCATCTCTGAAACTTGCCCTGTATTTCTTTGTGTTTTCAGAGTAGGGAAATTTCAAATTCTGACCACATGCACATTTAAGTAAAAGAGGTAGGAATCAGACTAGATGATGACCCCTCCTATCTCTTCTAATTCCCAGGTTCCAGGAGACCTTGAAACTCAAAAATAAAAAAGCAAAAGAACAAAGATTAAGATTTTCCTAAAAAAGAGAGACTACAGTAAAAGCATGTGTTAAAATATCCATAATCACAACATCTAAGCAGTTTTCAGATGAAGCAAGGACAGAGAATATACACATAGAGACAGAACTTGCCTAACAGTAGAGAGAAAGCTATTCAGTAGAATTCTTTAAGGGCAGCAAGGTACCACTTAGTAAGTCACTGAGTTCAAGCCCCAAACAGCATCTTTGGGAATCCAGCCGATATACCCCTAAAGAGAGGCCCAATGTGTCAGACATTAAATATAGAGGGGGGAAAAAAAGACCTTTTCTACAGGTTGTAATTGAGGCAAGAGAGGACGGGGGAGAAAGACTGTGATCTAAGCAAGAGAGAAAAGGGGAAAACCAGCACTCAACTAAATGAACCTAGATCAGCTTATAGATGCAGCATTGCTTCTGTAGGTCAAAAGTGTTAATTTTATGTGAGAATAGCAAAAGATCCTGTTATTACCTCTTTAAACAAGGCATTATTTTTAAAAGTGAGGAAAATTAAGCAAATCCAGCAATAACTTGATTAACCTATTTAGTCATGTTGGTTCATAAAGAATCAATTATTTAATATAGGCATTGAGTAAATTTTTTTTTAAAAAAAGCATCTGTAATTTATTCACTGGCTCTAGGGATATCTCTGGAATCAAAGACAGCTTAACTGAGTTATGAAGTTCTCACCAAATACTTGTACATGTTTTCAAAGGGCCCCGAAAGCAGCCCGGTACTTTCTGCTTCAGGCTACACATTAACTAAATTCCAATGTGCCCTGCACAGAGCAACCTCTTCATCAATTATTTCCTGCAACTCTTCAGAATGTTCTTTTTGCAGCATGTGTGGTTAGACCCTGGGATCACTGTAGAAATCCAGAAAATGCCAGGATGCAGACGGACAGACACACACACCCCACGCAAAAACGCCAAGGTCCTAAAACTGCATGAAGTTGTCATCTTCACTGCAAAGAGTGAAGAACTGAGAAAGATCAGAAAAGCTAAGGAGGATAGAGTGTGCTTGGGAGGAGGTTTGCTGAAGAAAAGAATCAGCAAGAAAGAAAGGAAAGAAAAGGGAAGAGATGAGCAAAAAAGAGAAAATCAAAGATCATCTTTTGTTTATATAAATAGCTTCTGGATTGTGACTTTTATTTGATGTCAACAACAAATGAACAAACAGGACAAATGCTGTATTGCTGAACTGATAGCCTCATGTTAAATAGAAACTTTTCTCCAGAATAAACACCATAGTGCAGAAAGTTCCATGGTAAACGGCTATGGGTCCACACTATGAGTTAGACCTAAAGCATCACACACAGCATGGCCCTTGTAGAGCTAATATGTTCTTTCATTCCCAGAATTAAGTCACTAGTCCAATGGAAACACTAACCCTACCAATCTCCCAGAGACTTTGTGATGAACAAAACATAAGATTAGAGATGAAAACACCTGGCAAAATGTAAAGCTGCACCCTGCTATGTGGGACAGTGCTACTCAGAATGCCTGTTCCCCAAGATGGAAAAGCATCACATCTGTTTAATAAGCAACTCAGTGGCCTCAGCTAAACCAAGTTTGGTTCTCTTCTTCCTGACACTCCCAAATCCATTGTATGAATGGTTCACACCTTTTTCTTTGTGCTAAGATTCTAAGGTTTATGAATCTGAAGTTCATTCATGGGAATAAGGAGAAATACCACACAGTGATTTGTGCTGGAAAGAAAACACAGCTTGCTAGTGGGCAGGAGATGTGGGTTCTAGTCCCCATTCAGTCACTGGCGTCCATCCTGATGCTGAATATGTCATATACTCTCCAGGGTTCAGTTTCCTCATCTATGAAGCGGGGGATGGAGTAGCTGAGATTAGATAGAGAGGCAAGGGCAGCTCCAGTTCTATAGTCTTTAATTCAAAGTTAATCTACTTTTATTTTTGCTCTAAAATCTAACCACAACCATTCTCCAAAGATTTTGAGGTAATTCAGTTTGATCATTTTTCCAGTAAAATAAATATCATATCACTAAATAAAAAAGCAGATTACAATGAAATATATAGAATAATTTTAATCATGTTAACAAATTCACACACATATATTTCATACTTTATATATAACATATTCTGGATGGTGGCATTATAAATAAAGTTCACTTTCATCAGTGTACTTTAAAATATATATATTTCTGATTTTCCTCAATAATACATTTATTTTATAATCAGAAAGATAGCATTAGAATTAAAGAGCCAAACTACTACACCTGATATTTTCAGGACTGTCTTCCAATATTTTTCCAATAAAAACTAGAGACATAGGTACATATTTGTGTATGTGTATATGTAATTTATAAAACACTCGGATTCAGTAAGAAATTGTGATACTTGGTAAAAACAATTGATCTAAACAATTTAGAGAGTAAATAAAGAGGAATTATAAGAATTCTGATAATGTAAATTCAGGGCACAAAATAATTAAAACTTGCTTGAATTAACTCAGGGATGCTATAGCTATAAGAATTTTCTTATAATCACTTTAAAATTCATTAAGAGTGAGTGAGCTTTTCTGTATTTTTCCATATGCTTCCATATCCTCTTTTTCCATCAAATGCAGTATGCACTTTGGTTCCTTGTGAGTGAGGACAATTTGAAGTTTCTAATGTTGACTCCAAAGGCATGAAGTCACACTCACCGAGCTGCATCTAAGTACCTAACTGGGAAAATGTTTTGTGTGGCATCAAGTACCTCATATTAGATCACAGTTTACTCTGTATGACAGCAGCATGGGAAGTGGGTTAAATGCATTAAGAAAATAATTTCAAAGCCCAGGAGAGCTTTTGGGAAGTTTTACTATGAATCTTTAAACCAGAAGCAATGACTACAGTGAGGGGACAGTAGGAATTTCATGGGATTCAAAAAGAGGCAGGGAAATAATTGAGGCACACCCTGCCCCTAACCTCCTAACCTCTGGAGTCTGGGCTGGCTAGAATTCAGCCCCGGGACCAGCAGCACTTCAGCAATTTAGCACCAAAAGGAAGCTTTGGTCCACTCTCCTGTCCTCCAGGGGTATATGTCTCAGAATATCCCTCCAATCTTCACTACCCTTGTCACAACCCAGGCCCAGGGATACCTTCTGATGAAGATGACAAGCAGCCCCTGCCCCAGCCCCAGAATAAATGAAAGACAGCAAGATTGTACTTTAGCAAAGGTGGGGCAAGACATGGAGGTGATGCTGCTGCTTCAAAATCGATTGTTGTGTACATCCTCGGGGAGCAAAGGGGAGAAATTCTGCACTTAATTTTCCGGAGAAACAAAGCATCACAGAGGATTCTGAGCCCAGACCTTCTCCTTCTCTGCTGCACTGCTCCTTCTCTAAGGTGAACAGTTTCATTTCCTGCCTGAGCTTTCTACAATGAAGTCCAATAACTCAGCTCTCTGCTGTCCTGACAGTTTAGTTAAACCTACAGAGGAAAATGTTACAAATACAATCCCAGGCAAGAGGGGAGTTGCCCATAGGCTCAAATTAACTACCAGTCCCCAAATAGCTAACCCTCACTTATCACACAGAAAGAATTCTGAAGCAAAACCAAATCCATAAGCAAAATTCATCACGCCAGGAAAGAGGAGAGGGGAAAATAAACACCTCAAGTCCACAACTACTGTTTCCAACTCTCCCTCCTCACTCTGCGTCCTGACAGAGACTATGTTCGCAGCCATCCCTCTGCCTGAAGAGGTAAATCTGTTTTTAATGCAAAACTCCTTTTCTCTCTCTCTTTTTTGTCCTTGAGACCAGCACTGAGCTCACCGAGGAAGCACGGCCTAAGGGTTTACACCTGTGACCCAAACTTTCCATTCTGTGTGAGGCTTTTTTTTTTTTTTTAAGAAAAACAATTCAAGGGAAGTTTCCGAACCACTGCTTTTCCTTAGGCCAATGGTTACCAACAGCGACAGCAAAGCTTTTCATTTTCAAGTGTGACCCAATTTATGACTTACATTACACCAGATTTCACCTTCACTTCTTTCCAAGGCC
Organism: Homo sapiens; assembly: GCF_000001405.40. Lineage (NCBI taxonomy): Eukaryota > Metazoa > Chordata > Mammalia > Primates > Hominidae > Homo > Homo sapiens. The sequence goes on from NC_000005.10 coordinate 107,465,229, forward strand.
CTGCGAAGGCCGTCTTTTCTTGCATACTGGAAAGAGTGAACATCAACATTTTAAGCCTCTAAAGATAATGGGTGACGGTTACCTAACATGACAACCCAAAGTCATTTCTCCCTGTTTCCTAGATCTTGTTCTGTCACAACTTATGTAGAACATTAGAAGAGTTAATATGGACAGGTGAGTCCTAAAAATGAGTCTTGGACAGCTCATAACATGGCAGAACACCAAGGTTTCACCGCTTTACTCCAAAGACGCCACGTAAATGTGGCTTTGCCTCTTAAAGCATGAGCCAATATGACAGCAAAGCTGACATGGTGATCATGGAGTGATGACAGTTAGCTTCTGAGAACTTAAGTCCAACATAATTGAAAATCAAATAAATAGGTAGTTAAATAACTATCAGAGGTTTTATTCTCATGCAAATCCATCACAGCAGCGTAAGAAATGTAGGGATACAATCATGGTGACAGTCTTTGTTCAATCTCTGGCTAGTCCAGATTGCTTGCAGAGATGTTCCCTCATTTTAAATGTACTGCCATGGTGTCTTAGTATATCACGAGGGGAGAAAAAGGCCCCTCACAAAGATACACACACAATCCAAGCAGGATAGAGCCTGAGATCCTCACTGAAAAACAAAGAAAAAGGGAATGAACTCAGGTTCACGGCTACTGGTACCAGACATGTGCGGTGTGCTCTGCAACCACCTGCCTTGCCCACTACACCCAGCCACACTGTGAAATCAAGACCGGGTATCTCATTTTCAGCTCTCACTCATAGGAGAAAGTCGGGAGCAGGAGGAGGCAGACTAACTTACATCAAGTCACCTTGCTCCTAAGCACACAGCTAGGACCCAACCGCAGGTGCTTGTGACTCCAAAGCACTTTTCATCACACCTTGATTCCAAAGACGGTGCTCGAGTTATTTAGAGATGCAGCCCTTTGCTAAAAGAGTCTGCCACTGCACTGCCAAAGCTTCTTTCATGATACCAAAGTTCCACTGTGGATTTAGAGACAATAGACGGCTCATAAGTCGTGTTAAGCCATGATGTGTCAAAGGTGCAGGTATTAAATGCTGAGTCATTGCTATGCTTTGCAGAGATAATACTTCATCCTCCCTGCCCAGTCAGCTAGGCTTGGAGAAAGATAGCTCAAGCAGAGCCGGGCACCAGAGCGGAAATGCTGGGAAAGGTTTCTCTCTCCCAGACTCCCTTCTCCACTCCCACACCTCAGCAAGTCTCAGTGTCTGCCTGTTTTAATGATTCATGCACAGGAGAACAAGGCTGATGTCACGGGGCCAAATCTGGGTGAATGGAATGCTACCCTTCCCAGCTGTGCGGCATGAGGAATGTTCTCGCGAGATCGACTTAGAGAAATTTGCTTTGAGACACTTGCCTTTCTCACTTTCTGTCACAGTTAATGAAGTCAGATCTCCTGTTTGTACACCACTCACTCGGTGTCTACAAGAGGAGATAAGGCAAGCTCACAAATCCCTAGTCTGTAAGTTAGTGTGGTGAGTCTGGTAGGTGAGATGCACAAAGGCTTGAGCGTTTGGGGTGGGCCATCAGGAAAGGGCTCCAGAAGCATTGGCATTTGACTCCAATGTTGTGGGAAGTGTGATAGCTGGAGCTGGGGCAAATGGAAGGCGCTATACTAGGCTAAGAGAAATACCGAAGAAGAGATAACAATCCTAAATTAATTGGGAAGAGCGTTAGGTTTGTCTTAAGTATTTCTTTTATTCTTCCACAGCTCAGATTTCAAGCCTATCTTCATTGATGGAGCCTTAGTCTCAATAATAAGGAAAACCAATCTTTAGAAGATTACTAAGAGGTTACACAGTAATTTACATTTAAATAGGTAATTACTGAACAAAATCGAAATAAAAATCTAAAGGAATGATTGTAATGGTGGAATTTTAGACAACATGCCAAGTGGAGGGGCCATCTCAGCATCTATCAAATCTCATCACTTAGGGCAGTACTTTCAAAGTGAATACCTAGACCTTTAGCAGTGTGAGGAGAACTACAGGTGATATGTGGATATGGCATTAACAAACAATGAATGATGTAATGAGAAAAGTAACTCTATGAATCTTCTCTCAAGCAGTCAAGAAAAAAAAAGTCTCACTATAGTGCTAATAGGTCTTTAACACCTCTCTAGCACTGGCTAATCTCTCCTTTCAATAGAGAGAAAGAGCAGGCTTCTGGATCTGAGGCTTGTTGGCTTATGACAATAATATGTACATTCATAGCAAAGGGACATTTGGAAAAAGGCTATAAAGTTTCCATGAAAAAAATTAGGTAAAAAAAATAGTGTCTATTTGAAAGAAAAATATTAAGCAAATTCTGACATAGGTGATATGCGCACATGGCAAAAGTTGTGAAGGTGGCACGTGGATAACCAAAGTGTGAGAAATCCGGTCTCACAGCCTGTTCATCAGGCAGCTTTACCTTTGGGCTTTATTGACCTAGAAGTAAAATATAAGAGTCAGAGTCAGCAGGAAAAGCCAGCTCTGAGTGCTAATGGCAGCGGACCCAGAGGCAGGGCATGGAAATGTTACCACGCTGTCTTTCCCAGGCAGAAGCAGGAAAGAGACCAGTGACCCACTGTCCAAGGTCCTTTCCTTTGCACAGCAAATCAAAAATCATCAGAAAGAGGTAACAAACATAGGCTACATACATGTGGACATCAAAATCAGGCTTAGGGTTTTTCATGGGAAATTCATAATCATATTATAGCTATAAGAATGAAACATTTACAGCCAAACTTTCAATTATGACATAGCATTTTGTTCTATTTTCATGATCACACTTCGTTTAATGCTCAATATCACTGACATCTTGGTAGAACGGATAGCATACAAGCCATATACCATTCTTTTTAAAAGCAGAGTTATGCAAAATGTGCTTTAAAACATGTTGTGAAGAAATGCAAAATCACAGTTTTTAAAATGGGAAGAAATCTTGACTGCCCTTTGTTTTGTCAGAAGGAAAGTTTATCACCCAATAAAAAAGAAATTATACTTGTAGCTTTAAATAGGCAAGAATCACATTGTCAAAATGCACATATTTTCTTGGAAATAGTCACCCTTAGGCAGGAAAAACAAAATTGCTTTTAATGACAGAAATTTTTAGATTGTGCTTGGAAGGGAAGGGTGTTTATAAGAAATAAAGCTAATGAGTCAGAGAGCAAAATAAAATGAATGGTGCAGTTCCTCACTTGACAGTGCATAACTTGATAAGAAATCAAGCTCTGCTAGCAGCAATCATTGAAACGTCCATTCTGAACTGAATGGTGCCAGGTGACTGTCCTTAGAAGGAGGCACTCCTAGCCTGGAGGTGCTTTTGAAATCTTCCAGGACTAAAGAATCACACCCTTAGAAATTAAGGAATGTGTTCCTGGGTGTGCAAGAGTTAAAACCTCACCAATGTTGGCACTCTACCAGCTTTCACAGTTCTTTTGGTTGAAAGCTTACATTAAAACTCATGAAATTAAACTCATTAATTAATTCTTTGTGTTTTCTTAACAAGGACCCATCAGCTACATGTGATGTAGAAATAAACAATTGAAAAGGAAAAAAAAAATAGGCCATACAGGTTATTTGGCATCATGTAAGCATTAAGGAAATACAGCTGCTTCACTAAATGACATTTTTTAAAAAGAACAAGTCTGAAATGTTGTTGTCAAACCAGTTTATGTGTTGATAGGAGCACAGAATTTAATTACTTATGGGTGATGGAGGAGAATATAGATTCTAGCACACCTGGTAAAATTTAAACCACATTCTGCCACAACCACCAATGAATGTTTAGCAGGACCAACTAAGTGCTTAGCATTTTGAATTTGCAGGATCCAGTGCAAAATAAAAATGTGGGGCCCCTTGTTAAAACATTATTAAGAATTTCAAGATGGTAGCAGCACAACATTCAACCAAACACCAGGCCCTTTTGAACACTGGGTCCCATGTGACTACCCCAGCCCAGCATCCATGAAGCTGTTCCCTGCGCTCCTCAACTGCAGTTACACTTTCAGGCCCCTAAGAAAGTACCAAACCAGTGGTACAGACTTGCCCATCCTACATTCATAAGAAAATAGATCCTCAAATGCCCTAAACAATATTCCCCTTAATAGATTCAAAGATTGATCTAATTTTGGTATTTCCTCTTTCTTTTATTTTTTTTTGCAAGCCTGAATAAAGACTTCTCAAAATATTTCAGTTTCCTGCTGCGGAGCTAAGCCAAGGAATGGCTTGGTTGTTAACAACAGGCAGTTCAGTATATTGTAAAGGAAGAAGTTAACAATCATCTGAAAGTCAAGGCCTGTAGCCCACCACCTTCTGACTGACCTTGCCACAGTGGTGTCTTTCTTTTCTTGTTAATGTGTCTTTCAACACTCAAACAGGATGTCAACTATGAGAGAAGTTACTGCCCCCCCTTTATTTTTTTTTTTTACCACGCACCCAAGAGCTGTTTCCACATCACAAGAATCCCTGTTACTTTCCAGTGAATGACTGTGCATTGTGGCTTAATCTCAAAAGGAAGTAGACGTATAATACCTTAAAAGAAAACAAACATGCACACACAAATACCAGAAAGAGAAGTCATCCCACAAATTCCACCTCTGAATTCTAGCATCATTTCTTGTTTCTCCATTTGGAAGCTTCAAATTATTCTCTTTAACAACTCTTTCTAGCAATGAAATATGAAGAGGTGATGATTTCCTCCAAATTAGGAGGACATTAACAATTAAGTGTTAATGCGAACACCGTTAACAGTAATGCAATTATAACTGTATTCCACAAAGGGCAATAGGAAATAATTACTCTGATTCTCAAGTGATAGATAGTTCCAGGAGAATGAGATTCTCAGTCTAAAATTCATTAGGAGGGGCTCTGAAACTCACATACACACCTACAGCTGGAGAGCCGCTCCTTTGCTGTAATAACCCTGTAAGTGCCAAATCTGGCATTCTCTTGCCATCTGCTTTTAGTCCCAAAAAATGGCAACAGTGAGGGTCCTGGGAACACTAACTTGCTGCTTCTGGGGCTACCATACAGCACTCAGATCCTGATAGGGCTTATCTGAATAGCCAGAGATGCTATTTTAAGCCTCCAAGCTGGACCCAAAGCAAATGACACCCAATTGTTATTATACGGCTTCTGAGGATGATGAAGTATATCCAAGGAAATGACTAATCTCCAATTATCATATGCATGGCAGCATTGAGACTTGACCAGAGAGAATGGTATAATAGCAGTGAAACCATTAATGTCTGTGTCAGTCTTATTTGATTAAAATTGGAGGACTAAACAGAGAAGCTGATAGAATCAGTCAGTTGCTGAAGTTTTCTCCTAATGATGCATAGATGGGAATTTTAAAATGTGCCTCTAAATTCTATATCAATTCTCAATTTCGGCACTCCTTCAACAATTCATAAATTCTTCTCCCCTTTAATATTTTAAAGATTAACATTGCTGATAATGGATAAACTAAACTTTTTGAAATTTCACTTCTCTATTCTGTACTTTGTGGTGGACATGTCCACAAGAATGATGAAATGAAATCAGGACAAGGCGGAGGCAGGAGAATCACTTGAGCCCAGGAGTTCGAGACCAGCCTAGGCAAAATAGCAAGACCTTATCTCTAAAAAAAATTAAAAATAAAAATACACGAAATCAGGAGTAAGATGTCTTTTTTATCTCTTTTCTTCAAGAAAAACCCATCTACTAAGTTCTGATGATTTCTTTCTTGATATCCTTCTCAGATCTCTCAGAACCCATTTTAATACCGCAGGCTCATGCAATACTATTGTCACTCATGCAATTAGTATAATTACCTTCTAGCTGGTCTCACTTGTCTCCTTATCGCCTCCCAATTCATCAGGCTTTCCCAGGTTAGGAACCCCAGTGACTCCCTATTCTGTAAAATCAATTCTAATTTGTGCTTGGTCCTTCGCACTCCCCATATTTTGGTAGCATGGAACCTATCCAGCCTCAATTCCCAGGACTCTTCTGTAACCTGGTCTTCTCACCTGCTGTGCAAACTCCTACCTTCAGGCCTCTGTTGATTCCCCCTTTTTGCCTCCAATTCCCTCACTCCTCCACTGGGCTTTCTTCAGTGGTTAAGTTCTGTTAAGCTTTCATTACCTTCATAGCCCACCAAGATCTCTTCCCTTTCTGAGACTGCACAGGACTGAGGATATTATTACACTTAATGTGTGCAGTTACAGAGATTATTTTTTCTAAATCTGAGACATGGTCCCAGTAACATTTTATATTCCTTGGCATTGATAAGGATCATGTCACTATCTTGTCTTTATCCTTCATTTTGGGGCACATGGTCTACAAATTCATGCTAGTCAGTTGATGATAGAAACATTAATCCTCCAACTGAATAATGTAGCCTGGATAACCGATAATGAACTACTTCTACTAATAGGTGAATCCACTTGTAAATTATGGGTAGGGCAAGGCCATGTTGCTTAGTGATGGCTGGACCATGGATTGTGATTATTTACAACAGCTGAAAAGATGTATTTGGTGATCCATCCACATGTGAATGGTAACTAATGAAAAAAGAATTTAAACATCAAAGAATACAGTATTCTCCTTCATAGCTTGGTGTTGTAGCTATAGGGGATAATAAAGACAGTGATATTACATATGTAGTAGTTCTTACATGTAGTTGAAGATTTATCTATTGTTTCTTTTAACATTTAATAAGTTATATCCATGTCCATACGTTTTAGAAATAACTGCTATATTGTTTCAAAGAGTGCAAATAGCCTTAAGTCTGCAGTGATATACACAAGTTCTGAAAAGCTATAGATATTCACAGAAAACACATGCACAAAGCCATACACACAAAATATAAAGTTTGATTGAATAATTTATTATTCCAGAAAAACAAGAGTAAATGTGGATATTAAAGGAAATAAAGACAAATCCATTCTCTACAATGCTTGGGGGCTAATTTAACCTACAGTAATTAGACATCTAGCAGATCTCACAACTAGTCAAACCAGTACTTCCAAACACTTGTTTTATTACATGTTTTGTCACTAGGTTACGATGGCGTCATCAAATATTTTTATCGTAAGCGTCTATACTTGCAGTGACTCAAGACCGTGTTTCTCTCAGCTACTGCAAATAATAATGTTAATAGTATTAGTGATGATAAAAATTGTAACACTTTGGATGTTAAAAACACTAGAAGTTGTTAGTAAAGGTCTCTGGAGATTTCTACTCAGAATTTAAATGAGAACTTGAGATAATTCTTACACTCCTGGCTGCAAATTAGCAACCATCACTCCACAGCTTTCATATTAAAACTATGGGTACTTGAAGACTTTAGTCATTAATAAACTTTGCCCAAAGGACATTAGCAAAAGGCATGCTTCAGGTGATGGGATAGTGCCTCCCAGGACAGTGGGACTTGTCAGACTGTGCAACAGGATCCCATGGACCTGTCTCAATCAAGTTAATTAGAGACATCTGCAGCACAGAGATCAAGCCAAGCCAGCTCTGGCAGCTTATTTGCACCAAAAAGGTACAACTCATGTGGGAGGTAAGAGAGCTAGAATGACAAACAGATAGAGATCAGTAACGTGAGCTGGCTCAGTCATCTGAGTGTACTCACTGTTGAAATAAAGCTGGTAGGACCAAGGGATGCAAATGTCGAGCTGATGAAAAGGCTGAAGGATATTTGAACAAACCTTTGATATTCTTAGCCCCTGCAGGCATCTCAACACTGTAAATGGAGCCCCCAGTCTCCCTCCCCCCAGCACCTGCTTGAACTCTTCATTCACCTATACCTTACCTCCTGGGGTTGCTCTCACTCATTCCAGGGACCCCAGCCACCGTTTTTCTGCAAACAACTCTGCCCTCTTCCAAGATGTTGTTACTGATGGAGATCTGATGTTGGAAGTTGTAGCCTTTGTACTGCTGACATTGGTTGAAACTTTGCCTCTGAAACTTACACTCTATTCGACCCAAATCTTGACTCTAAAAAGCCACATCATTCCCCATTGCTTCCAGGTCTGATTTTTTTTTTTTTTTTTTCAGTCTGAGTCTACTCATCTTAGTGGAGTTTGGGTCTTTAAATATTTCTTTTATTCATTCTCCTTGTTGATATCATTCTTGAATTCCCTAAACATGATAGCAGCCAGCTTCTAATGAATTCCACTTATTCTACTTTTCATATACACACCAAGAAGAGCCAGGTGTCTGCTCACTGGGGAGGCAAATAGAACTATGCCCAAAGTCAGAATGTGACTACAACAGATTTAATTCTCAAAGCAGAAGGAATCTGAAAATACAGGTAGCCTAACACTCTACAATTTGGTGTGGAACAGATGCCAAACCATGACACATTCTTCCAGCTCTAGAACGTGTTATGATCCGATATTCTAATTCATTAACAATCGGATTTTCACTTGAATTTTTTTTTTTTTTTTTGAGACAGAGTTTCGCTCTTGTTGCCCAAGCTGGAGTGCAAATGGTGTGATCTCGGCTCACTGCAACCTCTGCCTCCCGGGTTCAAGTGATTCTCCTGCCTCAGCCTTCTGAATAGCTGGGATTACAGGCATGTGCCACCACGCCCAGCGAATTTTTGCATTTTTAGTAGAGATGGGGTTCCACCATGTTATCAAGGATGGTCTTGATCTCCTGACCTCGTGATCCGCCTTTCTCGGCCTCCCAAAGTGCTGGGATTACAGGCATGAGCCACCATGCCTGGCCTCATTTGACTTTAACATCCACATAGCAAATACATGACTATCATGCTTTTGACACAGATCTCCATAAAAGACAGATTGTAAACTGATGGCCTGTGAATCAATTTCGGCCCTGTACACTTGAGTTTAGCCAGTACAATGTTTCAGAGTCATCTGAACCAATATTTAGAAACCCAGAGATTTCAAATAAAGTACATGTTTCTACCTTCTCTTGAAAACTTGGATGATCAGATGCCACTGGCTCCACATTCTTCTTACACAGAAATATTCTGCTGGAGTGGATGACACCCAGTTTGTACACCAGGTCTGATTTTCTCACTTAGGTACCTGCCGGCTGCATTAGCCATGAAAGTTTGCATCCCTTGCCAAAGCACCCACGCCTTTGTCACTTTTCAGTATACCAAGTAATCAATAATATTTTACAGATTGTTTTCCATTTTAAGAAATGGTCATCAGCACTGAACAGCCACAATGGAGTTTTCAAGGATTTCAAACAGTCTGAGTTCAAATCTAGTATGTAAAAATTTCCCAGAGGATCAGAAACCCTTGTTGAGTTTTCCTCCAGGCATGACTAATACAATACAGGGAGGTGCTGTCATGCAACCATGCATCTTTGCATTACGAACGAGGAATGGTTTAATTGCAATTCACCCACCTATAGCATCCTGGGATGGCTTTATCCTGTTGAAGGGCGTATCTTTAGGCCACTAACTTTGTTAAAATATGTCAGGCCTGTTGGTATCAAATATTGGCTAACACAGGAAACACCACCTCAATCTTGTTAAATATTTTTAGCAAGAGGCCACCATGTTCCAGAATGATGCTGGCTGACCTGCCAGAGGCAAGAAGAAGCCCCGAAGATCTAAGACAACATAAATGAATGACTAATTAAGGGCCATTCTAAGGGAAAGGACAATTATGTTGACTCATAACTGTCTAGGTTCCTACCATTCAAGGCCTATACAATTTACATAAAAATCATTGTCATTAGAAAAGTTTCTGTCCCACTGTTAAGACAGTGTTTGTGCAATGTGAGGTTACTTCCTGCTTCCACAATATGACTGTGCTTTACTAAACAAACTTCTGAGCTAAGATGTTTACTTGACTGGGAAATGACTACTAATAAGCTGTTAAAGGATGTATCCTCAAGTTACTACTTGTGGCATTTGTAACACGCTCCCTGTTGAACAAAGGTGTCACAGTAGCACAGTGAATAAACAATCCTTTTTTCTCCCTGTAAGTTATACGATATTAAATGTTAATAATTAATTTGTCTTTGTGGATTAACATACAAGAGCTTTTCAAACAGGTACTGGTGCAACCCCACCCTTGTGAGATGGCTAATCATTTCACATACTTCACACTTACCCAGCTATCAGTATCACTGACCTCAGCTAGCAAAGTGTGAAACGGCAGATGGTTTGTAGTGTTCAGTAATGTCCTATGAAAATGTAGCACAGAAAACTGCAAAAGGTTTTGGGAGAGAATGGTGGTTTATATGAACTTTTCAAGAAACTCAAGAGAAACAAAATGCCACCACTGTCCACGTCAAAGGATCTGGTGAGGATCCTGGGAGAAAAATGTCAAGAGATTCTAAGGCTTTCAGTAGCACAATATTTTCAAAGTGCTTCAGAAGTTATTTCAATCTGCTGCATTGCTAAAGGGGAACAGAGCCTGAAAAGCCAGTATAATTTTGAAGGCTGTTCAAGGACTATGTCAGCAACATTCTTACCCTGCATAAGACTTATACATCTTAAGACAGAAGATTTGTCTAGGGTATCCACAATCTGATTACATATTTCTCACGAGAACTACCCCAAAGTGCAAGCCCTTTGTGTTGTTCTACCTGAGATGACATGACTTCAGCCTCAAAATACCCAGGCTGAACTGTTTCTGGAGCAATGAGATGTTGTTAATGAATATCAACACTTCCCAGATCCTTTAAAAATGCTAATATCAAAATATTTTACAAGAGTGAATTTCAAACTGTGTTCATGTTTTTCACAGCACGGCACCTGTTTGAAATGGTACAGTTTGAACATCTATAAAACATGAGATGGAAGATACCAAGGTGGCTTGAGAGTTTTTAAACTATATATATATTTTTTTTTTTTGAGACAGAGTCTTGCTCTTGTTGCTCAGGCTGGAGTGTAATGGCGCGATCTCGGCTCACTGCAACCTCCGCCTCCCAAGTTCAAGCAATTCTCCTGCCTCAGCCTCCCGAGTAGCTGGGGTTACAGGCACCTGCCACCACGCCCAGCTAATTTTTTGTGTTTTTAGTAGAGATTCGGTTTCACAATGTTGGCCAGGCTGGTCTTGAACTCCTGACCTCAGGTGATCCACCCACCTCAGCCTCCCAAAGTGCTGGGATTACAGGAGTGAGCCACTGTGCCCAGTCAAGAACTATATTCTTGAGAGCAAAATAGAGTATATTATACTTAGAATGGAACTATGTAAACCTTTACACATCTGTATTTTCAAAACAAGAACCCAGAGCTGTTCAAGTGATAAACAAAATCATCAGGTGGCTTGTTTAGAGTTTCAAAACAGACCCTTCTATTCCTGCTGTTTCTCCCTCTGGTTTCATTAAATATAAAACAAATGAAAATGACCAGTTCAATAGGGATATCTGACAGAATTTGGGGAGAAACATTTCATTAGCTTTCTATGAAGTCCAATACCTGTAATTTTATGTATCAGGACTCTCTGATTTGAAGTCCCTACAGAAATGCTTTATTCTTAGTCCATTTAGCTGCCCTTAAAATGTTTATTTTTTCTCTTTCTCTCTCTCTCTCTCTCTCTCTCTCACAGGAACATCCAAACTGTGTTGTCACAGTGTATAAAACAGAGGCATATTCCTTTCAGGTTATACTATACCCTGACTCCTTGATGAAATGATTTGATGTGGTTCACAAATCAGAATCAGACAGAATGAAATCATTACACCTTATATAGCTTAAAAACAAAAAAGCCAGACATAAAGTGGACAGGAAATCAGTCATAATGAAAAACTATTTCAAGTCACACATTTGCTGATTTAGTGTCTATTTGCTGAGCATTTGTATCACTATGTGCTAGGTGCTGCTGGGTCTGTGACAATGAACAGGAAAGGCTGTGTGGCAACTCAACACGAAAGCCAGCTGAGCCTCCTAGTAACCAAAACAAAAAGAGAAACATCACACAGTTTCAAAAGGGAGGTTACTGGCTTATCAAGAGAGAAAAAAAATGTCTTGGTAAGAAGCTACGGAGAAACATAAGGAATAGGTCAATGTGTAGATAAGAGATACTAATCATAATATTAACATATAGATATTTATGTACCTATGTAAGACTTTCTCTTCCACTAAAACAGATGAAGTAATTTATAATCTTTTGAATTAAGCAATCAATAGAATAATATCTGCAGAAACTCTTATCTTTCTGGACTGTTTAAAGGTACAAATCTAGAACCAAAGTCGCATATGTGATTTAAAACAAGCAGAAAATACATATTGGCAAAGGGCTTTCTTACATGAGGTATTACTGCTCTAGAAAATTGTCTACATTAATTTATAACTGTAAAAGGATCTCTGGCAATTACATTTATCCTATTCTCTTATTTTTCAGGTGTCTTTTGGGGATACATGTTATAAATCTTTTTTATTTCTCTATATAACCCTTCTTTCTTTTGGGTAACCTGATAGTAATAACTAAGCCACAGGTGAAAGGTTTCTCAAGGTGTGGCTATTGTGTTCTCTTGACTAACTTCTACCTGCACTGTTTCCTTTTTACAGGGTGGCTCTTATGTGACTAATCTAGGCCACAATATATTATTTTTTTTAAGTTAGGTAAAAGTAAATGTCTCCAGACCTTTAACTATATAGTACTTTATTTGCTAAATTATGCAAATCAATATACCCTAAATCAAATACATACCTCCTCTAAAGAGAGTTCCCCTTGGTTTTGAAACTCACTTTAACAAGCTATCAATCAGAGGCTGATATTTAGAGGTAGCATAACTGATTGGTAGCAGTGGGATTTCTGGCCATTTTTAGTGATAACCACCGAAATACATGAGCAGGGTTTTTAAACCCTAGGAAGGAAAAAGCCTGACCAAAAACCCTGACAGATATATAATGCCATGATAGAAATGCTACTCATTATGTCATACCTAATAATCCACATGTACCTCATTACTCAGCTGTTTGTGTTACACCCTGTTGCCAAAGGAAGCTCCCTGCTTCTCCTCCTGATCCAGCAATTAATATGCATATCAGGCACAGTGGCCAGACTTCTACGGAGAAAGAGGAGGCAGGCAAGAGATCCATAGTCATAAAGACCTAGGCGAGTAATATTCTCAGCATTATTCAGGAATGTTTAGTTGCTTGCTCAAATTTATCATTAACAAAGGGCCTATTTCCCAAAGGCTTCCACTGTGTAATTAGCAACAACAAATACTGCCCCTACTCCGGTTAACCTATGGGATTAGTTACAAAGGTTTTGTAAATTTCAGAAGATATCTACACAGATGTCGGGAGAGCACACACGCAAACACACAGTGCAGCATAATGGATGCAGCCATAGCCATTAAGTAGTTTAGGATTTGTGAGACTCAGACAACGAATACATTTTATGGGGGAAGTCATAAAAGTCAGACAGGAAAAAATATACAGCATGAAAGTTGAAAACTTCTAGACAGCATGTAAAAAGTACGGAGAAGTAGCAGGGGCAAAGGAAGAAACGTACCAAGTGGAGCTCATTGGTCTTAATAAATAGGACAAGGTCACCTGAGTTTACTTCTGGAACCAATAGAAATCCTGTAGTATCTAATTATTTTTGTAAAATGATTATTTTCATGCTTCTATTTACCATTGTCATTAGATAGGTTCATATTTCATTAGTCTGCTTACTAAAATGAAACTTTTCGTTTTATTTATGGAAGTTTTTATACTTCTCTAAGCCTGCTCCAAAAACATACAATTAAGCACTGCTAACCTGTTGATCAGGAAAGTATACTATACCAAAAGAGATGCAAAGACATGTTAACCATTCATACTGATTGAAAGGGCTCAATTTAAGAAAGTAATTTTAATTTAGATTAAAAAATAATCTGTAAATGACAGAGTCTGGAATGACATTATGAATAAAAATTAAGGCTAATGACCTTATCTTAACCATAAATTACTTTAGTTTGTAGAGATTTGTTCACACTTGGTAAGCAGCACTGTTCATTTCTTATGATGGGTATTCGTGTTTAAACAAGTTGGCAATTTTCAATTCAGAAGTCAAAATACTGTCTTAGTTGCCAACAAAAATAATTAATGAAACACTTCTAACCCCAGGGGTAAATATGTAAGCAAGTGCATGGTAATGGATAATAAAAATAGCACTTCCTTTTACATATGGTGCTAATTAAAATCTGATCAGAGTAATAATTGAGCAGTGCCCAGGCTACCCTTGATTTTTCTTGTCAGGTTTCAATTGTTTGACACAAATGCACTGACCTCAATAAATGAAAACACATTTAAAAAAAAAAAACAACCTAAATTATAGCTATCCTTATTCAGGCCAACAAGTGATTTACTGTCGCTGTGGGTTTTGAGGTTACTCGAGACATGGAAGTTTTCTAGGGAGCCACTCATTGCCACTGGTGTTCATGAACAAGAAGGCACCAGAAAGTCCATGAGACTTTCATTCAGAGGTTTTTCCCCACTGAATACACAACTCCCTCCCTATGCAAATTCCAATTAAAACAAAAGAATAATATATTACCTAACCAGGGGTTGAATGAGTGTGTGACAGGCATTTTGCTAAGAGCTTTCCAGGTATTATCTCAAGTCTTCACAACATCCTGATGAAAAAGAATCATTACTGGTCCCATCACACTGACAAACTGAGTCTCAGACTCTGGCTCCAGAGCTCATGGTCTTAATTTGCTACACTATCTTAAAGTAATGGAAAAAATGCACACCAGTATATTTTAAAAAACTAAAAAAGGAAAGAAGATTCTGAGTACAATACTCGTACTCTCCGAAATTACCCTTTTTCAAAAAGAAAGATTAAATACCAAAACTCAATTGAAATCATACTGATTTAATTCTACAATGTGATGTCTAAAACCTCTAAGTACCTGCTTATATAAGTAAAAACAAGTCATGAGAAAATAAGAATAATACATATTTCCATGTCCCAAGTGCCCCACCAATATGCTTCATATTCACAAAGCTCTAGTTAAAATGGGAAAAGCCAACAGATTACTATTTTAATATGAATGCTTAATGAAATATATACTAATACTCACATTCAATTTTTCCATAAATCAATGTATTGCTAAAACAGTATACACTTTTATCCACTCAATAGTCATTACTTTTATTTAAAATTAAATTCAACTGTATTTTGTATCTACCTACAACTTCTTGCCCTGTGAAGGGGTACAAAGATGTATCAAAGATGCTCTCTGCTTCTAAGAAATTGTTTATTAACTGGCACAAGAAATAGCATCAACTATAATATCTGGTAGAGTGTAAAAAAGGGTAGAGTTCAAGTTCCTAAAAATGTTAATGCGCCAGGCTATACGTAAAGCGCTGGCCTAGGCACTATATGGATCAAGACTAAAGACACAGGCACTGTCCTCAGGAGCATTCTAGTGGAGAGGGGAGGTATCCAATACACCAATTACGTGAATACCTGGCTTCCTTTCTTAAGTGTATAAAAAGCAAATAAAGCCTTAAAGACTGCTTCACAGAGCTCTCCATGAGCAGGGCTGGGGATACACAGAAGCCAGGGAAAACAGATACAAGACTCTTGCAGTCAGCGGTCCCAGAAAGACAAAATGAGGGCTTGTCCAAAGGCCTTGTACTGGGAGTGAAGGCAAGTGGAAGGAACGAGCAATGGGGACAAACAGGTCTCAAAGGGTGGGTGACTGCCTAGAAATGAGCAGAAGGAGAACTTGGAAATAACAGGTCTGAACAAAGAGACAGCTTTATATGACAGAATAAATAAGAAGTATGTTAGGTAGACAAGAGAAATAGATGTGGTCACTGACTTGTGGAGCCTGAGGAGCTGGCAGGGGACATTCAGCATAAATTTACTGAGCTCCTATTACATAGCAGGCACTGTTCTAGGATCCAGAGGTACAAGAGTGAACAAAACAAACTAAGAGGTGTGCAGCAAGCAACAGGGTAAAGTTAGACTCTCCTGCTGACAGGCAAAAGCCAGAAATACAGACTGAGAAGTGTCAACTGCAAATGAGAAAAACCCTCGGTTCTCCTGTATTCAGGAGAGTTTCAAGAAGAGAGAAGAGAGGCTACAACACTGAATACAGGAGTGAGTTGGGGAAACAATCTGGCTGGATGAGAACTGAACTTAACCGATTTGACATTTCTGTGACTGTTGAGATGGCCTTCTCCATCGCACTGGGCCAGGATCCAGCAGGAGGAGATCACAGCAAGTGTGCCTTTGAGAAGTTTGTTATTAAAATGAAATAAAGGATGGTATTTTGATACATAGTTCTCTGAGAATACAGAGAAAGTAGTGATTCATTCTGACCAGGAGATCTGGGAATGCTGATGGTTGGCAGTGAGGATGTCCTCTGTTTTTGAACAATAAATGCAGGAAAAGAAACTGAAAAGAATGCCAGGTATGGTGGCTCATGCCTGTAATCCCAGCACTTTCGGAGGCCAAGGTGGGTGGATCACAAGGTCAGAGTTAGAGACCAGCCTGGCCAACATGGTGAAACCGTGTCTCTGCTAAAGATAACACAAATTAGTTGGGTGTGGTGGCACACACCTGTAATCCCTGCTACTCAGGATGCTGAAGTAGGAGAATCACTTGAACCCGGGAGGCAGAGGTTGCAGTGAGCTGAGATCACCCCATTGCACTGCAGCCTGGGTGGTAGAGCGAGACTCCATCTCAAAAAAAAAAAAAAGAAAAGAAATGGAAAAGGGATGATAGAGAGTCAGGGTTACAATAAGGTCTCATTACAATACAGCTTTAAACATTAGAAAACAAACACTGTCTTGTGTAATCATACACTTCTAAGTTAGACATATTTCTGAACAAGATAAAATGTGCTACATAAAAATAAATGCTGGCTGGGCGTAGTGGCTCATGCCTATAATCCCAGCACTTTGGGATGCTGAGGCAGGTGGATCACTTGAGGTCAGGAGTTTAAGACCAGCCTGGGCAACATAGGGAAACCCTTACTAAAAATACAAAAAATTAGCCAGGTGTGGTAGCATGCGCCTGTGGTCCCAGTTATTGGAGAGGTTGAGGTGGGAAAATCACTTAAGCCTGGGAGACAGAGGTTGCAGTGAGCCGAGGTCGTGCCACTGTACTCCAGCCTGGGTGACAAAATGAGTTGATCTTGTCTCAAAAAAAAAAAAAATGCTATTTTTGTTTAAATTAGGCAAATATACTTATCTGTTATTTAAGACTAAAAACCTGATTTCTTGGTCCTCCATCTAGAAAATAGTCTGTTTTAAGACAAGGAAATAGTTCTTGTTTAAACTAGAGAATGAGAAGTCTGTCAGACACATGGCCCCACTCTTGCTCCAAGTCCTTCTCACCTATTCTCAGATAAGACCCAGATCTTGGGAAACAAATTAAGGGCGCATCTGCTGGATTGGACCTAGCTGCACTGGGAGTTGCCAGAGTGCTCTGAGCAGCATCAGGAATTCCTCTGGGCCTTGTCGTGATATCATTTGCGCAATGTAGCCTGTGATGGCAGAAAATTAAGCTGGTATTTATACAGGGTATTAGAGAAGGACCCTCCCTGCACCAGGCTTAAAGTGACAAAATGTCAGCCTCAATCATCCCACAGGCTTTGGTCTCCCTCTGTAACCTCTTTCTTTTTGGCTGCTCTCTCTCTCTCTCTCTGTCTCTCTCTCTGTCTCTGTCTCTCTCTCTCTCTCTCTCTCTCTCTCTCTCTCTCTCTATATATATATATATATATATATACATACATATATACACATACACACACACACACATACATATGACACTAACAGAAAAATAAATTGAAAAGAGCACTGAGGCAGAGTGTATTTCACGCACTGGTGCCAATGTTTCATATCTCATGAACCTCGGGAAAACAATTCGTAGAACTAATTAGTTTACAGTGTTTAAGCAGCTTGTTCCTCGTCTTTAATCTTCTTTATGTAATAGTGTGAACAAAGCCATATTATCTTCTGATTTTTTTATACAGTTTAACAAATATAATCTCCCTTTTCTTTCCAGAGATTACTTCATTTAGACATCAAACTATGTTGTTGTTGTTTTTTTCCCCTGGGGAGAGGGGATATAAATAAATTGACATCTATTCACATAGGTCTCAATGGTCTACCAGATCCACCCAGGCCCTAATCCTCTTTGTTGTCATGGAATCCACCTGGCTTAATTATATTTACAGTTTTCAACGACACCACATGGCATGCAGGTTTTCCCTGAACTCTGCACATCTTCCCGAATCCTAGCTATAAGTCACACTCCAGCTGCTGTATCCGTCTCGGATTCTAGACGGTGACAAGGCACTCTTGCCTGAAACTCAGCATCAGGTCCTCAAAGAATAGAGCCTGGATAAATCTCCCCTCCAGTATTTTTATAGCCTACTAAAAGAACATGATTTAAGAGAACTCCTGACCTAAAGCCAGGGGATGGGAAATAGATACATATGTGTACAAATTAGTTGGGTGGTCAGGGGAGCAAAGAAGAACAAGATACTTAACTTACAAAAGTTTTATCTTAAAATACTGCTCACAAGTATGACTTTTAAGAGAAATTGAACTTTTTGTGCTTTCTGATTCTAGATAAATATTTAGTTGCTAAGCTGCTGGAATGCTATGAGATACATTTTGGGTAGAGTCAAACTGAAATCCAAGAACTGGGTAAGGCTAGTGTTGAAGTAATTATTATTCATCTGGTGGGTGATGCTGCACACAAATAACTACTTGCACTGCTAAGGATTTGGAGCAGAGTTACTCCCTGAGAGAGACACTTTTCAGGTGGCAGAAACCTACCTCAGACTTTTATTTATACACTGGAATCCACATTATTAAAGAATTTTACAGTCTTGGAAAAACACAGGACTTGGTGCAAACTTTCATTTTGCTTGCCTGAGAACTGTGTACTGTCCCATGGTACCCATCTGCCTTAAAGTTCACTCTGTCCTTAATTGTCAAACAGATTCATGGTAACTCCTAATTAGTGCAAAACAGGTAACACAGCTGCGACTCTGCAACTGCTGAACACCTTTAGCATCTATATCAAGCTAAGCTCAGGAGCCCTCTCTGCTCTCTCCCAAGGTTAATGGTTTCGAGTCTTCTGAGAATTATGGAGTAGGTGCCCACAGTGAGAGAGGGCGCCTGGTTCTCCAAGCCGCTGTTCCCACTACTAATAGAGTCAGCATAAGAAGCAGCCAGTTTCCAGCAACGGTAACAATGGAGAAATTTCTCTTACTGCACAGCTGCCAAATAACTTTGAGGATCTGATTCAGAACTAACATGGAAGATTTAAATGGATCCATTGCAACAGACGTTTTGCATGTTGGCACACTGGAATTAGAGGAACTAATCAGAGCCAGAGTGGTACCAGATGGTCTCTTGAGAATTCTTCTGAGTTTAAGATATGTGAGCCAATGAGACAAACTGTATAATTGCCCAAGATTTTACTCTAAGAGCACTGGCACTGGGAGTAAGACCACTAGGAAACTCAGCTCTGCCACTTTCCAGCTGTAGGACTTCAGGCAAATTAATTAAATAGGATGGTGGTGAAGAATTAAGTGAGATACTGTATCTAACACTCAGGGTACCTAGGTAGAGCACAGGGAAGATGAGGAGCTGTTAACTGTGATAGTTATGATTTTGTATTTTTTTTTTTTAGATTTCTGAGTTGAGGAATATTTGCAAGCAGGTACAGTAATTACCCAATTCAGATGTTTATAGAAAAAGAAACACATCTTAAAAATAAAGGTACCACAAAAAACAAGAAGTAGAAAATTGGAAGATGGAGAGATGAAAGAAAAATGAAGAAATTTCAGAGAAAAATGAAAAAACAAAGCAGATTTTAAAAAGAAAAAGAAAAAAAGGTAGGAAATACAAATTAAGAAATTTCAGAGAAAAATGAAAAAACAAAGCAGATTTTTTTAAAAAAAGAAAAAAGGTAGGAAATACAAATCTAAGAGGAGGGTTTGAATTCCTAATCCTGTTCTTTTTCCTTGCACTTCTATTCAAATCCCTTTTCTGCATCTCAACTTTTGTCTGCACTAGATGGTCCAATTCTAGCCAGACTTCAACTTGTAGCAGTCCCAAGGTAGAAATGACTAGAAAAAAGAAAGTTCCCTCTTAGCTATGAAGAATGAAAAACATTAAAATGCAAATTCAATGTAAAAAAGAAAGCAAGACTATACACACATTTCACAGTAGCAAATTCTCAGGCAGAAGTGGAAGCCAGCAAGTAACCCCCTGAGGTGTGCTAGTGTAACTGTTTCAAGTTTTGGGGATGACAGATAAACAGCAAGTCCTATTACTACTGAATGAATCTCTCTCTCTCTCTCTTTTTTTCTCTGGGAAGAAAATGTTTGTGATAGAATTGGTCCTTGAGAAAGAGTGAATTGATCTGTTAGCTTTCTGTGCTGGACCAGAAATAATTATTGCCATACCTACTTCCTATGGATTATGTTCAAAAGTTAGAGATACTCACTTATTCTGTCTTTATGCTATGGGGAACTAATCGGAACTGGGGTTTGCTTCACTGACTCTCACTTATTTTAAAAGTCAGGCTTAGTAGGAAAGAAAAAGTCAAAGAGATTGACCAAGAAAGGATGAAATGTTCGGTCTAGGTAAACAAACACTGTCTCAGATAAAGTTCTCCACGGGTCTCGACCTCACCTTCTACTGCGTATGAATTCATTTTACAATGTTCGTTTTTTTTAAGCTAGATCTTTGTGTGCTTATTTTCAACAGGGGATGACAATTGATTTGTTTTCTATTGAACCTCGCCAACTGGATACTGAAGCGAGCACGGCATATTTAGATGCCCTTAAACTTTCAGGTTCACCTTTAAAACGTGCCAAGACAATGTCATGTTGAGGGTAAATGTGCAATTTTCACTAGGCTGAGACGAGAAATGAGTGTCTCGCAGGTGAAATGACATTAAAGGCGTTACAGTAAAACAGAGACCAATCCTTATTGATTCATTTTAACTCAAATAAAATTCCAATAATTTGATGGACATGAAATAGCAAACAAAGGAAAAAACAAATCAGATGATTCCTGAGTGTGTGTGAAAGAGCACCCAGGCCCTGCTAGAAAAAAGCCACACTGCCAAATTCAACCCTATGTATATTCACAGGCACTTATTTAGCCTACCGGCTTCTCCTTCAGGAGTAGGACTGGTAAGGAACTTTAAAAGCTAAAAGATATGGAAGATACAACCTAATCAGGTTCAGGTAGCTAGAGAAACAAGACACACCCATAAGAAAGAACTTATGATGATAATTCTAAAAAAAAATGCATAACTACATAGTGGAGAGTGGTTCGGGTAACTTATGGAAATCCTGAGGCTATAAAAGATAAAAGAAAGACATCAGTTTATAGAGTTCACCCATATCTAACTTTCTTCTCCTTCTGGGCGTATGAGAGTATTATACCTCTCTACTACCTTAGAGTTAGGCAGAGTTGTGGGCGGAAGGAACATGAGTCACTTTTGGGCTGAAGCAAGACTCTTCAGTGTTCTCTTATGTGGTGGTTTGTGTTGAGATGACAAAACCACAAGACTGAAGAGGCCTCTATCATTGAGTCACACACAGATAATAGTTACCTGCCTTAATAAACTCTGTCAAACCCCTGAGATCCTGGGGCTGTTTGTTACTGCAGCACAATATATTCTGTCCTGACAAATATAGATACCAAGGCAGGGAGGAGCTAGAGAAAGTTACTATGAAAAGAATTTTAGGGTCTCCTCAGTGTATTTATACTTTAGTTTCCTTCCCCCTTTGGCTGACCTGTCTGCCTCCAATATCTCTCAAATACTCCACATTGCTGCTAGAGCATTCTAAGACCTACATCTGTTCACATCTCTGTTTGAACTTCAAATGGAATCGCCTGGCACAAAAGATAAAGAACAACTTCCTTAGCATAGGGTCAAGGCCCATGGTATCTGGCTCTGTTTCCCAATGTTATTTTTGCCCACTAGTTCCCATCCTGTATTCCTGCCGTCAGCACTCTGATTGAGCCACATTCTGCTCTGCCTCCATGAACTGGGACACACTGCTGTGCCTGTAATGGCCCCCACTCCCTCTTCCCCCCGGGTGAACACCTAACCAACTTCTGGCAGGATTCACTTCCTCTGTGAGGCCTTCAGCTCCTCTCTCCTCCCTCAGCACTTTGTGCATTCTGTTACAAAACACTGTTCCTTAAAAACTTTGTTTAATCCCCTTCCAATGGATAGTGAGTTGCTCAAGGCAGTGAGTGATTCACTTTTGTTTCCCCCAGAGCATCTAGCACAGTATCTGACAAGCAGTTAGTATTTGCAGAAATAATGAATGAATAAAGGAAAGAAGGAATATCTGCATGGCTGTGTCCATGAGAGTATTAGGCAGATGACAGGGGCAGAGTAGAGGTTTGTTGGATAGAAGTAAAATGTAAATGTAAGCAGCCAGCAGGTGTCAAATTACAAAGAATGAGAATTTTTCACTTGATCCAAAAGGTAATAGGGAATCATGATAACTTCATGAGCAGCAAAATGATAATTTTGTTCAGCCCTGTAGCACCTTGTGCCTTGAATGTCAGCTATGTTTATGCCAATCTTATTCCCCCTTGGACTGTAAAGCTCCTTGAAAACAGGGTTTGTGTCCTAATCATATTTGTATCCCCTATAGCAACAAGCACAGTGTTTGTATAACAGGTGCCAACAAATATTTGCTGAATTTAATTTTACAAAGATTACTCCCTATGCGATGAGGCTGGATAGACCAGCTAGCAGACTACTGTATTATATCCAACATTACATGGGAAATGGACTTAAAGGGGAGTATTGCCTATGGAAATGTGAAAATAGAAATCTAAGATGGTCTAATATTCCAGTCAGCAGCCTTTAGGGTCTCTAATATCAATTAATGTTTTGAGCCTGGGGTCCCAGAAAAATGGTGGTCTATTTAAAACACAAATGTTGAGAGGAAGATTTGCTTTTCTCAGGGAGTACATGAGTCCCATGTGGGAGATAACAAAAGAAAATATACTAGAGCTAAAAGCAGCTAGAAATACTAACCGCTGTATACAAATGTTATCTTATCCCCCATCTTGCGGCTTAGTTCAATTTTTTTATTGATTGATTGATTCATTCACTCACTCATTGGTTTTATTTTTGTAAATTTCTTACATTGTATAAAGTAATGTTTCTGAAGTTTATTCAAGTCTATTTAGATTATTGTCTGTTTCACATTAATCCCCAAAGTCAAAGACGGTGAGTGAAGTAAAGAAATGATGTGCTAGACTCTTCTGCTTTGGGTTTCCCAGATATCTCTAGTTATTCTCTATCAGAAAGGGTTTGCAGGGGCTTCCTCTTGTTGAAGTACCCTTTTTAAAACTCCAGCTGTCAGCAGGGAATCCTACAAGCATCAAATTATTTTACAAATCCCAAGTTTAAAAGAGCACTCCATTCAGAAGCTATACCTGGTTTTATTATGACTCACTTCTTAAGAAGACACACACACACAACTAGTGAGCCCTTAAAAGAAACATTAAGACCGAAAAACAAAAAAACTCTTTTTTTTTCCAAGACAGCGTCTTGCTCTGTCGCCCAGGCTACAGTGCAATGGCACGATCTCAAATCACTGCAACCTCTGCCTCCTGGGTTGAAGCGAGTCTCCCGCCTCAGCCTCCCAAGTAGCTGGGATTACAGGCGAGTGCCACGACGCCTGGCTAATTTTTTGTATTTTTTAGTAGAGATGGGTTTTCACCTGTTGGGCAGGCTGGTCTTGAACTCCTGACCTCACGATCCGCCTGCCTTCACCTCCCAAAGTGCTAGGATTACAGGCATGAGCCACTGCGCCCGGCCACAAAAAAACCTCTTTTAAGATACTGTCCAAAGCCTGTACCTGAGGGATTCAGTGTTATACCTCCCAAAATAAAATATGGATTTAAAATTCAAGGTATATATAATAGGTTATCAATAAGTTAACTATTACCATCATTACAATATTTCATTTAATCTATTGCAAACTCATGTATTGGACCAGACAAAATTTGTTTGTTTATTTAGATGGAGTCTTGCTCTGTCACCCAGGCTGGAATGCAGTAGGGCAATCTTGGCTCACTGCAACCGCCGCCTTCCAGGTTCAAGCATTTCTCCTGCCCCAGCCTCTCTAGTAGCTGGGATTACAGGCACGTGCCACCATGTCTGGCTAATTATTGTATTTTTAGTAGAGACAGGGTTTTACCAAGACCAGGCTGGTCTCAAAATCCTGACCTCAGGTGATCTGCCTGCCCTGGCCTCCCAAAGTGCTGGGATTACAGGCATGAACCACCGTGCCCGTCCTGGACCAGATAAAATTTAAACCAAACTTAACAGATTAAAATTTTCTGTGGGTTAATGTTAAAATCATACCTAAAAAAGTTTTAGTCCAATGTGAACCTAAGTTCACATTCTAAAAGGTACCTGGAACCTCAGGTGCCTTCACTGGACCCTAAAGCTTCCAAGCATTTTGTGATTGATTTGACCCCACCTACCCCCCCCACCAAGATCTAACACTAATGTTTCATTCCTGCAACTGAACATTATCAGTTTTTCATATCATTTATTTGTGGCAAAATGAGAAAACATATCCATAGCAAGGACTATGTACAGGAAAGTTCTCTGAGTGGCCTTGCACTGACTCAGTTATGCTCTTTCTTGCTTGTAGCTCTCAAGAATAACTGTACCAGTGTGCTAGGAATGCAACATCCTGAGATAAGAGGGGACCTGGCTGAAACAGCTGGACTTAGTTCCAATGTCCCCAGAACAGGATGTCCTTCAACACTTTAGCCCAGAAGATCTCATGACTCAGGGTATAAAACCCAGGGTGGGTGGATCTCCAGGGTCCCTCAGCTGGGGTACAAGTGGGGCATGCAGGGACAAGATTCCATCTTTCCTTGGCAGCTTGCTTGAACCATGGGGGACCAGCTAGCTAGCAATTAATTCTAGGATTATGTTATTCCTTGATGCCTATCTATAGATAATAAACCCGCTTTGTATAACTTGTGTGCTTGGGTGTTCTGTCTCACTAGACTCAGAGAAGTTGGTAACCAGTGCATAGTGAACTTGCTTCACACTATGTCATTTATTTGTTTATTTATTTATGTATTTTAGTGACCTGATCTTCCTATGGTGCCCAGGTTAGACTCCAACTCCCTAGCTCATGGGATCCTCCTGCCTCCACCTCCCAAGTAGCTGAGACTACAGGTGCACGTTACCATGCCCAGCTATTGCTTTTAACACATCCCACCCATGCTTTCAGTTAAACAATTATTCTATCTCCCTGAATTGCGTGACATTTTCCAAAAAAAGAATCATCAAATGAATCCTTTCAAAAGAAATCAAGCATCTCTTGCATCCTCACCCTGCAGCATTAAGATGCAGGCCTGCCAGCGAGGGGGTGAAATCTTCACCCTCACCTTTCAGGGAAGTGCAGGGTAGGCTACCACCTGCACTGCAAAGTTTATCCAACATGAGAGTTCCTTTGGCAGGGAACATTAACCGCTGACTTATGCTTGTCACTGCATAGGTAAAGGACACTGATACAGGTAAAGAAGTCTGCATGTGCACTGTCATGACCAATGCCTTACAGCGGCTACTCAGATTCCTCTTTACTTACTGTGTCACCATCCAGTGGGGAAAAGCACCTCAGTATTAATCCTAGTTACACATACTCTAACAGGACATGATCTTAACCATTAGGGCAGTATTAATTAAGGTATCTTGCAGAGATCCTGCTCATTATATATTTAAAAACAAGATGAGGTTTCATTAACTCTTTTACTTTCAATCATCTTCAAACTCAGCTCCTAGAAAGCAAACTGGGTTCCATACTTGCTTAAGGCTTAAGAACACATTTTACATTTATTCTCATTCAAGCCACATTGTGATATGAAGTGATTTATGAATTAGAGAGCACATGTGTTATCAGAATTCCGTAATAAAATGTTCAGAGACTCTTGGCTTTGTCACCATTAGGGACAGGACATAGGCTTGCTTTTCCATGGTCTGGCCAAACGGCCTCCAACGACAGGACAAGTCCCCACCTCCAGGCATATTAAAAATTATAACATGGTATATACTTCAGGCAGCAGAACTCTTAATTCTAGCATTTTCTCAAGGCAATACAGACGGCCCCTCCCTCCCTCCTTCCTCCCTTCCTTCCATGGAGTTCCGCTCTTGTTGCCCAGGCTGAAGTGCAATGGCGTGATCTCAGCTCACCACAACCTCTGCCTCCCGGGTTCAAGTGATTCTCCTGCCTCAGCATCCTGAGTAGCTGGGATTACAGGTGTCCACCACCATGCCTGGCTACTTTTTGTATTTTTAGTAGAGACGGGTTTCACCATGTTGGCCAAGCTGGTCCGGAACTCCTAACCTCAGGTGATCCACCTGCCTTGGCCTCCCAAAGTGCTGGGATTACAGGCATGAGCCACCGCACCCAGACTGTTCTTTCTTTTTTCTTGGTGACTGGAATAAGGGAAGTCTGCAATTTTTATGACTTTATATGTGTATCCACAAAATCTATGTGCAAAGATTGCCTCTTCAGAGGGGAACTGAATAGTTGGAAAATAGGAGTGGGAAGAAGACATGTTTTTCACTGTATACCCTTTTATAGCTTTTAAGTTTTGTATCAGGTATATGTATTATACATTCAAATACTAAAAATTAAATTAATTAATTTTTTGAGACAGAGTCTCACCCTGTCGCCCAGGCTAGAGTGTGCAGTGGTGCAATCTCGGCTCACTGCAACCTCCGCCTCCAGGGATCAAGCGATTCTCATGCTTCAGCCTCCCGAGTAGCTGGGATTACAGGTGCGCGCCACTATGCCAGGCTAATTTTTGTATTTTTATTCGAGACAGGGTTTCGCCATATTGGCCAGGCTGGTCTCAAACTCTTGGCCTCAAGTAATCTGCTCACCTCTGCCTCCCAAAGTGCTGGAATTACAGGTATGAGCCACCACCCCTGGCCTAAAAATGTAATTTTAAAAGTACAAATAAAAGCAAAACAACTACAAACTTTCCTAAACCATGTTTAAAAAAAATTATTCAGTCTTATAAAGTTACAAAAACTTTTTAAAAATCTAACCTTTAAAAAAAATATTCAAAATACATTTTGGAAAAAATGCTTCAAAGATTTTATATCTAAAACACTGCACCTGGACACTGTTAAGAAACAGTTATATGTCATCCTTTTATTATGATAACTATTCAGCTAGAAAGATCATTACCTACTTTGACATTATAAAAGTTAGTGAATTTAAAAAATAGATAATGTGTTTTTAAAGGAAAGCATGTTATTTTTCCCTCTAAGGTATGCTTGACAAAAGTTCAGCATTTCAAGTAAATACACATTATTTCATTTATCAGTTGTGATCATCTCATTCTCTTCAGTATGACTTAAGAAGCTTCAGGAATGTGTTTATTCTCACCTCAGTCACTCTCACAGGCAAGACTCCCATTAGAGAAAGAAGCCACCAGACGCCACCAGAACCTTAACAAAATTAAGGATACCTTAGGGCTCTCAATTTCACTCTGAAAGAAAATCATCCTTGGCCGAGCACGGTGGATCATGCCTGTAATCCCAGCACCTTCGGAGGCCGAGGCGGGCGGATCATCTGAGGTCAGGAGTTTGAGACCAGCTTGGCCAACATGGTGAAACCTCGTCTCTACTAAAAATACAAAAATTAGCAGAGTGTGGTGGCGGGCACCTGTAATCCCAACTATTCAGGAGGCTGAGGTAGGAGGATCGCTTGAACCGGGAGGCGGAGGTTGCAGTGAGCAGAGATCACGCCACTGCACTCCAGCCTGGGGACAGAGACTCCATCTCAAAAAAAAAAAAAAATACATCTTTAAGATCTATTCTTGTAAGATTTTTTTTCAACAGGAAAGCTAAAAAAATGCTTAAAAATATATACATTATTTTAGATTTGAAGCCACCACCTAGAGAAAAGGAGATATATCCTATTTGTTACATAATGTCTCTCCAGAATAATTACTTTTATTTGTTCACTTTCTAGAGCAAACACCATAGTTGTTTTTTGTTTTTTGTTTTTTTTTTATCTTTTACAACCAAATATTTTCTACTAAATAGGAGATAAAGACCAATAAAACCTTTGTTCTCTCTCCCTTCAGCCAACCCCTAAGGCATATTTTATCTCTAGAGTTGTTATCTGAAGTGAATTACTGATTAAAAAAAAAAGTTAAAGGACCCAGACTGCTGAATGTGTGCGGTAACTGCAGTGTTTTCCACACCTTGTTTCTCTTTAGCTAGGCCCTACCAATAGTCACTGTTCCTACCAGCCTGCTTTTGCAGAAAAGAAAAAGTTGCCTAAATACCATGGCTCCAATGCCTAAATTCCTTTACCAAGAAAAAACAAAAACAAAAACAAACAAGTATATTACAAGACTCTGGAAAACCGAAGTCTTACATTTACAATGTACTTATTCAGATTTGTAAACTCCTAAGTGGCAGGAGAATATTAACATGTACTTTTAAGGAATTTTCATGGGCAAACAGGTTAACTTCAGTAACTACCTGTACAAGGTTTATAATGAGCTGTAGACCCTTTTTTCTAACTCTCTTGGCCACAACTGGTATATTTTGCCTTCAGAGTATTATCAGTGTGTATGTATTGAACATTGGCACAGTCTATCATTTAATATTCACAACAAACCTATAAGGTTTATACAATTATTACCCACATGTCACAGATGAGGAAACAGGCACAGGCACTTACCCAAGTGTACACTGCTTGTTAGTGTTAGTGTGGAGGCTGAAACGGAAGCAGGCTGGCTCCAGAGTCTGCATCCTAAACCCTATTTTGCAATGAGTTTAATGCTCTTAAAATGAGCAGAAATGAAATGTAAAACATTTTTTACCCCAACATTTTTTTATGATGTTGAGAGATGACGGCGTGCTGGCAGTCCTCACAGCCTTCGCTCGCTCTGGGTGCCTCCTCTGCCTGGGCTCCCACTTTGGCGGCACTTGAGGAGCCCTTCAGCCCACCGCTGCACTGTGGGAGCCCTTTTCTGGGCTGGCCAAGACCGGAGCCCGCTCCCTCAGCTTGCAGGGAGGTGTGGAGGCGGAGGCGTGAGCTGCGGGCGGCTGCGGGCGGCGCTTGAGGGCCAGCTGGAGTTCCGGGTGGGCGTGGGCTTGGCGGGCCCTGCACTGGGAGCAGCCGGCCGGCCCTGCCGCCCGGGCAGTGAGGGGCTTAGCACCCAGGCCAGCGGCTGCGGAGGGTGTACTGGGTGCCCCAGCAGCGCCAGCCCACTGGCGCTGAGCTTGATTTCTCGCTGGGCCTTAGCTGCCTTCCCGTGGGGCTGGGCTTGGGACCTGCAGCCCGCCATACCTGAGCCTCCCACCCTCTGCTCCATGGCACCCAGTCCCATCGACCACCCAAGGGCTGAGGAGTGCAGGCACACGGCACGGGACTGGCAGGCAGCTCCATCTGCAGCCCCGTTGGGGGATCCACTGGGTGAAGCCAGCTGGGCTCCTGAGTCTGGTGGGGACGTGGAGAACCTTTATGTCTCTAGCTCAGGGACTGTAAATATACCAATCAGCACTCTGTATCTAGCTACTCTGGTGGGGCCTTGGAGAACCTTTATGTCTAGCTCAGGAATTGTAAATACACCAATCAGCACTCTGTCTCTAGCTCAAGGTTTGTAAACACACCAATCAGCACCCTGTGTCTAGCTCAGGGTGCTAGACAAATCAACACTCTGTATCTAGCTACTCTGGTGGGGCCTTGGAGAACCTTTGTGTCTAGCTCTGTATCTAGCTAATCTGGTGGGGACATGAAAAACCTTTGTGTCTAGCTCAGGGATTGTAAAAGCACCAATCAGTGCCCTGTCAAAACAGACCACTCAGCTCTACCAATCAGCAGGATGTGGGTGGGGCCACATAAGAGAATAAAAGCAGGCTGCCTGAGCCAGCAGTGGCAACCCGCTCAGGTCCCCTTCCACGCTGTGGAAGCTTTGTTCTTTCGCTCTTTGCAATAAATCTTGCTATTGCTCACTCTTTGGGTCCACACTGCCTTTATGAGCTATAACACTCACCATGAAGATCTGCGGCTCCACTCCTGAAGTCAGCGGGACCAGGAGCCCACCGGGAGGAACGAACAACTCCAGACGAGCCGCCTTAAGAGCTGTAACACTCACCTCGAAGGTCTGCAGCTTCACTCCTGAGCTAGCGAGACCACGAATCCAACAGAAGGAAGAAACTCTGAACACATCCGAACATCAGAAGGAACAAACTCCAGACGCGCCACCTTAAGAGCTGTAACGCTCATCGCGAGGGTCCGCGGCCTCATTCTTGAAGTCAGTGAGACCAAGAACCCACCAATTCTGGACACAATGTCATGACTTAGGCAGTAAGCATCCATGAATTCTTAAACTTTTAACGTTATTCATTTTTAGCAAATATCTATTGACTCCACAGAATATGCAGTCTTGTGTAAGATATTTCAGGGGAACACGAGGAAGTATGACAAATAACGCCATGTTCTCAAGCAGTTTGAAACTCCTTGGCGCCTCCTCTCCACCAAAAAAGGAGGAAAAAAACAAATTAAACAACATTTAAAAATACATTTCCAAGCATCCCCGGAAGTCAGGATCTTCTAGTATCCATGGCCTATTATATACAATGGTTATAGGCCTGGTGTTGACCGGGTTGCTGGGTTCAGTTTGCCTGGAAGTGGATTCCAGAACAGCCTATCAGGAAGAGGTAGTTTCTGTAGTCAAAGGCAGGAGGCAAGCTTTAGCCACCTCCTGTACTGGCTTGAGATAAAATCAAGAAATCCACCTCCTGACTGCTTGTCCAGGCCTCTTTTTTCTGTCCTTCCTCTAACGTCAACCCAATTTCCCCAAAATTACTTAGAGCAGGCTGGCGCGGTGGCTCATGCCTGTAATCCCAGCACTTTGGGAGGCCAAGGTGGGTGGATCACCTGAGGTCAGGAGTTCGAGACCAGCTTGGCCAACATGGTGAAACCCCTGTCTCTGCTAAAAAAAAAAAAAAAAAAAAAAATACATAAATTAGCTGGGCGTGGTGGCAGGCACCTGTAATCCCAGCTACTCGGAAAACAGAATCATTTGAACCTGGGAGGCAGAGGTTGCAGTGAGCCAAGATCATACCATTGTATTCCAGCCTGGGCAACGAGAGCAAAATTCCATCTCAAAAAAAAAAAAAAAAACAAAAAAACAAAAAACAACAACTACCCAGCATCTCTTTGCTACAGACAAGATCAGAGAGTCTCGTTCATCCCATGTTTCTGAGAGGTAATGTCAAGTTATTCCAGTTCAGCTGCTTGTGTTTCCATAGAGGATGAGCATTTGGCCTTTAGGAGGGATTGAGAAGTACCTTATCACAACGCTACCTACATGTTTGGTAGGTCTTACCCCTCTCCTCCTTCCTGCTCTCACTGACACAGATTTGTAGCAGAATATACAAAGATGCCTTTTGTGGGAAAATGTTGCCAACTCTACCCCAGACAACAGCTGGTGCTGTCTGTTGGGGCTTGCTAAGCAATAAAGTGCGCTTAAACAATAACTGCAACTTCCATTAGTGGATGACCCATTCCTGGGGAGGAACATCCTGGAGAAGAAACGTGGGTCAGCAAACCTAGGACTAAACCCAGATGTAGCAGGGCTTTTGGCTTCTCCTCCTTCAGACTAGGCCATAATCTCCCTGAATGAGACAAAGTAGTTTTCAGAAAGTACCAAGTAGACAGTTCATGTGTTTGGCTCCTAGGAGCAAGTCATATCCATTTAGAGTCTTGGCTTTATGCTAATGGGGACAATGTCCCCTGGACTCCTTTGGCATGGCTCACCACCTGCCCTCCTCCTGACAAGCATTCTCATTGTCCCAAAGTAGGCACCTGTAGTTTCAGAACCAGCTCCCTGAGGTTGCTTCCATTTATTAAGACAATTTGGGCCTAGAAGCTGGTTAGTAAGTTGCCATGGTATCGCGAGCAAAGCATTAGTCGGCTTTGCTTTGCTATCTGTAGTAGTAGGTGATCTTTTATAAAAAATTGTTGATGTACATGAGGACAAATAAATCAACACATTTACATCTCCTAACTCATTTGTAGGAACAGGTTCATATTCTGCTGAAAACAAAAAATCAGGAGAGGATCAGAGGCAGAGGCCTGGGCAGGGAGGCTATTTTATGTAACTGTATTGGTATAAAATTACTCCTTTTGCTAACCACATCTAGAAGGTAAACGGAGCCTTATATGGAGAAATAATACTGGAGAAATAATAGTCATGTAAAGATAGGCTGCCTAAGACGTAAAGGCTGGGAAAGATTTTTTGAATAGATAGAAACTTTGAAATGTGGTGAGATCTGATTAAATGGGAACCTGTCTGGTTTGCATCAGCTAAAGTTCTAAAGAAGGCATAAGATGCTTGTTTGGTGTCTGCATCTCACGGCTACCTAGGGAGCGCTGGAAAATCTTAGCAACTTCTTCAGTTTGTTCCACTTAAATCTGAGGCTATAGACCACCTCTGTGGGGACCATTACATAACACGCAGGGCACAGTGCAAAATGAGAATGTAGGACTCCTTGTTCAAAAAGCAAGAAAAAAACAGTGCCATTAAGAACACTAACATCTAAAGCTTTTTCCTTTCTTCCACAAACTTTCAATTTCTCATGATGTTTTTTATTTGCTATTTAAAGTCATTCTGAACAAAGGAGAGAAAAACTAAAACATTTAATTATTAGCATGAAGTTTACCATTTATCTTTATTTTTATTATTAGTAGTATTATTTTTTGAGACGGAGTCTCAATCTGTCACCCAGGCTGGAGTGCAGTGGCGCGATCTCGGCTTACTGCAGCCTCGGCCTCCTGAGTTCAAGTGATTCTTCTGCCTCAGCCTCCCAAGTAGCTGGGATTACAGACATGTGCCATCATGCCCAGCTAATTTTTGTATTTTTAGTAGAGACGGGGTTTCACCATGTTGGCCAGGCTGGCCTTGAGCTCCTGACCTCAAGTGATCCGCCTTTCTCGGCCTCCCAAAGTGCTGGGATTACAGGCGTGAGCCAACAAGCCCGGCCTACAATTTATCTTTATATGGTACAGTGACAGTTTCAATGCAAATATAAGAGCATTTAACTTACATGTGGAATAATATGACACAACCTTTTTTCATAGCTCATACACGTATATTTATTTCATTCTTACTAGGGCAGTGGAAACACTACACAACTAACTCAACTGAAACTCACTCACAAATTTCTTGATTCATGCATATTATACCAACACACTACAGGAACAGACAGCTTCCATAATCCACTTACTTTCTACTCCCCTGGAGCTTCCCTGGACCCCCACACATCATAGTCTATCAGAATTCTGTATTTGTGAAAAACTGTGAATGTGATATGCAGATAGTGCCACAATGGACAAACAAACATATCACACATCGCCTCGGCTCATGAAGATGCTCCATTTATGAAACACTAGTTCAAAGATAAAATTCAGAATTTTGAGACAGTGACAGCGGAGCCTTAAGCCAAGTATGGGGCCCTTCTGAGCTCAGGGCCCTGTGTGACAGCACAGGTTGAATGCCATGAAGCTAGCCCTGCACCTCAGACCTCTGGCCAATATGCTTAGAGGGACTATTCCTGAATACTAATAATGAGGCTTTCCAAGGAGGTAGGTTTGATGCCAATGTACACACTGTGATAAGGCTGCAGGGGATAGACTACATATGGTGATTACCCTGTAAATTACCTGTTCATATAGTTTCCCCAGGTTGTGTCGTTGGGGCCTGTGCTTTTCTTTATGTATATAAGTATGTATGTATGTATGTATGTATGTATGTATGTATGTGTATCAGCCAAAGGAGTCTTTGATTTCTTTTACTGTGAGATTTCCATTGGAAACAGACACCTGCTTTGCTCTCTTCTCCTTTTTCATTATCATAACCAAATAGCAAGCACATAGATTTTGGTTAGTCATTCTAAATCGAAAGACACAAATATATATAGGAAGATGTCAAAAAAAGAGAAGAAAGATGAAATTTTTTTTTAAATCGGGAGAAAGTAAACATACCCTCAATACTTAAATCTCCCACAATGCACAACAATAAACCTGCCCTGATATGGGCACTGCCAGGGATATACTCTTCTCCCTTTCTGTCTCTGAGTAACAACAGGTTGCAACTAGTTTGAATTAAAGAGCCTGCATCTGCAGCCAACAGCTGGAATTCGGCAACTGTTGTTAATCCACCTTAATTGCTTATTATTCTATGAGTCCTTGTTTGTGCTTTTGTTATTCAAAGTAATTTTCCCTACATGCACATACTACCAAGCATGGTTTTAGCAAGCTGTGGCCAAAGAATTCCTGTGTTTCCATCCTAGGGCTGTCATTGTTTTCTTTTGAAACAAAAACATATTGACACTGGATTTTTTTAAAGGGTTAGCAAGTTAGCAGTGATGCCCACAGATGGACTAGCATTGGCCTATATGTGCACAGAGATACAGGTATTAGCCAACGTCTAAATAAGAACAAGTCTTCTTTTGGTGTTTTAATTAGAGCTGCAGTTAGCAGGGTTGCTATTTTCCCTAAACAATTCTTCCCCTCCTTGAGTTAGGGAGGGATTTTCACTCCACCACTTCATTGCACTAGTGAATAAATGAGATCCCAGGGTTCCAGGGAGAAAAAAAATTACCAATATAAATGCATCAGGTGCAAATTACCAAGGTAAATAGGCCCATGGAGACTGTAAAGCTAGCAACACCAACTGGAATATCTGAGAGGGGCCAGCAGGAGAAAGCCCATGGGTCACAGTCTCAGTTCTGCAGTGTACTGTGTGTGTTTCAACCCGGATCATTCATCCTGCAGCCTGCAGAAAGGAATCCACAGCACAAAGCAGTTGTGATTTGGCATTGACAGTGTTCTAACTAATGCTTCAGTTGTAGCTTTTCTATTCCCCTCTCTTTTTATTCACCCAAATGCCACTCTTGGATAGTGTCAAAGCAGAACCTCCATTGTGAGAGACCAATGCAATATAATATCTCCAACTATAAGTTGATCATTAGTAATTATTTGTTCCCTGGAACTATTTATAATCTGCAATAAGGAAAAACTGCCACAAACATCACTATTAACTGTGGTCTGTAGGGCACGAAGGCTGATCTTTTACGTTTTCCCTACAATGTATACGTATATCTGCTAAAGAAAGTATTTGTAGCTCTGCATTTCTTCTTTCTGTTGCTCTTTACTGCAAAGTCTTTCTTGTTCTGTAATAATTTTGCCAGGGTAAGCCTAGTCCCACTGTAAGCTTCACATAAAGCAAAGACCTGTCATATACTTGTCTCTCCCAGAGTGCAGCACTATTTACTGACCTGAGTTCAATTTTTTTCTAGAAGAGAGCAGGCAAGGCTTTCCATTAGCCTGGCTTTGTTTCCACCCAACCCTATCCTCATATGGTGTGGCTGTCTCACCTCTTACCCTCTTATACATGTAGCCTGAATGCACACTTGTTAGTCTTATTTATTACCCTATTTGTGTACTGAAGCACATGTCCCTTAAAAATTAGCCTGCTCTACCCTGACTGGAACATGAAATTCTGCAGGCATCTGAGCATATATTCAAATATAATAAAAGGGCTATATTATAACAAAGGTCTTTAAGGGATATTTGCCTGGCCCTTAAATCACCTTGACTTTGTTTCTTCAAATAGCAAGTACCTAAAAAATATTCATTAAAAAAAAACAAAACAAAAAGGTTTCCTGTGAACATTTCAGCCAGGATTGTTCATCCTGAAGCCTGCAGGAAGAAACCTGTGAACAAGTGAGTGGGAGAATTCACAGTGGAGTCAGCTCCAGCTCCTAACTCTTACTATTTATTCATACCTGGTGTCGTCTTGGTTTTATGCTTCCTGTTTTAGAGCATGCATCAGGCTAGATAAGGACATATTGTGTGCATAGTATAAACTAATATGAGGACAACTTCTACAAGCCTTCTACAGCATATAGATCAAGTGTCATTCTTAAAGCCACAGGCCCTTGTTAAAACAATTTATTTGCATGGATTAAGCCTCACTTATAGATATTGACTCAACTATATGATTTTGTAAATATTTTTTTAAAATATTCTGTTTCTTACTTAGGATATTTCTTACCTCCTGCACAACACAACATCAACTATACAATCAATAAGATACAGTCTTTAGCTACAAATTAAGCTTCTTATTTTATCTGTGTAACAATCATTATGTGGTTTAATGATGATCTGCAGTCTTAAATACATTATATACTGTTATATCAGAGATGACATAAAAGTACAGATATTATAGCTTATGAAATCAGCCCCTCCTTAATCAGTTTGGCAATAAACCAAATTGCCCTGATTTAGCAAAGAAATTCTCAGAAACTATTTTTCTCATTCAACATTTGTGATTTTAATTCTTTAAAAAATATTTCAGTGTCTTATTTTGCACAACCATTCACTATTTGTTTGAAAAACTTAAAACTGTAATATCATTTTAATACAGTCATTATAAACTAAAAGTTAAGATACATACTATCGGCTACATTTCTGTTGTGGTATTTTAAGCCTCACTTTGTTGAAGCAGCAATTATTTTCATAACCTGAATTAACGAATGCTGATTTTGTACGTGAAAAGATGGACAGAAATGTCACACTTTAATTCACGCCATTAAACAAACAAAAAACGGCCATAAGGTCAAAATAATAGAACTAGATGAAAAAAGTAGTCGATCTAGAATCCTGTGAAATTTTCTCTGATTTAAACTGTTTCTTGCCTTAAAGAAAAGTACTGCAGCTGTGATACAACTATGAGCCCTCCTCCCTTTAAAAGCTGATGTCAGTGAGAAATACCCCATCTGATGGGTTTTCAAGATGTACACCGGGCATTGCCTACGGAAGTTAGTTAATTACACCAACCTGCGGCTGTTAGCAATGAGGACTGCCCCTCTTCACCCAACGTAGGGCAGAAACCAATCCTCTCAGTTCACCGATCTAATTCCAGTTTTCAGGCACACTGGCCATCCACTGCCTCCTTCCCTTCCCTCTCCAACTCTTAGAAAACGAAATGCAGTTAATTTATGTTCATTTTATCCATTTCCTCTCATGACTCACTGCAACAGGAAACTGCCGTCTCTGTTGTGTTTAGACCAGTCTCGTCTTAGCCACGAGCTAACAGTATCATCATTTAGAAAGATCCCTCATCATGCCACAGTCAACATCAAACTGTTCCTCGACATTCTGAATTTATCTAGCACATCTTCCCTATCTGATGCAAATGAACCGGCAATCATTTTAGGAAGCAGTGCCTTAAAGAATTGTGATCCTGACACAATTGCTGTGGCGGTTTACTCATTACATTACGAAGCACAGCTGTATCTTGTTGTTTCATCTGTGGGGCTTTTGACAGCACATAACTGCTGAAAAGCATGTACATGGGGTTGATATATACACACACATACATACATACTCAGGACGTGCAAAGGAGAACGTGGCCGTGCTCGAAGTGTATCAAACTATGACTTCTAAATTCCTTTCCATCAAATGCCAGTAGAAGCACTTGATAAATGGACCCTAGGAGAGCACTTCTCATTGCCTCAGGATGGAACGACTCGCAGGCATACGACACTCCATCAATACAGAGAGCTGGCAGATTGAAAGGCGGGAAGGACTATCTCTGATACGGTGCATCTGCTTACTAATAGCAGCAGCACTCCAACCCTCTTCCCATTCATTGCCTACAGGAACCACTCCTCAGAGAGGCACGCCAGTCAACAGATGGTCTCTGGCTAAGGTGTAATCAGGAGCAGCTTGCTAAATTTACCCAAAACAAATAGAATTACAGGCTTTTGCCCGAGTCTGAAATTGAATTGAGAACTTGGGTGGTGGATAATGGAAGCTAAAATGGAAGAGCTCAAAATGCATCACAGCATGTTGGGAAAGGGCGGGCACAGGGTGCAGTTTCAGCTGTGAACTCCACTGTTTACTACCAGGTCATCTATTGCCAATAAACTTGTCTACTATGCAGGATCGTTTCCCCTCAAGATCAAAGCTTCCAGGATTGGTAAAATTGTCACCAGTTAATGAAGTCATCTGCCTTCGGTGCACAGTGAACAAAATACTACCTGATGTTTTGAATATGTTTTGCCCAGTTGCAATGCCTTCACGTAAAATGTCAACAGTTCTAACCATCCTACTTTCATTAGCAGTTTTTATGTCCACTAAAAATCTGTCATTCAAAAGGTAAGAATCATTAAGGATTCTGAATAATGTGATCTTCTAAGAAGAGGTGTTCCGATGTCTATCTCCAGAATTCCTCGCTGTTTTCAATCATTCGTTGCTCAGAATACAGGCAACATAAAGCCTCAGAAATTGCCTGAAAAAGTCAGCATAAAATTAAGAGTAAATCATTTAACCTATGGCTATGTTTCACTACTTACGTAGTAAGAACTGTGCCACCCACACAAATCACTGTATCATGAAGCTTTAAAAGTAAATGAGGCAAAATATGTAAAAGCACTTAAATTATAAAGAGATAAGGTCTTAAGGATAAGGCTATTTGTAACCCAAGCTATCAGCAGTCACTTTAAAATTATTATCTTCATAACCATTAATATTTTTTATTACTAAATTGTTTACCCATTAAAAAGGCCATTAAAAAATTAAAAATTTCAGTTTCTAATATTTTATTGTTTTCTAATCTTCTTTGGAAATAAAAAGATGTGTATTTTGTATTTTACATCATTCAGTATTTGCAATGCAGAGCTTTTAAAATGTATTACAGCATGCATTGAATTAGCTACCTTTAAACTAATAATCAGGCAATTCTCCTCATTCTTCATGACTTAAAATCCCATTATGGAAAATTCACTTTTATACATCAATCAGTCTAACATTTTCAAACATCAGTTATATAAGAAGTATCTGAAGTACCTCCTATTTTCTTCGAGCATTTTGTTGTAAGGAACTCTGCCATGCAGAGAAGGAATCCCAAAAGAAAGGTCTTTTTTGTTCAGGATGAAAGTATTTAAAGAGAGGGTATTTTTTAAATTAACTAAAAAAAGAGCTTCATTCTTAAGGTTTGAATTACAGACTGACAAGGGCTAAAATATCTTTTAACATAATTATTTTTTAAAGTAACTGACTTGAAATGAAACTAGCATTTTTCTTAAATGAATGCTGTTAAGTAAAGCAAAATGTGTCCCTACACTCGAAGAGGATACATTTTTAGTGATATGTTATATATATAAAAAAGAACTAGATGCTAAAGCTACCTTACTAAAATATGTGTCTTCTCTATTTGGAGCTTTATCTGCTATTCTCTCTTCTTTTATAGAAATAGAAAATGCATTATTAATGTACAAATAATATGCATGCTTATAGGAACAAACATTTTGAGCTGCAGAATAAACTAATGAAAAGAGCACAGACAGATACAGATATCTAATTACTACATTACCCTGGGCAAATCATTTAACTGCTCTATGATTCAGTCTGCCCATCTGTAAAATCAGTGGAACAGCTTCCCTACCTATCCCCAAGATATTTGGTAGGAGTACATGAAAAAGTGTTGTCGAAGCCTATTTAGGCACCAAGCTTAAAAGGTCTGGCACATGTTTGTGAAAGTACAATTATAATGATTTTCATTACTATTCTAGTAGACTCTGAATTTTAATCTTTAGGAATAACCCTAATTATTTTATTTTAAAATGCTTCAAAAATATAGCTATAACAGAAAAACCTGTCATATAACTAGTAGTAAAATTTTGGCCCTATAATATCATCCTATTTATTATTCAATTATTGCTTCAATAAACCAATGTATGTATAAAAGGTAGCCTTTGTTTTTCCGTATCTTTAATGCAATTTGTTCTGAAAAACTACTGTGACATTAATAATAAAGGACAAGCTCTGTAAAGAAAAGGTGCCTAACAAAAACTTGGCAATGATCTCCATTCAAAGCAAAAATGCTATGAATTTTAAGATAAGGGACCTGTTATATGTTAAGTAAAAATATTCGTAGTTTATAATTTGTGAAGCAGTAGGCATTGCATAACTCTGAGAAAAAATGCTGTTCATTATATGAATGGCAATTTCAAATAATATCAAATGATTTAAGTTCAAAGGACTTAGGAAAGCTTCATGGCATCCTGTTATTAATTTCACAAAAATTTCTTTAGAAAAGAAACTGAGTCCTACATGAAAAATGTAAAACTACAAGGTGCACTGTGTACTGATTCTCCATGCAACAAATCTGCAAACATTGCCTAGGGCATGCTATATGGGAAATCTGGACAGCTGGAAATCATAGTAGACAAGGAGATTTAGGTCATTGATCTCAGAATTGGAAAATTTCCCCTAGTGAGCCAATATGAATCTGGCACATATCACTGATACACACACATACACCCCTCCTATATCCTCAAAAAAGTAGCATATCACTAAGAGATATCATTAGAAAATGTATGCAGTAATAGCAAAGCGTGTGAATATATTAACTGATTGCGTAGTGAAAATCTTCAATATTCAGTAAATATTCATTGGGTACCTCCTATGTACACAACACTGTGAGAATCAGTAGTAAGAGATATAATTAACATTTGTTAAGTACTTGCTATTCTACATTCTTTACCTAACTCATTTAATCCCCCTTTCCCATCTCTCTCTCTTTTTCTCTCCCCCCCACCTTCTCTTGGAGATAAAAAACAATTATGATCATCAACATCAGCATCATCCCCATTTTCCATTTGAGAAAACTGAAGCCTAACTGAAGTAGCTTGCCCAAGGTGATAGAGCTAGTGAGCGACAGAGCCAAGATTTAAACCCTGGCAGTCTGATCCAGTCTACACATTCAACCACTATGCTATATTGCTCTAAAGCACAACCACAGGGAGCCACAAGAAACACTTCAAGCTCTTGAGCACTTACGCTTTATTTGTGTACCTCTCACTGCCTGAAATGACTCCCAGCTTAGGACTCACCAGCTCCATGAACCCTTCCCAGATTTCCCTCAGGAACAGTTGTCTACTCCCTTCTCTGGTCCATCAAGATATCTTGTACATATTCCAAATTCTGTACTTATTGGAACTATATTATAACTATTTGTCTGCATGTTTGCTCTTTTTATTCGTGAGGCTTGGCTGAGAATTCAACACATAGTAAACATCCAGTAGAGTAAATGATTAACCTGTCATTGGAACATTACAATTTAGTTGAAGAAGTAGTCTGAACTCTATTGGTGTAAGTATTTGTGTTTGATAATGGCAAATAAGAATAAAGGTTACCTTAGCAAAGGTTGCTAAATTATGGACTGGGGTGAAGATAGGGCTCAAACCTCACTCTGATAGACCTTAAAGGATAGGAATGAATCAGATGACTGGAAAAGAGGAGAGGCAATCTGGGGCCAGATGAGCAGGAGCAGGAGCAGGGGATTTGAGAAATGAGTGCCTGAGGCAGGTGTGGAGGGTGGGCAGCCCATTTAATGGCAAGCTAAGGAGCCTCAAATTTATTCTTAGGGCACTAGAGAGTCTTGAGCATGGAAATAACATGATCAGAAGAGCAAGGCAGGAAAAACAGTTTTGGCTGCAGGAAACACAAAGGTGAATAACAAAAAATATATAATATCTAGATTTTGAGGGTGAAACCTACTCAGAATCCTTCTTTAGTAAGGAAAAAGACAGCTGAAACATTCACCACCTGCTGAAAAAGGCTTGTCTCCAAGAAGCAAACTGTTACTAATAGTTTTTAATGTAAGTAAAAATTCATTAAACATTTATTGCTGCTTTATTATCCTACGGGCTAAGAATACAGAAATAATGCATCATCTTCAGGGATAAGAATCTAAATTTTTGAAAATGAAATACAGAATATGGATTAGAGAAGTAACATAAAATGATCAAAAGTTTGTATGTGAAGGTCAGAATGAGAGAGCTATTATTCTTATATAATATGATCTGTCAAAATAAAAAAAAACTTTTGTTCAAAAATAAATGATACAATCAGAAAATGAGAAAGGACATTAGAAGTAATCTAATCCCACAGCATTTTAGAGATGAGAAGAATGGGAGGACCAGAGAAGTTAAATGATCACCTCCAGGTCACACAGAAAGTTGTCAGTAAAATATGGATTACAAATCTCATCTCCTAACTATGGTTGACTGCTTTGCCTCTGCTGTTTTTCATAAAGCTATAAATATGACTACACTAGAAAAATAATTCTGGTATATTTTGGTATAAAACAAATTATAAGTCTTTAATAACATCCATGTAAACTTTAAAAGATTAAAACAATAGAGCCAATGAAAATGGATCATTCATTCATTTAGCAGCCTATATTAATTAAGAACCTAGCCAGGGAATGCAGGAATGGATGAAGGGTTTGGATATAAATAACGGAAAATGGCAAGGCGTGGTGGCTCACACCTGTAATCCCAGCACTTTTGGAGGCCAAGGAAGGAGGACCGCTTGAGCTCAGGAGTTTGAGACCAGCCTGGGCAACACGGCAAAACCTCATCTCCTAAAGATAAAAAAAAAAATTAGCTGGGCATGGTAGCGCAGCTGTAGTTCCAGCTACTCAGGAAGCTGAGGTGGGAGAATCACTTGAACCCAGGAGGTCGTATTTTGGATATGCTGAATTAAATATAAAATTAATATCACCAGCATTTTTAATTTCTTGGTAAAAATGTAGCTATTAGAAAACTGAAAATTATATACATGGCTCACATATTTCTATTGGACAATGCCACTCTGGAGAATGAGCAAAGATTAACCAGCTGTGGGCTGGTGCATGCTTAGAAAGGCCAGGAAAGAGGACAAGGTGGGATCTAACCATTAAAGGATAAGAATCTGAAGATTTTTTTTGAAAGACTAATTTTCAGGGAATTGTGGGGAAGAAAGTCTCACAGAAAAAAATGTGGGTAGTTACCCAAAAGTTTCTCCCATCATCTTTGGAACTTTGGCCAAATCAGGTGATGCCTTGGGCAAATCAGGTCTCCTTCCTCCTGCCACTGAACTAAACTTGCAGTTTATCCTTCTGTTTGTTCTCTGTGGAACTGTGAGCCAAGTGAAGTGCAGATGGATGGCTTCTTGGAACAGAACTGAAAGCATGCCAGTACTTAAGTTAGAATAGCATCCACCTTCAGTGACCACAGTTATTATGTGAACACCGTAGGTCCTCACGTGTGAGGTCACCGTATTATAGAAGCAGCTCTCTGGATAATTATTCACACAGACACAAACACACACACAGACGAATGTCATCAGAGTTTTTTGCTGTAAAACACTATTTCCATCTGTGTCTTCTGCTGCATAGTTTAATTCCTGTATATGTCTTTTAAATAAAAATGTGGGCCTCATCTGTGTTACACCAACCTTGAAGACATGAACTGCAGACAAATTTTCATAATAACTTCAGGGCTATCAAACTGGCTAGAATTGAAATATCAAGGTCAGCCCTGCCATTTTCAAATTATCTTCAGCCTTGATATAACAATAATCTTAATTAAATAGACTTCTAAAAACTAAGTGTAAGTCAAGCTTGAACCATCACTATTTTCAGAGTATACTAAACAGCTAGTAATACAAGTATAAGCAATAAATTATTCTTGTTTTTATAATAATGAGAAAAAAGTTCTAGAAGTTAATTCCACTTAAAGGTGTTTCAATAATTAATAATTTCATTTTTCTCATGTCCAATGTCATTACAGAATTAGGTATATTCATTACTTGAAACATTTCATTTAATCATTCACTTATTTACTTATTGCAGTGTTCCTTTATTGTATTGCAGTTATTTGTCCTGACAGTTTATAGTTCCTCGATTAAATGGATATTTTAGGTATTCTGGTTTTAATTACCTAGGAGCAAACTTCAGGTTTCA
Organism: Homo sapiens; assembly: GCF_000001405.40. Taxonomy (NCBI): domain Eukaryota; kingdom Metazoa; phylum Chordata; class Mammalia; order Primates; family Hominidae; genus Homo; species Homo sapiens. The sequence continues at coordinate 107,509,033 of NC_000005.10, forward strand.
AAGTTGCATTTGGACAAAGTGCTATTCCTATAAATTTATTTATAGGATGGCTTCGCTCTTGAGTTAATCAGAATTTGTGTCACTTACATAACAATGGTGACTAGCGTGACATGTTAGTAGTCTCTAATGCAATTTTGCTAAAAATTTTCTTATAACCCATTAATACATAAGAGCAGATGTCTTTAGATACCCTTTTACAGACTCTTTAAGATGACTATTTGTTCTTTTCATCTGAAAGAACCAACACAAAAGAGCAAAAGTGAGTGTCAACTCTTTTTCTTTTCCTTTTTTTTTTTTGTTTTCTGAGGTGGAGTCTCACCCTGTCGCCCAGGCTGCAGTGCAATGGTGCGATCTCAGCTCACTGCAACCTCTGCCTCCAGGATTCAAGCGATTCTCCTCCCTCAGCCTCCCGAGTAGCTGGGATTACAAGCATGTGCCACCATGCTTGGCTAATTTTTTTTTTTTTTTTTTTGTATTTTTAGTGGAGACGGAGTTTCACCATGTTGGCCAAGCTGGTCTTGAACTCCTGACCTCGTGATCCGCCCGCCTTGGCCTCCCAAAGTGCTGGGGTTACAGGCATGAGCCACCACACCCGGCCTGAGTGTCAACTCTTTTTACACCCCTTAAAAATATACTCATATACAGATGAATGGTTATAAATGATTTAAAAACGTAGATGAGGAACACTGGAATACGGCCTTCACGAGGGCAGAAATTTTTGCCTATTACATTCATTAGTATATTTCTAGAACCCAGAAGAGTCCTTGATCCTAGCAGATGCTCAATAAATATCTGTGTATTGAATGGCACATAATGGACACTCAGAACATAAATGTTTAATGACTGAATAATTCATGGAAATGATTACGCCATTAGTTAATAACAATATGCTCCATGATCATCATTTCACTGTATGCTACTGTCAAAGGCATTTGAATCACAGCAACTCCATCTTGAATAAGGGCTATGTAAAATGAGGCTGAGAGCTACTAGGCTGCTTTCCCAGGAGGGTAAGAGATTCTTAGCCACAGGATGAGATAGGAGGTCAACACAAGGTACAGGTCATAAAGACCTTGCTGATAAAACAGCATGTGGTAAAGAAGCCAACCAAAATCCACGAAAACCAAGATGGCCATGAATGTAACCTCTGGTCATCCTCGCTGCTCATTATATGCTAATTACAACACATTAGCATGCTAAAAGACACTCCCACCAGTGCCATGACAGTTACAAATGCCATGGCAATGTCAGGAAGTTACCCTACATGGTCTGAAATGGGGAGTAACCTGCAGTTCCAGGAATTGTTCACCCTTTCCCAGAAAACTCATAAATAATCCACTCTCTGTTTAGCCTATAATCAAGAAATAACTGTAAGTATCCTTAGTCTAGCACCTCAAGCTGCTGCTCTGCCTATGGAGTAGCCATTCTTTTATTCCTTTACTTTCCTTTCACTTTACTCTAGGGACTTGCACCAAACTCCTTGCGAGATCCAAGAACCCTCTCTTGGGGTCTGGATCTGGACCCCTTTCTGGTAATACTACAATATGAATACTTTAAATGGTGGTTACCAGGAAGTCTTAAATGTTTATGACAAGTAGGTGCTTAGTACGTTTTCTTGAATATATGAGTAAAGAAATAAACTAGAAAGACTGGGTCACAATTTAGAAAATAAGTCATGAGGTGCTGAAGACCAGAACAGCCCAATCTTTTTTTATAAACCTCCTGGATGCAAGTTTTAACACAGTCTCAAAAAAGTTGTGATCAGTTTCTCCAAAGCTACACACTGAGACTAGGATGACAACGAGCTACCTACTCAGGATTTTGCAAGGACCAAAAATCTTTTCTTACTTTACAATACTCTCAAACAGAAACTATTTTAAACTACATGGTTAATTCAACCTTGTGGACTGGATGGTCATCAAAATGATTATATAATTATTTCAACATAGTTGCATTTCTTTCTTTTTCTTTGTGTGTGTGTGTGTGTGTGTGTGTGTGTGTGTGTGTGTGAGACGGAGAGTTTTGCTCTTGTTGCCCAGGCTGGAGTGCAATGGCACGATCTTGGCTCACTGCAACCTCTGCCTCCCAGGTTCAAGTGATTCTCCTGTCTCAGCCTCTCTAGCAGCTGGGATAACAGGCATGCGCCACCACGCCTGGCTAATTTTGTATTTTTAGTAGAGACAGGGTTTCACCATGTTGGTCAGGCTGGTCTCGAACTTCTGACCTCAGGTGATCAGCCCGCCTCGGCATCCCAAAGTGCTGGGATTACAAGAGTGAGCCACTGCTCCCGGCACCATAGTTGCATTTCTAAATATAAAATCCCCACGAAGTTTGAAAAGATGATGAGATCAGGGATATTTGAACACATTTTTAAAGTAAATGGATGTATGGAATATTATGATAGAATATAGTAGTAGTGGTAGTCAAGCATGAAACTGGTAGAGAAACAAAAATATACATGTAAAATAAACTCAGTATTTTAATAATAAAATAAATGGTATCCTAAAAAATACACTGATTTTGTAAATCTATATTTTGCTATTGTGACTTTCTATGAATATCCATTTATAAAGTGTTACATTCCAACCTGAAGCTTTTTTAAAAGTACAACAATCTTTTTAGTTTCAACTTTAATCTGTAAATTAAGTGCCCTAAATCATCTAATAGCATAGCTCTAAATTCATCCTTATCACCACTGCCTATTTAACATCAAAACTATCATAAAAAAAATAGTTCTTATCTATCAATGCATACATATATTACTTTTCTTAAAAAAAACCTGACTAATAATGTGGCACCATGAACATGTTATATGTAGACATGGTTTGTTCAAAGGGCTAAAAAACAATTATAGCCCTGCCTACTCACAATGCATTCCCCCAAATTTTCATTAGCTTACATCATAGTAAGACTTCACAAAATTTTCATCTGAAAAGACCTACTTTCCTTAAGATCTTGCTCACAAAACACCCAAAAGGTGCATTTTGAGAAAATGAAGAAAATGCCATGATGCTATCTGTGGCTCCTGCAACACTTGTTTTACTTCCTTTCGAAAGAAATAGAAAGTCAAAAGAGACTTCAAATGGTGGGCAGATGTAAATGGCATTTGCCTGAAAAGACATAAAGCAGCATTCAACAGGGAAGTCCCACCCCACTGAGTCTGTATAAGCGCTCACTCCATCTCTGTTGTAGTTGAAGACAGTGGCTGTCAATCAATCCTGGCTCAGTGGTTAAAGAACCCCACATAGGCTCCTCAGTAGGGTGTAAATGGCTGCAATCGCCTGGGTATAAGCAACTGATTTGCAAGCTGAGGGGCAAAACAAAACAAACAAAACAACAACAACAACAACAACAACAAAAAACACAAAAACCCCCACCTTGTTTCTTCCTCACACAACCTGAAATCAATACTCTAGCCTGTTTTTTTTTACCTTCTAGGAGGTTTACAGTTCTTGTAGGCCATCATTACAGAGAGTCACAGAAGGCACAAAACTGAAGCATGTCACCCAGGTTAAGAAGCTGAAGACTTTGTGCTGATTTCCAGTGATTATTGCCATTAAAATAGAGCAATGAGATAAAGTTTTGCCAGAGCCAAACACACACCATGGTGTTTTTGCAAAAGCATATACGAGAACTTAACTCCAAGATGACAGCTCCATCAAGCAGCAATCACCGAGAATGCTGTTCTGAATTCAAAGGCAACCCTGCTAACCACTCTTTCTGAGTAAATCACTTAACTTCTTTTATACCTCAGGTAGTTCATTGTGCACTACCTCACCATGGGTTGCTTACCAAGAAAACGTAATAAAAATAATTGGGGAGCTCTTTGAAGACATAAAATTGCTGTGGAGAGAATCAACTGTAAATTTAAGTCTGTGCTCCTTGGTGAAGAAGTCTCCAAGTGAGCTAGTCTTGATGAGGTCTCCTTTGATGATTTGGACTGTACTACTCTTAGTAGAAAGAGGCTCTGCCCCTTCCTGATGGGTACTTACGTACCCAGTGGCCAGGAGGAATGGACTCAGGGATGGGGCTAGGGGCCTCACCCACCAGGCATGAGAGGTAATTTGTGCTTCCCTGGCTGCCTTGGCACCATGCCTCTGTAGCTTTGTTTCAGGGATGACATGCTTCAGCTCAGGCTGCTGTGCTTAAGTCCTACTGTAGTCAGAGATTTGGGGCTGGGAAAAGAGGGGCAGCTTTGCCCCCTCCTGAGCCAAGAGGAGAGGGAGAGGGAGAGAGAGAGAGAGAGACTCTATCAAATAAAAGCCTGTTGGGATTTACAAGGAAACACTCGCTTGGGAGCTCAATTAATAATAAAATGTGATGAGCATGTTGATTCTGTGGGTTTTGTTTCCAAATCATTTGCTACCTGCCCCATTTCAGAGCATGTCAGGAATGGGTACTCTCCCACTGCAAAGATGGGGAAATGAGTCAAAGTGTCTCACTTGTGTAGCAAGTGGAAGCCAGATGTCAGAAGATGTATGCTGGGCAGATGTTAGAATTTTAAAACGAGAACTACCTGAATGGCCCCAGCAGAAAACATGGTATTCTAAAAATAGGACACCGACACCCCACCGAAATCAACTGTTCATTTATTTATTCTACATGACGGGTGCTGTGGGGCACCAGCTTCTTGCAAGCCTGCAAAACTGCTTGTGATTCATAAGATGTTTCTGAACAGAAAGAGGCTGGTGGTATCCGTCCATTAAAAACAGGCTCTTCACTGAGATACTGGGCTCTATGTTGTTTTTTCTTTAATTCCAAGAACTCAGAGGGAGGGACAGAAATGCTCAGTGGATAGCTATGGATGGATGAGCAGAGGGGAGAGGAAATAAGTGTGACATGTAAGCTGATCTGTGTGATACAGTAAGAGAGGAGGATGTTGCGAGGTAGGCCTGGGTCAGCGTCGCACAGGTGTTGGTGCTGGAATCTGTTTCCTGAACGTCTGTGCTGAACACAAAAACAACCAGGACCACGGGGGTAGAAATAACAAGTCTCACATTGCTTTAACAAAAACAACAAAATAAAGCACTATTCCTGTTTTCTGCTGTTTCTGTCATGCTAAATGACATCCCTGTCCCCAGGTTTAGCTATGTATTTTGCCACCTCATAAAACCCCAATCAATCTTCCCTTCTCTTCTGGCACCAAGTTATGAAGCATCCCTGATCTTCCAGACCTAAAGAAAACAGCAGAGAGACGGGGCTCCTCATCAGGTAGAGGTTTTCTTTTTTGTCAGAATTTGAGACTAAATACAGATTGGAGTATTCACTTGGGAATTCAACAGAGATCCATCTTAAGGAACATTCCAAATACACAATCAGAAAGAAAGCATTTGTGTGCTTTTCTGCTCCTAGGAAAATGCAGAGAGAAAGAAAAGGTTACTGTTTCATGTGAACTGATTTCTCCCTTCTCTGTGGTAGGCAGAGAACACATCATCCCACCTGGAACGTGAGTCATTTGTGAAATGCTTGTTTTAAATTCAAACTTCTCCACAACCTGACGAGTGTGTGGGAGACCCAAGGAAGCTGACATACAAGGGCAGATTTATTTTTCTGCCAGAAGGAACCATCAACACAAAGGCCAATGGTAACCCTAAAAATGGAAATGTGCTAACCCTTTTTATTGTCAAGCAAATAAAAAAATTATTCTTCAAAGGAGGAGAAACAAATGCTCAGACCCTCCAATGGCTTCCTGTCTCATTCAGAGTAAAAGCCCAAGTCTCTACAAGGATTCTATGAGGTCCTACGTGACCTGCCTCCCGTCTCCTCTTTCCTTACTTCACTGACTTAATCTCCTACCTCTCCTTATGATATAGGAGTTAAGAAGAAATTAGGCAGATAGCAAGGGCATGGGAGTCCTTGATAAGGCTTTTCTTTTTAATGAAAAACAGAAAAACAGCCCCAAATCATTTTCTAACAAAGAGCTGCCTGCAAGCTAGGAGCTTGCATGGGTGAATGCCGGCAGGAACTAAGGACTAGACATGTGCAGGATGGCAGCTCCATCTTCCTTTCTCTGCCAGCCACGTGTACTGTCAAGGAGCAGACAAGATGGTCCCAATCAACTAGAAAGTCCACTTGCACTGTAACCTCCGCCTTCTGGGTTCAAGTGATTCTCCTGCCTCAGCCTCCCAAGTAGCTGGGATTACAGGCGACTGAGCCACCACACCTGGCTAATTTTTGTATTTTTTAGTAGAGATGGGGTTCCACCATGTTGGCCAGGCTGGTCTCAACTCCTGACGTCAAGTGATCCGCCTGCCTCAGCCTCCCAAAGTGCTGGGAATACAGATGTGAGCCCCCATGCCCAGCATCAAGACATGGTTTTTATTTTTTATTTTATTATTATTATTATTATTATTATTATTATTATTGAGATGGAGTCTTGCTGTGTTGCCAGGCTAGAGTGCAGTGGCACAATCTCGGCTCAATGCAACCTCCGCCTGCTGGGTTCAAACGATTCTCCTGCCTCAGCCTCCCTAGTAGCTGGGACTACAGGCATGCGCCACCACACCAGGCTAATTTTGTGTTTTTCGTAGAGACAGGGTTTCTCCATGTTGGTCAGGCTGGTCTCGAACTCTCAAACTCAGGTGACCTGCCTGCCTTGGCCTCCCAAAGTGCTGGGATTACAGGAATGAGCCACTGCACCCAGCAGACATGGCTTTTAAAGTGCTCTGTTTTATCTACTTAAGGCCTGGACTCCACAAATCAAATCAATGTGTTATAATACAGAACTCTGGGTACTTCCTAATCTTATAACCTCTTCCTACTCATGCTCACGCCCCAAAGGCTATCTATCTATGAGATATGTTGTACACAGGAGAATCCAAGCCCAAGAAACTAAAAATCATCCCAAAGCAGTTTAAAAATGAACAGGGTTTATTTTACTGTAGAGCTTGTTACATCATCCATTTGTTGAATTACCATTTATGTTGGGTTACTTATCCTTACAATTCAAATGACCTACAGCCCTAGACACTAGAATTTTATTTCATTTTTGAGACACAGTCTCACACTGTCGCCCACGCTGAAGCGCAGTGGTATAATCATGGCTCACTGCAGCCTCAAGTAACCGGGCTCAAGTGATCCTCCTGCCTCAGCCTCCTAAGTAGCTAGGACCAAAAATGGGCACCACAATGCCTGGCTAGTTTTGTGTGTGTGTGTGTGTGTGTGTGTGTGTGTGTGTGTTAATTTTTGGACAGACGAGTTTACACTATGTTGCCTAGGCTGGTGGCAAACCCTGGCCTTAAGCAATCCTCTCGCCTCGGCCTCCCAAAGTGCTGGGATTATAGGCCTGAGCCACCATGCCTGGTTGAGTTTTATTTTTTTTAAGCAGCCACGATATACAGGAATCAAGAGAATTTAATCCTCAAAAGTAAAAAAGAAAAACCTCTATGAAAGGAAATGACTTGGGCTTGTGTCTATGTAGTGCCCAAAACAACCTGTTGGTCTGCTAATCTGTTAATCAAACAACTGTTTTAACTATATTATGAGAAATAACCACTTCAAGTTATTTTTGTTTTTATAGAATTGACAACTCCTGTTCCTCCCAAACTGCTTCTTTGATACACTACACATATGGCCGTAAAAGAAAGAATGCTTTAAATACCATGAAGCCCACATCTAAGTACTTAATTATCTGGGAAGCTTATGATGATGGTGATGATGTTTTCCCTCAATGGTAAATCTAAACCATGTGTGACAGCTGCAAACCACAGCATTTATTTAGTAAAGCCAGGGCTCCTTGCTCCTCTGTAGGCTTAGGAAACATTTCAGTGATGTCTGAAAAATAATAAAATATGTTACATAAAAGTCCAATATCTAGAACCTCAAAAATATTATATTCAGTGAAAGAAGTCAGACATAAAAGAACACATATTGTATGATTCCATTTGTACAAAATGTCCCAAAAAGGCAAGTATATAGAGACAGAAAATAGATGACAGGCTATCTAGGGCTGGGGGTAGGCACAGGGGATGACTATAAATGGGTATCAACCTTTCTAGAATACACACGTCATAAAATTATATCGTGATGACTGGATGGCTCTGTAAATACACTAAAATTCATTGATTGTACATTTACACCTCATGAATTTTATGGTATGTAAATTACATCTCAATAACACTGTTACTAAAAAAAAAAAAAGATGGAAAAAAGTCCAGTATTTATAAAAGCTTACAGGTTATAGGGTGCAGGGAGGAGAAACTAGAAGACAATGATGCTATCTCACAGTATTCATCATGCAAATTATGGTTTCTGTTCTTTTCTCCACTCCTATACAATCATGGTGACTCAGGAGAGGGTTACAGGTGTGTTGAAGCACAGTGATAAAAGTACTGAACTCCGGGCCAGACTGCCTAGGTCGGCCACCTACTGCTCTGTGACTTCAGGACAAATCACTCGGTGCTTCTTGTACTTTAGTTTCCTCATCTGTAAACACTAGTAATAGTACTGACCTCATACGGTTGTTGTGAATATTAAATTCAATATATGAGAAAAGTTTAAAAGTGCTCACTATCATTATTATCCTTTTAGCCTCTTCTTGTGTGCCCAATAAAGATCTTGGTTTTCTGTATATGCCAAGATATGAAAATCACTGGGAAACAACGTCAAACAAATTGCGCTGCATTATGTCTGAATCATGTTCTGTGACAAGTCATATTACAAGTGGTACGGTTATATTATGCAATGTATGTGATAATGTGTGAGAACAAACGAAGCAGGCTACGTAAAAGACTTTTTCAAAAATAAGGTTGTACATCACTTAGAAACACATTCTTAAGGATCTATTAAACTCATATTTTCATTATAATCTGCTAAGTATGAACACTATAAAAGCGTTTTTGTCTACTCAATTGTCAGGGTCAAAGTAGAATTGGGTTGGGTTGATTGGTATATCTTTTAAAAATACTGTATTTTTCTTATGCAATGAAGTGTACTCAGCAGGGATCCAAACTATATATGCAACAACAAAACAGGATTAAAAGCTTTTTAATGAAGGCACTGTAAACAGCATTTTCCTTCTGCTTTAGAATATTTCAAATACAAAATTAGCAAGCCCCAGAGACTGGAATTTCTGCTACAGGAGAGATGAAAGGTTAACTGTCTAAAAAGGAAAGACTATGTTTGACATATTCTATTTAGAAAATAAAAGGGTTTCCTAATAAAAGCAGAGGCCCACTTGATGCGCCTAATGCTCCTTCAGTGTTTGCATACACAACTGAGTAATTAGAAAGCCCCACTCGGAAAAAAAAAAAAAAAAGTGAATAAAAAGCCATTGCAGACATCGGTCCCTTGTTTACTAGGCTTGCTGGAGGCCCTGGAGGTCACTGTGATTGACAGGATTTTGGTGTTAGTAGGAGAGTTGATAATGCACACACATCTCTGGAGAGGAGAGCTCCGGAGTCCTGATCATGCTTAATAGAAGGGCAGCCACTGTGGAGAACAATGGAACAGGCAAAGCCTGGGGGACTGGTGGGCAGAAGGATGTTCAAGGATTGCAAATGACGTTCCCAGTCAATTAGTACCCATTGGGAAGCCGAGGTACACCATGCCAAAAAAAAAAATACCTAAAAATTCTCAGGGCAAGAATCTTCCTTTGCCAAAGACAAGGTACCACTGTAGCCATTTCCATTAGGTATACTTCAGTAACCTCAGCTCCCCCAAAGCACCCCTATGAGCTGCTGAAGATCAAGTCATTTTAGAAAAGCAACACTAGTTCCTACAACGTATGGCAATGTTTTCATTAGGCATGGCTGAAAGGCAAAAACCACAGCTTTGAATCACAAAGCCACCTGAACTTTATCTTTTTGTTCTACTTGAATTCCTAGAAACTCAATGGAAAGTATTTTCTGTATTTCCAGTCATTGAGAGGAACCATGTTAATTATTCCCAAGGTTCCTCCCCTTAAAGATCCCTGTGACCCAAATTTAAAAACAAGATCCAACCGGTTTCATTTGATGTAATGATATTTGAGATGTGTGGTTACAGAGAATAAATCTATTTCTATAATATGTTATTACATTAGTTTAATGAATATGCTTTCAACCAATGAAGATATTCCTCTTCCAGAGACACAAAGGTAGTTGCCACAAGAACTTGAATTACCCTGTCGTTGTTCTTCATTTCCACTTATTAATGAGATCATATATTAGCTGTTGCCCATGCAAAGTTTTAACCATCAAAATATCCTAATTCTAAAAGTCGGAACCTAGTGAGCAGAATCATGGTCCAATTGTTGATTCTGCTTATAGAACATCAGTTAAAACTGCAGGAGTACATGTGCTGAAATGTAGATTTTTACAAAATGGGCTGTTTACCTTTTCATAACTCCTTTGCTCAAAAACACAGGACCATTTATTGAGGCAAAGGAATAAAAACAATCTTGTCTTGACAAGGTCACACCAGGTTTTCCTAGCTTAATCCTTTTGGAAAACTTTTTCTCACTTAATCCATTTCATCCTGTAGAAAGCCCTGTTCAGAATTTCTATATGATACTGAAACAATAAACAGACATGTAGGGTGTCAAAGTTCTAAGGGAAAAACATACAGAGGTCTTTGAAAGAGTGTCTTCCAAAATAAAACACTGAGAAAACGATTGTTGTTTCTTTGGGGCATGGAGCGAAGCGATCCCCTTGGAAAGCACACACTGCAGAAAATGTAAAATTAGACATCTACCTGAACACCATGACTTAGTCTAAAAAAATATGCAACTGTGCTTAAGTGAATTTATTTGAATATTTTTACTTTAAAAATAAGTAATTTTAAGAAAAGGAGAGCAGTTAGTGCATTTTCATTCTGGGAGCTTCAAGTCACATCAAAATCTTCACGCAAAGTTTCCTTTCTCTTTGAACTGTAAGCACCACTCTGGCTGGGCCAGGTGGGATGAAGTGGAGCAACAGCGACAAAGCACAATGACTTACTTTCCCATTCCATCCTGATTTCTCATTCATGCTTTGTTTCCTTTCTTTAAAGGGGGGAAACAGCCCTCCATTCATTTGCTACAAGGTCCACAGAACCATCTCAGGGCTTACGGGGACAGTGTGTCACCAGGGCAACTGAAATAAACACGAAAGACAGATGTGAAGGCTGGAATTCTTCAACGGCAAGAGGGTTTGACACTTCATAAATCACTGTGTCACTCTGCTATAACAAAAACTGGTCTCATGTACTGTACCCGAGGCTTTCTCTCGCTGTACTTGCTTGTGGAGTCTGTTTGCATACCACATCTGGTTTGTCACTAAAAGCTTTATAAAGGCAGTGAATCAATAAGAGTGAGAAAAGGGTGGGGCCCTTCACTCTCAATACAATAAAGTCCTCTTAAGAAAGAATTCAAGAAACCAGTTACTAAGAAAATAAAAAACTAAAAAGGTCTCAGATAAGAAATGAAAATGCTTTCAATCTGAACACATAAAAAAGCATGATCTTGGTTATCTGGCTACTTTCAGTTGGCTATGCTGTTCTCAAGATCACAGGCACAAAATGTTGAGCATCTATTTGTATCTGTGTCTAGGTGAGTCCAAATTAACTATTCTGTCTTTCATCTGGTAGGCAAGGGGGAGCTCCTAGTGGAGTTCAGTTTATTTAAAAACATAAATGTTTGTTAGGTTGAACCGAATAAGTCTGCCATCTTATGATTTTCTTCTGAAGAGGTTACGAGAAGAGCTGGCCTTCAAACTATAATTAGCAAGTTTTCGAGGATGTGTGAGTGTTTCTGACTGCTTGGTACCAACCAGATCTGCCTTAAGCAGAGTGAATGGGTAGTAATCACTGTGGATCAAGATGTATTTGCTGTTTCTTTTACTAAATTATCTTAACAGTGATAGCTCAGGGTACTTAGCAGTCATTCATACCCTGGTCATGTAGTCATACACAATATTTAAATGTATCATACTAAAGAAAACACCATTTGTGTCTATTTTCCAAGCTTCCATTCTCTTACATTTAGTCAATTTAATTATAAGATAAATGTAATATGATTTGAAATCTAACTTGAAAATAAGCATGTGCCATTTCACCATTAGACCTATACAGATGCTCCTTTGACTTATGATTGGCTTATTTCCTGATAAACGAACTCATTGTGAGTTGAAAATTATTGTATGTAGAAAGTGCATTTAATACATGTAACCTACAAAACATCATAGCTAAGCCTAGCCTACCTTAAACATGCTCAGAACGCTTACATTAGCCTATGGTTTGGCAAAATCATCTGGCCACACAATAAACTTTAGAGTATGTATGTATGTATGTATTTACTTATTTATTTATTTATTTGAGACAGGGTCTCATCTCGCTCTGTGGCCCAGGCTGGAGTACAATGGCATGATCATGGCTCACTGCAGCCTTGACCTCCTGGGACTCAAGTGATCCTCCTACCTCTCAGCCTCCTTAGTAGCTGGGACCACAGGCATGTGCCACCACACCTGGCTATATATATATATATATATATTTTTTTTTTTTTTTGGAGAGACAGGGTTTCCATATGTTGCCCAGGCTGGTCTTAAACTCCTAGGCTCAAACAACCCTCCCACCTCAGCCTCCCAAAGTGCTGGGATTCCAGGCATGAGCCACCAAGTACTAGTTGTCTACCCTAGTGATTGCGCGGCTTACTGGGAACTGCAACTCACTGTTGCTGCCCAGCTTCGTGACAGATACTGTACTGCATATCGCCAGCCTGGGAAAAGATCAAAACCCAATATTCAAAGTATAGTTTTGACTGAATGTGTGTCCCTTTCATACCATCGTAAAGTGCATAAATTGTAAGTTGAAGACCATCTATATATTATTGTATGTCTTTTTTTCTTTCTTAGTCAGTTCCCGCTATGTTTTCCAGGCTGGAGTGGGCAGTGGCTATTCACAGGATCAGTGATCATTGCACACTACAGCCTCCAACTCCTGGCCTCAGGCAATTTGCCTCAGCCTCTGGATTAGTTAGGACTACAGGTACACCATCTTGCTAGGCATTTTATGCTTTCTTTTTCTGTTACAAGAGTGGACAAATCATCCTCATGCACCTAACAATATTATATAGCAACGGTCCATAGTATTTTCAAGAATGAAAACTCTTCCATGAAGCAGCTGTATTTCTGTTATCTGAACACTAAAAAGTACAACATGACAAAAAGTACTCTAGTGCAGTAACTTTTTATATGAATTTGTACTCACTAGCATGCATATTATTGGGGGATAATAATGCTACATGTATTCTAAGGCACATCTGTACATGTTTTATTAGTCACCCATCAAATTTTGTGATACAAGGAAATGTGAAGACCTCTTTGAAATATCCATGGGGTCACCCAGGACTTTATGCCTCACAGAGCCACTAAAACCTATGTCTCCTGGCTCTTTCTCACTCTCTTTCTTTTTTTCTTTGTCTTTTTTTAAAGACACAGGGTCTCCTTCTGTTGCCTAGACTGGAGTGCAGTAGTGTAATTATAGCTCACTGCAGGCTGGAACTCCTGAGTTCAAGTGGTCCTCACACTTCAGCCTCCCAAGTAGCTAGGATTATAGGCACGTGCCACCACATGCAGCTAATTTTAAAAATAAATTATTTATTTTTTTTAGAGACACGATCTCACTTGAGGTCGACGTTACCTCCAGTGATCCACTTTGGCCTCCCAAAGGGTTGGGATTATATGCATGAGTTGCTATGCCTGGCCTCTTTCTAATTTTTCTGGCCTCAGTCCAAGTACTACTGCATGTTGGAGTCAACTTCATTGACTACCCAAGCCACTTGGGTAACTTTCTTCCAGCCACTATGCTCTATCACATTTCTGGTTTTTATGAACTATATTTTTTATTCAAACTCATCACACTCTCTAATTCTTTTGTTTATTCAGTTACTTGAATAAAGGCTGTCTGTATCCCCCATTCACTAAATCATGGGACCTTGCCTTTTTAACAAATAGATGGGTATTTCCAACACCTAAACAGGGTTCATCAAATGTAAAGACTATTTAATTTCCACTGATACAGATTCCACAAGACAGATAAAGCAAAGAGACAAACTGGCTTAATTTACCAAGTTAATATCACTAAGCTCAATTAGTACTGTTTTTTCGTTTGTTTGTTTATTTTAACCAACTATGGCCAATCTTCACACAGACCAGACAATATTTCTCCTCTTTTAGTGTGTTCTTACCTTTGCTTTTGAAAGATTTTACATATGCCAGACACCTCTGGAAGGGCAGCTATCTTAGTATTATCCAGAGTTGGGAAATAGCCATGATATCATTCAGTTATGAAAATCAGAAATATGTGCTTCCTTTTTTTTTTTAAGAAATAGTCTCAGATATTCAACTTGTTTGTCTTAGATTTGCTTAAACCCCAAACAATCTGTGTTTAATGTTTTTGGTGTCCCACTGCTTTGCAAGCAGACATACCACTTGCAAATGTGCCAGCCCTTTGTGCAAACACCCAAAAGGCTACATCAGATCCAAAAGCTCTGGCTCACAAGGGGGCCAGCAGGTGGAGAGCAGATGAATCAGCCATGAGTGTGTGCCTTTCGGCCTGCTAAGAAGGAAGACAGTGGCATAAAGAGAGTATTATGGTTCCAGGCACAACTTCAGTCTGTCCAAGAGGCTCTATCGTTAACGGAGAATACAGAGATTACATTCAGTTACCCGAATTCTACAAGCTTTCTGTAATGCTCAAAAGGTTTAAGTGCACTTATCTGTCATCCCTTCACTTTCCTTTTTGAAATAAATCCCTTTGTAATAACAAATCAGACTTTCCTTCTTCTCTTTATGCAGGTGAGCAATGCATGGGTGCTTTTATATTTAGCTGGTAGGGAAGAATGACAACAGGTAGCAGAAGCAGACTGTAGATTATTATTTGCAATTAACAATAGGAGATATAGCTCCCTTCTTACCTTCCAATTCATTTCTCTATGCTAATAGAAAATAATTAAACTGCACAGCAATTTAAAGTATCAGGTTGGGTTCTGAATGAATATCTTTAAGGTTCATGATAGCAATTAATAGATTCCTTTTTAATGCCAGTTGTTTAGATCTTGATAATCAACCTGTTGGGTTCTTCTGTTTTGTAATTCATGTAGTTAGTCAACCAAAATGATACTATTTAACCTCTTTTCACCCATGGCAATCTTTACCGTAGATGAAGTCACTGAGCCACGCACATTCTAACTTGAAATTACCATGAGTGACTCTTTAACTTGAAGTTACTCACCTATGTTCCTGGCAGGCCAGATTTGTGAGCAAAAAATTCACTGGAAGTAACATAAAGCCATTGTGGGCACCAGCTGTCCCAGTAGGAGCAATGAGGGAGGGATATTAATAATGGCAAAACATAGTTGTTTGCCTGGTCACAGAAAATGGCCCACAGCACAGGTTGAGTGAGTCACAGCTGATCAAAAAGTGCCTCAAAATAGGAAAATGTCTAAGCATGTTAAAAATGCAACAACAGCTTCAGGTAGGTGAAAAACAATAGGCAAGCTATACTATTTATACATCATCTACTATTTACTCCACTAATGCAAACACATTTTTTACTACTGGCAAACAGAGAAGAAGAAAGTTAACTACATACAGGTCTAATGATGCTAGCCATACTGAATATAGGAGAAAACTGTGAAGTTATTTGCTTCACTAAAAGCCAAACTGGGTTTTTACACATTAGGTAAAGTCAAACTTCATGATTAAATCCAAGGAGAGGTAACTTTCCTTGATATCCCCTCAGGCCTAGAGTGAACCAGCAGAAAACCCAGAAGTGCAGAAGGGATGTCCTTTTTACAGCATCTATCCACCTTTGCCTATAGTGATACCACTTTTGCAATTTTAGAAACTTTCTGGATAGTTGCTTCATACTCAGAGTCACCCTAGAAATTTCAATAGTAGTAAATATTAAACTTCTAAAAATTAGTAGCATGCAAGCTCCCAGTTTTAATTAAACTCATACTGTTAATGCAGATTAGGCATATATGTTTATATCATACACAAACTGCACTTCTGATTTACATGTATTAATCTTAGAGTAATAGCAAAGTATAAGGGAAAAGAACACAAGCTTGATGACCTAAAGGGATTTTACATTCAGATCCAGCATTGCCTGAGAGACTTTTGACAGAAAATTTAACCTCTCTGGGCCTCTGTTTCTTATGTAAAAATGAAGACAATTATATTACAACTTTCAAGGATTATGAGATAAAAGAGATTGTAAGATTAGTGGGTTAATGACTGAAGAAATTACAGTTCTTGGCACATACAGTTCTTGGCACACAGTGTATATAGATATGTGTGTGTGTATATATGTATATATAAAATGTATATGGCATATATTCAATATATGTTGCTGTCTTATCTCTTTTTTCCCTAATTCATATGTTAATGTAAATGGTTCAATTTTAGTTTATTTAAAGCCATGAGCACCTTACATTTGACCAACCTCCATGCAGTTGAAAATCCATGTATAACTTCTGATTTCTTAAACCTTAAATACTAATAGCCTATTGGTGACCAGAAGTTTTACTGATAACATAAACAGTCAATTAACACATATTGTATTTTTTTATGTATTATATACTATATTCTTACATGCTAGAGAAAGGAAAACATTATTAGGAAAATCATAAGGAAGAGAAAATATGTTTACTATTCATTAAGTGGAAGTGGATTATCATAAGTTTTCATTCTCATCATCTTCATCATGATGAGTAGGCTGAGGAGAAGGAGAAAGAAGAGGGGTTGGTCTTGATGTGGCAGGGATGGCAGAGGCAGAAGAGGTGGAAGAGGCTGAAGGGGAGGCAGGAGAGGCAGGCGCACACAGTTTAACTTTTATTGAAAAAAATCCATGTGTAAATGAATTCCTGTGCTTCAAACCCATTTCGGTCAAGTGTCAATTTTACTTAAATTTGAAGCACTAGGAGGTCTCTGATTTTCTTAAAACCTAAATCTAAATTTTCTTTCAAAGTTTTTATTTAGTTAGCAATCATATTTATACTGTACTATAGAAGATATTTATGATGGATACGGGAATGAATCAGAATTGCCCGCAAAGGTCAATCAAAAGAAGACATAAGGCCATTTTGTGTATAGCCAGCAAATACGGAATTACAGAAATCAACAGAAACTTATCTATTATTTTGTTTATCCAAGGAGATAAAGGGATCCAGGAAGTTTTCTACTGGCTCACCATGAGCCCTATGTTATTCTAGAATGATTATAGATTCAAGATTCTGGATTTTAGAATGACAACATTGCTTCTTGCAATAACCATTAGGTTTCAACTAGAAGACTCAAAGACTTCAATTGGAAGAGAAGCCTGATCCCAGTTCTAGCTCTGTAGGTCTACAGTGAGAGTTATATTTCCTCTGCAGCAGTTCATTCCAGTGTAAGGTTTGCCTGAAAACATTCTTCCTGAAACCAGGGCTGGGCCATACATGTGGTCTCTGCTCACTCTGACAGGAGAAAGCAAACAGCCCAGACTTGATTGGGTCTGAACATGGCCACCCTCTGTGACTCTGCTGTATTTCATAAGGCAAAAAGTATATGAGTTCTGCCTTTCTAGAAATCATCTTTATATGTGCTTTTCTATTCAGTCATGGATTATAAATAGATTCTCTGATTAGTTTCCCAAGTGAAAAGTATATAGAAAAGAACAGGATTTACTTCTGAATGTGAAAGTACATTATTTTATTCTAACAACTAAATCAGTAGAGCAGCAAGTTATCCCTAGGAGATCAGAAGGAGAGCAAATTCCTAAATAATAAGGTCATGTAGTAAAAATGGAAGTATGAGGACAAAATGTAAGTGCAATGGGAAATTCTACTTTCTTCAATATAGTAATAAAATAGCTTACAATGCCAGGAAAATATTATAAAACCATTAGAAAAGTCTACAAGTTATGACAAGATGGCTTAAAGTGGAAAAAAATAGGGCCTTCACCTATGCTGTTCTTTTAATATATTGACTATAGGTACCACATGTTTTGATACAGAATAACCAACCATATTAGCCACAAAATGCCAGATTTTTACTTTATTTTCTCCTGGATAAATCAGGAAAAAATACCTTTGTGTTGGGAAAAAATATTTGTGCTTTTATTCCCCCTAAGTTTCTGGACATAAATATGACCTGGCATTTTGTCTATTAGCCAGAAAACCAAAACATCCCATGTTCTTGTTTTGTTTCATGTATGAAATTTGAACTGCAAAGGGTATAATATAATCATATAAGTAGATGTATAAATGGGTTATTCAGATAAACTTTATTTTCTTTTAAAACAACCTTTTTTTCTTTTTTCTTTTTTTTTTTTGAGATGGAGTCTCGGGCACTGTTGCCCGAGCTGGAATACAGTGGCGCAATCTCGGCTCACTGCAACATCTGCCTCCCAGGTTCAAGCAATTCTCCTGCCTCAGCCTCCCGAGTAGCTCGGACTACAGGCATATGCCACCATGCCCAGCTAATTTTTGTATTTTTAGTAGAGATGGGGTTTCACCATGTTGGCCAGGCTTATCTTGAACGCCTGACCTTGTGATCCACCCGCCTCAGCCTCCCGAAGTGCTGAGATTACAGGCATGAGCCACTGCACCCAGCCTAAAACAACGTTTAAGGTTCATCTAGATTGGGGTGTGTGTTAGGGGAATGGGATAAGAGAAAATAATCTCAACAATCCTAAAATCATTCTATTGTTAAAATTAATTTTCCTTTTCAGAGTAGTCTCATGCACATTATCTTATTTCAGATGCCCAACACCCAGATGTGGCAGGTAGGGAAGTTTCATAATAACCTCATATAACAGATAGGAAAACCAAGATGGGAACATGTGAAAGGAAATGAGGGAGGTCAGGGAATGACTGACAACAACCACGTCAGGGAGAAAGCTCTGACTCCGGGGCCTTCTCCTCCCCCTCAGTACATGAAAAATGTCACAACTTTCTCCCCCAGAAATAGAAGTTATCCCAAACATTCTCTACAAATGTTACTTCAGAAGCCAGCAAATAAAATGACTTTCAGGAACCACAGCTTGGCAAATAGATGGACAGGAAGAAACAGTGTCAAGTCACTGTTAGCACAAAATTGCATCTCTACATTGGCACGGAGCTGGTAATTGACAGGCAGTATAGCAGGAGTTACTCTTCAGCTCTGTCATCTGCAAAATGGGAATGGTAGTACTTACCCCGCTCGCCTCACCAGGCTGCTGTGACAACTGACTGTGATAACAAGAAAAAACCTCCATCTTCATCCCCAGAGCTTGATATCAAAACAACTAAGCCAGAAAGAAGACCTTTGGTCCTTACCTGATGGGACACTCATTATAACAGGAGAAATAATAATGTCTTTTACAAAGCTACAGACACAGCTTATTTGTGATAAGAAAACAGTTTTGTTTTTTAGTTTTTTTATTGGCATTAATTTACTCAGAATATCTACTAAGTGCACTAATAACTTCATAATATTAAAAAAGGTAAAATTCAGAATTGAATAAAAATGGAAGGGTGAAATGTGCTTGATCACTCAGTTAAACCATGACAGTCTTATATGTGTACTGTGAGTTTAAAGCAATAGTCTCAAAAGCATGAAACCACCTAGCTAACTTCCATACACCTCTATTCTTGGTTGTATTGAGTTTGTTAATTTTCTCTCTGGATTTTTTCACAGCTAGAATGGTCTTCCTAAACACAACAACAAAAACTACTTGAAAAATAATGTTTAACATTTCTCTCAGTGATATCATTATGGTCAAACTATTGCAAATGAAATTTAATATTTTAATTATATAATAAGCACTGATTTAGGTATGGGGTTATATTATTATAAGCAATAAATTGTGACTGATAGGTATATAGATAATATGTTCTAGGCCTTTCAAACTTTGTATCATGACCCATGAGTGGTTAGAAGCTTTATTTGTATAGAATACGACTGAATAAATACATCAGAGTTACTTACATATTATGAAGAAAGTATTACTTTCATGAAACTTTTGTTTCAATTATGTATATATGTTTGTGTACATGTATTTGCTTGGCCATTTACAAAACTAATTTCTTACTATGGGTCATTGTAAAAAAATAACTGTTTAAGAAACACTATTTAGGGTATACATTTCACAGGTTGTTTTTCTTTTAAGATTGTTCCGAGTTTATTTCCATTTTCTCAGTAATTAAATTAGCCAGCTAATTTCAATATTGGTAGATAAATGGTTGCTATGATTTGAAAAACTAGTTTGAAACATTGGGATGTTAGAATTAATGGTGTCTTTCAAATCATTGAGTCCAGTGTACTCTGTTCACAGGTAACAGAGGTCCTGAGTAGTGAAGTCCCCCCTACCCAAGGTTTGTTAATGTCTGTACTAGATTCAATTTATGCACCAGGTCAGGTAAACTCTAGCTGCCACCGTAGCCCAAAAAAACCAACTAGATAAGTATAGCTCACCATGCCTGCACACTGTCCAAACTGGATTCTCAGAGGATCTGGCTTTCCCAGAAGCTGCCTGGACACTCCAGGCAGCACAATCTGGAAATGCATGGGATTTTGACCATTGAGAGACAGGAAAAGGCATGGAGGCAACAGATGGATTGCTTGCCTTCCTTCTCTGCACCAAGGCAGAGTGGTTCTGAAATGCAACCTTTTTGGTGCCATTCCACATGATCAAGTGACCACTTTTGTTTTGTGCTGAAGCTATGGCTGTTTTAGTAACACACCACCTTGTATTGCTCTCCTATCTTTCTTGCTTCAATTCATTTTTCTCCTCATTCTTGCTTCCCTGGAACTGCATGGCCAACCCCCTTCCCTCCACAACAAAGTATTAGTATACAAGCCATTGATTCATGCTGTGCTTTCTAGGGAGCCTAGGCTAAGACAGCATCCTACATACAAATGCAAATTCCACTGTGTATTAACAACTTACATAATGAGAAAATAGAGGTTTCAGGTATTATCTATACATGTCATTGCCTTATGTACTTTAATCTCAAGAACATTTTTAGGTTGAGTGCAAATTTTCTATCTTTTGGTCTTAAACAAGGGTTAGGATTTATTACAGATATCTTACCCATGCTCTAGCTTCGTTAAGCTAGTTGGAATAGTCAGGATAGGCTAGATTATGAAGCAGTAACGACCAACTTCCAAATTTCAGTGGCCTAAAATAATAAAGATTTATTTCTTGCTCACACTGTACATCCACTGTAAGTCAGCAAGGGGCTCTGCTCATTGTAGTAACTCAGGGACTAGGGTTGACAGACAACTGCTATCTTGAAAGTTGTACATGGTCATGCCAGAGAGGGAGAAGGAATGGTGAAGCACATACTGCTTCTTAAAGCTCCTGCCTAGAAGTGACATGGGTCACCTTCACTCACATTTGGTTGACCACAGCTAATCACATAGCCACGCCAAATTTCAAGTGGGTGGGGGAGTGTAATTCAACTATACACCTGGCAGGTAAGAGAAACAAAACCTCTGTAAAAAGTCCAAAGAGCTACCACAAATAGTATTTGGGGTAAGTTATCTCCACTACAGAAACATTTTGCTCTTGATGTCTAATCCATGGATTGGCTGTGATTTCAAATGGCCTGCAGAAAATATTGAAAAATTTGGAAATTTATTTTAAAGGCCAAATGAACATACCAAATTTAACACAGGCATCAAGGCAGAGTGAGAAGAAGGACAGAGTGGGAGATCTGGGCTCAAAGCCTGGTTATACTGCTTACTAGTGTCATGGCCTCAGGTAATCTCTTAATGACTCCCAGTCTGGTTCCCACACCTATAAAAGGGGAAGCAACAATTCCCACCTAGTAGGTTTTGTGTAAGGATGAGAAATAATGGGTGATACTGTTTCATGCTGTGACTGGCATACAGTAGGCACCTGATAAAAGGCAGCTGGTACTGATGGGTGTTTACCTGGGACATTGCCTCTCCTGTAAAGAAGTATCCAAGTATATCATTATTTCTTTTTGCCATATTTGTATACTTTACTAGTATAGATGCACTACTTTGTAAAGATAATTTTTTGAATTAAATTTGCAATAAATCAAAGCTGTAGAAGATGACAGATTTAGAACTCACTAAAAATGCCCTTTAACGAAGATGTTTTTTAAAGTTCTAGACTCAGGTTCAAAAAATGTCAACTACACAAGAGTCAAAAGAGGGATAAGTCTCTAACTTACCTAAAGTTCATGTGAATTAATCTGAGGGATTCTGGTTAACTGTAAGCTCACCCTGGATCAGTGACACACAGCTGCCTCTCAAGCCCTAGGTAGACTTAGCTACTTTAATTAACACCTAGAATCCAGATGAAGGGGTGTAACCAATGCTGTACATTTTAACTCGTATAGCCAGACCACGTACTTACTGCAGTGCTCAGGGTGCCACCTTCTAAACCTCTACTGACAAATGAAAGGGGCAGGCAGGACGGTGAGGCTGCCGAAGGCAGGACAGATGAGGAATGCCTAAAAAAACTGGAGACATTTAGGCTGGAAGAGACTGTTTCAGGAAACGTGATACCTATCCTCCAATACCTGAAGGGCTGTCATGCAGAATAGATCTTTCTCTGTGCCACCCTAGAGAACAGGAGGAGGACGAAGAGGTAAGAATTAGCCCTTGACTACTGGTGAGCTCATGGCCAAGCAGAAGCTGGCTGCTGACCTCTGGGAATACACCAGTGATTTGGATTTCTAATGTGTTTTATTCCCCAACCTTACAAATCTATCAGCGTTTGGGTGTGCAGTACTTGTTCTAAATAGGCATTCTCTCCTTGCCTTTTCAATAAAGACATTATAGAAATACTAACGTAATGTGCAGGAATTCATTTACACTGCTTATGCTACAGAAATCTTGATTTAGTAGATATCCCTTCAGGTTACAATTTCTGCTGCTGGCTGCAATATAATAAAGATGCTGACAGTTGTGAATTACTGAGTTCTACAAATTATCAACTGCAATGGTAAATAGGAGAGAAATAAAAGGTAAAGTAGGTGGCTAGGTCACCAGGGGTGATGCCTGCCTTTCTGAATAATGTAAGACCTCCTGAAAATGATGGCAAATAGATGCCCCTTTCTGAGGAATAAGAGAAAGTATATTGGGCTCTAAGTTTCAGGACATAGAGGTTAATGGAAAATGGGAACGGCTTTGTTTTATGAGCCCCACTGAAGATGGATGACTGGGGAGATGGGCAGGAGGAATTATTTCTTATCTAGAAGAAACTGGGGTTAAGAGATGAGGCAATGGCGTGTGAACGCTGCATGAGACAATTATTAGTGGAGAGCTTTGACTAAAGGTGAATGGCCTGCTGGGAGATGGGAGACATCTGATAGGTAAAGTCAGTCTGGCCCTGGGGCCATGACCTCATTAATAGTTAAACAACAGCACTGAAAATTAATGACCCACACCTGACTGCCCAGTGAAACTGCACTCCTCTTCACAACTGTCCAGAAATCCTCACACACATTCCAGCAGGGAGTCTGGCTGCCAGTGGTTACAGCAATCCCTCTAGGAATTAGCCGGGTTAAATGAGTAGTGGCAAGACAGATGAAGAAATAGACTTTATCCGGCCTCCACGGTCCAATGTGGGACGGAAGAAGCATGGAATTTCTAAGAAGTACAGACTGGCCATATTGAAGGTATTTAGAAAGGAAAGACCATGAACTGGTCCTCTACCACAATTGGACATGTGGACCGAATCTGAGTGAGGAAGGCTGGGCACCAGAGTGACCTCTACCCCACCTGCCATATGGCTGTCTGACAAAAGCGATTCGTCAAGCATCCTGGTTGCCAAATATGCTGGCTTTAAAATGCCATGTGAAGCAGAGAATATTTTAAAAGAACAGTCTAAACAACCTCATAATTTTAAGTATGAATACTTTACGCCAGACACAAGATTACCTAAGGTGTTCACACCACTGTTAAGGTCTGAGGAAACAAAGACTATTCCCCCGGGTCTCCAGGTTGTCTGCTTTGTGCACAGATTTTTGAAAATAGAGTACAATAAATTCCATGCACCACAGCTCACGGCAGCTAAAGACGGAGCTCCTGAGATGTACCTTTTTTATTTATTGGCGTTGGAGAAGGGAGGTGGTAATGTTTCCTGTATTGGATGCCTTATACTTTGCAGACCTTTGGGGACTCATCTCTGCTGAATTCTTTAACAGCTGAGATGACAGGGATGTCCATTACCCAAATGGACAGCACTTTCTATTGATCAGGGCTCCACTTAGCGATCTCATTTGTCATCCTATTGTCTCTCACCTTCACTGCTCTCGATATGAAGCGGGGGGATCTTTTTTTCAGGTGTGAGAGAGTTAATCTACATTCCAAGCACAACTGAGCAATTAAAACATGTAATGAGCAGAACACTTTAGTGCTTCACCTATAGAGAAGTCTGAATTGGGCTTCTTTCTATCTCCCCCATACAGGCCACAAGAAGCTAAAGAGGTAATCCACTCCTGAAAAAGCCCAGAAGAATAACTATAATACTTTTCAAACCTTAGCTGTGTCAAGTGCTTGCTTTGCTTCCATTTCTGCTTTCAGAAACTCATTTTAAAAGATAAAAAAGAATATTACAGGAAGAAAGCCCAAATCCCAACAAAACAAAGGAAGGTCTACCTAATCTTGCCAGTTAATCATTTGGGAAAAGTCCTGCTCTGCATCTAATTAGATCATTAGATCCATGCAGTTAAACATCCATCAAGAATTCTCCTATAAAAGGTATGTTTTATGTAGTTCCCATATACGGATTAAATTGGGCATGTGGAAAGCAATGTTGATCCATTTAATGGACTCCCCCAAAATATATATCAGCATCTTTGTCACGGAGCTAGACGGCTTCTTTATCCTTTCACCAAAATGCAGTAACAAAAATAATTAAACATCTCTCAGACCTGAACTGCACAGTCATTAGACAATAGTCAATGACTGGAACTGCCGTGAGAGCCTGAACCACACTTTACCTTGGCTTTTCTAGCCATTTCTATTCGGAAAGCTTTCCATATCTGGATTTCCCCTGAGAACTATTTTATGATGCTATAAAGACTGTTAACCAGAGGCAGGATCTCCCCAGCACCTGAGCCACACACAGAAATATCAAATAACATTTAATTGCTGGATGACACTGTGTGTCTGAGCTTGAATTCTGATCTCCAAATATTATCCATGCAACTGTCTGCAGAGATAAGGTTGTTATGATAACAGCAGATAAAACCAATTAAACCTAAGAGCAGCAAACACTTCAAGATCTTGACTTTCACCGTAAATAGAGTTTGAGGATGTATAAACTATAAGGGGTCTGATACTATCTTCCTTCTGTAAGGAACATTACTTGAGGCTTCTTTCCTTTTGTGTATATGGGGGACTGCTTCCATGTAAACACATGAGCTAAGAGAAAGCAACACATGCAAACTGCATGAGCTAGTAATTAGTTTTATGTCTAGTCCTGGAAAGCAAATGACAATAAAGAATGTAAATCTAGGTCATCTTTAAATACATAATACTAGTTGTGGTTGCAATAATAGACTCAAACATGCTATTCTAAATACACTCAGCACAATTTTTCCCTTTTCACATTTCAGAGGCTTTTCTTCTTTTTAGCTGACAACATTCTACTAGTGTCTCTAGCTGTTTGTACACATATTATGTCTGCTTTGTGATATGTTTTGCAGCTCCAAAGCCAAAACACCAGGCAGAAGTGCCAAACCTTAACCTCAAGTTACTTCTGGTAGACCACATATAAGGAGAACAGCACTGAATTGGGGTGAAATGAACAGTGTATGTGAGCTCCCCAGAAAGCTTATCAAAATCTGACAGCTAAACAGGATACTAGCAAATTTATCAGCCAAATGATGTTCTAAAGGAAAACAAAATTGATACAAAGGAAAATAGTATATCTTCAAAGGGAGCCTGATTCTATAAAGCCTGAATTTCTTTCATGAAAAATAAATAAATAAAAGCATAATGAAAGTTTGCCATGAAGGAAAATATTCCATTTTCTTTTTAAAAGTGACTTTCTATATTTTTGGTGTGAAAAATATGATGTACCTTCCTCCACGTATGCCTTTTTGATGAAAAGTGGAAAAAAGTCTTAGTAGCTATTTCATTTAGCTATGTCTCACACCTGGGGTATAAATAGAGTATAATAACCTGTATTGTAAAGAGAGGAGGGTAATGGCAGAGTGGCATTCAACAGCGGTGGGTACCTAGGTAGGTAGACAGAGGACTGCAGACTTAGAAAGGAAAAATAAATGTCACATACACTAGGTGAACAATGACTGTTTGTAGATTTGGGAGAAAAGAGGTTGGAGGCCTAATGACCCCCACCTAACAAATAATACAGTATGTGGTTTAAAAAGTAGGCAATTTGCCAGTAGTAGCAGATGATAAATAATACTGAAGAACTTCCAAATAATCTTCCTCCAATATATGGGCCTGATTACACCTTTACTAAGACTATGATGATCTAAAGAACAATGCAGAAAAACATAGAGTCAAAAATAAAACAAAAATTTTCAAAGAATGGAAAATAAAACTGATAAGATTAATCAAATGATAAAGTTTGAAAAGAAAAATATATTTACCTTTATTATATGACATTATTTTTATAGAAAACAGAAACTATATATTCTTAAATTTAAAATGGAATATAGAGCCCTCTAACTGCAGCATAAATAATTTTTATTAACTATAAGAAGTTTCTAGATTTAGAAAAGTCAAAGGCAAATAATGTAGTGTCTGGTTCATTTTCTTACTCGATGACAGTTTTTTCTCGAGGTCGTTATGGGCAAAATTAATTTTAATTAATGTTAGTCATGAAGATCATCACTATCATTACTCCCAGTTAATATTGATGGAACATCAATACTGTGTGCAGGGTTTAGAGGAAATACTAACATGGTTTGTTTTATAAATAGCCAGAATTCCTCACTCATTGTCTAGTCTACACTTGTCTATCTGGAAAGCTCATTCTTCCCTTACCCTTTTAAGGCACAGTGCACCCTCTCTTCCCTGCTGATTCCCTGGAATCCTCTATATCCCTCTCCCCACTAGCCAAGCACTCATCAGTGGCAGGAACCACTGCTTGAGCCAGTTTGCATACTTTTATCACCACGTACCTGACTGATATGAGGGAGGCATTCACTGAACTTCTAATAAGACTCAGATGACACCATACAATTACTCCTTGTTCTATTTCTTTTCAACATTCTCACTGCCAGAGAAGCAGCTAAGTTTAATAATAAGACATTAAATGGTGGCACATGGAAATCTTCAAATAATCTGCTTGTTTCATACCATTCACCTGTAGCAACAGGCCGACCCTCTACACAGAGAAGAAATCCTAATTTAATAGGGACAGAGCCCAGGCATCTGATATTTTTTCTTTAGCAACTCAGGTGATTAACATATAACTAGGGCAGAAAATTACTGACATAAAGAATTAAAACTTCTTTCAAATCCTTCATTTCCTACCATAAGTCACTCAACTGTATCTTTATACTACTGGTGGTCACATACATTGTTATTAGAATTATTCTATACTTTTGTTTCTTATATTGCATGCCTAGCACACATAGGATACTGTTTATAATCTTATTTCTAAAGGATGGTCAACATACCACCCTTAAAATAAAGATTGATGAATTCTATGTCCAAATTCTTAAGGCAGAAGGTATTTATTTAAAATATATCAAACAGGAGCTCAAAGTCTTGCAATCAGCCTGCCAACATGGCAATCAAAAAATATGTTTTGGCACTGACAATAATTCAAAACACAATTTACAGTTTGGAGACACAGGGAACACACGGCACCCTCAGGAAACTTATACTCAATAGGATAAGAAGTAGATTTTTCGGCCGGGTGCAGTGGGTCAGGCCTGTAATCCCAGCACTTTGGGAGGCCAAGGTGGGCAGATCATGAGGTCAGGAGTTTGAGACCATCCTGACTAATATGGTGAAACCCTGTCTCTACTAACAATATAAAAATTAGCTGGGTGTGGTGGCGGCTGCCTGTAATCCTGGCTACTTGGGAGGCTGAGGCAGGAGAATGGCTTGAACCCAGGAGGCGGAGGTTGCAGTGAGCCGACATCGTGCCACTGCACTCCAGCCTGGCAACAGAGCAAGACTCCGCCTCAAAGAAAAAAAAAAAAAATTGAAGTAGATTTCTCAAAACTAATCAACAATTAGCAACAACAATTTCTTTCATTAGTATATTGGTTTATAAGCTAAAAACATTTGTCTAGACTGGGTGTGGTGGCTCATACCTGTAATCTCAACACTTTGGGAGGCCGAGGTGGGTGGATCACTTGAGGTCAGGAGTTTGAGATCAGCCTGACCAACATGGTGAAACCCTGCCTCTACTAAAAATACAAAATTAGCCAGGTGTGGTGGCAGGTCAAGGTGGGCAGATCACGAGGTCAGGAGTTTGAGACCATCCTGACTAATATAGTGAAACCCTGTCTCTACTAACAATATAAAAATTAGCTGGGTGTGGTGGCGGCTGCCTGTAATCCCAGCTACTTGGGAAGCTGAGGCAGGAAAATCCCTTGAACACAGGAGCCAGGAGTTGCAGTGAGCTGAGATCGTACCATTGCACTCCTGCCTGGGCCACAAGAGCGAAACTCCTTCTCAAAAACAAAAACAAAAACACTTGTCCATTCATAATCTTATTTAATCTTCAGGATGATTCCATGAGAGATCATGAACATTTTACTGATGACAAAAGTAAGGTTCAAAAAGGTAGAGTGCTTTTTTTAGCTCACACAGTTATTAGGTAACAGAGCCATGCAAACCAAATTTCTGAATGTTTTACCCTACATCCAGGGACAAACATCACGCTAATTACTGTGCAGTATTCAAAAGAATTAAACTATGGTCGTGAGACCTCAGAGGAGGTTGTAAGCTAGTTATGGAAAGAAGCCAGATACACACAAATGATTAGCACATAATACACTGGAGTATTGGCAAATATTAAATGATGGAGGTGAGTCAGCTGTCCTCCAGGGCTGAAGAAAAGGGGTATATTGAGATTAGAATGGTGGGGAAGGCTATTTTATAGGGTGGACCTTCGACTGAGTCTTAAAAGATTGATAAAGCCATTAAGCAGGAAGAGGGGAAGCAGAAGCTCGATGTATAATGTGTCTTGTTATAGTCAGTCTGGAAATGTCAGGCTAAGAATAATTCCACAAAGGGTGCATCTCCAATTTTCATTTAGTACGTAGTTTGAGGCCAAGAGGAGTTCACTACAGCTGAGTTTACTCAACATAGGGAAGCACCTGGATTCTTCTCTCAGATTTGTCCATCCAAATTCATTTTCTTATAGGAAAAATAACAATTTAATTACTGAGGTACTTACTGATGTTTACTGAGTACTTACTGAGCCTCTATTATGTGCAAAGTACTATGCTTGCCATTCTGACAAGTACAAAGCACTGTTTATGCTCTTGAATCTCACTGGGCACAGACACAAAAATTTAGATGCCCAAATTGAATATTCCATTACTGAGGAACATAAGAATGGTCTGAGCAGTAAGTACAATGAATGTACAGACAGGAAGTGGGATTTAGATGAGCTGGATACTGACATGGTAGTCTTGGCCACTTAATAGCACAAGCAAAGCTGACAAGGGGGGATGAGTAAAATGTATTCAGTAAACTCATCTGACAGTTTGTGTAGTATCTACTCTGTGGTAGGGTGGTGTAAGCCATTGGAGATACAAATTTCACCAGGAATGTAGAGCAGGCATAGAAGATTCAAGAAGAGATAAAGTGGTTACTCCACGCTATGTTCGTAATTTTGTATTCCATTTGTAAAGTCCGAATTCAGCTGCAATGATGTCATGTGAACATCTGGGTCCTGGGTGTAGGGGTTGGAGGAGAATGTGTACCTTTCTAAGCAGTGGTTCCTTTGAGGCATTCAGCTTTTCTCTTTTGTCAAGGCTGCCTTGCTTTGATATGGTTTCTGTATTTCCGGCTTATACAATTAACAACTGCACACATGGGAACAAAAGCGACTGTCACAACATTCACAGCTTGTGAGGCATAAGACACAGAGTATGCACTGGTACACTAATGAAAAGGCAGACTTTAAAATCCCATTCATACCCCAGAAAGTTCACAGCACACTGACATGTCCTTGGGAGCTGCCTGGAAACACTGGGTTCTTTGAATGTGGTCCTGATCATTTTCTCAGAAAGATAATCATGCCCTACATGCCTGGACTATTTAAGGCCACATGTGCTAATTTAATTTACGATGCTAAAAAGAGCTGCACCATTTGCGAAGGCAGTGGAATGCAAAGGGCTGCTCCGAGCCCTGTACACACAAGGGATCCCCCTGATCCTCTGACACTGGGAAAGAGAGAGCAATGGAAAATACTAGCTGTGGCATGGCTGTGGGTAATAGTGCTTAATCCATGACCACTACAAGCATGGAGATATGCTTGGAAGGGAAGTGAGATTTAAGCAGGGGAAGGAGAATCACTGACTTGGAAAACTGTCTCAAAAAAAAGAAAAAGTCTTGCTCTTTTGCCCAGGCTGAAGTGCAGTGGGGTGATCTCGGCTCACTGCAACCTCTGCCTCCCGGGTTCTAGCAACTCTCCTGTCTCAGCCTCCCAAGTAGCTGGGACTTCAGGCACATGCCACCATGCCCGGCTAATTTTTGTATTTTTAGTAGAGACGGGGTTTCACCGTGTTGGCCAGGCTGGTCTCAAACTCCTGACCTCATGATCCACCCACCTCAGCCTCCCAAAGTGCTGGGATTACAGGCTATAGGCACAAGCCACAGCGCCCGGCCAGAAAACTCTTAAATGGATACAAACCAGTCAGCATACCATTGGTGACTCTATGGTTATTTAACTCTATGGTTAATTAAAAGGAGAAAGTAGGAGAGGGAAATCATGGAAAGAATCATTCACGCCACAGCTAGAGGTCAGAACAGGCTTTCGAATGTGGCTTTTGAAGTCACACCTTAGCTGGTGGCTTCCTGCCTCAAACTACATGTAGGGATCCATAAGGTGCAACATCTGCCTTTCACACAGAAATGCTCATCAGCTTTTCCTTAGCCATGGACTATTTGTTCTAAAGGATTCTAAGAGGGTGAAGGAATGCTAACTCCTTAGACAGATGATCTGACAGATGGACTCAAGGGAGGCAAGGCTCTATCCTGGGGGTGAAGAGGGGGAGGGGGCAAGAGTCAAAAAGCAAACAAGGAAAACACAAAGGGCATAACATTCTCAAGCTTTATGAACATACATAATTATGCCCATAACTAAAATACATAGTCAAGACAGAGGAAGCACAAAATAGTTATTCTAATGTATAATCTAAAACCAGATTGAGAATGCATGACAAAACCTGTTTATATAAGTTTGCTACGGCTGTAAAAGAATACAATATAAAAAGAATCCCATTTATTCTTGCACATATTTAAAAAAGGAAAAAAGTCTCATTGAAATGAAAATTATGTCACCGAACAAAAGCTGATTATCTGCTAACTTTCTGCCCTAATTTTATGAAAACAGTATGGCAAAAAATATGAGCAGATTGAAGAAATAATGTAATTGTATAATACATATGAAAATGTTCCCCCAATCAATGAGGTAATCAAAGATATAGAAAGTCAATCACTTTTGCTATAAATTATTAAAGCTAATGAAAAGATCACTCAATACTCTCAGATGCTTTAGGAGTAAAAATTTGTAAGAACTTATCAAAAGCATTATTCAATATACTTATACTTTAAAGATCTTAAAAATGTTCACAGATTTTGAGTGAGAAAGCCTAATTCTGGGAATCTACCCTAAGGAACTCATTAGAATATGAATAAACATTTCTGTTTAGAAATTTTAATCAAGAAAAAAAATTAAGGCTGGGTGCAGTGGCCCATGCCTGTAATCCAGCACTTTGGGAGGCAGAGGCGGGTGGATCAGGAGTTCGAGACCAGCCTGGCCAACATGGTGAAGCCCTGTCTCTACTAAAAGTACAAAAATTAGCCGGGCATGGTGGCGTGGGCCTGTAATCCCAGCTACTCGGGAGGCTGAGGCAGGAGAATCACTGGAACCCAGGAAGCAGAGGATGCAGTGAGCCAAGATTGTGCCACTACACTCCAGCCTGGGAAACACAGCAAGACTCTATCTCAAAAAAAGAAGGAAGAAAGAAAGAAAAAGAAAAAAATTAACTTTTATAAAGATTTCAATGGGATGTAAAAGTAATTATAATAAGTGATGAAAATTAATTATTAATATAATTACATAATTATATTCACGGTATGATTATAGCAAGGTAGAAAAATCAAACAACAAATGAAAACTTTCATAAGTATACAGACAAAATACTGAAAGTTAATTTATCAGAATGCCAATAGCAATTATCTATGTGTTCTTATTTTACTTTTAACTCATTAGAATTTTACAAATATGTTACACATGATAAATGTTATAATCAGAAAAATGTAATCGAAGCCTAACTCTAGCAATAGCAATAAAAATCACCACAAAGTTACTTCATGAATTATTTAGGAAGAAATAACATAAAATAAATTAGATTAGCACTGATATAGTCAGTTTTCTCTAGTATAACATTGACCTGAAACTTGTGTTGGTTACAGATTGCACTGAAAGAGCCAGGTGGTTTTGTCTAGCAGGCAACTTCTGTGTATGCACACACACAAATCCCAGATTGGGACAGACACACCTCAACTTCAAGCTCAGTAAACTGAAATGAGGAAAAAAAATTTCTTTTGAAGTAGCCCAAAGCTTAACTTATAGATTTTATACTTGATAAGAGGATAGGGAAGAAATTAGAGCCATCCTTTGGGAACTTGACTCAGTCACATGTGGGAAATTTTCCTGGTTGATCTGTAGAAATAGGCCAGCCACCATTTTAATTATTCTCTCTGTTCTACCATCTTTAAACATCTAAATTATTTTTGTATTGTAAATGTTTGGCAAACAGACTACAGTTTTATTTTTATATCTGTGTTGTTGAAGAATAAAAGTGAACATCCTTCAAAGTCACAAGTTCTGAAGCAAATGATATAGAAAAAAAATTTAACACTGAAAATTCTGAAAAATCAACTTTCCCAAAACAAATCACGACATTTTGTTAAGATCTGATTATATTTAACTCTTCTATTTCCCATATGCTGAAAGAGTTCATATGAGACAATGGGGCCACACTTTCAGGGGGAAAATAATATGTCTTCTTAAGTCTTTCTAATTTTAAAGTTCTCAGGATCATAATATTGTTTAAAAAAAGTCAAAATCTTGAAAAATAAGAAACAAGAGCCTCCTGCTTCCCAAGCTGTACTGAAAGGAAACTGTCAAAGAATAAAAAGTCAACTCTGCTAAGAGTTCCATTTCTCTGGTCCTATAGGCACAGTGAGAATTTCCTGTGGAAAAGACAAGTACAGCTGGTGTCCAATTAGTAAAAGATGGTGATGAAAGGATATAGTTATTCAGGGTCTGTTCTTTGAAAATGATAATGACCTCTGATTTCTAAGTTCCATAAGTAGAGTCTGCCGCCTGCATGCAGGCTGCTCATAAACTTCCCACTTTCCTTTTTCTGTCTGTGTTGTTGTGGTATAAGGGGGGGGTGCGGGGAGGGGGTAGGTGCTGGAGGTACAGAAGGTCATGCCTTCTCTGCCGGCAAATATGATTAATGTGTGTACAGGGAGGAGAAAAACGCCACTCACCTGGCTATCAGCCAGCCTGACTCATGCCTCTGGGCATCTTAGAACACCAAATATCCAGCAACTCTGGCTGGGGTCTAGAGAGATGTCTATTAGCTTTCACAATGTCTGGGTTAGGAAGGTGCTTCTAATCTTGTTTGTAATAAATATTAGTTCAATTGTTAGAAGTGTTTTTAATCACCTAAAAGGAAGTAAACAGGCTTGCCTCACAACCTCGACAGGCAGTGTATGTGTGACTTGTTCTTTCTATCCGGAATCACTCGGTTCAAATGCTCAGAGGGAAGAAAGATGGTCATAAAATAAAAGTGTTATATTAAAAATAAATAAATAAATAAATAAAAAGTGTTGACCTCACCCAGGCCCATTTACCGCACTATTTACACTATTGCCACACAGCCTGGCAGCACCAGGAACCTGTGTTCCCAAGAAATGGAAGAGGCCAGCAGGGAAGCACCCATGGGTCTGCTCCAAGCCCTTCCTGGGCAGGGCTTCCCGGCAGAGTTACACAACAGCTGATACATCTGTGCACACTCCCGGAGCCTCCACTCCGACAGGAGCTAAATTCATCCATCAGTGAGAAAACAAAGTAGAAGGGAAAAAAAGCTGGGGACTCCAGGTTAAAAAACAACCACAAAAGATTTTCAAAGCAACTTCTTCAAAGGCCCTTTTATATTTATTTTAAGGAGACATTTCAATTTAAGTGACGTTGTCAATCATTTTCTTTTTCAAATATGACAATGCTATTTTACCCCTACTTCTTTCTCATGGCTGGATGGAAATGAAGGGGAAAGTTATCTTCCTTACCCAAAAAATCACACAAAGAACATCTTGGCAAGGGCAAATAACTTAAATGTTTTGTTTTCAGTGTTCTTAATTTAGCTATTTTCCATTAACTTACTATTGTCATAAAAAAGTGCTCTGATTAAATAAACTTTATATACAGCATACCAAATACTTTTCTGAAGTTATCGTTTGGGAATACAGCAGACTAAAAGAAAGGAAGAGCATGGGCTGCTGCTCACAAAGTGGTGAACATGCCAAAGTATAATTTAAAAAAAAAACCCTTTTTTCATAGGAATGAAAACCATTTCAGAAACCATTAAGCCAAAATGTAGGCTACAACCATAACTTTTATATCCTAATTATTAGCCTTGGTGAAATGATCGTGTGTATAACATTTAATATGCTGTAAAATGGGATTTCAAATACCGAACCTATAAGCATCTCTTACATTCCATAGATTCCGAAGATTAAAACCAAAATCAAAAGGTGCAGAGCGGCAGCTCTGCCTCCCTAACTCCGTGAGGGGACAGGAAATCAGGGTGTAGTGTGTTCTGGGCAGTCCAGGTATTTGAAAGAGAAGCAGCTTGTCAGGTGGGCCCTGGAGGGAAGCCCATTATATCTGTGGGGGTCCTGACATTTGGGGTAATCTAAACCTTGTTACTTGCGAATCGCCCCTGGTGGGAGGGAGATTTAGAATGGATGCCTCCTTACCCAAGCAATTAGATCATTTAGGAAACAGAGAAAATGGGCAATAAGGATCTCCCTCCTAGAGAGCACTTGCTGGTGTTCAATCAGATAGTTCTGACAACAGAAGATGTGGCATTTGCTGAACAAAACAGTAAATGCTGGGGCTCAGCCCCACACAGGGCTTTGAAAATCTCTCAACGCGTAGTGCACAGAGCATCACAAAGCTATCACCTAGCATCCATAGTGTCCTTGAACACCTGAGGACCAGGCAGAACAAGGATGCATTTTTTTTTGTGAGTAACCTCTGGGAGTACCAAATGCAAGGGCTTCTTACAGACCAGGAGCAAGGTTGTTCTTGAAGAGAGGTTGTGTTCTGTGAATGATACAAAACTCTGAACTTCAAATTACACAAAAGTAGCACTTGGAAAAAGCAAATGATGAATCCTTGTAAGTTCTAGAAATTATCTTCAGAGCCAACATAAACACTTTGAAGGAATAAGAGCAATTCAGGCGCTGGTCCTGCAGAATTAACCACTCCCTCCTCAGTGTTCTTGGGATATTCCTCAGTTATGGCACTCGTCACGTCACCCCATACTAGAATTATTTCTTTACTTGCCAAACTCCCTGAGTGCCTGGAGAACACAGAATGTCTTATTCCAATCACAACCCAAATATTTAGCACAATGCTTGGCATATTTTAATTGCTATTTAAATATAAGCTGAAAAAAATTAAGTAACTTTCTCAGATATGTGATAAACAAACTCCAAAAAACTACCATCATCTCTGATCATTCTTTAACTCCCACAATGTCTACACTGTCATTTTAGTTATCACTGTCTACATCCCCATCCTTGAGGCTGATTTGAAGCCATGTGACTTGTAAAAAATCCACTGATGACAAACATAACCGACAACATCTAAAAGGTGAATGACAAGCAAAAGCACATGATGTCTACCGTCTAAAGCCCTGTCTATATCTCAGCTGAGGAAATAAAAGTCACACATCGAACCTTTACTTGCCTTAAAGATGTGTGTGAAAGCCACATCTTTCACAAACATTACCTGCCTGTCACGGTATCAGGGCTTGGCCGAAGGCCTTAGTGTTGGTTCAGTAATATCGGCTGTAAGCCAGATGTTTCCAGAGCTATGGGCCACATTTTCAAAAACACATGCAGTATTTCTAATGATCTTATATGTTGGGTATATTGAGTATGAAATTGGTTTTCTACCAATCTGATTAAAAAGGAATCACCCGCAGGAAAATATTTCCTGAGGACTGCAGGAGTGAAACAGAGGCCAAAGAAGCACAATGAAAACACTGCAGTTCTACCTGGGTTTTAGCAAGTGAGCCCTAACCCTGTTTCATGAAGTAAGCTACCTGTTTCTATACTTGCATCCATTCATTAATTAAGGATGAGGATGTATTTATTTTTCCAGATGCCCTTACAGGATGATGTGGCTCCTAGATGGTTAATTACTTAAGCCAAGGTCAAGAACCTGCTATGGGAAAGCCACTTGGAGCTCCTCGGCAACTTGTGTTTAGCTCTTCAATCTGCTGGCATCAAAGGGAAATTTTCAACAGCACACAAATGCAAGGGAGTTTTGTTGGCAAGAAGGGCCTCTGATGGCTCTGTAATCAACTCGGCTTCAACAGGCCTTTTGCACAGACCAAAAGCAACTCAAACTTTTGGAAAGCCATTCGTTTTTTTCCTAATCGAAACACTGTCTCTTGTGTCCTAATGTCCTGTTGGAAGTGATTTCTATGAACTAAGAGAAAATTTTGTCTGTAGCAGTTTGAAAACAGAGCAAATGACACTTCTGCAAGCCTGACATTAGTGTTTTGTTTTTAATTGAAATCCAACAT
This sequence comes from Homo sapiens, assembly GCF_000001405.40. NCBI lineage: Eukaryota > Metazoa > Chordata > Mammalia > Primates > Hominidae > Homo > Homo sapiens. The sequence continues at coordinate 107,545,994 of NC_000005.10, forward strand.
CAAATAACATGCCTGCAATCAGAAGAGGAAGAGTGGACCTTTGGAAAAATGGGGTTTCAGTGGATTTCACTGCCCAGAGAGATGGGGGCTGTTTTCCATTTCCCTTAAGCGATATCAAAAGTTGTATTTTTTCAAATACAGAAGTGAGAAGCAGAAAAAGGTAGCTTTCCTTCTCTTCCTGAAGTATAGAAAAGAGCTAGTAGACAAGTCTCAAAAGATAACACAATTTGTAGGGGCCGCCCTCCTAGCACTGGTGCGGCTGCTCTGCTCATCCTCACAAATCAATCTGGTCATCTCCAGCACATCTGCTCAGGTGCTGACAAATGATGAATTCCACCTCAGAATCCATAAGCAGAAAGAGGCTGGCTGATAAACAGCTATGAGCGGAAATGTATGCACCTTTCATAAGCAAGACAAATCACTCATTCTCACCAAATGCTTCCAACAGGAACACTAATTCTGTATTTATTTGCACAGCATATGTACTGCGTCCGAAGCAGTGCATTAAAAAAGATCTCAGGCAGCCAATTGCTTTGATTACTTTATTCATCGTAGTATTACAAGGGCTCAATGGCAGAGCAATGAAATAGGAAGCTAGTGAAGACTGAAACACCTCGTCAATGGCTTGTCAGAGTTGAAGGTTTTTCTGGTGCGTAAAACACACACACACACACACACACACACACACACACACTCTCACCCCTGGTGTAGGAAAGAATTTTTTTTTTAAATAAAATACTGTGGCCATGCATCTTAAATTTGCCATATGCCTTTCCTGTCAACCAGCAGTTATTTTTATTAATAACTCCAAGAACATATCATGGAATTCTTTTTTGTTTTGAGATCCGGTCATGTGACTCCTTCAACACCAGGGAACACTGGGTAAATTGTAATGTTCTAACATGCCAATGAATGGTCTCTTTTAGAGCCAAGTTGGTGATGAATTGATATTTGCTAAGGCCTAAGCAAGCACAGGGCACTATATATATTCCTTCTTCTGTGCTCTCTGCAATGATGGATGGAAGTAAGGAGCAGAAAAGAAGTCACACAGACAAGCTCAAACTGACAACCAAGCAACCACCAGTGGACTGTTTCAATCAAGCTGCAAAAGAAGTAGCTTTTTGTATTACTTACTGTAGCTTCATTCGCCTACTGTACACATGGATCATGGATACACTGTACCATTGGCCTGTCTGAAAATTGGAATGCAGTAGAAATAGCAGAAAAGATACAACTTCCTTCGGGCCCCTAGAGGAAGGTCTTTTAAGCAAGGCATTTTCCCATAGATGCCAGTACGGGAAATTCATGCTCCCATCTTCATGAGAGATCTGACTTTTGAGAGGAAAATCAAGATGGGTTTGCTGTTTTCCTTTAATAACACTCATACCTCCCAACAACAGAAACCTCTGGGACCACAAGACAGGTGTGATGGTGTCACATAGTATCCTCCAAGCTTTGTTCTAACAACAAAGCTCTCTTGGTTAGGAATTTCTGGTTTACAGTTTAAAATGTTAGCGTAAGACACTGATGTTCCAAAAAAAAAAAAAATACAAGCCTACTTCATGAAACCAATGCCTGTTGTGCAAATAAATACAGAGTTAGTGTTTACCCCTGGCAGGGCATTTTTCTTTGAGTTGGCTGCAGAGCATTAAAAAAGACATTAAGTAGATTATACATTTACATGAAGTCCCTTGTTATTTTTAACCATAAAAAAAAAGCATTTTTCTTTTTGATGATATATATACTAATTGTGAATGATTACAAGAGGTGACTTTGTAAGACAGTGTAATTGTGTTTTTTTCCCCCACAGAAATTTCACGGTAATGTAACTTTGGTAAAATAGCTTAACTAAAAATCTGTTATTAAAATAAGTGCTTTTGGCTTAAATTGAATCACTATTTTTTGAACAAATAAACAAAAATCATACCCTAAAATAGCATTCAATTTCAGAGAAGGTGGTTTATTCTTTATGTAGTAAGCTCAAATTCCTAAGAAGGTCTATATAAAATTCTGTAAACCCTGTCTAAGTTAAAAATAATTGTGAAGAATAAACTACCTTTAGAAAGATTCTAGAAGAAGCCATAAAAATCAAGTGATTTGAACCTTCATTTTCCAATGACGACAATGAGGTCCAGAGAGGCAAACTAACCTACTCAAGGAAGCACATCTAACATAACTGAAACTCAACTCAAAATTAAACTTCAGAATCCAATTCATTATTTCAGTTGAGGTGGAGTGAGGAAAGACTACCTACACTTTTTAAAAATTTTTTTGAAGTTTAGAACCAACATAAATTTTATTAAACAATGGACTTTTAAAACAATCTCTCCCCCTTTCACACCAGAACAGTATGGAAAAATTGGATATCACATATGCAATGCTACATTAATGGTCAAAATATTTTTTTCCTGAAATTTTGCTTCACATTTAATATGATTATTTTTATAAGAGCAATAACTAAAAATAAAGGAATGCTGTAGATATACCTTCAGATAGTTTTTTTGCAAGGTGAGTAAGTTTCTAAAAAGATTGACAGGTAAAACTTGAAATTTGGGAAATACGTGCTTGGATTCCTGTTGTACAACGGGCTACAAGGAACTGTCACATAAATAACACAGCACTGAAATGTACAGCTGACGTGAGCTGTTAGTAGGAGCAGTGTCTAGCAGAAGTAAAGAGGCTGATGCTGAGTATCTGTTGTATCAGTCCTTTGTTTTAAAGCCAGATGTGCAAAATGTGAAACCACCTGTCAGTTTCCTCATCTGTAGGAAGCAGTCTTTCAAAGGTGTGTTGGCTTTGGTGGATTATGGTGGTAGGACTAGTACTCCACCAAGTTCAACAGTGTAAAGTGGAAGAAGTCTAGCCAAGTAAAAGTCTTCGAGAGGATTTGCTCTAGACGAGATTAAGATCCCCAAACCCTCCAGTGTCTGAATTAAGTAAAATGACACAATTCTCACACTTAGTAAGAAAACATATACACTTACACATACACATTTTTGCAATTACAATTGTGTAATTGATTTACCCAATAGTTTTTCCAGAATGCTTTACTTTGCAGGCTGGATATTTCTTTTCTATGCAATCTAGCTCTAGAGAAGTAAAAATTCATTCAAAGTATGCCAAGAATGTTGCTTCCTAAAATAGTGGTCCTGACACATTTCAGAGTAAGAAAAAAAGAAAGCCCAAATTGTAATTGATTTACATGATAGTTTTTCCAGAATGCTTTATTTTTCTTTCGGATTAACAATTAATAGTGGTCAAAAACACTGAGGCTTTTAAATATATAGGCACCTCACCAATTTGTCTGGTAATTAATCAGGAAAGAATTACATGCTGTAATCCTTTAACACAAAGCAGACATTATTTCATTTGATCCCCACAAAGTCTTTAAGATAAGCAAGGCAAGAACTATCCTCATTTTACAGGTAAGGAAGTGGATGCTCATAGTTTACCATACTCATATTGTTAATAAGTAGCAGCTTGTTAGTCCCCTCGAACAGACTAAGAGAGAAGTATCCAGTCCCTAAGAGTAAACTGGGGTTCTTTTGAACAGATGGGCCTGGACCATCGAATTGTGTGCTCATCCATACCGAGCACCCACATCTTTCTCTATCTCACAGTCATCAAATTCAATCTCTTCAGCTCTCATTTCAAGCCTGTTGGGTCCCAGGCTTCCACAGTGGTAAGAGGGAAGGGAGAAGGGCCAGTCCTCTGATGTAGGATGCCTCTGCGTAGGGATGTCCCTGTAAGAGTCCTGGCAGTGGCCTGGGCCTTGTCCTGGGATCAGGCATTGCTGCCCTGAGTTCTGGCTCTGGCCATGAGGAATGAGCAGCCACCTTCCCAGGCCTCCTATGCTGTCCAGATCCTTCAGCACCCATGGGGTTGCCTGACCCATGCAGAAATAGCACCTCTCAAATGTAAAAAGGGATTGGTTAGTACCTATGGCTCTCTGGAAATGGAAGTCATTCCTTATAAGGTATTTGTCTACCTTTCAACTTTTGGATTTTTGACTGTCAAACACATTTTTAGGACAGTAATCTGTAGTCAAGCTCATTATAGGGTCTTCTTAGAAAAGAAAGACATTAACAAAGAAAACTGTAAAATAGCTGTCATCATGGGCAAAGTGCCCTCACATGGTTCCACTAAATGCAGAGATGCTTTTAGATGTGCTCAGATTTCTGATGGGTACACAAAACTGTGGTCCTGAAACACAGGGAACAACTCTTGTCAGCAATATTCTGAGATGTCAAATGTCAATTTAACATGGAAATATTATAACAAGTTAATAATTTAAAAGTTCTATTTTAATATGATTGAATCATATAATACTAATAGTAAATTGTCATTGATATAATCAATAAGTGTTTCCTCATCTTTATATGTATGCGAGACAGTGTTAGGACTACAACACTGAATTTACTCCTCTTTTGACAGTATTGTAGAGGAGAATGATTATGCGCTTACCACCTACATCACAGGCAAATTGTCTAATCTTTCTGAGATTCAACTTCCCCATTTTTCAAATGGGAAGAAAAACACATACTTTGCAGTATTGGTATAATGGCTAAATGATACGATATATGTACTGTACCTTAATAAGGCAGTTATAATTTTCATTCCTACTTTCTATATTGAAATAAAATGTATGCACTTTAGTAGACATTTCTATTCCCAAAGAATACCAAACTTTGTAGTTTCATTTCAATTTGGCCACCATCATAATAGAGACTTGTCTCAGCTGAAGTCTCGTCAAATGCCACTACTTGATAATCTGCAATGTGACTTCTAGAAGTCCTTAGAATATTTTCAGGCCCTACCAGTATTTTGGTATTCTAGGTAGACTACAGTAGTATTCTAGGTAGTATTCCTGCTAGGTACAATGAAATGAAAAACAATCAGTTTCTATAACTATAAATTTGGTAATTTTAAAAAGCTTTAGTATACAAATATCACATTATAAAATCAGGATGCTATAAAAATTGTTTAATCCAGTAGTACCCTACATTAATAAGGTGTTTTAATAATATCACATAAACTTTATATAGCACTTAATAAATGCCAGGTGATGACCTAAGAGCTTTTTATAGTATAATTATGCGTCCTAACTCATTTCATAGTCCTGGCCACCCTGTGGCCTTAGTACCATCATCATCTTTTTTTCCAGAGATAAAAAGATAGAGATGTAGGTTAATTAACCAGCCCCAAGGTCACACAGCAGTAGGTGCAGAGCCAGGATTCAAACCCAGGCCAACTGGCATTAGAATCCATGCTCTAAGTCAAGGGTCTGCCAGTGTTTGTTTGAAGGCCAGAGAGTAAATATTTCAGGCTTTGTGGGCTACACGATCTCTGCCACAGACAATCTGTAACATGTAGCTTGCCAACTCCTGCTTGAAACCATTACACTCTTCTGCCTCAGAAATGCTTTATATTTTTCAGAGTAGTTTTACACGTAACTCATTCAATTCTCACAATAACCTTTTCTAGTAATGACATGTTCTGTTATTGCCCACTGGTCAGCAAGAAAACGGAAGCTCAGTGAGTATCCCCCTTAAATATCCAGCAGCAGAGACTAGAGACCCACGTGCCTGGAGTCCAGATTGAGGGATCCATACAAGAATTTTTTCTGATCTACTTTAGCAACTCCCTGCCGATCTCCATATTCTTCCCTACCAAACAGGACACTTAGGAAACAAATGATCAAAGTGGAAGTTATGACACCTATTTTACCCCTCTTTGCAGTATCGATTCATTCCGTCTCTTTCCTGTCCTATCAGAAGAAAGGATGTCTCTGAACATTTACTGTAAAATTTCCCTACAAAATTTTAATATAAAAACATGTTCTGAAAAATCTCCTAGGACATGATAATTCTTTTAAGTCTAAGAAGGAACTATAAGCAAAATATGTAAGCTTTTAAAAAAAAAAGGCTGTTAAAGATTTTACAAAGCTGAAAAAAATCTCCACTACTGTCTCCATATGACCAACACTTTCAGCTAAAAGTGTACTTTTATAGCAATCTCTCTCCTCTTCTCCTTCTATTGAGACTCAAGTTTTTTTTTTCAATATTGCCAAATGCATACACTATAAAAAGTGACTTAAAAAATTCTGGCGTTAGCAGAGTTATGCAAACCTGGCCATTTACTGTGGCCCACAACACTGCAAAACATGACCAGGGCTCTCATTACCTCTGGGAACTTCTTCTGGAAAAAGCGAGAAAATGCCTAAGAGCCTTCCACATACTAGCTTTATGGTAAATGGAAATAGCAAAAGTGTTGTAAAAAATTACAGTGCCAATAACAATACTAAGAATGATAATAATAATAACTGCTAATATTAACTGAGGGCTGATTATATGCTTGGCATCATGCTCACTATGTATTAACTCACTTGATCCCCAAGTGACCCATGAGGGAAGTGCTCTTACCATCCTCATTTAATAGGTGAGGAAACTGAGGCACAGAAAGCATAGGTAACTCATGGGAGAGAAGAAAACTGGGAAGTGACAGACTCAGTGATAACTACAGGCTCCAAAGTCTATGTTAACCATTCTTACCATTCCATTAGTGAACAACATCTGGTGTCTACTTAGAGCAGGGCACTGTGAAAAATGTAACTGATATGTAAAGTAACTGATAACTTTTATAGTATCAGTCTGAAATCTGTTTATATGAATTGGCTTCATCTCATCAGGGAGCTCTGTATATTCATGGAGCTCTCCATTTTACAAAGCCAAGGGAATGAAGATTTTAAAAATTCAGAGAAGAATGTTCTGATGTTGTCATGTGCACCAGATATTGCAAACAGCTATCTATGGTACAGTGAAGTGGAAAAGACTAGCCCATGTAATAGAACAGGATTTCTGGGTCCGGTTCCTGGTTCTGACATTTTGAGCAATAATTTTTATAAGCTGTAACATGTGGGCAATAGTAATTTACCTGTGAGGGTTAGTTTTAGGGGTAAACAAGACAATATGAGGGCACTTTGTAAACTGCAAAAGGATAAATAAATGCAAGTTGCTATTTTTTTTATTATAGCCCTCCTCTAAGGAATTAGCTTTAGATATAAATTTCCCCCAGAGGGGTAATCCTAACCACAAGGCAATACAAATACACCAAGAAAGAAAGAGTGACAGGGAGAGAAAAAGAACTGCCCCAGTCCTGTTCCACTAAACACCCTGGAACTTAAAATATTTACTTGGGTTTCCCCAGGGGCCTTATTAAACTGTGGGCAGGCAGCGGCCATGACTAACAATGGGACGAGCACTCACTGCCTGCTCTGCAATCCCCAGTGACCCTGCCATGGCTCGGCTGTGGAAACGTTAGGGAAGAGAAATATGTGACACAGGGAGAGGAAAGATGGGAGCTAGGAAAGAAAAGATCTCAGCCCCACTCCACCACCGCCCCACCATCCACTGCTTTCAAAGCTTGGTGAGAGTAATCTACTCCATAGGGTCAAGGCCACAGTCACGCCAGGGAAGGCAAACCCATCCATTAGATTTTATATCCCTAAAGGGGAGAGACCATCTCCATTTTACATCTCCCCGAGGTGTAGTTGTTTAAACATTCGGAGGAGACCTTGACCTTGAACAGAAGCTCTTACTGGACTAACATAGCCTGCTTTCTCCTAGTGGTAGAGCAATTATCTGGCAAGACACTCTACTTTGTGGCCATTGCTATTGACATTAGTGTATCTTCTTGCATATCCAATGGGAATTCTACAGAATTCACTAAATAGATAATAGTGATGAGATGTTGATTCCTTTTATGATTTTCCTTCTACCAAATGAAACATATTGAATATTGACATTTTTGGTCTAAATTATATACACATTATTATCATTCTGAGGGATTAGTTCTTCACAGAGTCAGTTAAAAAGGCATTTGCATGATTCTTTGTTCTTAAGAAAAAAAAGACAACCCCACACCTAGTAACTTCTTCCACACATCATTATATTTTCTTTCTTTGCAGTTATTTCTGGATTATTATTTAGCCTGGGATGTGAAAATATCTGATACTTTACAAAAGAAAATTAATACCTAGAGTTGAGAAGTAATTCCTTTGAAAAATAGAATAATTTTATGATAAAAATTCTATATGCAGAGTAAAATGAGTTTCTTCAAAGAGGCAAACTGTAACTTATGTCCAGAAAGCTGGCTGATCGCCCTATAATTTGTTAGCACTGTTTTAAAAATCATACTGATCATAACAGTTCATTCACTGAGACATTTTATTTTTTTCCAATACTTCAAGGCTAACAAATTACAAAAGGGAGAAATTAATTACACTAGAATATAAACAGATGTATATTAAAAGCACACATCTCATATGTATCAGAAATAAAATAATTAAAGCTTCGAGCACCTTTTCTAGAATCCTCCCATTCTGATATTTCAGTTGACTTTTATGCCCCAAATAAAAGAAGTATTACTGCTGGTGATTCTTCTATGACACTGATATGGGAAAAATTAATATTTGCATAATACATGTAAAAGCAGAATAAAACAAAAACATACCAATAATAAGTAATGGTGAGGTTTCTCTATTTATCCTCATAGAAACATTAGGTGGAAGAGAAAGGAAACAATTATAATCATTTCAGAATTAAAAAGGAGGTAGGAAGAAACTAATTGATAGGCAAAGAGAAATATCCATGAAGTGTATAGGGCCCTCAATTTATTTAATCCTTTGATTATACCTAACAAATATCATGTGCCAAATACTGTGAGATCAACTTCACTATCAGTAATAACCCTATGGATTAGGCACTATTTTCTATACTTTGCAGATAGGAAAACCGAGTCTTAAAAAGGCTATGTACCTTGGCCAAGGTTAAAGTGCTACTAAATGCCCGAGCCAAGATGCAAATTCCTACACCCTGCACATCTTTGGAGGGACATTTACTACTACGTTCTGCAACAGCAGCTTCTGCCAGCTGGGAGGGAGAGAGGTTACCATGCTGTCTGCCTGGCAGCTGTGCATTTCTCTAGCTGGGCTCTGAACAACTCAGAAACATTCAACTCGATCTGGAGCTGTGCCTCAGCAATTCTCGGTAACCTGGGCATTCTCACGGGTTCCCCACCTCTTGCTCTATGCAGGACACTTTGTCTAACATATCCTGCAGAGACAGATGTAGAGAGTTGAGCAGCTTTAAAAATAATGAGTCTTGGCAAACTCTTGGCTTATTAGCCCACACACCAGTTCACATATGACTGGAATCCTCAAATCAGATTACCTGACAGGCAATTTCATTATCTTGCTCTGGTACACCTTCAGAACCCTGAGATAGCCAGATACACATCACCCATTAATCTATTTGGTCAGCCAACATGCAGCTTTGTAATCCTGTTCGTGCAGCTACCCATGTTCAACCATTTTTTAGTGCTTTTGTGTCCACTGTTATATGCCATTTTGTGTACAGGAGAAGAGGAATGGAGATTTTATTTGTGTTACATATTTAATTTCATCATTATTTTATTCTACAATAATTGAGGCTGAAGTCATCAATGTAAAGAGATTTTTATCCCATTACTTCTCATCTAGTCATCTGAAACTGAATGTTAAACATTCTGCCATGTAGAGTAAGCACTGACCACAACATGGGTTTAATTAACCTGTGACAGAAGAAAGGAATGCAAAGAATGGATAATAGCTTAAAGTTAGATGTAAGATATACACATTCTTCTATAATCGTAGTGTATATAGCTAATCTGATTTTGCTACAACTGTTCATTAAATCTCAAGCCAAAAATAATGGAAAGAAACTTCTTTATTAAGTAGCAACTTGCTGCAAATCTCCATTTCAAGAATATAGTAAAAATAGCATTCTTTCTACTTCTTTCTCATCTTTCACCCAGAAGGCTGAAAAAGCAGGATGAGCTTCCCTTAGGGTGCAGAGTAAAACATCCTGGTCCTTTCAAAGCATCTCTATCCAACTCACCAGCTCATACTCCTCCTATAAAGATCAGGCATTCCATGCAAATTGCACGACACAGTCTACGCTGCTGGACACATTCATGATTTCCCTTCTTCACACCTTGTGCCCCTCCAAAATATACCCATTCTGAGCCCTTATACTACTTACCGTCTATTTGGTCAGTAAGTCAACCCCATTGCCTCTCTTTGGCACAAAAGTATCCTAAACTGCCTTTGTGGATAAACATGCTATCCCCATCAAGGCTGTCCAGACCTGGCACTCACAGTTTCCTATCCACCTTAGTCTCTCCCACATCAACTAGTAACCAGGAGAACTACATTTAATCCACACTTCCTATGTGCCAGGCACCATGTGAGCTGTTATATGTACACATTCTTACTTAATCTGCACAAGAGTCCTATTAGAGTTTACAACCACCACCAAAAACCTGCACAAGTTATTTGGCAACAAACTGCAAAGTAAAACTCAAATTTTCTATGCTTCAAGCTGGAACTCTGTTCTCCTACCCATCATAGTCTTCTTAATAAATAAATATCTCAGCCTGGTGTGGTGGCTCATGCCTGTGATCCCAGCACTTTGGGAGGTTGAGGCGGGTGGATCACTTGAGGTCAGGAGTTTGAGACCAGCCTGGACAACATGATGAAACCCCGTTTCTAGTAAAAATACAAAAATTAGCTGGGCATGGTAGCGGGTACCTGTAATCCCAGCTACTCAGGAGGCTGGCACGGGAGAATCGCTTCAACCGGGGAGGCGGGGGTTGCAGTGAGTCGAGATCGCAGCATTGCACTCCAGCCTGGGTGACAGGAGCAAAATTCCATCTCAAAATAAAAATAAATAAATAAATAAATAAATAAATAAATAAATAAAATAAAATAAATAACTATCTCAAATCCAGTGGTCTGCAGCAAGAGGAAGTCACCTGAACAAATGCCCTCATAAAGCCAATTCATTACTCCATTTCACATTCCACTAATGAAAAGCCACAGGAAGACTTTTTTTTTAATCTAAATTTTGATCTCATTCAGGTCCCTCCAGCACATCTTACCTGCCCTAAATGACCCGGTATGTGGCAGACTAGTCATACCAAAGTTGGAATACTTAGGAAGAAATTAAACGGCTGTTTGGGCCCAAACCTTAAGGCTCCTGTTCCAAATCCCTCTCCTAAAACCACCTACATCTCCCTCATTTCTCACAGCATGTCTATCATTATATGTCCCTTTTGAACTGTAAGCTACACAGGGCACAGATCGTATCTGTGGCTGTAAACATATTTGCCTTGGTCCCCAGCACAATGCCTGGTACGTGGGAGGTGCTTAGCAAACATTTGTTAAATGAGAAGGGGCGAGAGAGGGAAGCCTGGAGGTCAGGTGGCAGGCATCCTAGCTTGAGTTTCAGCCAGGTACGTGGGAGGTGCTTAGCAAACATTTGTTAAATGAGAAGGGGCGAGAGAGGGAAGCCTGGAGGTCAGGTGGCAGGCATCCTAGCTTGAGTTTCAGCCACACGCTGCCTCAGGAACCACGCAGCCCACTGGCAGAGTTGAGGGTTGACAGGAATTCCGAGACTGCGGTGCCTGGGGCAATGTGGTAAAAGCTATTTTTGTTTCCTCATGTCTAAACAATGACATTTGTCAATGGACATATACAGAAGTGAATTCAATCCTGGTTAGTGTGACATTCTTCTACACGCTGCCGGCTCTTATCTGTGTGTGTACTATAGTTCTCCTCTGTACAAAGGGGATTTAAAAAGAGGCTCTAATATCAGAGATTTTGCTCAATAACTAAAATTATAAGTGACCTTTTTCAGAGTTCCTTTAGAGACAAAATAGCTTGTATATACAAAGTTTTGTTACCATTACATGTGTTTAGAAGCGTTTTTACCTTTGAATAATCTAAATAGTTGGCCTCTTATAATAATGATGTAAATAATGAAGCAGTCAAGTGGAGCGGTTCACAGCATACATTTACAATCAAAGAGACCTGGGTTCAGACAATTTCTCAAAAATATTATGCAAGATAAAACAAGCACAAAATTGCAATCATATGATAGTATCTACCCCCACGGTATAGGTGGGAGGATTAAGTAATTAAATATAAAAGGTTTAGAATAGTGCCTGGCACATGGTATATATAAATGCTTGCTGTTATTATTTTGCATTTTAAAAAAAGTCTGAGAGGGGGAGGGGCATTAAAATAAACATAAACAAGAAAAAAAATCTGAGCCCCAAAGAGATTACAAGACTTGCCCAAGCTTACACCGAAATATTCGAAGTTAAGCCTAAAACTCAAGTTTTAACCCCCACTCCCGGCAACTGTACTACATAATGCCACACAGATTATACTGTTTTTTTTTTGTTGTTTATTTTTTGTTTTTAAGTAACTCGCTTTTTTTCCTTTGCCTTTTGCATTTTACACTGAACAATAATTTCCTAGCTTTCAGGAAATAGTAATTTTTAAATGCTTACCACCTGATTATATTCATTAAAGATTTCCAAAATAGTCCCTAGTCTAGCAAAGTAGAAATCACACCATTATTATATTATTACAGAGCTGAAGAAAGAGAATATATTTCTCTTCCAAAACTTCTATGAGAGTCAATATAATTCCTATTATACTTTCTCTGCTATTTTATTATCCTTTTCTTTATTAGAGGTTTAGATTTGAAGCCACTCAAGAAAAAGGATAGGAATGGAAAGAGATTTAAATTGCTCTTTGTCCATATTAAGGCCAAAGCTTTAGCAGATAAGGGCAAAGGGAAGGTTAAGACACAATGGTCAAATGCTGTGACCTAATTACGTCTGGACTTACTTATTTTCTTGTCCTTTCATTAATGAGAATCATCTAATTTAGACTCAGTTATCATGTAACAATAAAAGCCATATATGTTTAAACATATAGCTTTGCCTTGATGTAATTACTTTCTAAATGGGAAATATTTATGGAGCAGAATCATCCAGGCTGAATCAAAGGAAAGAGAACAAAAGAAAGTTGGTTTACATGAGGTTTTTGTTGTGTTTTTCTTTTCTTATATATGTTCTGGCACTTTTATGTTTAAGCCAAAAACTGGAGGCAGAAATGAAGAGAATTCTACAGCCAGATGGGCGCTTAGATGACAGAATGGCAAGAAGGGATGTTTGAGATAATCTTATGTTTCAGGGAACTGACACAGTTTCGTAAATCACTGGGATGGTGAATGGCCAGGACTAGGGCCAGATGCCCTGATTCCCTATGCAACTTTCCTTCCCCCTACCCTGGCCCCTCCCATCACCACTGCCTCTCCCACCACTCAGCACCTTTGCAGCCCTGCTGGGTCCCATTGCCTCCAAAACCCTTCTTCATGGTAACTTCTGCTGTCTGGGGCTTTATTTTCTGATCATTCGTTGTGACTCTTCTTCTTAAACCATCATTTGACTCTTTCATATATATCTGTCTAGCGAAAAATATACATGTATATATATTTGCAACCCTCTTAGGATATAGTATAGCAACAGGCCCATAATGAGCACTGAATATTTACTGACAGGATGAGGGAATAAATGAATTGCTCTTGATGTTTGCAGAGAGCACTCCCTAACAGTTCTCTCATAATTTTTCTTCTCCACAATATAATTCATAACGAATGCTAACTTTACATTTTACCAAAGACCCAACTACATCTGTTTATGTTCATTTCACTACATACATGAAGTTTTAAGTCATATGCACAATCAAAAGAATATTTATATTCTCTCTGAAGGAAAATATGGTCTCAAATATAACTGTTTGAAAGTCATTCATCACATCTCTGGAAGAAGTCCTCCTATAGCCATCCTGGTGCTAGGAGTAAAATTGCTGAAAGAAAATAGAAATGTACCCTACTGCAAAGATAAACATTAAAATACACACTGATGCCTCTAGAAGAGCAATTATCCTTTGGGGAGTTTATTTGCTTTAAAAAATACTTCTTGCTGGATGCTTTCCCCCCAAATCTGAACATATGAATATACTTTGAAACAAGGATTGGGCATAGATATTGCTTTCTTTAATATGTGTTCTGAAATTGACTAAAGGAACAGGCTGGCTGTGGGGATAATATATTCATATTGGATCCTATCTCAAACTTGTTACTGTGAAACACTTGGTATTCTAAGAGTATTAGGGTAGTTATATAAAACTAGATTTACTCTATTTTCTCAAATGCTCCAACACTGAAGATTCAAGCTTCTTATGCTGAAAGTTTATTTTTAAGAGATTGCTTTTACATTAAAGGGCTAAAGAATGAATTACTTTCAACTTCAAATTTTACATAATGCTTATCAGCCAATATACGAAGATTTTCAATTTTTACTTAAAATATTGACTATGTTATTAAAAGCAACAGGCCAATTAAGGCCTTTGAAATAATATAAGGTACAAAAGGAGAAGAAAAGAAGAAAAATCACCTGATTCCTTAAACAAAGTAACAAAGTAACTAGTTGACAGATGAAATTTCCTCTTCTAGTTAGGTATTATGTAGTCTCAACCATAAAGAGCAGGTGAATTTGGCTGTGTTAAAATCTAAGTAAAAAATACCTTGTTATTCACCTTTAATATTACCCACTTGTCCTTCTTTCCATTGAACTACTTGAGTCATCTCCCCCGTGCCGCTGTGAACTGTGCTCATACTTTAGCTGGCCACAAACGTTAAGTCAAGCTCTTAAATATCCGTTCTAGTTTCACATATGCTACTACCTAGCTGTGTAGCAAGGACAAGTGGCTTAACGTTGTGGTTATCAGATTCTTTATCTCTCAAAAAGGGGATGGATTAGACTTGGGCTCCTCTCCTTGCTCCCATCCCCAACTACCCTCCATATCGTACTGCAGGGACAGGCCCTCATCCATCGTAACAGCGACTTGCTTAGACAATGCATGGAGTGAGGCTCCCTGAGATCAGAATCCCAAAGGTGAGGCAGAGCCAGGAATGGCTGCATGGACCAAGCTCTAAGGATCCAGAACTAAGCCCTATAGTTCTGTAATGTGAGCGCCACCTTTACATCAGGTTCTAAAGACAATGCTCTTTTTTCAACCAACAGGCAACTACTGCTGTCTATGAGACATGAGACTTTATCCATTAATTAACTATGTCTATTAAGAACAGGTACAGCAGACAGATGCTGTATAAGGGATATAATCCCTGTTCACTATCCTAGGTTCCCCAAACTCTACCTCTTTACAGGCCTGATGAGCAAATTAAGCATACCTGGACAATTTCAGTGCACAAGACAACTGAAACCTGCCTTTCCTGCTGAAATGCCTTCTAAGAATTAACAATTTAAAGCCATGATTTTGGTCTTTACAGGGTCATTAGTAAGAAATAGCCATAAAATGCAATTTATAAAATTCAAAATAAACTCTGCTATGCTACCTGGTACCACTTGTGTTAAGAGCCATGTGACAAGCACCTCTTAGTCATTAAATACCAGGAAAAAAGTACACTTTTTTTTCTTGAGATGGAGTCTTGCTCTATCACCCAGGCTGGAGTGCAATGGCGCTATCTTGGCCCACTGCAACCTCCACCTCCTGGGTTCAAGCAATTCTCCTGCTTCAGCCTCCTGAGTAGCTGGGATTACAGGAGTGTGCCACCATGCCCGGCTAATATTTTGTATTTTTAGTAAAGATGGGGTTTCACCATGTTGGCTAGGCTGGTCTCGAACTCCTGACCTCGTGACCCGCCCACCTAAACCTCCCAGAGTGCTGGGATTACAGGTGTGAGCCACTGCACCTGGCCTGAAAAAAATACACTTTCATGAGAAAATTACAACTATATGAATAACCAGGTTTCCCTTTCCCCACAGCTAACAGGAGACTAAATGCCAAATTTAATGCTTAAACAGATAGTGGACATTAAGTTCTCCATAAAATATTCTCATCTAATACATTTCTAGTTTATAATTTTTATTCCAACTGACTTTTTTTTAATGTATTTTTTCATTTACCACTTTAGACATGCCTGAAGTAAGTGAATATATAAATATATACAGGCCAGGACAGTGTCACAGGGAAACGTAAGGAACCGAATGCAGTGTTGACTACACAGCCTCCTCCCCACTGGGGGATGGGACGCACCCTGCCACCCTTGGCAGTTGAGGTCAGGCTGACCATGAGGAAAGAAACGGTCATGTGGATTCAACTGCTGAATTCAACTAACCACACCAGCACTTCAACCCAACTATATTCATTCATCTAGGAGTTTCTTTGAGCTCAGCAATGTTGTTTCTTGATCCTTTGACAAAATTAATGATGTAGCAATTCATTACTGACAGGGCAAAAAATTTTGCCACAATGTTTACAAGCTCTAATAAATTATGGATAATTTACCAAATTAATACCAGTGAAGTGAAGCCCGCCTTTTTAGATTTTCATTTATCATTCTACCTAGCTCTTTCCTCCCCTCCGCCCATCGTCTGTCTCTCTCTCCATCTCTCTCTCTCTCACATACAAGCAGATAGCGTCATTTTTAAGCTTATATTTTTTCTAAATCAGCATTCTAGGTCACTTTTTGTGAAATGAAGTTGAAAGTATTTATTAGGTTGCTTGCACCCACAGCAACAGTATTTCTGTAACAGATTTTGACTTGAGAATCAAAGTTTGAATATAGTATAATTGGTATGTTCTAGCTTGGTCCCATGGCCCATTAAAAAAAACTAGAATTAGACATAAAGTAATGAAGGATCCTATAAAAGAAGCTGAGCATCATTTTTTAAAAAAGTTCCTAATATGTAGTAAACTCACCATTGTGAATATCAAACTGTGTTGAGTACCTACTGTGCAGAAGACAGACTCCTCCATCAAGAAATTTTTAAATCTAGTGCAAAAAATAAAATAGAAAAGAGAGCTTCCTTTTATACATTTAATATTTGGGTTTGGAAACAATATATTGGTGTATGAGCTTATAAAGCCAAATTATTCTTAGCATCCAGATAATTTCTTGTGGCAATAATGGGAACTTTTATTTATAATGTAATATTTATATTGGAACAGCCAGCATTAAATTACTGAGCTGTTTGTGTTATAAAATACACAAAAAGGAAAGGCCTCATTTTCAGAGGATTCACAAACCAACATGAAAGTCAGTGGGGTACAAAAGTAATCACCCACCAGCTCTGCAACCCTTATGATGACCATGAGAGGGATGCATGGGTTTTCTCAAAGCCATACCCAATTCTAGGGGAAGAAAACTCATTAAATAACTCCTTTGCAAAGAGCAGGGCTTAGTTAATAGTCCATGCTCTTTAAGGACCAAACCTTTAAAGAGAGATCACTCTTATTTGCTATTTTTGAATAATTCCACACTAACAGCTTATCTCCAGCTGGCTATCTTCGGTTACATCTGACTTTCCCCAAGCACCCCACTTTCCTGCCCCATCATTAAAACCTGGGAGTCATCTCACCACCTGCTCCTTTTGTGTTCCCTCCTGTGGTCAGATGCTTTCTTTCTCTTCCAAGTTCTTGGGACACCTACTTTCTTTTTATTTTATTTTTAAAAGTTATTATTATTATTATTGTCATTATTTTAAGACAGGGCCTCATTCTTTTGCCTGAGCTGGAGTACTGAGGCTCTATCATAGCTCACTGCAGCCTCCACCTCCTAGGCTCAAATGTTCCTTCTGCCTCAGCCTCCTAAGTAGCTGGGACAACAGGTGTGAGCCACTATGTCTGGCTAATTTTCATTTTTTGTAGAAATGGGGTCTCACTATGCTTTCTAGGCTTAGGCTGGCCTCCAGCTCCCGGCCACAAGTGATCCTCCCACCTCAGCCTCCCAAAGTGCTGGGATAACAGGCATGAGCCACTGCACCCGGCCATGCTTTCTTTTCCTTTCCTTGAGTCTCCTTGTATCTAAATTTACATCCCTCTTGCTTGCACTGTGGCAGCAGACTCCTAACTGGGCTTTCGGTCTCCAGTCTCACCTGACCTTAAGATTATTCTTTCTAAAGTGCAATTCTCAATTCTTTGCAGTCTTGTTCGCAAGTCATCAGAACCCTCCCTCTACCTTCCTGGTACAAACAACTTCTCAGTTTATCATTTGAGAACCTCCTCCTTGGGACTACTATTTGCCTCCATCAGGTTCCCTCCCTCAGTCAAAGTGGTCTCAACTACTGTGCTCTACAAGGATTACGCCTGCTATTTTCCTCCTCAGCCTGCAGAGGGGATGGGCAGGGGCTGGGCAGGAGCTAGGGAGGCTGTGGGGTTGGGGAGGGACACTCTGCAGGCCTGTTGCTTCCCACCCTCCAGCAGCTGGGTCTATTTACCCAAGTGTCCAGCATAAATCATTTTCTGGAATATGCTCCAGGCAAAGTGGCTTGACAAATTACTGTTAAAGGCAGAACTTCTTGTCTCTGTCTTGGCTCCTAGCCTTCCCTCCATTCTGCATTTTCAAAATCCTGCCATTTCACACCCTTCTCTCCTAAGAAATCCTTCCTGACCTTCCCGCCAACATGGGGCTTCCTCTTTCACACATATACAGCATTTGGTATGTGCTTGATGGTATTAGTTGTATTTGCCCTGCAATTAGCGGATGATACTCTAATTGTCCTGTGTCTGTTATTAGGATGTAAAAGGTATTGTATTCCCCAAAAGCACCTAACTCATAATACAGGTACCCAACAAATGTTTGTCAAGTGCCAAGATATTGAAGAAGAAATGGCTGAAACCACAGTTGGAATACTTTATTTTGTTTTTGTTTGGGTTTTTGTTTTTTTTTTTTTTTTTTTTGATCCTAACAGCCCCATCTGTAATGACCTGGGCAGGTCCCTGCAGGGCTTCTTACCTGATCCTTGTCCTCTTCTAGTTTTCTCAAGGGTCCTTTTTCAGATTTAAAATTATTAATTTGTTAAGGATACATGGTAATAAATGTCAAACATTAAATTATATCACTGTCTGATCTAAGAAGTCTTTAACTAGCTGAATGGGTTCCATAAATTCTGACTCTAAGAACTGAACATAAAGAGTTCCAACTTTTCATTCTTAGTAATCTTACCACATACCCTCAGCGTGTGTGCTTGGCCAGTAAGTAAGTTGTATGTGACCTTTTCAGGGATTTGTGCTAAAAGATGGAAAACTGGAACTATTCTAGCAAACGTGAAGACCAATAATATGATATCATTCCAAAATAAAGCCATAAAGAAAGTCCACGCTGGAACTAATTGGCACCAACCAGGAAGTGTGATACAATACTCTCCTTTCCACTGAAAAACCTTCTGTGGTTTCAGGGTGAGGATGAAGAGAATGAAGAAAAACAAACACAATATGAAATTCAAACCACACCAGGAACAAAAAAAATATGCGCTGAAAGACCACAGAGTAGCATTTTTATGGGTAACTTTCAATTTTATCAAGATAGAGTTAGGAAAATAGTACGCATAGCTATGCTATGTGACCTAAATGCCAAGTTTTCATTTTGTTTTATATTAATATTAGGGCTTCTCATATTTCATCTCTGTTTATGTTTACATAAATTACATTATATCAAATCCAGATTTGAAGCATCTCGGAATAAATACTTGAGTAGTTCTTGCTAATATTTTCATAGTTCAACTTTTATTTTTAATGTTAGTCTGGGAAATAATGTTTGTGTGTATAAATTTAATTCAATCACATTACTATGCTCCTACATTATGTTTTCATCATTTGCACAACAAAGTTTGCTGTTTATCTAATATATATACATATGTTTTATGTCCATCTAGAAATATGTATTTTCCTGTTTTATAACAGCCAAATAATGCTAGGTATATATATTAAACACAAAAGCCTGCAAGAAAACTTTTTCCTTTATAATATTCATATTTACGTGTTAAGGGGGCATAAATTATTTTTAACTTATATGGTTAAATGATTAAAGTTCTATAAATCACAAAATAGCTGAGTGAAAACAGAAAAATAAGAGCTGAGTCAATCTATTTTCCACTGTTAGGAAGAAGATGGAGGAGAAAAAGTTAATTTTACATGACGCTGCATAATTTTACTTTAGCTGCTGCTTCATTCAGTGACTAAACACATTGTTTTGGAATATCCTTTTGTCATATGTACAGAAGGGCTTTGCTATTGTCCCTCAGGAAGGCTGGCAGCTGGCCCTGCACTTTGACCCCCAACCCTGTCTCAGCAAGGGGCTCATTGATATTCCCAGAAGATTCTCTCAATGGAAGAAGATCATTTAAAAAAGAAAAACTCCACCTTATGGGCTGGTGGTCCCCTCGCTCCTACCCTCTGCTCCTGCCCCCCTCTAAGTGATGGCACGCAGGACCGGTCAAGCCCAACAATCCCTGGGCCTTCATAAACTCACTATTTTTCATGTATATTTGATGGGTCCTTTCCCTCTTATTCAAAGCAGCTTTCACAGTCATGTTACTGGGTGAGAGCCTTCTATTCTGGACTTACATTTGATTAATTTGTGGCATTCATGTGTCTAATTTTCTACACACAAAGGGAATGAACTAGCTTGGACTCTATCGACGAGTCATTTTTGCCAGGAAAGTTCAAACGTAAAGGAAAAGGCTGTGTCAGTGGAGATGGTTTCCAGCTCGCTTAAAAGGAGCTTAGAATAAAACAGTCTGCTTAAAAAATAAAACACAAAACACAGCCATCATTTCCAATGCTTTTCTTAATGATATTTTAAAACACGTAAGCAAATACCTAAATGCTGCATTCCTTGTCATGCATACATAGATCTTCACAAGAGGGAGCACCCAAAATTACTGCAGCTTCACAGACATCACACACTTAAAAAAAGACTCCTGGCTTCCTTTCAAATTCCATCAGTCAACTTTTATCAACCATAGGGGAAGCAGAGGAGGATAAACACTGCCTGCGATACCATTTGGGTTTTAGGTTTTGGGTTTCTTCCAGTTAAGTTTGCAAAAGTGTGAAAGTACTAAAGAACAGAATATTGTTCCTCATTCTTACTATACAATAAATACTTCCAAATATGTCCTTAAATGCAATCCTTTGTGATTCCCTTAATTAATCTTGACTAATCCTTGAAGGAACCATGATAGCAAAAATTTAGTGTCTAGCATAACCTTACTACAGTTTCCCTTTTTAAGTTCTCATTTGAATTTGATAAGTTAATATTTACTTTAAAAAAATCCACATCATTTCTATTCAATGGCACTTGAACTTTTAAAAAATGTTTCAAAGAAATTAAAGCTAGATATGATTGGAAATAAGCAAAACGAGAAAGAGTTGTCCTATGTGTATGTAGCACAACCCTCCCTGTGTCCTTTAATAAAAAGCAGGACTCTGGTCATTCCATGATGTCACTGGCATTCCGCACCAAAAAAAAAGGTCCCCACAGATCAAATTCCACTTCCTTTCAATAAAGCTAAAGATGAAATAAATCTTTAAAATGCAGGGGGAAGAGAAAAATGTATATAAGTTCTTCCAGAAAATCTGAGAGGGCTTGCAAGGAATAAGGCACAGAATCAACAACCCTGGCTTCCAGTTTTGCTGACTTACTTCAATGACCTTGGGCTTAC
The DNA here is from genome assembly GCF_000001405.40 of Homo sapiens. Lineage (NCBI taxonomy): Eukaryota > Metazoa > Chordata > Mammalia > Primates > Hominidae > Homo > Homo sapiens. Next base: position 107,567,414 of record NC_000005.10, read on the forward strand.
CCTTGTACTAGAGGCAGAATGTGTGTGGGCACATGTACCTGTGCATACTTTCAAGCTCTGGGGCCCGAAAAAGTCATTTATGTACTCTGGAGAGGTGAGAGAATACCATGACAGACAAATGAAGTTTGAGACACAGGATCCCATCCACCCACCCCTGCCCCAGGTTGGGATGTCCGAAACTAAGACACCCAAGACTCCCAAGAAAGGGAAGACAAAAGGCAGACATTCATACACAGGGCTCTAGCAGCAGCATTCTCTCACAAGAGTAGCAGGACCATTAACTTTATAAAAACAATAGCCAGGTTCCCTGAAGGCTGCAGATAGGGAAAACCTAGGTGGAGGTCTATATGCATTTCTAGGATATGCCAAGAAATTAAGGGGTGTGGCACTGGGCACTGGACATGTGAGGCAAAGTAGCGAGTGGCTGGGAATGAAGAATGTGTTTCTAATATTTACATTCAAGTTCTTTTTTGTTATTGTTGTTTATTTTATTTTCTTACAGTCAGGGTCTCACTGTCACCCAGGCTGAAGTACAATGGCTAGCTAGATCATGGCTCACTGCAGCCTCGACCTCCTGGGCTCAGATGATCTTCCCACCTCAGCTTCCCAAGTAGCTGGGACTACAGGCACATGCCACCATGCCCAGCTCGTTTTAATTTTTTTTGTAGGGATGGGGTCTTGCTGTGTTGCCCAGGCTGATCTCAAACTCCTAGGCTCAAGTGATCCTCCCACCTCAGCCTCCAAAAGTGCTGAGATTACAAGTGTGAGCCACTGTGCCTGGCCTATATTCAAGCTTTATACAAACACACATATACCCCTCTGCATATACACATATATACCCCGTAGCTATCAAAATACAGACCCATTTTTCTACAGGGGAGGGGAAGAAAAAAAGGAGAAAAGACAAAGAGGAATAATAAAGATCGTGGGGAGAGAACAACCCATGGGAAAGCCAGAAAAGAGAATTGAGAGACAGTTAGACCAGGGAGAAGCCTGGCAATTCCTACAGAGAGGACATGCCTAGGCAGGTAGTGGAGGGGAAGCAATGGTGAAATCAGGCCAGCAGCAGCACTGCATTAACACTTGAGTGATCAAACAAAGGGTAAAGCCATCAGGAAAGAAACTGACAGCTGCAGTCCTTAAATGCCCCAATTTAGAGACACAATGACTCCTTCTTCCATTGGCCATCCTCAAACCCAAGTCAGGAACATGCAGTGAGGCTAGACATAGACATAGACTTTCTAGACAGAGAACATACAAATAATTGTGGAACATAACAGAATCAGAAATGCCAACATAAATAAAACTTCAGAATTTGTAGGGTTTGAGCCTTGTGATGAAATCAACTAGTTGAAAAAACATTTTTTAAAAAATTTGATACAGAATATCTTATATATAAAATATACAAAACCTCAGTTTTATAAAATTATCATAAGCCCTCCATACTTTTACAAATCCTTCTCGGTCTTCAGATTCAGAAATGGTGTATCTATAATAGGAACTAATTCTGAAAGCACTTAAAAAGAACAATGTCAGGACAGCTAAATATATGACTTATAAAAATCACTAGTTCCTCCCACCTTGGTTCTGTTGACCTTAGTGGCCAAGTCCTTTTCCTGAGCTTTTAATAAACACATGCCTGTAAGCAAAGATACGCATAGTTAAATCTATACTTAGCATATTAACCCCCAGATGAGCATAAAGACATATGCTACCAGAGATCCAGGAAACAAGAATCTGGGTTTTGGGGCTTTCTGTATTGGGGGTGAATGTTCACCTTCCCACAAGAGTCTCACAATGGTGGCTTTCCCAGCCCTCTAGGAAGGGGCTTCCTCAAAAAAAGTAGCATCTCCAAACACTCATACATTGTGAAGCAACTCAAATTTCCAAGTAAAAAGATATTAAATGTATTAATAGAAAGGACTGCAGACTACCCTTAAAATATATATACGTGTATATATATATATATTTTTATGTATATGTGTGTATATATATATATATTTATGTATATGTGTGTATATATATATTTATATATGTGTGTGTATATATATTTATATATATGTGTATATATATTTATATATATGTGTATATATATTTATATATGTGTGTATATATATTTATATATATATGTGTGTATATATATATTTATATATATATATATATATATATATATATATATATATTCCCAGCTCTTTGGGAGGCTGAGGTGGAAGGATCACCTAGGTCAGGAGTTCATGACCAGCCTGGCCAACATGGTAAAACCCCATCTCTACTAAAAATACAAAAAAATTAGCCAGGCATGGTGGCATGTGCCTGTAATCCCAGCTACTTGGGAGGCTGAGGCAGGAGAATCACTTGAACCTGGGAGGGGGAGGCTGCAGTTAGCCAAGATTGCACCATGCCACTCCAGCCTGGGAGACCAAAAAAAAAAAAAAAAAAGCAAACAAACAACACAAGAGGAAATGATCTTCTACAAAAGGACAGTGAACTATTAAAATTCCACTTCCTAAGCAAGTGTACACCACTTTTTATTTTGAATTAAAATATCAGAAGATCACTGACAGGGAAAAAAAAGTAGGCCAGAATTATCTGGATTACTGCCCTAACTCTAGAAAGCTGACATAGCATGACCAAGACCTACTTAAAAGCTGGCTGTATCTGTTTAACACCAAACTCTGAGGAGAGACCTACCTCCTAATGGTGAAAGAAACTGTTTTCACATTTTGAGAGGCAAGACCCATAAAGGAAGGGCCTCTAATTTCCAGTAATTACCCTGGTACCTTAAAGTCCGTAATTACATAGAGAACCATGCCCTGAACTGGCCTTCAGTTGGTTCCAAACCCATTGCATGTAATTAGCCTTGATTAATATCCCACATTTCACATCAACAGACACAGTGAATCCAAATGATTCCCACGTTCTGCTGCCTCCGGAAACCTCACTGTTCAAATTCTGTGCCTTTATCAAGGGAACATGCTGAGCAAATGGGATCAAATGATGCCTTGGCACCCACCTTGGTCTAACTATTCAGAGGGAAGTAGCAATGCCTTTCATGTAATCATCTTAATCCCTTGTATCAACTAATTAATACACAGAGAAAGCTTTTACTTGCATGTGAGCAATTATAGCAACTTCCTGGTCGGTGTCCAAATGGATTCACAATATAATTCATGAACAATGAGGCTCTGGGAAAGACAGCTCCTAGAGATGACTTTTAAAATGAAAAAGTGTGTGTGTGGGGGTGGGGGCGGGCAGGTATTAATGATTCTAATAGTAGAAAAAGAGGACAGCAAGTAAATCTCAGTTTCTGAAAAAAAATTAATGTTGGAACCCTATTGTGCACATGACTGGCTTAAACAGACCAATTGATGTGAGCAAAGTAAGAACCAATAAATACCAGAGTTTGGATTCTATATCCGTATATACCTGAAATACCACCAAGTTACTTCCAAGGGACTTGAAAACAAACCTGCTGCCATTAAATAATGGGCTTCTGCTAAAAACAAACGAAAGTAAACTCACTCTACACAGACTTCTGAAAGCCATCTAAGATTTGAGCTCAGTGATTTCACATTCCTCCCTGGGGGGTACCTGTTGCAGTTGCACGGGTGCACTCTCTCTTCTCTCTCTCTCTCAACAGGAAGTAGCACATCAGTATTTTCAGCTGCCTGAGAACTAATCCAAGAATGGGGCCCAGGGCGGCAAGGGTTGGGAACTGTGAGCGAGTGGGGGAAGAGGGCTTAGGGGCCTACAGAAAAAGATATCCGAAGCATCAGCACCTGCTGTGGGGTTTCTGCTCCCGTGTCCGCCCCAGCCAGAGTGGGAATTGCTCCAGCACTGGGGCAACTTGTAATCCAACCTGGGGCAGAGAGCACAGGAACCTAGTGGCTCAGGCGTTCAAGAAAAGGCTCCCAGTCATAAAGCACCACATTGTGGTAACAAGCCCCGGGGTTGCACTGTGAACTTTTCCTGTGCAGATGGCTCGCTGTCGGGGAAAAACATTACCCAGCAAAGTCCAGTCAACAAGTTCACTGAATCCAAGTTTCAAAAAACAAAACGCTTCCTCAATCACCCCCTCGTGCCAGACTATGCTGAAGCTGCTTATAAATTACCAAGGGTCATCCTCTTTTTTTTTTTTTAAAGAATAAAATGCTAATGGCATAGGTTTGGGCTCTCTGAATTAAATACTGTACTGAGCCACCCTGGGAACCAGACACTATCCTCTGGCTAGAAGGCTAAAGAATGAGCAATTGCCAGCCGTGGAATTTTCATGATCCAGTTTCCCCACCTTCCTGTCGCATACCCACTGGCAGGAACCAAAGGGCTGTCACCCTGACGAGAGAAAACAAAGCTCTGCACTGCGTTATGAAACAGGTTTTTCCTTTCTCGTAGAGACACTCCTTTATGGCGAGGTCATGTAAAACAGCAAAATGCTCAATGAACACACTTGGTCCTGTTCCCTGCAGGTGACCGTACCCTTCAACTTGACCTGTGATACAGGGAGAGGGAAAGAAAACCACTCTCCAATTTCTAAGTAAAAGGTGACCAGACGGCAGGGATGGCAAAGCAGAGCCTACTGTTAACAACAAAAAGAAACTGCAAACAGCAGCGTGGACAGACAGTCATACAGGTGTGGGCCGGGACCTTAGAGGGCAAAATAAAATGCTTCTGGAGTCTAATCTTGAGCCAAATTGACTAAAAAGGACAGCCCGGCAGAGAACGTGCGTGATGTGAGTTACTCTGGCACCGAGAAACCTGTTCTTATCTGGCAAGTACGCCCCCTGCTGGCCGCGGTGCTGAACTCCGCCTCTTGGTCCTGCGCCAGACAGCCCTCGGAGCTCTCTGGTTTAGACCGGGGGAAGGAGAAAGGAGCTCTGGCAGAGCGAGTCCCTTGTAAAGCACACAATGGGAGCAAAGGGTGCCGTCACAGCAGTCACCGCCCCAAACCACAATCTTTGTCCAGTCACGGTTCTCTGCAGTCAGATAAAATCCAAGCAAGCTGAAAAGAATGAATACAAACCTGCTTGCTGCTTTGCAAGTGAGAAGTTTAGAAAGCTAGGGAGGAGGGGGCCGCCAAAGGGAACCTGCCATGAAAAGATTCTTAAGTCATTCACAGATACAGTGCTTGACTACTGGAGAAAATCTGGACTAACTGCCCTTTTAGAAGTTAGAGTTTACTATAACGTTAACAGTAATTATTTAAATTATTAGCACATGGACACTGCAGCGTAGGATCAAAATGCATTCAAACAACGGGATGGAATTTATTGCCAACAAAATATAATACTAAAATCAGTTTTGCACTTCCATTGTTTTTTTACACATGTCTTCACACGGACATTTTCATGTTTCTTCCCAAGCTTTTGCCTTCCTTTTCACCTAATTCTTTGTCATTTTTGTTGCTGTTGGGGTCTTGCATAAGCATGCTGATGTTTTGTAAGATCAGCCCGCTGTCCCTTATGATGATTCCCTTCAGAATTGGTGCATTCAATGTCTTTGGCAGAAAATCCTATGTAATACTGGCTTGTGTGTTAAGCTCATTCCCATCATCATCAATTGGAGACGCTTACTTAAGGAAAACTGCCAAGACGTTCAGCTAGGCGCCATCCGTTAAGACAACCAAAAAGAAACCTGTTTGTAAAGGCGCAGTGGGTCTTTCCCTTACTGGCACAAATGTCATAAGTGAGTATCTTTAGTTCACATTATCTGCCCTTAGTCTCAGTGAGTTCACCAGCTCAGGCTGAACTTGGCTTCTCCCTGGGACCTCAATCTCATGTCTGTTCCCAGCTCTCAACTTCAAACACAGAGGACAGAGAAGGCAAGGCATCTAGGCGTGAGCAGAGAAATATAATGGGCAAAAGAAACATGCTTCATCTCCTTTGGGTCAGTGGGTCTGGTTTTCATTTTCTGGTTTACATATGAAACCAGGGGGTAAGAAGTGCCAGTGGAATATAGGCCCCAAGGACAAATGCTCTCATTTCAGAATTTAAAAGAATTTTCCAAAGCTAGATATCTCAGTGCTTCTTTACTTAATCCTGTTGGCCGTAATTTTTAGGTTTTGTTTCTTCATGCTCCTTATGCAAGCAGAAGACTGTCCAGGTAAAATGAGAGTTTGTAGTCATTCTTTTATTTATTTGTTCAAGAAATATTTATTCAGTGTTAGACCTGTTTTGCCAAAATATCCTATGTGGATAGTACAGAATACAACAGCGGCTTTTATTCACCACTTCTTTTAGCTTGCACTATGGATGTCTATCCCAGGGAATAACATGATTACGTGGGTTTCCATGCTATGGTTTAGAGAGTTCAACCCTTACCTATCAAAAGGTCTGGGAATGAGTGTGTGGGTCTATTTTTATTTATAAGAGGGGGAGAACGGAACAGTTTTAGAACGAACAAAATCAATCTGCACCAGTTTTGGGAATAAGCTTCTGCTGTGAATAGAGCTGTCAAGACATTTGCAATCTGTTTGGCCCTGTGTCCACAAGAGGCTAAAGGTTTCATAACCAAAAAGTAAGGATTTTTATTCTTTACCACTTGGCTAGCAGGAGCCTCATAAGACTTGGGGTGATTTTAGCTGTTCTATTACACCCTAAAGCACCAAAATGCACATCTATATTTATACTCACATGCACATATGTGCAAAATAATCTGTAAGAAAAACAGAATCTTAGGCTCACTACTATTTTATTTCAAGTATGGGGATAAGTATGATAACTATCAATTGGTTTTCTTATTGAATTTAAGACGTATTCATACTTTCTTCAATAAAGTCAGATGGAAAAGAGTTATTTGGAAGAACTCAGAGGATTTTTACTCATGGCTTCAAACATCACTAAATGGTGGAAAGTGGGAGTACAAGGAAGACTTTTATGAATCAAATGGTTGATTTTCGGGAGTACTCAGTGTCTTTCTCTCATATTGTAACAATACTAGGAGCCCTCCCTTGCAAAAAAAAAATCATTCAATAAGCTCTGACTGATACCAAACCCCCTCAGATTAAACTCAATATGCCATTAATATGAAAAGAATTTGACAGTTTACATAAGGGATGTGACCTGGTGCCAACAACCTCTGGCTTCTCCATTCTCCAGATGGTAGCAGATTAGTAGGCAGCCTTTATTCTCATAAGAAGATTTTTTTCCCCCCATGGAAAAACTATAAAGGCCAATTCTGTTCCAAACTTCAAGTTTCCTTCACAAATGTCTACACAATTCTGGGCCTTAACTAATGCTATTAAAAGAAGCCCCTGGGCTTGAAGCTATATGGAAGGGGGGAAAAAGACTAAGGCAAACTTAACTCTAATGCCTGTCTTTAAAAGATCTATTGACAGAAGCAGTGGGGAGAGTTTGAACTAATGTTAACTTAAAGAAAAAGGCTGGTGAGATTCAATTGTGGATGTGAATGCTTGCTTGAGTTTGATCTTGACGGGGCTTAAGATAAGGGAGATAAAAACCTAAGCCTACTTACATATTAAAAAATGCAGTTGCACTAAATTCACTACATACCACTGTTCTCAATTTGATTTATGCCCATCATCAGTGAAGATGCTGAAGGACACCCCTGTCTAATATGGGAAGAAGCCACAGCAGAGGGCACTTGCTCTGCTTTGCTGATGCTAACGTGAAAAACCATTTCCTGACAATGCACGATACTCGTTCTTTCACATTAACTCTTCAAACGTAACAAAGAATAAAAACGGAATTTTTCTTTGGTCCTGTTCTGAGGTATAAATATAACAAGCAGTTAATCAAAGAGATCCAAGAGGTGAAAAGCAGCCTTTAGTCTGTAAGAAATTATTCCACCAACAGATAAGAAGTGATCTTTAAGTAATCAGGAAAAATATCATATTTTGTAAACAGACTGACCTTAGTAACACTTTTAAGGATCTTCAGGTGCACTTTAAATCCAGAAAGCTAAGCAGACACTTTCCCAAAATGTTTGGGTTGTTTTGTGGTCATCAGGACACATACCATGTATCCCAAAGGAGAAAATTATGTCCTCTGAGGGGAAAAACCTTTTCTAGTAATCCTTTGAACCCACCAAGACTGCTTTTCATACCAATTAGTTCATAAAATGTGTTAGAGATACTTTTCATGCAGTTTTAAATGTTTTTATTAACATTTTCTCAAGTTGGTGAAAATGTGGTAGATGTAGCTTGGATTTTTTTTTCCAGGCAAGTTAGTCATGATGACTGAGATCCTGAAAACTATAAAATAATCTATTGTAGACCTACTGAGCTCAATGAAAACAAGTAGCACAGCACATAGTCCTTACCCTTGAGGAGTTTACATTCCACTATGAGAATTGGGCCACAGAATGAAAAGATTTGGTAAAAATTCAAGGTATCAGGGAGAAAGAGATTATAAAGAAAAAAGACAGCATCTAGGATTCCACCTATTTAACATGACCTATTTCTAGCAGTTTCCAAAATCATTTAGTTAAGAGAACATCAGCATTTGCCAATAGCAAATATACTTAGAGGTCCCAAGAAATAAAAGTTTTCATGGAAATCTCAAAGGCAATAAAAAGGAAAGGCAGGATTTATTTAATTTCTTTTCTGCAAACTGCCTCATTTCCTAAAGGAGGAAATGCCAGGCAAACAGTAACTTAAATGGTTGTATTAAACACTCACCCAAGGATGCCATTAATGATAACTGTCCAGAACTTGTTTAAGCTAAATGTCTAGTTCTCCAAATGCATCGGCAGGGTACAAAATGGGTTGTTGTAAATGGATGTTTTCTAGTTTTCTGCTTTTCCTACAGTGTTCTCACAGAAACAACCATTTCCATCATCATTATCATACTCTTTTTAAGTGAGAAAAGTTACATCCAGTAGAGGAACTATCCCCAATCCAGTAACTGGGACCATCACGGCAATCACATAACAAGTTTAGGAAACGGCTTAAGGAAATGAGCTAATAACATGACTGCACACAAGCAGATTATCTCTGATTGCTACAAAGAATGCTATTAGGGGGCACCATGTTTCCAAGTGATCATTTTTCCAGCCTGTTACAGAAAGGTTAATCTGCCGTCCTATTCATAAAATCAATTTAGAATCTTGCCAAATGCAAAAGAATTACATGAAAAAAATCCATCATCAGGAACTATGCCGACATTTCTTTCAATTGTCTTAGACAAGACTAATTCAGATATTTTCCTGACCATAAATTTACCCATGGAAATAAAGGCTGTATACATGACTTTATCAATTACCACTGCTTATCCAGCATGTTGGAGCAGACTCATGTGAGAGGAAAACACAATGGCTGTTTATAAAGGTTCTTATAAAGCTGCTAACACCCAAATTATTTACTACATGAGAATGAGGGAACACATCAGAGAAGCTTGCCATACTGTTATTTAACTGCAAAAATACTAAGCCTCCTCCCTTTAGAATCTCAGAACAACTGCTGAAGTTGTACAATACTAAGGTGTGATGAAATCCCTTCTCTAATCCACATTCTGACAGTCAAATTGTTGCACATATAAACCCCTCCACCCCATGAAGGTTAGCATTCCAGGGTTATTTCCAGTCCCAAAACATGGAAATCTGTTTCAACTTGCCCACCTATCTCAGCTTTAGTCAGAGAATTTTGCCTAAATCTTAAGTATCTATATTTCACTCTTAGTTTAGAAAGATCTAGTGGCCAACTACACCAGTTTTTCGCCCTTGCCTTGCAGCAGATCAGATTGTGAAATGTAAATCAGAATACCTTTCACCTGCAAAATGACTAACATAATTGCCAACACAAATTTCCTCAGGCCCTGAGGGGGTTTTCAGAGGCACTTTGGCCACCTGGTCACTCTGAAACAAGTCAATTGTGAACATAAAACTCAAATCTTGCTTGGGAACGTAGCCTGGGAAAAGGGGAAATTTGCCATTCCCAGATGAAGTCAGTTTCTCGGTTGGGCTGTTTTGTCTGTGAATAGCATTTCATAGTTTCTGTGAAATCTAAATTTCAGATATTACTGTAGGCTAAAACAAAAAGGAAGAGCTGTGTGCCCTTTCAGACACAGAAAACCCAGTGAAGGTTCAGCAATAAGGGTTAAGATGCAAAAGGCAGGCCGAAACGGGAAATTTAAGGATACCCCACTCCAGATGGATTACATCCAAGGCCCACTTATCTGAAATGGAATTAGACCAAATGTCAAGAGGAAAGAATGGCCAGGCTTACCCCTTCGTGTTTTGGGAAGAGCTAGTCTGAATGTTTTGCTGACATTTGAAGTATAAAAGGGTCTTATTGTAAACTCTGGACCCCCAGAAGGCCTGCTTCTAGAGAACTGTGAAAGGAGAGATTAGTTGGGGGAGCCTCACCATCGGATTCCACCCTTCAATCACGTTAGACACAGAGCTTTAGCCACTTCTTTGCTTAAAGTCATGCATGTGGTCAAAAGTTTAATTATATCACCGGCTGCATCAGCAAGCATATTGTCTGCCATCCACAGGAGGGATAAACCTTTTTTGGAGCGCGGGGGTTCAGACATTGCTGTGGAAGACTTCCTGAAATCTTAGGTTATGCCTGACAGTTGGCATTTTTTTCCTTAACTGATCAAAGAACATAGCCTGGGTCCTGATAAGATTATAAAAGATTTCTCTCGAATTCTCAACTTTTGGTGAGGCCTCTACTCTCTCGCCAAACAGCTGAGTTTTTAATGGATTGTGTCTCAAGACAATCAAATTGGCACCTTTGACATAACTGACTGGTTCTTTGCCAGCCAGTCATTCCTCCATTCAATCAACAAGAATTTATTAAATGCTTAGGTGCTGAGAAGATGCAAAAGTGTGCCTCTCCTAGAGAAGTCTGCAATCTAAGCAAAGCACCACGTAATTAAACTAGCTATGAGTCAATCCAACTGGTTATGCATGTATACCAGGCCAAAATCCATGAAGTCTGAGGTAACTACAAATTTCATTTTGGAAATTGAGAAATGTTGATGATAATCAGTTTTGGGTTGTGGATTTCAGGGGTGGTTTCGGGCAAGGAGTAACTGCCCTGGACACCAACCCAGAGAGTCCCAAGAGGGGGCCACACGAGGCCAAAACCAGTTCCCAGTTCTAATCAGTAGAGGAAAAAAAGTGAGAAATTTCTAGACCTTTTAAATACATAACTTTCAGTTTGAATCTGAGTGTTCTAAAAATTGTAATATATGTAAAAGAATACCAGAAAAAATAAATGATAAATGGCCTACCTCAGACTTATCAGGCAAGAGGCACCCTTATAAGCATCCACTGTTCAGAGCATCTGTCCAATTAATACTGATGGTGACAGACTTTTGTTCTCCCCAAACACACACACTCATACCCATGTACATTTGCCAAGCAGAATTCTTTTTGCAGTAAAAAGGACATGATGGCAACATGATTCGCAAAAGGAAATGACACTGCTGTCTGAAATTAAAAGGGAGCCTGCGATGATATGGGGCTGGCTTCTACGCTGGACATGGTAGGCCCAGTGCCTAAGACCCCAGCAGTGTTTTAATTTCTTTTAAAATAAATAAAATCCAGCCTTGATCACATTTGTATTTACACCAACACAGTCATAAGACAAAATTTTAATTTTTTTAATGGAGGAAAGGACCCATAAAGACAAAAGTGCATAAATGGTGTCCACATGAAGCACACTGTGGCCCTGATCAACTCTGCCACTTCCTGCTTGCCCACTGCATGCCTTGAACTCTACATACCCTCTCTACTCTTCCCAACAACCCTGGAAGTTAAGCATTAACACTGTCCTTATTTTATACAGAAGGACATTATAGTGCAAAAAGCTTTGGTAATCATGATGCAGAAGAAAGACCATAGATTTTGGACACAAACACAGCTGGATTAGAATTCCGGCTCATCCATTAACCAACTGTGTGACATGGAGCCAGGTTCAACTTTCCAGAGCTAAGAGAATGAAGTAAAATATATACAAAGAGCTAGTACAGAATAAGCAAAAAATAGTGGCCATTACTGTAATCATTACTACTGTTTGAACGGCTAGTGGCTGAACCAGCATTCTAACTCAGGTCTGCTGCTGAAGTCTTTTCTTTATCCACAGTGTTTCTCTTTAGAACTGCATGACAGACAAGAGGCTCCAAGAAACATATAGTTGTGTGACCCAGTCTTAAAAAGAAAAAAGAAAAAAAAAAGACCACCCTTGAATAAAATCATTCCATACCAGAATAATAATAATAATAAAAGCCACAGTTAATAGTATTATAGTCCTTTTCTCTCTCTCTGTCTGAATAATAGAAATGAGCAACATGACTTGATAATTTCAGTTCAAAAAAAGCACAGGGTGAATTCATCATTTAGTTGAAATGTTTTCATCCACCAAAGAGGCTGCACCCCAAATTCACTTCCAGCAGAACTTCAATATGCCCCACCTTGCTGCACGAGTGGCACTTCTGACCTTTGCATCCTTCAGAGATTTCACTTTTTAGCCAAAAGATCTCTTTCTAGTTCTTTGCAATATTTTAACTATATAACAAAGAGACAGATGTTTAATCAACTACAACTCAGAATATTTATAATAAAACTCTTTATCCATAAATCTCTTAACAGTTTACAGTCATCCATAGCATTTCCTGGACTTTCAAGGCTGATTTTATATGCTTTGGGTGAGAATTTCAACCATAATTCAGCCCCTCAGAAAGGTCTATTAGTGGACTATATAATCACACTTTTAAGGGTGCTTGACAAGTCTATATAGCTGCACACAAATTACATTTTAAAGAGTTCTTTTCAGTGACCAACTGCCAGTGCAATTGAAGATACTTAATATTAAAAGTTAAATATCTGACAAGACCTTATGAACACTGAAGAATGTTCCATTTAGAGAACATTTTTATAATATACAGAATTCTACACCTACATTTAAAAATTAGGAACATTTGCATGAGAACAGGGTCTATATTTTAATCAACTCATTTTCTCCAGCTATTTATTTCCTCTCACAAGGATCTTCTTCTCTTCATGATCATCTGAAATTATGATAAATTAGGGTGAGCAACTGCACAGCACAATACTTACACCCTTTCACAGGAAAAAAAAGAAAAACCTGTAATCCCAGCACTTTGGGAGGCCCAGGCAGGCAGATCATGAGGTCAGGAGATCGAGACCATCCTGGCTAACACGGTGAAACCCTGTCTCTACTAAAAATACAAAAATTAGCCGGGCATGGTGGCGGGAGCCTGTAGTCCCAGCTACTCAGGAGGCTAAGGCAGGAGAATGGCGTGAACTCGGGAGGCGGAGCTTGCAGTGAGCCGAGATGCGCCACTACACTCCAGCCTGGGCAAAAGAGCAAGACTCCATCTCAAAAAAAAAAAAAAAAAAAGAAAAGAAAAGAAAAGAAAAAAGAAAAACAACCACAAACACCACAGAAAAATAAGCATGCGCCCACATTGTGTTGTACCACTCCATTAGCTGTGTCCACACAAAAGTGTGGCTGTTTTGGTCAATTTGTTGTTCTCCAAATTGTAGAAATCATGGATTTTAAAATCAGCATGTTCCAAAAAAACGAGCTTAGAGAATTTCCTGATCTCAGCATTGAGCCAGTACGTTGAGAATATGTTTTTTTACCGTAAATTTGTGCTTTGGATGAAACTGGAAGAAGACTTTGAACAAGAAATTTTTAAGATGTGTGTGTACAAAATATATGGTTGTAGCAAGACCTCATTAAAGTTGAGCAATTCAGGCTGTGAACAACATTGCCAGCCAGGCTGTTTAATTCAGATCTAGTTCCCTCCTCCCCAGCATGCTCATCTGCCAAAACTGCATTAATAACTTCCAGAAACATCGCATTTTTCACCTTGGAACAAACTAATACAGGTTAAACTGTTTCATAAACACAGTACTGAAAGAGACCTCAGAAATAATTTAGTCTACCTCTTTCCCCACTTGCTAAACTTTCATTCCCTTTGTGATATGATCCTGAGAGATTATTCATTATCATGGTCCTTTACCCCGGAGACATGAAGGAATAACAAAGAGCAACAGAGACACGCTGTGCCTTTAGGGATGTTAACAGCCAAAAATAGTGAAAAATTCCACTAGTCTACAGCACATCGAATATCTGATTAAGCTGCAGGCCAGAATTATACTTCAGTTTCAATGAAAAGTGTTTAAAATCAGTTCCAAAGCCATCTACACTAGTGACCAAGTGCTGCTAGAGCCTTCACCGCCAGGCCCAAGGCTGGGATTGAATTTCCCCAGACAGTTCACTACTGCAGACAATAACAGTTGCCACATTCAAGTTTCATATGTTATAACACCCTGTGATTTAGACTCAAGTTCCACTTGTACAGCTGCCTGCTTAGTGTGTAAATGGGAACAGGGAGTAGAATCTAGGTCCCCAGCCCAAGGAAAACAGATCCTTTTATATCTTAAGAGACAAACTGGCTGTCCTGAAGCCTCATGAGAACCCAAAACTCCTATATCATTTTAGCAGCAAAAACATCTCTGCTCAATATTCAGAAGATTTTAGCTACACGTTGCAGGTTCTTCTTATATGACCAACATCAAATGCAAAGAAGTAAAAGAAAATCAGAGACAGAAAGCACCTCAAACTTCTATCTCTACAAAGAAAGGGAGAAAATGAACTGCTTTGCATAGGTACCCAGAAAAATCCTGGTGCCTAAAGTCTTATTCTAAGTACACAGGTATCAATCAGTCGTATATAAGTGAAAGATGAGTGTAACAAAAAAGAGACTGAAGACTTTTACAAAAATAAATTGTTAGTAACTCTAATAGAGAGATAAAATATTACTTATAAGTCCATTTTTACTTCAACTAGTATAGTGTCAAATGTTTTTGATATGCTAAAGCATCTACCAAGTACCAGACTGGAATATAACAGGTACTCAAAAAATATGGGTAGAATGAACAGATATTTTTAAACTACTTGTATTCATGAATTGTTCCACATATCTACATAGGAAATTAAGTTCATTTGGGGCTGAGATGATGCTTTGTTCACTTTAGCAAATGTAAGACAGGATACTACAAATAGTAAGTGATTCAATAAATGTTTAGAGAACACAATATGGACCTCCTGAAGATGCTAAAGACCTGTAAATTACCATCTTTAGTCAGTTTAGGAAGCTAAACAAGAAATGTGGTATTGCTCAATTTAGGCGATCAGAGACCACTTTCCACTGAATTCTGCTACAGGCCCCAGAATGGAATATTTTGGAACATAAAAGTGACTCCTCCATTACTGTCCAAATGATATTCCTTCAAGCTAATGTTTAAATGTTATTTTTATTTTCATCAAGCCCCAAAAGTAAATGATTTAAAGTAAAACTAAACATAATTTCTAAGGAATTTATGAAGATCTTGTACAAAAAAAAAAAAGTAAAAATAAATGACCTCACTCTCTTTTTTCCCTTTTTCTGTTCCTTTCCTCTTCTACTCTCACCAGATTAATGTCAATAATCCCACATTCCATTTCAAACAACAGATGAATAGATAGAAGATTAGCTTTTCACAGAAACAGCTGTAAATAACTATAATCTAGTTAGTAGGATTCCTTTATGGCTTGAAGGGTTATAACAACAGGAGTCCTAAATTTCCCTGATCAAAAACTTTAATTCCCTCCTATAGGGAAACAACAGGACATCTTCTAAAGTTCAACAACAAGGTCATGTATACAACATTTATATATATGAACTAATCATAAAGAACCAGGGTAAAGAATTTTAATCCTATAAAATTTAGGTATACAAAGATCCAAGGATCTCATAACTAAATATTTTCTAACAAAAAGTGAGAGGAAAGGTAGCTTAACATCAATCAGTTCTCAATGTCCTAAGAGTGACTTTCTCTCCCTAAAAAATAGAGCATCCTAAGAGAATGTCCAAATAAGTCTGGCTAAATTTAAAACAACTCAAAGTGAAGTAGGAATAATTTATTCAACAAAATATTCTGGTTCAGACTGAAGTACCTGGAAAAAGAAAATATGAAAATATCAGGTTTAATGGCATAGTAATAATTTGGATATAAAAATATTAATTGTGCACTACTATTTACTGAGCGTCGGCAAGGCAACAGAAATACAATGGGCACAATTTCCCTACTCTTTAATGTGAACTTGCTTTTCCAGACATCTTCCCAATGAATGAGTTTTTACAGAAATGCTTCTTGCTTGGTAAGAAGCAAGAGAGCAGTCTGAAGAACTGGGCCCATCCCTTTGGAGCATCTGCGTGGGTTACACTATGGCTAGGGAGCAAAGACAGAGTGGACACAAGGTAGAAAAAGGATCTACATAATGGGACGTCAGCACTGTTAGGGAAAATTGGTTTATACCTCAGTAGACAGACATGAAAACTGCTTACTTATAACAAGTACTTTATATGGAATTAGACAGCTCTTACCCATTAGTTCGATCAATCTTTTATTTGATCATTTCATGAGGCACAGACAAACTGAATATTTTCATTCTCTTTACCACCAACTGTGGAAGACACCCAGAGCCAACCAGACATCACAGACATAGGCCAAATCCAGGTAGGTTTTCTGGTGACCACAGACCTGCACACTTAATCTACACCTCAGAGCAAAGATAAGGGCCATAATGCTAGTTCATAGTTCCAGAAGAATCCACTGTGGATCCACACAGGCTCGGCGTCCACAGGGGATTATGTATCTCTAGGGAAAGGTCACATGTAAACATTCCCAAAGGTTCTAATTAGCTCTAGGGGATATCACTGAGGTCCAGGCTACTCTGGGAATATCAAGATTTTCCCCACAGGACCAATCAGAATCCCCTTAGGAAATCTACAAAACAGAACTTTGTCCTCAAGAGATCGATGAGTTGGGCAATAAACCAAGACCACTGCTTGAGTTATTCTCTGAGGCAACATCAAACTTTCATGGTGACTGGGATCCAGTATTGGCCATATTTGCCTAAACCAACGGCCTCTAAACGCCAAGGAGGCAAACTCACTGAAGATGAACCCCATTTTGATGTCCACACAGCCCCAAATTCAGTCCTTTCAGAAAAAGGAGTATAGCCAAGGCACAGTCCAGGTAGCTGGCTGCAGCATTTCCCCTGAGATTTATATATTCCCTAAATTTATTATTTAAGCATAAATAACCTTTAAATTCAATAGTTGGACATTTCTCTCTCAAATATTATTTTGGATAGTCATTGCCTTCAGAATCTTGCCAGTCTGTCTTCTGTTGTGCAAAACTCAACCATTAAGAAATTTAATGGGCACAATTAATGTCTCTGATTTGTTTTCCTTCCCAGGTGACAGCATTTACTGATAGTTACTGCTGATGAGCAACTTGCTATCAACTTTTATAGTTGCTCCTGCTTGCTAGCCATGGGACTTTGTGTGAATTTCTAGTATATAGTAGGCACTCAATAAGTGTTTGTGGAACAAATGAACGAATGAACCCAGCTGCTGCTAAAATACTATGAGGCTCCATATAAAGAATGTAAGAGGTTTGACCCATTGCAGGCACTCAGTAATTGAGGCAAGGGCAGAAGTGGCGGTGATGGTGGACAAGGTAATCAGAGTGGTCACAACGTAGCAAGTCTTCTTCTGGTTATTCTAATGTAGGGAAAACAAGCACATCAAATGGAAAATATTCCCTGGTCAGTAGGGAAAGTCAATTGCTGATATTATGGGACTAGTGAGGATCATGATTACAGATGGGCAGTCCCCATGGGCTACAAATGGTATGGAAATCTACCCTGGGAATAAATCCCTTCCATTCCTGCAATGGATGGGGATAAAAGTGGAATAGGATTTGAAGAACACAGTTTCATGCAATATCAATGGCAATAAGTAGGTACAATTTTCTGCTTTTCACTTATCATAAGAGTTACTGGATGGAAATTCTAAGTTAACTTCTAGAAAATACCAAGCCCAAGGACCCTCTCATAGGCACCCAGCAGCTGGCTTATTCCTATTGCACTACATCAAGGGCACAAAGGAGTTTTTCCTTATACCCTAAATTTCTTTCCATTTCTGATGGCAGCAACAGCCAATTCAAGGCAAGCAGGAAAGCAGTTTGGGGATCTGGAAAGATAAATTCTTCTAAAAGAGGGAATGATAGCTCAGTGACAGTACTGATAAATTCTAAACAATATTAGGCCATATAGAGAAATAGAAAAACCTGTGAATAGCACCCATTTCTTATCTAAAAAGCACAAATAAGGGAAGAGTTTTCAGAAGGAATCTGGATGAGCCAAATTATTAGGCCAGATACTACACCCACTATCCAACAGGTGAAGGTAACTACAAGAAAAGGGGATGGTAGGGTAGGGATTTTATTGAATTAGTAAATCCTTTAAAATCAAGTCAATCCCCAAATATGGAAAAGATAATTCTCTTTCCATGAGAGAAGTTGAAGTGGTGCCATAACAGAAATTAGCCCTAAATGTTTCAGAACTGTGGTTAGAAGTTAAGTTACATAAGAACATCTGGATGGCAATCAATCAGTGGAAGATATTATATGGTATAAAGTAAAATTACATTTTGGGGACAGTTTAGTTCACTGGTATGTTTAATGCTGCTTTGGATAGCACAGTGAGTAAAACTGCTGAAATGAAGACTACTATGAAAAGCAGATCACTCAAAGAGAAAAATCAGACTGACATCAAAATCCCCATCAAACTAAAGCTAGAGTGGATGCAATTTTTTTAATGACTTATCTTGCCACTGGTCTGAAAAATATTGTTTATCGTGTTTTCCTTTGTTTCTGAATTCTTTGGTCAACTCATGGGATTGCTCGAATTCAGTTATTTTTGTTGTATTCAATCATGCTCAATTAAGAATAAAGCCTGCCTAAGTAAAACTCATGAAGTAAAGATCTACAATTACAATAATTGCAGTAATGGTTTTTAAAGATACCGCATATCTAGATCTCAGGAAAAGTAAGCTGGTCTTTTCTATAAAAAACTAGACCAAAGAAAGAAAAAGATGGTAAACAAATCTCCATCCCTAACTAGGGCTATTGAGTACACAACTGAAATAGCCAACCTCATAAATTCACCTTTATAAAGAACAGCTAAAAGCATGAGATTGAGGGAGGACGTAGAACTATGAACAGAGGGTAAAAATGTAGGACAAGTCTCTTCCATGCATCTGGACCCAAGAAAATGGACCCTGTGCTACTGTATTCCAGGCATCCCTAGAGTGCTTTCACTGGATGACTGTTTTTATTACCCCTCTACCCAAAATAATTATTATCTATTAATGCGTACATTTAAAATCCAAGGAGTGGTTTAAATGTGGTTCAATTTTATGGGAAAATAGCTCCAATAGCCTTGTATTTACAGAAATGTACCAATCTTAAAGGAACATAGCCACTCAACAAAGCGAAGTGTATCTGTTCAGAAGGAAACCAAGAACACTCCTTCAAAATGGGTTATTTTAAGGAAATAATTTAGGTTAAAAATTAGAGATAATTTTGTCTTCAGAAGTTTTCAGCTGTTAAGCATATCACTGCCTTACCAAAGAATACTTCAGAGTCTCTATTTCTGGAAAAATAATTGTAAGAGTTAACAACTGCCATTCAGATATGACTAGGGGTAATCTTACATGGACACAGAAGGATCAACTAGATTATTTTCTATGGAATCTTCCCAGATCCATGAATCACTGCACACTAAATGGATGTATCAGATTTCTTGTAGATTGCATTTATTTTCACCTATGTCTCAGTAAAATGTAGAAAGCAGGGAATATTAGGGAATGTGGGTTAATTTTCTATCTAAAATCCTAATAGCATCCAAAACCCACTTAAATGATTAACATTCATGACATATAAAAATTCTCGATAACATGCTTAACGAATCATGCCATTTCTCTTCCCCTTCTCCCCCTCCTGTCCTTGTCTCCTCCTTCTTATCCTAGAGAAGTAGTAAAAGTGGAAGCCTCTTGGCCTCCAAAGAAACCTGAAAGTTATTTCAGGACTCTCAGAAGACTTCTTGACCTACTTGTATGCTGGGAAAAAAAGGAGAGGAAAAGTGGCAAGAAATACGTACAGTTTTTAAAGTTATGAAAAATCAAGCATTTACACTTGAAACTGTATATGTAACAGTTATCATGCTCTAAGACAATGACATCAGTTTTCTCCTTGTTTTTGCCACCTATAGTTTTTGTTGTTGTTGTTTTTGAGATGGAGTCTTGCGCTGTTGCCCAGGCTGGAGTACAGTGGCGCGATCTTGGCTCACTGCAAGCTCCGCCTCCCGGGTTCATGCCATTCTCCTGCCTCAGCCTCCTGAATAGCTGGGACTACAGGTGCCCACCACCACGCCCAGCTAATTTTTTTGTATTTTTAGTAGAGATGGGGTTTCACCATGTTAGCCAGGATGGTCTCGATCTCCTAACCTCGTGATCCGCCCGCCTCGGCCTCCCAAAGTGCTGGGATTACAGGCGTAAGCCACTGCGCCTGGCCTGCCACCTATAGTTTTAATATACGATGACTGTTCCTGTCTTCTGGGGTCACTACTCCCTTATATCTAGGAAAGCAATCCAGGTAGCAGGAGATGCGAAGACAAGTGGACCCACGGCATGCTAAAGCAACAACTACAGGCTCTATGGTGCCAGGCACCAGGCTGCAAACCAACGTGCACAAAAGAAAGTAACTAACCCAGAAAAATTGGGAAGAAGGCTACATAATTTAACCTGTGCAGAGATGAAGCTAAAAACTCCCAATGACTCTCTCCCTTGGCTGATGTAATAACTCATACAAAAATATGGGTTGGCAAGAAGTTAATCAAACCAACCCATTATCTGGAAAGAGTGTTCAAATTCTACTTGCTGCTTATGTTGTCTGAATTAGTCTTGAAAATAACCAGATATTATTTTTCGTTAAAAAAAAAAAGCAACAGAGATAGACACCAGGTCCACTGGCCTATTGTTCCACATTTAGAGTACATAACTAGAAGGCCCATTCTAGTCACCCCAATTGTATCCTTCCGTCCTGGAAGAGGATCTTCTCATGATTTTTCTTTTCTTCAAGTGATGTTCATCCCCTATTTATCCTAGTCTCTCTGCACTGACACTAATCTGCCTTGAAATTGGCTGATTCCGCTCGAGCCATGTTTACAGGAAAGTGAGTTTCATCAGGCCATCCTGTTCATAGACCAGTTTATGCTCCACAGCAGAGAGATTATTAAAAACTATATATTACGTGCATACACTTTAAAATGACTTGGGAAAGATAACTGTATCGTATCTGCATTTCATTGCCTGGGTTGTAGAAAGGGGCCAGGTAGCATTACAATCTTGAATGGAAATTGTTTCCCAAATATATTATCCTCTGTAAGAAACATTTAGCAACTGTTAGTGCCCAGGAGACAAAGGCTAAGGGGAAACAATGTGTGTAATAGAATGTAGAGAGGGATAGGAAGAGAGAGGAAAAAGACTCATTTAAATTATCAACCTGAGCATTAACCACAAGGAGAGAAAAACAAATGTTCTATCTTTTGCACAAACATCAATTACGTCTAGTAATTTAGCTGATTCCTCTCACTGAACAGGTGCGCTGGCTGCAGTGCAAAGTGAAAAGCGTGCACACCACTCTGGCTTCTATAAAAGGTACCAAGGGTCCTCAACTTGCTCTAAAAAAAGGTTTCCAACATATCCTGGAACTGCCATTATTGACAGTTTAAGCCAAGCCCCTACCTGCTATGTGGCAGTATGAGAGTGAAACCCAGTCTAGAGACTTGCCATTTCAAGTGGCTGCAAATTGGGGGCAAAGAGAGTAAACTCAAAAAGAAATTATGGAGATGGACATGGATTTAGCTATGTAAAGCCAACTGAATTATGCTTGACAAGGGAAAGCAGGATGACTGAATTAAGATAACTACAAACGCTAAGCATAAGCAATCTATTTAACTTGCTCATAAGACCAAGCCCAAAATTGCTTAAAGAACCAGAATTGGTCATTTGAGTTTCATTCCCAGATCCTTTTCTATTCAGATCCTAAGAAAACAAAGTGACCGAAAGACCTAAAGCAAGTAGGGGGAAAAGGTATAATCAAGAGCCCTGCTAATAGGCAAGTGAATTAAGCGGCTTCCAAAAAAACTAAAAACTGACTATAAACATATATACACACACACACACACCAACAAAGGAGTAAGTTACTCTTTGCCATAGTTAGCATTTAAAAACTGCAGAATGAAGTTGAAATACATGGAGTTTCTTCTGCAAAGAGGTACAATGCTAGTGAATGAAGCATCCACCAACTTGTTTCCCTGCAGCTCCCACAATGCGGAGTGAAAGAGGCCATTTATCTGTTTCTTTGTTATTTTATCATCATCATAAGAAAGAAAAAAGAAGGCCAGAGACAGCATCCTTTAACACTCTTTGTTTACTCTCTACCTTGATTATTGATGTTGATTCTGGAAGAGGACAGGGGTTTCAGTGAAAACAATGGTCTCAGGTACTAAAGCATCTGTTCCACTGAGTTTTACCCGTGTGCTAAGAAAACTTAAATGACTTGGGTTTTTCTTCTTCTGCTTTTAGTTAAAATTCCAAAATATCTCCTTCTAGAAACCCTGCCAGAAAAAGTGCTCCTGCCTTTTCTCAAGAATGAATAGCTATATTCCCTTGTCTTATGTAAACACATGGACCGCAGAGAATTTACGTAAGACCAGAGATACAGCCATTTGTCTTCCATGACTCTCATTGGAGACGGTGATTTGGATAGACAAATCATACTTCCATACCTTGTTTCCTCATCGGTATAAAGAGTAGCATAGTCATATTGAGCCATCTACCAAAGCAGGTAAGAGGACGAAAGAAATGGCTAAAGAAGGCTTTCAAGACCTTTAGAAAAAAATGCTAAAAGAAACAACTCATCTCCTCTCTTGGAGTAATTCCTTCCTATATTCTAAACTCTACCTTCCAAACAGCAACCTGAGGAAGAATAACATTCTTGGAATGCTTCCAAAGCAGTTCCATTAAGAGACAGAATTTGTAGTTCTGTGTCAAATGTTGGTGATCTAGGAACTCTAGATATAGACATAATTTTTTTTTTTTTTTAGACAGTCTCACTCTGTCACCCAGGCTGGAGTGCCGTGGAATGGTCACAGCTCACTCAGCCTCAACCTCCTGGGCTCAAGTAATCCTTCTGCCTCAGCCTCCCAAGTAACTGGGACTAAAGGCATACACCACTAGGCTGAGCTATTTTTTTTTCTATTTTTTTGTGGAGACAGGGTCCTACTGTGTTGCCCAGGATAGTCTTGAACTCCTGAGCTCAAGTGATCCTCCCACCTCAGCCTCCCAAAGTGCTAGGATTACAGGAGTGAGCCACCACACCTGGCCTCATGGACATGATTTTATCTTAAAGGTAAATGGTGTACACACATAAAGGAAGAATCTTACTTGTTCCATAGTCATAAAGCTGGACAAAACTCACTGCAACCACAACTGCTTTCAGAAATTGTTTTGAGAAATAATGCAAACATAACTCCTTTAGTCATCTGGATAGTTTATGTGCCTGTATTTATGTGCATTTTCCACACCAATAATCATAGACGCTTGTAACCAGTTTGGTTCTTAATGCAAAAATTTTAACAGTTGTGTGGGTGGGTCAAGAGGGGAGTGTATGTGTGAAGCAAAGCTATCATTGTACATATTTTACTACCATCTGTTGTTTCAATAATTTTTAATTACTTAACATGGAATTCTCAGTGCTGAGAATAAATTTTAAAGTAAGCTACCCTGATCAAATGTTTTCCACGTGTTTGGGTAGGGTGGGCTGGGAGGCAGGGGAGCTACAAAGATCAAAGGTCACAAAGAGCCCTCAGCCAACATAGGTATCTTACACGGCTGGCACATAATGTTTTTAAAAACTTGAGCCAACATTTAAAAGTCAATGTGGAGATGGCCTAAAAATTTAGGTAACTAGCTTCTCATAAAAATATGGTAGCATCTGGCAACACTGTCCATATTAACATTCATGCCCAGCCATAGAGCTGAACACCAGGTACCCCTGGAGGTGGGAGCTGTACTCTCCAGCTGACCACAGTCCCCACCTCTCCCTATTCTTTCCACAGCATCCTATTTTCTTCCTTTGTGTTACCTGCTTTGCCTTTATTGGCATGTATGAGATCCCCTCATATAGATGAAGGAATTTAACCCATGGTAGATGCTTAATAAAAATGTATTGAGGCCGGGTGCAGTGGCTCACACTGTAATCCCAGCACTTTGGAATCCCAGGTGGGCACATCACTTGAGGTCAGGAGTTCGAGACCAGCCTGGCCAACATGGTGAAACCTGGTCTCTACTAAAAATAGAAAAATTAGCCAGATTTGGTGGCGGGCCCCTGTAATCCCAGCTACTCGGGAGGCTGAGGCAGGAGAATTGCTTGACCCTGGGAGGCGGAAGTTGCAGTGAGCCAAGATTGCACGACTGCACTCCAGCCTGGGTGGCAAAGGGAGACTCCGTCTCAAAAAAATATATATATATATATAAAATATATATAATATAAAAAATATATATATAATATATAATATATATATTATATATAATATATAATATAAAAAATATATATATAATATATAATATATATATTATATATAATATATAATATATATAATATATATAATATATAATATATAATATATATAATATATAATATATATAATATAATATATATTATATATTATATATATTATACATTAAACATATATTTATAATAATAATAAATTATTAATTTTTAATAAAAATATATTTTATATATATTATATATAGAATATATAGAATAAATGAGTCAATGAAGAATCAAACATTAAATATCATTAGAGTAGGCAAGCCCAAAATATATTCCAGTTTATTTCCAAAGCAGTTACTTTTTGTACTATAAATTTTATAAATGTATTCAAGTATATTTTCAAATAGATTTCCAACATTTAAAAATAAGTTTGTATAAACTTCAATTATACCAATGATCAATCTCCACTAAATCACAGTACACTTTTGGTATATAAATTTGACCAAGAAGTCAACTGATGGATGCAAATACACCCCTCATTCTTCAGTAAAGTGAAGCGAAATATCACATGATTATTGGCAACATGGACATGCTTTAAATAGTCTATGAATACTCTCATGTTTTTAATCTGAAAAAAAGACCTCTCTCAAACTAGGCTTCTAAAATTACTTAAAAACTGGTCTCGATGTCGAGGAAATGAGACAGACCAACAATATGTTATCTCTTAGCTTTAAATTTATTCCATGCAGGTTAGGGGAGCACCAGGCCGCAGTCAGAACATGACTGCCAAAGAGATGCAGGGACAGGCTCTTCAGAAAAGGAGGATCCTGGAGCTGGAATAGGACCTTTTCAATGTGAGCGAATCGGCATCTGTGAGCAGTGCTTGCAGTGGAGCTGTACACAGACAGGGAGGTGAAGTGAAATCTGTGACTGGGAGTAAGCCATCACACTTCCTAATGTCTCCACCCAAATGACAAGCCGGAGAGCCCACTGCCATTCTTTTCTGCGAAGGAATTCAGCTCACAAGCCATAGTGGAGACAGGAAAAGCCAAGCTTCTTTTGACTAATTTTTCTAAATAGCCATGAGGAAGCAGTGATGAGGCAAAATCTGTCAAATTTAATGTTTCACAAAAGCAGCAGTGCAATATATTAAAAGAGATGTGAGAAACTAACCTCCAGAAGGGATTGTGGCATGAGATCTCTGCTCATGCTCCTAGTTAGCAGTTCTTATGTAACTGTTTGCTATGTCCATGGCTATACATCAGCACCTGTTTTGAAACAGCTCTGAGAGCAGCTGAGTGAGCCCATGACTGGAAGAAGATACTAATCAGATACAGAGACTCGACCCTTATGTGCACTCCTCATTGTCAATCATCCATCTGGGACTGTCAAAACAAGGCCAGTCTGTTTCCAGGAGCAGCATCTGCCCAGCACAGGACCGGACTTCAGTATCCAGGCATTCTGTGGCTTTGCACCAGGAGAACAAATCTGTTCTTTCTGGAAGGAGAGGAGATTTCCAGCCAAACTGTTTGATGACTCTAACGTGGTCGATAATGCCAAGACTACGATAGGAAACAGCACTGCTTCTGACTTAAAGTCCAACCTGCTTATGGTTCCTAAGACATGTCCAGTTTTGTCAGAGATGTTCAAACCTCGAGAGCAGAGGGGCTCCACGCTGGCTGCACATCAGAATCACCTAGGGAGCTTTCAAAACCACCAACAGTCTGGCCTCACCTGACTCAAATTAAATGAGGCTTTCTAGGGGTAGGTGCTAGCATCACCCTCACCCAAGGTGATTCTAAACATGCAGCCAGCATTGAACTATGGGACCGGAAGGATTAAAGTGAAAAAGGAAATAGAACCAGAAAGAAAATGTTAAAAGAAAAAGGCAGAATAAAAGACAGAATGTTGCTATAAAAGGATCCCACCACCACTATCAAATAATTACAAACTCACCCAAGATCTCCCACAATAGCTCAGATCTAATTCCTTTCCTGACCCAGCCATCATCTTCTTTCCACCTGAAAATCCTTCTGGTATTTATAATCCTTTTATTTTTAAGCTACTAAACTAGAATTACATTCTGCCTACTGGAGAATACTTGCTTCTCATAAAATAGTTATTTGATTAGTTAAAAAGGTGAGACAAGTCAAGGTATGTGCTTGTTCTCTCATTCCTTTTCATGACTGGCTCTTCAAATAATTAAACTTGAATGGAAAAAAGGCATCTTGTTTCAAATAATACTGTAACCTGGGTATATCTACCTCATCAATACAAACTGATTCATCTGTGCTAAAAATGCCACATTCATGATAGTGTTAAAAATTGTGAGGCTCTTTTATCAAAGACCAGTTAGGAAGGTAAGATGGATTGTTAAAGATTATGTATGTAGACATCCATTCATAATCACCTTTTTAAAAATGTTGTAACTGAATGAGCCACTAAAGCTACACCAGGCTCATAATGAGGGGTAAAAAGAAGGGCTGCTGGTGGTACTGAGAGGCACAGAGACAGGAAAAGGAAGACAGAAAGGCAGTCTTCCAAGGCAGGGGGCAGGAGGAGAGGAAAAACTGAGCCAGGTCACTGCAGGGTGTGGCAGTGAGAGGTTTGGATAAGTGTGCCAGCTGCTGTAATCACCACTATCCACAAGCCAAACCCTTACACATAAGCTCAGAGATTCAACTTTTTTCAAAAGTTAATTTTTTAAAGCAAAACCCAAGTTAATAGAATGTTCCAGTAATCCCCTATCATCAAATTTTACTCAGTTGGTGGTGTGGAACTTCATTTATTCATATTTTTAGCTACAAAGTCAGGGCCTGCTTTCTCCCAACCATTTTCTAATCCTTCCCCTTCACACAGCACTCCCCTGACAGGCCTTATAGGCCTGGGGAAATGGGAGCCCCCTGTTTTACCCCGTATGCACTGACCAGCACCGGTGAAATTACAACACCCAGGAATGAAATACAAATCATTATTCCCAAATACAGACAGCATTTAGGCCTTTCCATTGCTCAACCGTTCATTCTCATGACCTGGATACCAAAGCAGACCTTCTGGCCAAAACAGCGGCTAAGTGGGTGTGCCACTTTTTTTTATTACTGTATCTCATATCAGATAGTTTAATTTTGTGTAATTTGTGGTATATGGCTGGATTACAAGAAAAAACAAAATGAAATCAAAGAAAATATAGAAGAAGGAGGAAGTGGAGTCATTGGTCCCCCCTTTAGTAACCAAAAAAGTACACTATAAAAACCAAGATTGAACCTTTGGTTTAATTTTTTTTTTTAAACTTTGATTACACAGTTGGGTCGGTTTGAGAATATGGTAATAAG
Source organism: Homo sapiens (assembly GCF_000001405.40). NCBI lineage: Eukaryota > Metazoa > Chordata > Mammalia > Primates > Hominidae > Homo > Homo sapiens. The sequence goes on from NC_000005.10 coordinate 107,595,196, forward strand.
TATAACCTTTAGAATGAAAGGCAGGATGAGCAGATGGAACCTAATTAATAGTGAAATATTATTAATCTGTCTCCCTAAGAGGAAGAAAAGTCAGTCATATTTTACAAAGGAATTTCTCTGTACAAATTAATAAAATCAGACTTACTATACAACAAGGGGCTCACTATGAAACAAATATGTTTGGTATAAACCTTTACCAAACCCCAATAATTAAAATCACTTCACCCTATCCTATAAAGCTTAAATATACCATTAATATGAAGCTCAGTTGTTATATATCACCACATTTTTTTACATTCATAATTTAATAAATATTATTTACAGAAAAAGAAGCAATAACTCATTTTTGGGAAGCCGGGAAAGGGAAAGATAAAATTAATTTACTATAAACTCAACTTTATAATTTTCCTGAAATCATAAAACTTATTTAGAAAAGTGTTCACATCTGAGTAGCTTCCCTGCAATGCCGGGGGTAACACCCATTCCCCTCAGTGTCCACAAGGGATTAGAAGCCCAAGATTCGGAATCAGACAGACCCAGATTTCTTTCTTGTTTTGCTACTGCTAGCTGTGTGCCACATGCAAGTTAATTAAGTCTTTCAGTCCTCAATTTACTGATCTCTAAAATGGGGATAAAATACGCACTTCAAAGTGTCAGGCATCTACATACCCAATAAATGATACCTATTCAGAGAAAAAGATATATAAACCTAAAAAAGCAAAAATGAAAAAGAACACATATTCATAGCTGGCAATAAGCAAAAGGCTTACATTTACTCCAAATATTTATTTTTTTAATTGCCTCAGAAAAAAATATTCCCTTCCTCCTATTTCTTGTCAAAACAAGATAGAAAAATAAAATTCAATGGGAAGCAGTACAGCTAACATTTTACTTAATACTACTTTGTTACAGGAAAATTCAATTTTCTTGTATTATTTTTTATTATGGCAAAAACATAAAATTTATCATTTTAGCCATTTTAAGTGTACAGTACAGTAGTGTTAATTATATGCACAATGTTTCCAACACATCTCTGAAACATTTTCATCAGCCAAAACTGAAACTCTATGCCCACTGAACAATAACTCCCCATTTTCCCCTTCACCTAATCCCTGGCAACCATATTTCCAGAGCTTGACTACTTTAGATACCTCATATAAGTAGAATCATTTTTCTTTCTGTGTCTGGCTTATTTCACTTAGCATAATTTCCTGAAGGCTCATTTGAGGTGTAGCATATGACAGGATTTCTTTTTAAAGAGTGGATAATATTCCATGGTATATAAATATACGCCACATTTTCTTTATCCATTCATCCACGGATGGCCACCTAGGTTGCTTCCATCTCTTAGCTGTTGTGAATAATGCTGTAATGAAATGGATGTGCTATTTCTTTTAGAAAGTGATGACTTTCCTTTTTTAAAAGTAATTTATTAATAATTTTGATAATTCAATCTTTGGCCTGCAAATATATACAAGTTATTTAACCTATAAAATTGAAATGTCTCTCTCTCCCAGCAAAAGGAGGTAGATGGAATTAGCAGGTTTTGACAACACTCCTCCATTCTCCCCGTCCAAAGTAGACATGAGGAAAAAAAAATACTGAAAATTCTATTTTTGTCACCACTGAGACTTTACATTCTGAGAAAATCAACAAACTGTAACAGTCCTAAAATGAAATCTCATTGGCACTTCACTAGACAAAACAGAAAGTCAGTTGACAAAAATTGAATTAGGTGGATCAGGACCCCAGGACCCAAGATCCAACATTTAGCTCTGGTACCTAATAACTGTGTGGCTTTGAGCAAGTTACTTACCTTCTCTGAGCTTACTTCCTCACCTGTAAATTGAGGTTTAAAACACTCATTTCTTTCAGGACTGTTGCACTGATAAGAACCACGCACATAAAAACTGTTTTAAGAAATACGTCATTTTAAATTTGATTACAATATTTTAAAAAGATCCATCAAAAATATTTAGTAAAGGGAATAAAAACTACTATTTAAATCATCTTAAAGCCTAAAATTAGCTATCGAAGTGAAATTATGTCCTATATATCTACATACCATAAGGTATGCATGAGTAGGCAAAGACAGATAACATACACAGTCTCGTCTTGGTCAAATTTGGTTTCCATCAGACAACCTAACAAATTCCAATGTAAGCTTCCACTCAGCCAACATTACTTGGAAATGGATTCATCTTCCGCAAAATTATTTCCTTCCACTGGCACTGACCCATCACCACAAAAACATCATCTAGTTTTTTCAGAGCACTGAATTAGTAGCTGGATGCAAGAGCTGAAGAACGTCTTGAAACATGGCCATATTGTATCACACAGAATATAGCTTGGAAAAATATTACTTTTCACAAACAAAAAACTTGGCTAGAGAAAGGGGGGAGAGAAGATTAAAACAAAATATCTCCCAGAAAAAAAGTGTAGAAAAAGGAATTGAAACAAAAACACTGAAAATTAAGTGTACTCAAGCCTTGTGTATTGTTGCTGCTTCCAGGAGATGAATTCTGAATATAACAAGATGAATTTCAACAGACCGTGAACCAGAGATTTTCAACATGATAAAGGGGAAACGATATATATTCAATTTTTACAAGCACTGAGTGAGCAGAAAACTGAAAATTCTTCAGCTGCTGATAATGCGCTGATAGAAGTGCATCCCCCGACAGAATTCCTAATGAACTGCCAGAAAAATGGAGAAGTATTAAACAAATGGAGAGACCTAATAATTATCTGTAAGCACACTAACATGGATCTCTAACAACTTCTGTAGTCATTTTCCTATTTTTAAATGAGATACTATTAAAGACCATTTGAATAATTTATTCAACCATTTACGATAACTTTAAGAGTCTTCAAAGATAATAGAAAATCATAAAGTAATATATGTAGGAGATAATGTAGAATACCTACTATTTATTGAGGTCCTACCACATGTCAGATACAATGATAGGTGCTTCACATTCCTCCCCACTACCCCTCTCTCAGTAACAAAGAGGAAAAGACACAGTGTTATTATTCACATTTTACAGATCAGGAATCAGAGGAGTTAAATAATTTTCCTTACTGCAGTCCTGCCCTGAGTCCTGCATAATTTTTAACATCTTATCCATAATCACTGGCTCTGACACCAAATTGAGTGGAAGAGTAAATACTCCAAAAGTGGAGAGGATAAGCAAAAAACTAAATTTCTCTATGAATGGAGGAAATTAAATTATAGGAAAAGACTAGTTATACTTAATATAGAAAAATCAAGGTTCATAGTGGACCACAGACTCTGTGCAAAACCAGATGTGATGAGAAATAAGAAACAAAAGAAAGACTGGACAATGAAACAGAATTATTTACTTGAAAAGTTTATAATCTTTCCTTTGGAAGGCTATGTACCCACAAAGCAACTTCTGAACCCATAAATACATACAGATAAACATACAGGTGGTCTTATAAAGGTCAGAATTCAGAATCAGAATTATGAACTCAGACCAGTATACTATGACACTAATTTTTTGCTCACGGCCAGTTATATTTAAATTCTCTACTCTTAAATCTCAATACAACATTTTTTCATGCTTTTTATCTAACATGCCGAATGATCTAAATGAAATTTTAATATTTCACTGTATGGCAAAATTCCACAATGTTTAACTCTTTACATCTGACTGTGAACCATTTCTTTTGAATTACATTCATTCTCTCTTAGCTTAATTCACTGAGTTAAAGATGCTCAAACAGACCAGGACTGAGTCAAATGAAACACTAAACGCCTGGATTGGGGGCATCCTACAGTTCAAAGCATGGCTTCCCTAGTCAGGAAGTCACTGTGGATATATTAAGGGAAATAAAAACATGCATATTTGGTTTTTCTGTGACTTAAGAAGTCTACGAGGAAATGGGCACGGGAACCAGAGGATAAAGATCAGTAGACACATATTTGAAATGATGTGTGTACAAGGTTATTCATTACAGCATTGTTTATACAGCAAAATACTGCAAACGATCCAAGGGTCCATCACTAGGGAGCTCCTAAACAAACTATAGCACATCTATACAATAAAGTGGTAGGAAGTTGTAAAGAATAATGAGGAAGGTCTCTTTATCCAGGTATGGACATATTTCCAATTTAAAAAGCAAGATACAGAACAGAGATATGCTCTGAGTATGATATGGTTTAAGTAAGAAAGTAGGGATTATAAAACATATATTTGCATATGCTTGCACAAAAATAGAATACTCAGAAAACTAATAAAAGTGGCTTCATATATGGGGCAGTGGGGAATAGGGTAATGGAGACAGGGACAGAAAGCAAGATTTCTCACTCTGTATCTTTTTCTATCATGTTGCTGTTTGAACCTTCTGAATGTATTAACTACTAAAAAGTAAAATAAATAGATCTACAGCCAATTAGAAATCGATAGAAAACTTTTTATAACATGTAGTAATCATAAATATCACTGCAGTCTAGAAAGATTTGTTAAATATTTTATGAAAAGTAGCTACCTATAGGGCATGGAACAAAACTTTAGGAATTTGATGAGAAAAGAAGAATAATTGCCAAAGTATGCTTCTAGGAAAATCCTACTGTAGTGCCATTGCTAGGAAGACTCCAGTGAGTTGCTCTCATTTTCAGAAATGCATCTCCGAGGCTGTGCCTTGCAGACACACAATGGCAGCTGCCTTTAGGCAGGTAGTTGGAAAAACCTGAAAGTACCTGCTATTGTCCAAAGCAGCAGCTTCCCTTCAGGACTCTCCTCAATCTCATGAATACCTTCCAAACTCAGTAAAAAGGAATGTGAAGTAGACAGATTCAAGAAATGAAAATTACAACAAAACCCAGAATGACAGAAGAACCTGGATGCTAAAGTTCCCCTGATGTCATCCAGATATTGAATATGACTGATCAGTGCCATTTTGGGTTAATCACAGGCTACTTCCCAGAGGAAGTGAATTTGAGCTAAGGTTTGAAGGTGACAGAAGGGAAATGAATGCCAAGTTAACAAGAGATGAATTGCAGTAAGATTTCACAGAGCTATGTGAATAGATAGAACAGTGGCACAGAAGCTGAAATGTGGGCAACTGTAATGGCATGCATTTAAGGGAAATGAATATAAATTACTCTTGGACGATGATCAGTTGGCTACAAGATGTCAGTTACAACCTAAGAAGAGGAACTGTTGGCCACTGATGACTATTCACTAACGATTACAACCTAATATACTGTGGTAGCCCAGAGGCCAGCAATAAACTGAAGGTAATCAGCTAAGTTAATAAAAAATGTTTCTCTTTTTTTTTTTTTGGCCACAGAGTCTCACTCTGTCCCCAAGGCTGGAGTGCAGTGGCAGGACCTTGGCTCATTGCAACCTCTGCCTCCCAGGTTCAAGTGATTCTCATGCCTCAGCCTCCCGAGTAGCTGGGATTACAGGCATGCACCACCATGCCCCCTTAATTTTTTGTATTTTTAATAGAGACAGGGTTTCACCACGTTGGCCAGCCTGGTCTCAAACTCCTGACCTCAAGTGATCCACCCGCCTGAGTCTCCCAAAGTGCTGGGATTACAGATGTGAGCCACTGGGCCCAGCCAAAAATGTTTCTCTCTTAATATACAATTCTGAAGTATGTTTAATCTGGTATCCCATCTTAAATCTGGACCTCACCCCGTGAAAAGCTGAGGACAGGTTAGAGGAGAGAAAGATTCCGTATCTTGATTAAGATACAGAAAAGCCCAGAAGACCTATAAAGATTGAAAGCCCTTTGTCTAAAATAATGAAAGCTGAGACAAGCAATGATCAAGTTCTTGTTACCTTCAAACCTGGTAAATGTGAAAAATTAAAGCTAGCAGTCCCTATAAAGTATGTGGAAAACTTAGAGAACTCATCATCCCTAGATGAGATACATGCTGAATCTACAAGTAACTTCGAAAGAGGTTTAGATTGTTTCATAGGAAAAGCATTCATAACATATTATTACTAGAAATCAGGACCATTCGTACTATGTTCCAAGGGAGGAGATCTTTGACTGTCCACAATGTTTTGGCCGCATTGGCAAAGAACTCATGACGCAATCTTACCTCTATCTCAGCTCCTATGTCAGCTGGCAGGGCTGACAGTGGGGACATTTCAAAGGAAGATAACGTAACCCATAAAGCAGAGCGTTAGGGAAGCACAGAGTAATTCACTGCCAGTCTCTGCCCACCACTGTACTGGGCTGCACCATCTTCAGGACTGTAGAAGTAAGTGTAACTCTGAGAAAACAACCAAAATGAATCAAGCATACAAAATCAAAGGAGGTTAGGAAATCTATATAATTTAATCTTAAGAAGAGAGCAAAATAACATGAAAAATTTCTCAGTTGATTAGGTAGATAAGGTAATGACCATCTTTTTAAAGAAAATAAAAGTCCTTAAGAGTTAAAATTAGAAAGAATTGCCTGCAACTGACATTAATAATACTTGCTAAGGGTAAGTGCAGTAACTGAACACTTATTAGTTGCTAGACATTGTGCAAGGTGCTCCAAATTCTTTAACTCATGTTTTTTCCTTTTCCTTTTGATCGTTACCTTTACAGAAACACACAAACAAAAAACAAAAACACCTAGATAATTTGTGGAGGTAAGCTGGAGTTCTATGAATTTAACTTCATGATGATGACTCGTTGAGACAATAAACTATGTATGCCACAATATTCACTAAAGAAGTAAGAAGTTTCCTCAAAAACCTATGTTTTTGGAGTCTTTCACAGCTTTCTAGGAACCAATTATTTTCCCCTTTCCAGGCTTATTGCATGTATTTAAACTATCCCTTAATTTACTGAATACTAACAATGAGCATTACTCCGAATTTAACGCTGGTGAATCTCGGGAAAGAGACGTGAGCTCACAGAGGAGGCAAAGAAGGAATGGTGATTTATGATCACAGAAAATGTGCACGTTATTAATGGGACTCAAAGCAAAAACATGTTTCATATGAGGAGCTGTTTTCAGTCTCCATTTAATGCAGGAGTTAAATTTGGAAAATCCACAGGTACCTCACTTATCTATATATAACATGGCTTTTCATAAAATGTTTGTAATTCTGAATATTGATGAGGAGTATATTGATGAGACAGAATTTGGGACTTCATTACCTCGAAACAGGCCTGTTAATGTATGTGGATGTATCATCCCAACAAATAACCATTCCAAGAAAGAAAAAAGTCACAATAACTATGGGGTAAAGATAAAAATCAGAGCCTATTAAGCCTGCCATTAGAAGGGAAAGTGGAATTGCTTCTCATTTTTTGGCCAACAATTAGGAAACCCAGAACATCAGGAACAAAACAAACGAACATTCAAGCTAAATGAAAACAGCAGTTTCAGAGCCCTTATACTTTGTTCAGCAGAACAGAGGTAGAGTGAGCTGTGCATTTTCCCCTCCATCCCCCAAACACCTCACAGGCTGGGGACAGGACTAATAATTTGACTTAATTACATGGTAATACTTATCTGGATTCAACTAGAAATCCTCAAACTGGTCCTAGCTTACAAACTGAGAAAGGAAAGGAAAGCCGATTTGGGATTCTGGAAGTCAGAGCAGGTTCCCAGTCGTTAGACGTGGCAGAGGAGAATAGAAATGATCACAAAGGAGGAAAAAGAAAGAAAGAAAAAAATACTAATTAGAAGAGCACAGTGACTAGAGGCCATGGGCTTTGGGATAAAAAGCCCTAGATACTGGCAGGAGGCAGGAGACGTAGCCATCTGGGAAAAATCATAAAGAAGTCAGGCTAAACCTACAGACCTCGAAGGCTCCCGAGTGCATTCCGGTATTACCAAGGAGTTCAATAAATGGTGTTCTTAATGAGGGTCCTGGTTCTTTGAGAAAACTCACCATACTTAGTCAAATCACTTCTTGTAATGACTGTGACATTTTAGAACATTTGCAATGAGAGCAGTTATAACTGTTTCATTGTTTAAAGGATTAAGCAGATTTAAGCCGAACTCCTCCTTCCTGGACACTCTAGATGAATTAGCTACTGTAAGGAAGGTTGTAGTTCAAGGTGCATCAAAGAGTCACTACTCCTTTTAATGGAATTTTCCCCCATTCCAGTCTTAGCTTAGAAAGGAAAGAATATACAGAATTGACTGTAGTTTCTCAAGGAAATATCATGGCAATTTTTATCCCTCACTTTCATATAAATTTAGAGGCTTTTCTAAGTGACAGGATAAATCACTGTCTCTGATACATGAGGATTTATACTTAACTGAGATTAGTAGGCCATACCTCAGGAGAACAGCGTTCTCATTCTGAACAATACGCATGAACCAAGGGAAAGGTTCCATTTTAGTCATTCACTTCCATAAAATGCAAGTTCATTTCAATTACTACTGTGGCTCACCTACTAACGACCAGCTCCAACAACATAAAAAACATTAAATCACCAAATTTGTCATCAGTGTTTTACATGTGTTTCCCATGCTTGGTAAAGTACGTTTACTGAGAGCAAAGAATGTTAGAAGTGGAAACAAGCTACAGACACCACTCTCGTCTGTCCTGACACTCTAACCGTGAGGAGCTGTGACTTATGTTAGCAAGTGAAAACTGGTAGGCATGAAATTTCTTTTACAAGAGCAAGCCAAAGTGATAGCAGAAATTTACTTTATATGTATAGCTTTACAGAACGGCAATGTGGTTCCTGCTCATAGAACAAAGTGAGTTAATCTACTTTGCAAGAGACAATGACCTTTCAAAGCAAGCTGTGATAGGTTTATCCCTTACCTTACAAAAAGAATATCAGTTCTTTAGCAAAACCATAAGGACAAGGTAATTTTGTAAGGACTAATTCAGGTACTCCTTTTTCAAGGTGAAGTACACACATTTCTCAAATCTTTGGGGACGTGAACCAATATTATTCTGCAATATGCATTTAAAAATCAGATAATTATTGGACAGCTAAGCATCTATAAGAGAATGGCTATTCCCAGTCACCAATATTAATCTTTTATTTATTTATTTTTTAAGAGACAGGGTCTACCTCTGCCACCTAGATGGGAATACAGTGGTGTATCACGGCTCACTGCCACCTTGAACTCCTGGGCTCAAGCAATCGTCCTGCCTCAGCCTCCCGAGTAGCTGGGACCATGTATGGGCTTGCACCTGGCTCTGATTTTTTTTTTTAACCAAACCAATTTCCTATCTTAAAAGTCACAAGAAGAGCACATTGGTTGTGTGGCTTTCATGTCTTACTTCTCAACAGCAATAAGAAATAAACATGAGCTGGAAGAGAGAAACAGAACACTAGTCTCAGTGAAGGAAATAACTTAATTCAGCACACTGCTCTACAAGCATCTGTCTTTGGTCTCACTGCATTCAAAAAATAACATGGAAAAAGGAATGGAGACATGAGTAACACATATAAGAAAAAAATAATTAGAACTTAAAAAAATAAATATCATAATGCAAGTTGCAACCCACTTGCCGTGCAGACATGTCAGAACACAGATCTGTAGTATCTATATTCATCACTGCCAGGCGTATTAAAATAGAGGCAGAATGTCAGTGGCAGGAGTTGGCATGTGTACGAAATGTTTAAGCGCCCTACATGATTCTGATCTGCCCCACTAGGTCAAAAATCACTCATCTATTCCCATCACGGTAGTTCACTCAGCGGTTCACTGTCTCACTTAGTGCTTAATTGCGGGATGTTTTCATAGGTCCACTGGCACCTAACTAGGTTCAGACTGTTTTAAGTCTCTCCCAATCTACAAATGGTTATCTCCTGCCTATTCATAGGCACCTGCACACCAGCAGCCTAAAGACAGTGGCCTAAACTAGTTAAACTAGTTGATTCTTCATAACTGTTTGCTTTTGATCAAAAAGGGCAGCAAGAAAAGGGCCAGTGGTTCCACTGGGAGGAAAGCCATGTGGGACAAATTAGGTGCCGCTGCAAGATTTAAAAGCTCGGGGGTGGGGATGGGGGGGGAAGCAGAGCTAACTAGAGGCAGCTGTTAGGATGTGGTTTCTGTGTTTATATTCTTCTCCTTCCCCCTAATGCCTCTTATGGGTATTAGGAAGGAAAGCATATATATGACCCAGCAGAGAGGATCAGCTCTCTTGACTGTGCATGATGCCGAGACCATAACTCAGCACATTAATGACAAAAGTTACCTGGCAAGAGAATGAGGTAAACCTTTATTTGAAAATTTTTTGCAATCTTCTTTTATCTAAACACATGAATACAGCAGAAAATTGCACTGTTAGCAGACGGCTGTCATGATAATAGTGAGAAACCTTATAGGAGCAATAAACCTGAGCTACCTAGAGATTTAAGGCTGACCTACCAGTCTGCAAATGGTACATCCTGTTGCTATTACGACCTTTACCCCCACCCCCCGCCACCCCGACAATTTCACCTTCAAACTCTCAACCCAAAATTTCAATATGGTTCATTGCCAGCACCTTTCTCTTTTTTTGGGGTGCAAAAGTGGTTCGTTGATCCATATGTATTTCAACAGGCTTTGACTGAGAATTAAAGTCACATACTATTTAAACAACACAGAGATTGCATTGTTCTTACAAGAACCTCCCTTTTCCCTGCCTGCCCCAACCTCTCTTCCCTTCAATATTGTCCTCAATAACAGGCTTTCTTCCCTCCTTGTAAAGCCCATATGGGGCACTGGGAGGAAGCAGGGGGAGGGCAAGTATTTCTATTTCTCTTGGCACTGAATAAAATGGTTTTCCAGGGGATGGAGTATCACTCTCATTTTAATAAAACTCCTGTTTCCTGTATAATATCACTCAGGTCACTTCAAGGTGAGAAGGTGATCAAAAACAGAGACGAGCAGTGGACTACACTTGTGAATAGCACTCAACAGGGCCCACATGCTCCAAATCAATGCAGCATGACCAAGTCCTCTGCCCAATCATCCAGCTACTCAAGTATTGCAAATCTTAAGAATTCTACGTGCTCAGACAAATAGCTGCTGCAAATACTTAATGCAATGAAGCCACTTTTTACTTGACTTTTTTTTTAAAGTCCTTTCCCAAACTGTGGTATTATTACCTGTAACATAATGAACATTAAAATTGATTTTCACCAGCTCATATGATTTGCCTACACATAAGGCTTTAATGCAGAGTAAAGAACAGATTAGAATAGCATTGGCCTCAACTTTTAAAATAGCTTTTCTCTTCCTACTGGGTGAATGAGTACATGAAGCCACTTGATTCACACAGGGAAACTTAATTCCTTCCTCATTCTCTGCCATCTATCCATCTACCTGTTTTGTATTATTTTTAATTGCTTTGATGCTGCACTCCTGCTACTCTACCCAAATCATAGACACACACTTGCACGTACAACACACACACACACACACACACACACACACACACACACACACACAGAGCTAGTAATGCGGTATAGCAGAATTTTTATCTGAGCCACATATTAGCTGTACGACTTTGGAAGGTTACATAATATCTCTAAAACTTCAATTTCCTCTTCCATAAAATCAAGATGATAATTCCTGCCTCATAGGGCTACAAAATATCACAGCTGTAGTAGGCGCTCTATAAATATTAGTTCCCATCTTTTCCCCTCTCTCCGTGAACAATGCACTCTGATATCCTTTAAATACAGACTTTACAGATCAATGAATAGAAAAGGGTTTCTCCTGGAGTTTGCTGATGCCAGGAACAGCGCCCTAATTTTTTTCTCTCCATTGTTAATTTCTTTTTAAAATACTTCTTACCCCTTCTTTCACAAATCTGTATTCTCCTATCCTAAGGGGATTGATATTTTCTTTGTTTCTCTATCCAATCTTTCTCAAAGGTACAGAGATCTAATATAACTATATTAATAATAGGTAAACAATTGAAACAAAAACATGAATATGGTCACTCTGCCATTAGCCTTGAGTTTCAAAGTTGTGTTTAAAATGCTAAAAATCTGCCACTGCAGTGAAAGCCAATATGAAGTGTATATCCTAAAAGAGATTGTCTGCAAATACAAATGAAAACATTTCTGAACCAGACTGCTATGACTAATAACACAATTTGATACATTAGAATAGAAAATGGTGGAGGTTTATGATCCTTCTCCCACCCCGGGTGGGAAGCACACTCGCACACACTTAAATAAAACGGCGAGTAGGCTAACTCGCTGCCTGCTAGAGAGGGCACTGCACACATTTCTTTTCCTTCTTCAAACATTTGCAGTAGAGTTTGAGCCCAGTTAATCAATACCTTAAAAAACCTGTTTTAAGACAACACTGTCTAGTTTGCTTTCTGGCCATTTCAGGTACAAACCTTTAAAACGAATTATATTTTTTTTCACAGATTTCAGATTTTACTAACCTATATTACAAGTGACTTTTAAAAATATTTTGCTACTGTTTAAATCAATACTCATCATGACATAGACTATGTATGATATTTGGTAGCTGAACTTGTATCTTTTCAGCTAAAAATTCAAAGTTGGTCTTCTTTTTCTCCTTCACCTCTCAACACAGTTTCTTCCAAACTTGCTGTGAGGAGTGGAGGGGGAGAGGAAGGAGGGAGTGTATGACCATAGGAGGGAGGAAAGCAAAAAACAAATAAATCTTCAGTGTCACAAAGGGCCTCACCTTGCTTACGGTGCATGACCCACATCTATAAAAAGACCTGGACCAGACAAACCTATTACATCCTTCAGCATTTCCTCCTCCCCCTAACACTTCTCTCATAACCTTCCAAAGCTGCCACCTTCACAATAAAATGCAGATAAGCTGTCAGAGCCTGGTAGTCCAAGCGATCTACTCTCCATCTGCTTGCAAATTTCATGGAAATTTTTAAAATTCAGCACCATATGAGGAAAACAACGTTCAGCAACGTCAAAACGAACACAGACTGAGTTATTCTCTGAAGAGGGCTGGCAATGTTACATCACTGCTGCTGCAATTAATTCTGAAGCATGAGTTGTACTTATCATACAGAAATGTGTAACTTCCCCTGAAGCAAAGGCTTCAAAAGCTAAATGACAGATGCCGGCCTCTAGGTGTCTTGTTTGCTGCTCAGAATGCTTGCTTTTCAGTTCAGTCCCCAAATGGCTCCGCCATTCTGTGATTCACATTGTACCTCCTTTTGAGCAACCGTGTTAGGAGACTTGATGTAGCCATCGATGCAACAAAATGAAGACAGATTCCCATGCTGTGGTCCACAGTCTCATACACAACTTAAAATGTTAAGCCTCATTCATCGTAAAAATTCACTGCTCAAACTCTAGTTTTCCTTCTTGTTCATGCAGACACTTTCAAATGTTATGTCCCATGTAGACAGATCTTTCTGCCTGCCTATCTCAGCTGAATATGTTCTTTGCAAAATATTCCCTTTGTCCCCTGCATGTCATGGTGCCGGGAGGCCACCAGCAGCAAGGTCCTGAGCTCCCAAGAGAGGTGCCCCTTAAAGCAGGAGATGGAGGCACCAAGTCAACTATAACTTCATGGCTGTGCTTTATCTTCCTACTGGGCAAGACACACCCACGACTTCATGGCTGGGCTCACCTTTCACAAAGTGTCAGCAGAGCTGCATGTGGCCACAGCCTTCACCCTTTATCCACAATGGCATTAATGATGGCCCCAAGCAGGCTGGTCCCAACGCTCGGTTTATTCCAGAAGCTGAATAAAGAGATCAGTTTCTGTGAATGTCCAAATACCCAGCCAACAGAACACTTTACTAGAATTGGGAGGGCTCTAGGCTTTTTCATTAAACCCTAAATAGTGGCTTTCTAATTGTGATATATTCAATAAATGGAGCACTACAAAACTTCCTGGTTGCTCTCTTCATCTACTGAATTCTGAGTGTTATAGTTCTTCCTGCAAAACATGGGCCTTGCATATTCCATACACATACATATACAGCTACAATAATTTATAAAAGAAAAAATCTCAAATCATCAAGTGGCTGTTAAATTAAGTAAGAAGGAAATAGGAAGAAGACCAACTAAAATTATACAATGTAATTAAAAGGGTATCCTCTCTACATTTCTAATAAAACGCACTTGGTTGTTATCATGTATGGTTGGGTACAGTTTCTACCCCAGCATCCAATATCACACAAAGAAACAAAAGCAATGAGAATTTACTATCAATAATTTCCATTCACTTAAGCAACAACTAAAATCTGTCATTATTAAAATTACCTATAAGACTGGTAATTAAAGCTAACCGTCTGCCATGCCAGCCCTCCTCCTGCCTTCCCGTGACTTGGCCTCCTTTGATCTTTCTCTCCTGGTTATTAACATTAGCGGCAGGAGTAGTAGATCCACGTCAAAATCAGAAAAATAATTCCTAAGCAGAAGAGGTCTTAAAACACGGCAAGTGTACCCAATGCTGATCCATGCAAAAACAGGGAAGAAAAATTGCCGCTGAGCCCACGTGAGAGCTGGAGGCTGCACCACCAAAGTCGCCTCACCCTGCGTCCACCACTCCATCCACAGTGTTATGCAGGGAAAACGGATCTCTGCTAAAATTGTTTCTTCCTAAATTTACCTGCACCATACTAGCCATGCTTCCCAAGGCCACAGGCCTCCAAACACACAGTCCTTGTGCCTTCCACCTTAGCCCTCCTCCAGCCACCGTGCCCCTGCCCG